>NC_000008.11:69052265-69677265 GCF_000001405.40 Homo sapiens
AGTATTGGCTCATTAATTGTAACAAATGCATCATTCTATACTATGCAAAATGTTAATAGAGGAAATTATATGGGAGTGGGGGAGTATTATCTGCACAATATTTTTGCTCTAAAATGTTGAGGTAGATTTGTACCTGATTTGTTGAGAGGTTTTATCATGAAGGGATGTCAAATTTTGTCAAATCCTTCTTCTGGCTTATTGAGATGGTCATATGATTTTTACTCTTTATTCTATTAATACGTTACATTTATGATTTGCATACATTAAACCATTCTTGCATCCTTGGGATCGATCTTACTTGTTCATGGTGAATAATCTTTTTAATGTGCTATTGACTTTTGTTTGCTAGTGTTTTGTTGAGTATTTTTGCATCTATGTTCATTAGCAATATTAGCCTGTTTTTTTCTTTTTTATTGAAAGCTTTCCCTCTAAGATTTGGAAGAAGACAAGGATGCCCATTTTCACAACTCCTTGACATAGTAGTGAAAGTCCTTTCTACAGCAATTAGGCAAAAGAAAGAAATAAAATACATCCAAATAGGAAAGGAGGAGGAAGTCAAATTGTCCCTATTTGCAGATGACATAATCTTACACATAGAATACTCTAAAGACTCCACCAAAAACCTGTTAGAACTAATAAACAAATACAGTAAAAATGCAGGATATAAGATTGATATAAAAAATCAGTGGTGTTTTTATACACCAATGGTGAACTATCTGAGAAAGAAAAGAAGAAAGTAATTCCATTTACAGTTGCTACAAATAAATAAATACCTATGAATAAATCTAACCAGGGAGGTAAAATACCTCTACAATGAAAACTGTAAAACTGATTAAATGAGTTAAAGGGGATAAAAATTAATGGAAAGATATTTGATGCTCATGAATTGGAAGGATTAATATTATTAAATGTTCATACTGCTTAAGACAATCTACAGATTCAATACAGTCCTTATCAAAAATTCCAGTGTCATTCTTCACAGAAATAAAAAAGAACAATCCTAAAATTTGTATGAAATAAAAAAAGACCCCAAATAGCCAAAACAATCTTGAGCAAAAAGAACAAAGCTGTAGGCATTACACTACCCAATTTTAAAATCAAATCTATAGTAACCAAAACAGCATGATATTGGCATAAAAATACATACACAGATCAATGGTACAAAATAGAAAGCTCAGAAACAAATCCATGCATTTACAACCAATTGATTTTCAATAAAGTTGCCAAGAACACACAATGGGAAAATAAATGGTGCTGGGAAAACTGGATATCCACATGCAAAAGAATGAAACTTGACCCTATCTCTCATGATATACAAAAATCTACTCGAAATAATCTACTCTTAAATATAAGACTCAAACTATAAAATTAATACAAAAAAGGGGGTGAACACTACATGATATCAGTCTGGACATGGATTTTTTAGACAAGACCTCAAAAGAAAGAACAACAAAAACAAAAATCAACAAAAACAAAAATAAACAAATAGGACAACATCAAACTAAAAAAGTTCTGCACAGCAAAGGAAAAAATCAACAGCATGAAGAAGCAACCATAGAATGAGAGAAAACATTTCCATGTTATATACCTTACAAAGAGTTAATACCCAGAATTTATAAGAACTCAACTCAATGGCAAAAACAACTAATTCAATTTAAAAGTAGACAGAGCAAGACTCTGTCTCAAAATAAATAAATAAATAAATAAATAAATAAAAGTAGACAAAAGACCTGTTTAGACATATCTTCAAAGAAGACATACAAATGGCCAACAAGTTTATGAAAAAATGCTCAACATCAGCAACCATCAGGAAAATGCAAATCAAAACCACAATGTGATATCACCTCACCCCAGTTAAAATAACTATTACGAAAAAAAACAAAAAATAACAATGCTGTTGAGGATATGGAAAAATGGGAACCCTTATAGATTGTTAGTGGGAATGTAAATTAATACAGCCTTTATGGAAAACAGTAGGACATTCCTCAAAAAATTAAAATCAGATCTACCGTATCACCCAGCAGTCCCATTACTGGGTATATATCCAAAAGAAATACAATCAGTATGTCAAAAAGAGATCTCATGTTTATTGCAGGACTATTCACAATATCCAAGATGTGGAATCAAATTAAAGACCCACCAATTAATAAATGGATAAGGAAAATGTGGTATGTGTATATATATATATATATATATATATATACACACACAATGGAATATTATTCAGCCACACAAAATAATAAAATTGTGTCATTGTGCAACATGGATAAGCCTGAAGGACATTATGTTAAGTAAATTAAGCCAGGCACAGAAAGACAAATGCCACATGATCCCATTCATATGTAATACCTAAAAAAATTGATCACAAAAAAGTTCAGAGTAGAATAGTTGTTACCAGAGAGTTAGGAGAATACAAGAAAAAGGGAGATGGGGAGGGGCTGGTCATTGGGTACAATGTTACAGCTGGATAAGAATAAGAAGTTCCATTACTTTATAGCACAACAGGGTGACTGTAGCTAACAATAATGCATTGTATATTTCAAATAGCGAGGAAAGAGGTTTTTGAATGTTCTTATAACAATGAAATGGGCCAGGTGCAATATGAGAGGCTTGAGCGTTGCTTAAGGCAGAGTTCAAGATCAGTCTGGGCAACATAGCAAGCCCCCATCTTAGGTTTGTTTGTATGCACCTGTAGTCCCAGCCATTCAGGAGGCTGAGGTGGGAGGATCACTTGAGCCAGGAAGGTTGAGGCTACAATGAGCTATGATCATGCTGCCGCACCCCAGTCTGGGCAACAGAACTAGATCCTATCTCACAAACAAACAAACAAAGATACAATACATGTTTAAAGTGATGGATATGCTAATTATCACGATTTTATCATTACACAACATATATATATGGCAACATTACGTTGTAATACATGTAAACATGTGCAATTATTTTTTGTCAAAAAAGAATAAAGATGTGTTGTCAAAAACATGTAAAAATAAATAAAAATATAATCTACTAAGTAAAAAGACTTAATTAAAATTCAACATACATTCATAATTAAAAGCTCAAATAATGAAATAGAGGATAATTTTCTCACCTTGATACAAAGCATCAGCTGAAAAGCTGCAACTAACATTATACTGACTGGGGAGAATTGATACTTTCTCCTCAAGATCAGGTACAGAAACAGGATGTTAATTCTCACCACTTTTAGTCAACTTAGTGCTGGAAGTTCTGGTAAGTACAATAGGGCAAGATAAAGAAAGCTGAAAGACTACAGATCAGGATGTAATATATAAAATCATCCCATTTGCGGAAGGCACAATTGTCTTCTACATAGAAAATTCCAATGAATCTACAAAAATCTTGTACAAACTAACAACTAATAACTAATCAGCAAGGTCATAGGACAAAAAATATGCAAAAATTAATTTTAATTCTACATATTTGCAATAAACACATGAACCCCAACACTTAAAATACAATTATAATCCCTCAAAAATAAAAATGTAGGTATAAATCTAACAAAACATTTACAGAAATTATATATTAAAATTATACAACACTAATGTATTAATTTCCTTTTGCTGCTGTAACAAATGACCACAAACATAGTGGCTTAAACCAATACAAGTTTATCAGAACTCTAGAGATCATATGTCTTAAATACGTTTCATGAGACCAAAATCAATGCATTGGCAGGCATGGATTCCTTCTGGAAGCTCTTTGGGAGACTGCATTTCTTCACCTTTTCCAGCTTCTAGGGGCTGCTTCCATTCCTTGGCACGTGGCTCCAGCTAGCAGTTTCATCACTCTGATCTCTGCTTCCATAGTCACATCTACTTCTCTGTATCCTCTGCCTCCCTTTTTCACTTAAAGAAACATTACAAGTACATTGGACCTACAAGAATAATACACGATAATCTCACTATTTCTTTATTTCTCTTCCTTCCTTCTTTCCTTCCTTCCTCTTTCTTTCTTTTTCTTTCTTTCTTTCTCTTTCTTTCTTTCTTTCTTTCTTTCTTTCTTTCTTTCTTTCTTTCTTCTTTCTCTCTCTCTCTTTCTTTCTTTCTTTTCTTTCTTTCTTTTCTCTCTTTCTTTCTCTTTCTCCCTTCTTTCTTTCCTTCCTTCCTTCCTTCCTTTCTTTCTTTTTTTCTTTTGACAGAGTCTTGCTCTTTTGCCCAGGTTGGAGTGCAGTGACAGGATCTCGGCTCACTGCAAGCTCTGCCTCCCAGGGTTCACGCCATTCTCCTGCCTCAGTCTCCTGAGTAGCTGGGACTAAAGGCGCCCACCACCACGCCTGGCTAATTTTTTTGTATTTTTAGTAGAGATGGGGTTTCATCGTGTTAGCCAGGATGGTCTCGATCTCCTGACTTCGTGATCCACCTGCCTCAGCCTCCCAAAGTGCTGGGATTACAGGTGCAAGCCATAATCTCACTATTTCAACATCCTGACTTAATCAGATCTGCAAAGTCCTTTTTGCAATGTAGTTAATTTTTATTCACAGGTTTCAGGGATCAGTTCATGAACATCTCAGAGTGGCCATCATTCTGTCTACTAGAGCTAATGAAAAGTAAGAGCAGTTTTACATAAATGAAGAGCTATACCATGTTCATGGTTCGACAGGCTCAGCATGGTAAAAATGTCAATCTCCTCCAAATTTGATACACAGGTGTCACACAATTTCAATCAAAATCCCAGGAAGAATTTTTGCAGATACAGAAAGATTCTTCTAAAATGTATATGGCAAGACAGAGAAACAAATATAGTTAAAACAATTTTGGAAAAGAAGAATTTATCTACCTAATTTCAAGGTTTATTATATAACTACACTAATCAAGACAAAATGGTTTTGGAAGAAGAACACACACATAGATAAATTTACCAGAATAGAGAAACCAAAACTAAATCCATCCAAATTTGCCCACCTGATTTTTGACAAAGATTCAAGAGCAATTCAGTGGAGGACAGGTAGCCTTTTAAACAAATACTGGAGCAATTGAAGATTCATAAGCAAAACTACAGCTCACATGTTACACAAAAAGCAACTCAAAATTGAATTACAAACTTAAATGTAAAACAAACAAAAAAAAACTGTGAAACTTTCAGAAAGAAAGGAGAAAATCTTTAGAACCAAGGGACAAAAAGAGTTCTTACACTGGCATAAAAATATCATCCATAAAAATTAATAAATTGGACCTCAAGATGATTAAAAACTTTTGCTCTGTGAAAATGGCTATGAGGTTATGAGGGTAAAAATATAAGTACAGATGGGGAGAAAATATTTGCAAACCACAAAGAGAGTAAGATTTTGTTATTTTAAGCCACTAAATTTGTGGCAATTTGTTATGGCAGCAATAAAATACTGATACAGTCTCTTTGAGAAATAGTGCCATATCAGGGGCTTAATTTTGTTCTCTCCTGACTCCTTGGACATTCAGAGGCAGCAGTAGCCACTGGCCTTGGAGAATGCTAGCTAGAGGGAAACTAGGGGCATCCATTCAGATGCCCCTCTTATATTTTAGGATTCCAGGTTTTTCCATCGATGATCCTGATGATGGCAGAACAGACCTGCCTTGGCTGAGTATTTTAAAAAATCTCTCTGTGGATTTATGAATCTATCAGATCTACAATATGGTGCTATAAATAATGGTGTATTTATCAGCTACTAAAGAGGACCTGTGGCTCTCAATACTCAGCTTTTAATGATTGTTAAAATTTTCCATATCTGAGTATTCCCCTGCAGAGCATCAGCACAACTTAGCAATAATCGGTCAACTCTGCTGTGTTTGTAGTTGTCGCTCCCTCCTCCCTCTATCTCTTTCATATTCCTGGTTCCTTACACCTGCCACAGTATTCTCTTCCATAGAGGCATTTTTCCTGGTCACCATTGGTGCAATATTTAGCACTTTGTGCCAGGCACTCTGTGCGCCACACCCACTACTTAGGGTGGTATCTTTACCCAGCAGACTGTGATGGGCCAGTCCCAAATCCCCATTTTACCACTTGTTTTCTCAGACCTCTCCTGGTACCACTTGTGCTACTCAAGATCTGCTGAGAAGTGCAAGATATTTATTAGGAGAGGGAGAAGGAGAAAGAAGGGTCTTCAGACCATGAAGTAGATCTGATACCCGAGGAAGAAGAAAGGGAAAGAAAGATTAAAGAAGAGGAGCTTGGACTGAAGCACCAATCTAAGCAAGGGTTGGCCTGGCTAGTGAGGGATCCTCAGACGAATGCCTGCAGGAGTCCTCCATCTCATTGGAATGAACCTGTCTTACCCATCCCACCGTGTTCAGTCATTAGCTGCTAGCAGGCCCCCGGGTGAAACATAGCCTTGGTGCAAATGCAGTGGTAGATCCAGAGGGACTGCAGCTGGGGCAGTCATTTATGGTCCCAGCAGGAGATGTGAGAGGTGCATTTTCATGGTCCCCATAGGCAACTGTCCTGAGAAGTTTTTCTCCAAGCGGTGATTCAGAGATCCAGATTCCTTCTACCAAATCCCCACTACCTCTTCAGAGTCTCCCCTTCAGAGACATGGCTAACTCAACTGATCTATCAGGTGTTCTGTGTTAGGCCACCAAAGAGCAAAGGGAAAATTAGATTTCATGGGAGACTTTTTAGGGACCAAGACTGGAAGTGGTAAACGTAAATTCTACACACATTTTATGGCCCAAACCTGCCAAATATCCCCTTCTAAGCACTTTTGGTGAAGACATAATGGTGTTTCTGCCACATGGGAGATCTTAAATGTTACTGAGATGTATGATAGCTCAGCTGTGTTGTTGCCATTCCTGCTGTGTTGTCTAGCCTATATTTGTTCTTATGCATGGAACTGGTTGAATCCTGTGTGTCTCTGAAGTTTTAAAACCAGTTTAAATCTCAAGACTAGTATTATAGAACAGAGTATTTTAGTTTTGTTTATCTCAGTCCTAACCCATCCTCTCTATCTTTCATGAGGGCCATCCTCCAACATTAAGAGCATCCATCCTCATGTTTTACAAGGAAGTGTGTTCTTTCCCTAGGAGCAATTCTATTTCTAGTCATTAAGCCAGCATTTTTGCTTTCTCTCCAGTATATGTACAGATTTTTAATGGAAATATTCTGGAGCAGTATGCCAAAATATGTTAACATAAGACTTTTGTGGGTGTCAAGAGTCTCTTAACTCTTTATTTAACTTTTTATTCTCATATTTATATTTTACATTATATTATACATCTTTCTGTAATACATTTTAGTTATATATTTATAAGAAAAAATAATTATAAGAATTAAAGTCTAAATGATGGTGATTCTTTTAAAAATCTGAAATTAAAAATTTCAGGCATTTATAAATTCTTCAATTTTCAAATATATGTTATATATATCATCCTTTAGGAGTCCACCTGAGATAATCATTTTTCTAAAATTTATAATCTCTGCTTTAAATCAAATCAGTAAAAAGCTACAAAATTCAGTTCTCCAGCAATTTTTTTTATTTCAGTGATTAATTCATTTATTTGTTTAACTAGTACTTATTGATCTCTTGACTATGTATTTGAAACTCTTTTAGACACTGGGCATACACACAGTAATGACTATTGTACTCATGACCACATACAATAGTCATGGGCCACCATAGAATGGTGTAGATACACCATAGTATCAGATAATGATAAGAGCTATAAAAATAAGGGATGCAGCTGGGCGCGGTGGCTCACGCCTGAAATCCCAGCACTTTGGGAGGCCGAAGCAGGTGGATCACAAAGTCAGGAGTTTGAGACCAGCCTGGCCAACATGGTGAAACCCCGTCTCTACTAAAGATATAAAAAATTAGCTGGGCATGGTGGCATGCACCTGTAATCCCTGCTACTCAGGAGGCTGAGGCAGGAGAATCGCTTGAACCCAGGAGGTGGAGGTTGCATCTCAAAAATAAATAAATAAATAAAAATAAGGGATGCATCAACATTGTAATACTATGTTTATTAGATCCTTTTTTTTAAACAATAATTTCAACTTTTATTTTAGATTCAGGGGATCCGTGTGCAGGTTTGTTACATGGGTATACCGTGTGATGCTGAGGCTTGGGGTACAAACGATCCCATCACCCAAGTAGTGAGCATAATACCCAACAGGTAGTTTTTAGCTTCTCCCTTCTCCCTCTTTCCTCTCTCTAATAGTCACCAAGTGTCTATTTTTCCCATCTTTATATCCATGTATACCAAATGCTTAGCTCCCACTTACATGTGAGATGTGGTATCTGGTTTTCTGCTCCTGCAAATTTGCCCAGGATAATGGCCTCCAGCTACATCCATGTTGCTGCAAAGGACATGATTTCATTCTTGTTATGGTTGCATAGTATTCCATAGTGTTTATGACCATATTTTCTTTAAAATGGTGGTATTTCTTCAATTTCTGGTTAAATTACATAACATTCAAGCGGACACAAATTTGTAGTAATTTAGGTATGGAAGCAAAGCTATGTGATCTGAAATGATAAAAATCACCCAGTTAAGTAAAAATTAGTAAGAAATATTGAAGCATCTGAGTATCTGCTTATATCACTCTAAAAATCAGGAAGTACACCAAATATAAAAACCATTCAAATCAAGCTTCTCTTTTCCTCCCTGCACATACACTTCAAGACATTTTTCAAGATGGCAACAAACCTACTGTCTCTGTCCACTTTTCTGGATTAGCACCTTTCTGCCTTTCATCCATTTTAAAACTAAAAGGGAGAACTAAGACTTGAGGTAGACTGAAACAGTTTGTAGATCATGGTATTCTAGAAGACAAGGCTCCCAGTGAGATGTGTTAAAAACAAGAAAGCATTGTCTGCTGAGGAATAGTTTATAATGAACCACACAGTTTTACCAAGTATCTAATATTGCACCCCTAGGTTCTCCAGCAAAGGAAAGGTGAATTCTTGCAGTGCTCCCAAGTATAATAAAGAAAGCTAGTGGCCATTCATATCTATGTGTCTGCAAACATTATATCTGGCTAGTTATGTTTATTTTTTTGTGGGCCAGTATCAGTCAGACTTCAATTGGAGAATCAGGACTAGGAGATAATGATAGGTAGAGAGAGACAGATATATAGTTGATAGGTAGGTAGATTCATAATAGACAAGTTGCAAGGATTTACGATTGTGGGAGGTGATCACACAATCTGTGAGAAAGCTTTCTGCATAACTATTGCTGGAGCTTGATGTCCACAGGGCAGGTAGAACAGAAGGGAAGATGAACACAAAGTGGAGCCGACCAAGCACAACCTGGACCCACATCAGTATGGACTGAGACCCGTGTTAGTTCTTGTTGCCACTGACCAGGGTGATGTGAGATAATGCAGAAGCCAAAACCCTTTGTCATGGAGCTAACTAAGCATGCACACCTGGCCAGACATTGCCTCACACCAGTGAAGTGAGTTAGCAAGTATCATTGGTGAGCTCCTACCTTTCCCTAGTTACTCATTTATTATATTAAATGTTCCCTGTTGAAGTTACCAATGTGGTCTCTGTCTCCTAAGTGGACCCTGACTGATTTATGCCATCCCTTTATTTCAAGGTTAGATAAAAATTAAAAAATTCTTTCTGCAGATAAATAGATAAATAAGTGTGTGTATGAATTTCTACAACATAAGCCAAAATTCTGCAACATGAAAAAACAACAGAAATTCACTGAACGATAGAGAAAGGGGGTGCTCATTTGTGTTATTGATGTAATCTAGTAAACAGAAAAATAAATTTAAAAATAAGAGAACAGAGAAACACATTATTCATATGAAAAAAGATCATGGAATAAAAATGAACAAAAAAAGAGGGTAGGTCCCAAAGTGAGTATGTAAAGATAAAAAGGCTGTAGGTTTAAAAGAAAATGTAGCAAACTGAGTATAAGTAGAAACAGGCAGAAAAATAAGAGGAATTTGGGCAGTTTTTTTAAAAAAATGCCAAGGTTTATAAATGAAAGGCGCAGAAGTAAAATGTGTTATATACAGGCTAAACTGATTCTGAAAAAAACTTGTTCACTGATATAATTGAGAAGTTCTTGCCAAATGCAGGTAAAAGAACAATAACGTGCATAATAATAAAGATCACAGAAGATCAAAGATTAAATATAAAGAAACTGCTATTTTTAAAGAAAACACATAAAATAATCAGAGACATGTTAAAATTTTTTCGTGCTAAAAACTATAAGTCTATAGTGTTCTAGCAAAGAATAATTATGAGAGAGTAAAAAATAGACTTGTCCTGGAACTAGATGCCAGATGAATACAAAATGATGTTGTCAGATATTTGAAGAGAAACATTTTATAATCCAAGAATCCTGAATTCAGAGGAGTTATTACTCATGTGGAAAAATCTTAGCAACACAGTGCTTAGAAATATTAAACACATTTGCCCTTTCTTATAAAAAAGCACTCAAAGATATACTCTAGCAAACTGAAAGATTAATTATAATTAAAACTCAGAAATAGGGAATATGAAATGACTATTACAATTGAGAACAAAAAACATAGTTTTGGGAATAGTTAAAAGTTTTAATATAAATTTGAAAATAAACTACCCACAAGAAATTAATTTGGGAAAATGTTATTCTTATCACTTTCTTCCTCCTCATCAGTGTTAAATGAGCATATTTAGGAAAATGGAAATACGAGGGGATAAAGAAAGTAAAGCAAGCTAAGCTCAATGATTTTTCATACGTAGAGCAGATTTAAAACACAGGTATTTTCACTTTGATAATTAGATAAATATAAGTCCAAGTGTGTTTTTGAAAATGTAGTGGTAAAAATCTAAAAGTTAAAAATAAGATGTCTTATATTCAAATCATCACCAAAGGTAAAATCAGACTAAACACAGTTTTCATAGCAATAGAGAGAAAACAAAATAAATTAGCAAAGAACACGGTAAAATAACAAATAAAAAAGCAAGTACGTCTGCTACAACATTAAATGTCATCTGATGTTATGACATTAAATTGTTAAAATGCCTCCATAAAAGACAAAGAAAGTTAGATTTGTTTTTTTAAAGTCCAGTGTATGCATCTTAGGAAAGACACATAAAGTAAAATAACAAAAATGGTTAAAAGAAAAATATAGAGAACTACATACCTTACAAGTTTTTAAAAATTGGTAATATCTCACAATAAAATAATTTGAGAAGAATGAAATTAATAAATAGATATAATTCTTAATGCTTTTGAAAAAATTAGACTGTGGAGTAAAATTAAGAGAAAAGCAAAATTAAAAATAATAAGTAAATTTAAAATGTTTAATATGTCTAAGTAAAAATGCTTAAAGCTAAAAGGATGCTAATAATTTTAAAAATACAAATAATGTGAAAAGTGTCAAAAATATAATTTGTTTAGAATAAAAAGCAAAGGGAAAATCTGAATGATTTGAAATATAATTTTTAAAAATTTAAAATAACATGTATAGTGAAGACTAGGATATTTAATTGGTATTTCTTTGTAATTCTCACACTAGAAATACACGTTATTTTAAAAAATTCATAATATAGAAACGTTTTAAAATGTCCCTTAACAGAAAATTATATGTCCTTCTCATGTGTAAATCTGAATTAAAAAAAAGTTTGTTAATCTCTTTTAAAATTTATATAAATGAGTAAATCATGTAAAATAACCAGTTTTTCTTTACAAATACAGTGTCAATGTGATGTTAGAAGACCGTTATTATACTAAATCATTTCAATGGAAATTTCAATAAGAGCTAAGTTTAAATATTGATCTGCCAAATTTAATTGCTGTATACTTCAGCAATTACTTAGCCACTGTGATTTTCTTATTGACATTTGTAAAATGGGAATGCAATTTTTTATGGTAAAATTAAGAAATATTAGTATGCAACATATGAATTAAATAGTACACGGTAAGGGCTCATCAAAGAGTTGCTGTTGGTACATATCAGACAAAAATCATCACAATGTATTTTAAGAATCAGCCAACAATATAAAAAAAGTCCTCCAACCAACTTAAAAAACTCAAGATTTATATCAAAAGAATATTTTATTAATATAAAAATATGTAATTTACACTAACAGTTATCATCAGCAAATTTAGGGCACTAGACTCCAATCTTCAAAATTCAGATAAAAATTTAGATGGACACAGAACCGTTGTTACTAACTTTATTTTAAAGATAGACACACTTTTTAGAGATGCATTTACTGGTTTTTATGAACTAAATCTATCTATCTATCTATCTATCTATATATATTTATATTTAATTTTATTCCTTTTTCTCACTGTTTGGGATAGATGTATATTACAATTACTAAGTCTGCAGGCAGTACCAGAAAAACACTGAGGTCAGAGAATAGGGTTATCTTGTATTTATTTCTACATAAAAAAACATGATTTCTAGAATACATATTTATTTAGATATTCAAGTAATATCTAATATGCAAATAATAATGATAATGTAAATGTTAAATTAAACATTTATATAAATAATGCATAAATATTATTAAAATGAAAACTATGTATGAGTATTTAGAGTAAGAAAATGGAAATACCTCTTGACTTACCAACTCTATACAGAAAGAAGAATTTCAGCAGAAAATACAAACAATTGGAAACAATCACATGAATATCTTAACTTGAAAAATGTAATAACTGAATTTAGAATTCACTGAAATTGATTAGCAGTTGTTTAGACATACCTAAAAAGAGTATGAATAAACTGAAAAAAAAATGATTAAATAAATAATCCAGACAAGCTTGTAATGGGAAATTTAAAAAGGATAGTAGACAAAAGTGCATAAGAAACAAAGAGGGTATTATAAAAGGCCTAAAAATATGTGCAGTTGTAGTCCTAGAAAGAGGGCAAGAATGGAATAGAAGAAATATTTAGTGATGAGGAAAACAAATTCCAGATTCAAAAAGCACTACGTATTCCAATGAGGGTTTTTCTAACATGGCGGGGGGAAAGCACACCAAGTCATAATGAAGTAAACAAAAGACAAAGAAAAATCCTAAAAGCTGCCTGAGAAAAATAGTGTAATCTCTTCAAAGGAGGAAATAATGTAGTCTCTTCAAAGGAAGAACAAAGACAGCTGAAAATAGAAAAAAACAGAAATCAGAAGATAACAGTATAATCAAAGTCCTAAAAGAAAATAACTTCTGAGAATTTTATAGCCAATGAAACTGTATTTCATAAATGAAATTGAAATAAAAATATTTTTAGGCAAACCAAAACAGAAAATTCATTACCATAAGCTTACTCTAAAGGAAATATTGAAGCATGTTCTTTAGTCAAAAGAAGTGATTCCATCTGGATTTATCACTAATGCAGGAGTCATTAGAGTTATATTATAAACCACTTTATTGGTGGTATTATGAATTTCTTCTTACATTTAACAGTTTTTGCTTTATATACTTGAATGCCATATTATTCAGAGCATAAAGACACATGGCTGTTTTATGCTTTTGCTAAATTTCGTCTTCTAACACTGAGTTAGATGCTTAATCCAATTAAATACTTTTTCACTTATTTCATCAGTTATTGCCATAACCACTCCTAATATTTATATAGATTATTTTTGTTCATTCTTTTAGGGATGGTTTGTGATGTGTCTCTAGTAAAAAAAAAATTTTGCTGACTTTTTAAATTACATCTTAAAAATTATGCCTTTTAATGTATTTAACCCATTCAATTTCTCGTGCTTTCTGATACGTTTGACTTGTCTGTTATCTTACTGCATGTTTTCTAGTTATTATATCCCTTTTTCATTTTTCTATTGGTAGTTGATTAGTCAATTTATTTTATTACATTTATAATCTTATCTGTGGGAAGCTATATATACTTTTTTTTAAGATTCTACCCACACTTTTTTACAAATACATTTATCTTTTCATATCAAGGATTAAACTATATCTACATTCTTCTCTATTGAAACAAGACATTCAGCATCTTATTTCCTACCTTCCCTAACATACTTCATTGAAATCATGTTGACATTTAGCACCAGGTTGGTTTCATTTGCTTGTATTTTCATAATATTTCTACCTTTTGGAGAATCTTTTTTTACACTGTATTAAATTTCAGAGTTACAATGGCAGAAATTATTCTTCTATTTCTAATTTTTTTTACTCTCCACCTTTTTTATGTTACATATCCCTCTTTCTTTTGTTCAGAGATAGTGAATATGTATTTTTTAAAATGCCGGTAGGTTTGAAATAGTATTTTACACATATGTATTGCTTTCCATTAGCACTTCAGGACATATTTTCTTTCTCTGTCTGTATTGTGAGTTTCCTGTAAGAAGTCTGATGAGACTAGTAAGGGGCTGGCTGTTTGGTTATTCCCTTAATTCTCATAGCTTAGAAATTTCTGGAGGTCTGCTTAGCATTCTATGTGAAGGTGTGAGTTTTCGTAATATCAATGCAATATTTAATATCTTGCCTTAATTATTTCTTTCCTCTAATCTCTTTCTAACCTTGTTCTGAAGTCCCTACTATGTGGATAATAGATATGGCTTTCCCATTACCAGTATGTAGTAATCTTGCTTTTTTCTGATACTTTACCTCTGATGTTTTGCTCTACCTTCTGGGAGACATCCTTTTTCATCAACTTCTAACTCAGTCTTCAACCGTAGCCTATTATTCTTCAGCCTTCTTATTACATTTTTAATTCTGATCATCATATTTTAATTTCTAATACATATTTTGTAGTCACTGATTACTCTTTTTAATAGCAGTCAGTTCATATTTTGTGGATGTAAAATTCTTCAGTTTTTCCTTGAAGTGTAAATTAGATGTTTTCATTCTTTATTTTCTATTTTTGTTTTTTCCTCTTACTATTGTCTCTATTTCTTCTTGGGTCATTGCTCCGATTTCAACTTTATTCTTCATATTTTGGCCAGAAGCATCTCTGGCTGTTTTACTTCTCTGCTTTCCAGGGTAGGCCCCCTTTTCTTGGACCTTCTGACAACTACCCCATGCTTAATTGCTTTGCTAGAGACCTCTGTGAAATTGCTGTCTCCAAGGTCAGCATTTTTCTGGAGCTTTGACTGAAAGCACTGATCTCACCTCTGTAATGGGTCCCTCCTCCCTCTCTCTCTCTCTCTCTCCTCAAAGTTTGTTCACTGCCTTCAATCTCCCAGGAATATCTCAATGTTTCTGACCCAATGATGATATAATTTTCCCACTCTGCCACTGTTATGAATAAATTTCTTAAAACTAATTTCTATCTTGACTTTTAAATGGGATTTTGGTAGTGAGTCATGAGAAGTAAAAACACAAGAATTTCATTAGCCAAACTGAACCAAAATATTTTGATTGCTTCTTTTTCCAGAAAAATCTTATTTACATATCACCTTCAGAATAATATATGTAAAACCGAAGTACAGTTGCTGCATTTTCTGGAAGAGAAAGCGTTTTTTCTTCTGGTTAGTCTTGAGGGCGTAAGAAAGAAATCTAGGGATATAGGATGTACATATTCAAGTTTATCCTCAGGGTAGCGACCACTTTTACAAGAAAACATTGGAAGCTTAGATAACTGGATATCTTTGAGTTTGGGGGAGTCGAAAGTTATTTTTATTTGCTTATTTTCCTTTGTGTGGCCAGAACTTAGTTGAATATAAATTGATGTAGCTTTTTTGGAAAAAAAAATTTACAATCAATATATTTTACTTTAGAAAATAATCTGGAACATGAATAGAAAAATGTTCCTGCTAAAACAAATAAAAATATATAGTTGTTAAGGTTTTCTCTTTGGTTTTACTCTATTTCCAACTATTTTTGGTGCAATAAGCTCCATTTTAAAAGGTTCGGCTTTCTGAAATACAAAGTGAAATTAATAGTGATATACATCGCTGGTGGAGACCCTGAGTATCAGCGCCACAAATTTCATTGCCATTCACGTGGTAATCTTGTGCACTGGGGATCATCAATACAGGTACAATGATGTGGAAGCCTGGGCAAATTATTTAGCAGGTGAGATTTTGTGCGGTCGATCAATGAGTGACAAGAAACCTAGACTTAATAGAAAGTACCAGCAAGGAATCACTGTTACCAATATCCATCTCGTGACTACATCATGCACGCCCTTGCTAAGTCACTTAATAGGCATTACCTCTGTGAGAAGAATTAAGTGACAGAATGATGCTGCCACAAGCCCAGGCTGGTTCAAGCAGGCAAGGTTCTTCACATTTTCAATTTGCAGCCTTAGTTGAAGGAAGCACTGGGATAGAGTTTCAAGCACCAGCACACCGAAACCAATTACCTCAGTTTTTTCTCACTGGAGTCTGTATAGCATTTCAGTTCTTTGCTGTTTGCTCCTTGTTAGAATTTTCACCTAAAAGATATACAATCATTATTCTTCTTAAGGAAATATGATGCTGTATTCCTTGTTAAAAACACTATAAGATTATTAGTTATACACTAGTATTTTAGAATCAGAATTCAGTAGTCTCCATGCCCCTGCTGTGATATCTAACTATATGTGCCACTTCCACCTGAGTGTTAGCCATTTGTTCTGAGATATCCCACAACATTCTCTATGAACTTCCATATATGTTATGCCCTTCTAGTTGTTTAGTTTCTTGTCTTTTCCCCTAGTATTTTGCAAAAGGAAATTTCTCACAATAGAAAATAAGAACCATAGCTTTGCAAAGTATCTGTACCTAGTACATGTGTGCTAAATACCTAAATGGTTATTCGCAGAGTTTTTTTTTTTTTTTTGGTCTCAACAAAGTGAGAGCATGATTTAAGGATTTATATTTGGGAAGTGCAACTGGAAATTTGCATTAAACCAGCAACTATCAAAAATCTAGAAAATTTGTCTTCACTATTTCAGTGTTTCAAAATATTTCAGTGTTTCACCATATTTCACTGTTTCTCTATTTAAAGAGAACAAATAAAATATTTGCCACTGCATTATTTGCTTTTAGCATCTCTTTGAGCTTTGCCAAGAAGCATAAGGTTTATTATATTCACCACGGGCCTTTTTATGCTGGCAAACATACAAACTACATTAGAAGAACAAATTTAGGTTGAGTGAAAAATAGCCATAGCCATAAAAGGCTCTAATAATTATTCAGTGTCAATGTTGGAAGTGATTCAAAAGAGAGAAGGAGAGATGTATTGATTCATGGCCTTCATCTTTCTTTTTCCCAAGAAGTCCACAAAACTTCATCATTTTCATCCAAATATTGTTCTCAGGATTTATGTCCCTGTGTTTAAGGCTTTTCTTCTTCGTGGTGTCTGAATAGGTTTTGTAGGTTATGTTCTTTGACTTTGGAAACTCTTTTTTGTGCAAGTTTCTTGTGCTCTTCATTTCCATTCGCTCAAAAGAACTCTCCAAGGAAATAGCAGTGAAAAACAAACACAAAACAGCACTTGTGTGCTACAAAAACCCAAAAGTGCATCAAATTTCATATTGTTCTAACTCTAAAGAGCTCATCTTGATCTACTGTGTCTCCAGTTAAATGAATGAATATTTGGATTCAAAACAGATAAATATATATGATCTGCTTTCAGTTTTCCTGCCCTACACATGACTTTTAAAACTGTTGACAATGATGCTTTATTCAGTGCAACAAGCAGGAGAGTTTGGCTCTGAACAGGGAGAACTTTGTAAAAATTAGTGCTTTACAATAATGAGATGGACTGCCTCCATGATTCATAAATTCTATGTCTCCAGGGGAGATCAACAGCCTCTTACTGGGAAAATTGTCGAGTCAAAAGAGGATGATCATTAAGTACCCTCTAAATCATTTCCAGTATACATTAACCATGTGTTCAGTGGGAATTGGAGAAGATAAGGACATGAAAGTTACATTTAACGGTCTCACTTCATGAATTCAGGGAATTTACCTCTAGCCCAGGAAAGACAAATAGAAGAATAAGTTCAATGCTAATATCATTGGTACTGACCAGTGTTCCAAGGATTTGAGAGGCAGGCAATATTAATAAAAAGTGAAGCAATCAGGTTAGGCTTTAAATAAAAGCTAGAACATTAACACGTGCAATGAAAAATAGTATGGATTAGTTGGGCAGAATAGATGAAACCATGTAGACCAACACCAAGGACCAGGAAAAGTGAAGTAAGTGAGCACTATGTTCAAAGAACCTGTTGGGGTGCATGGGAAGACAGATTCCATGACTTATATTTACTCTTATTATGTCATTCTGTTATTCTGGTTTTTTGTTTGTTTGTTTTTGTTTTGAGACAGGGTCACATTATCTTGTCCAGGCTGGTCTCAAACTTCTGGGCTCAAGTAAGTGATCCTTCTGCTTTGGTCACCCAAAACAGGTGTGAACCACTACTCCTGACCTCATATGATTCTAATATCAGCAAACATAAAATTGACACCATTTTGAAACATTCAAATCTGGGGGCTTTCCCAAAGCATTGTATTTAGGGCTAACATCCTTCTGTATTCTACTCTTTAAGTCTCACCTCCCAGGTCTCATTTTGTAAAGGATGGAACTACTGCTGTTCATGAAAGTTAGTTAATGTCTAAGCAGAAGTTGCTAAGAAGATTCCTATGTTGGTTTGTCTGTCATTTTTATTGCATAGTTATGTATAAAATGGTTGACAACATGATTGAGCACAAGCCAGGCGAAAAGAAAAATATTTGTTGAATGGGTGAATAAATGATGTGATTTTACAGTGTTTACATAAGGAAGTGTTTGCTCCTAAAGCTTCAAATCCCCCTAAATAAATATGATCAAAACACAATAGCAATTATCTACTATCATTCCTTGTTATTTGAAGGATTAATTAGCTACAAAATGCTACATTGATATTTCAAATACAGGAAAAATACTGTGCATCCGATTATGGTTTGCAGTGCTCTTTTCCAGCTTAAAAAATAGTATTTTTAACTGGCCTTTGAAATAATATTTTGCAGGCCACAAATTGGTGTTAGTTTACACATAAGCCAGACATCCAATGCTGACTTCAGAGGTTAACTATTGAAGGGTGAGTCAATAGAAGCCTGCATGTAAGAACATTATAATAAAAAGCAAGTCACAGAGATCATATTCTCATTAGGAAAACTTCCATCTCTTTAAAATTTCTGTGAAACATTGTTTGGAGTAACCTGTGAAATCACAATGGGGAAAAACAAACCAGGCTTTGGCTGACATTTACAGCAAAATCGAATTCTTCATCACAACTGGAGGGTGTATAATGAGTGGGTGTTTTAGGGTAGACAATGGAGGGAGTTCTTCAAGTCTGTTTTACATGAGTTAATGTTGGCAGGTAATGTTCTTATTGCTGCCACTGTTTTGTTAAGAAGGAAGAATGTGTTGTAAATCCCCTTAAAATTAAAAATAAGGCACCAACCCTCCCACCGCCCAACATGAGTTCATTCCACTAAAATGACTTCTTTTAGAATAGTTAAAGAAGGTCTGAGAGCCATAGATTTCTCCACCCAATTACTGGAAGTCTTTCATTTTTTTTCCTCTGGAGGCTTCACGGTGACAGCCCTAGAGTGGAATGTGGATGACTTTGCTATAACCTAGGTAATGAACCATACAAACTTTGTGAATAATGCCTGCACTTAATATGAGGCAGAGGCAAACAAGTCAAGAAAACCAGTGTAAAGATAATTTTGACTAAATCAGACAAGGTTATTTACCATCAATATTTGAAATCAAATGTATCCCAGAATCCAAGGTGTAAAGTGTGTGCTGTCCCCAGATCTGCAGTTAGACTTGGAATCCAAAACAAGTCCTCGTATTTCTAAATCAATGCAGTTGTTATGTTATGTACTTCATTTTATCAAGCGTCATGTTAGTTCCAATCAGGAGATCATAAGCTGGTACTGAAAACGTGAGAGACAGTGATCAATGGTTTTTGGAGTGAAAAACAAAATCCTTTATACCGCAAGCTGCCATTTGAAAGCCACCCCTGAAGAAGCAGCCAAAGGACACAGTAAAGCAACTGCCTTTCAAAACAAATGCAATAAATCTCATCCAGTGCATTTCAAAGAGTTAAAAAAGCTTAATAATGATCTCTGCAGTAATTCAAATTTTACCAATTTTAGGCAAAAATATTTTGATGCTAAAGTAAATAGTGTATTTCATTTACAAAACGTATGTAACAAAACCAGCAATATGTGCATCCTGGCCTTCATCTGAAATGTAGTCTCTAGGGGCAACTCTGGCTTTAAATACTTAGCCCACTCTACTTTCAATAATGATTATAAAAATACAAAGCAAATGTCTGGAGATGAACAGTAATTTATTTCTGGTTTCTAGTTTTCATGTTTTTCAGACTTGAATGGGTTTTTTGATTCTTGAGCTCTTATAATTCTAGGAACTATAAAGAACATGAAAAAGTGGTCAAGAAGCCAAAGGAGAGAACGTAAGCTATTCCCTCTGTGCGTATTCTCTGTTTCACTCTGTCCTTGTGGGCATTTTTATCAACCTGAAGGGGGTATTTGCATGTTAGGTTGTCTTAGGGAGCCTTAGACCATCTCATTGAATAGGTTCAGAAGTCCCCTAGAAGAGCAGTCCCCAACCTTTTAGGCACCAGAGACTGGTTTTGTGGAAGACAATTTTTCCATGGATTCTGGGTTGGGGATGGTTTCAGGATGAAACTGTTCCACCTCTGATCATCAGGAATTAGATTCTCATAAAGAGTGCGCAACCTAGATCCCTCGCATGCACAGTTCACAACAGGGTTTGCCCTCCTGTGAGCATCTAATGCCACTGCTGATCTGACCAGTGGCAGAGCTCAGGCGGTAATGCTTGGCTGCCACTCACTTCCTGCTGTGTGGCCTGGTTCCTAACAGGCTACCTAACCTGTACCAGTCTGTGGCCTGGGATTTGGCGACCCCTGCTGTAGAACAACCATCACTAACAATGATCATCATTTATTGGGCCCTTAATCTGTTCCAAGAAACGTCTAAGCAGTATATATGCATTGCTGCATTTATTTTCGTAAGAACTCTAAGAAGTGGATCTTATTATTATCCTCAGTTGATGATAAGAAAATAGTATTAGAAATCCTGGCCGGGCGTGGTGGCTCACGCCTGTAATCCCAGCACTTTGGGAGGCCGAGGCGGGTGGATGACGAGGTCAGGAGATCGAGACCATCCTGGCTAACACGGTGAAACCCCGTCTCTACTAAAAATACAAAAAATTAGCCAGGCGTGGTGGCGGGCACCTGTAATCCCAGCTACTCGGGAGGCTGAGGCAGGAGAATGGCGTGAACCCACGAGGCAGAGCTTGCAGTGAGCCGAGATCCTGCCGCTGCACTCCAGCCTGGGCGACAGAGCGAGACTCTGTCAAAAAAAAAAAAAAAAAAAAAAAAATCCTAAGTAAATTATCCAAGCAAATAACCTAGGTGATGAACTCAAACCCAGGTCCATCTGATTTGAGAGTCCACAGCTTTAACTACTACAAGATATTGTCTATATGCTGCTACAGTATTTGATTGCTAAAGGTAAACACAAAAATGATACATGAGAAAAGTTTACTTTAAACCCAAGGCTGTATTTGGGAAGATAAAGATAATCAAGCTTGACTAGGGTGAAAGTGGTATGTAGTAATATCTAGAAGAAACAGCAACAGGAAAAAGAAAAGCGTTGGTATCTAAGACAGAAAATGATTAATTTAACATGTAGGACTGTAAAAACTGGCCATAATTTGCACTGGAAGTCACCACAAGGGACATAATGAGGAATCTAATGAAGTTACTCCCTGATCTACTAGCCCCAGGCTCCAGAGGATAATGAGCTAATGCCTTTGGAGGCTGATACCCGAATCCCCCCAGGGAGAAACCACTTCTAAATGTGAAGTGGGATGCAGGTAGCCTCCACCAAAAGTATATTAGATTAGAAAAAAAGAGACTAAAAGCAAAGATAATCAGTACAAATAGGACTAGATGAATTCAAGCGTGAATGGAATTGAGAACTAGAGCAAGTTGCTGGAGAGAGAGCAGCTTAAAGTGGAAACCACTGTGAAACAGTCAAATCCCGGGACTCTGAGAAATGCTAGAAAAATGTGTTACAGATTGTCATTTAGCCACTTCTATTAAAGCTGAAGAGTAGCTCTAGGGATTAGAACAGAGTCATTTCTATGCTGTTTAAACTAATTTATTCTTTATACGAACCAGAATAAGTAAGAAACTCGATTGGAAAAATTGGTTCAAGAAACTTCCTGAGTGAGCACATTTCTGAGCACTGTGGGCTATGATAAAATGAATGAGTCATAGTCTATCTTAAAGAGGTTCCCACTCCAGTAAGAAAGATATGGCCAGATACACAAATCACTCTTCAGGACATAATGGAGAAAGGCACAGAGAGGTAAAAAGTGTAACAGATGCTCAGAATTCCTTGCCAAGGTGACAGGAAGGTGACATTAAAGGACAGATATTTTAGGTGTGCTTGAAAGAGAGTGAAGGATTCAGGTGATGGAGATAACAAGAGAACTTCCAGGAAGAAAAAATCAATAAAGGCTGGAACACCAGAAAGTGCAGTTATCTTGAGGGAATTGGAGACTGTGTGTGTGTGTTGGGGGTGACAGCGGAGAGGGGAGGTTAGACAGGGTCTCACTCTGTCACCCAGGCTGCAGTGTGATGGCAGAATCTTGACTCACTGCAGCCTCGACCTCCCTGGGCACTGGTGATTCTCCCACTTCAGCCTCCCGGGTAGTCGGGACTACAGGCACACACCACCACACCTGGCTAATTTTTGTATTTTTTTTGTAGAGACAGGATTTTGTCACATTACCCAGGCTGGTCTGCAACTCCTGGGCTCAAACGACCCGCCTGCCTTGGCCTCCCAAAGTGCTGGGATTACAGGCATGAGCCACTGTGCCCAGCCAGGAATGGAGATTCTAAGAACATAAAATACATGTGGGAAAAAGCAATTAAGATTGAAAGAGCAGAATAGGAATTATCTGAAGGGGTCTTAAATGTTAACTTAAGGAATTTGGACTTCCTCTGGCAAATAGTAGTCTTAACTCTTTCCATAGAAGAAACAAGTTTTGCAGAGAACAGCAGAATGCAAATCATACCTGCAGCTAATTAAAGTAACGAAGACTTGTGCTTTTCAAACAAAAAACACAATGTTGGATATTCTGATCTGCATGAGTGTGAGAAATTTAAACAGATCTCAATGTATGAAAAGTAGGGAATACTGAGCAGCAACCAGGTTAGGTTTTTTAGAAATTTAAGTTGAAAAATACATCAATGAAACCTGAAGTACGTTACATAATATGTAAAACTCAATGTCATGTAAAGTGTAGGTTTAGAGAATGATGAAAAATATTTGGTAATTCATGGACCCGCCCTCCCAAAAAAGTGAAGGAAATTGTTTTTCATCTAATTACAGGAAACTAGGACATATTATTGAATAGCAAGAATGTCAAAGTAAACACAAGTAAAGTTGTAGCCCAAATTGGATCTTCACTGTGTATGTGAAAAAAAAAAACAAGCAGCTCTATTTTAGAAGCGTCTATGAGTGAATGGGGGTGTTCATATGTGTATGTAAACACACACACCCACAAAGCACATTTCTCCATATGCCGGGATTGCTTTATTATGTAATAATCATCTTTCTGCAGACAAACAGCATGCAGGAAATGGAAGCCAGATGTTTAAATTAAGTGCAGCCAAGGAAAGACTTCCATAAGCAATTATTTTGACCAATTATACATGAGACAATATTGTCACCTACAAGATAAGACTTGAAGTTCAGTAGTTTAAAAATTATATACTCATACAAGTCAAGAAACTAACTTGAGAGTTTTCTTCATCATTGCCCTAAGGAAACTATCATCAGTATTGTCATTTAAAATTTTATGTAGTAACAACTGTAAATAAACATTTTTTATTTATATTCCAGATGCAATGTGAGATTTGCAATAACCACTTTATAGTTTAAAACCAGGGACCTATAACTGAATTTAAATCTGAACTAACATTCTTCAAATTGAAGTTCAAATATTGCAAATGCTTAATTCAGAAATAGCTCAATTTTCTTCTTCAGATTTGTTAGGAATGCAAAAGATGAGAGTACATATAAATTCCCATCAGTAGTACCTTATTTTTCTGTAGCAATATTATACTGTCCTCATGTATCCTCAAGAACTGTAACTTAAGCTAATGCAACTCTGTCTTTAGCCAAGCAACTTGAGATGTGAAAGATACATTGGTTTCATGTATAACGCATTGTCTCCATATGTTAGGGGACACTATTCTGTCCTAGTCCATATAGAGAGAAAGCAGACAGACCAAAGCCTAGGCATGGCAAACCACTAGAAAGTGTCAAGGTCAACTAGCAAAAAAAGCTGTGGTTGAGCAGTCAAGGGACCTATCTTATGAGAAGGAAAACCAGTATCATACAGTGAAAGACAATGTGACTCTGATCTAGGGTTAGGGTGAGTACCTGTTCTGGTTTACTCAAGACAGTCTCAGTTTTAACCCTGAGTACCCATGCCCCTGAAAACAAAGCCCTCCCTGGATTTCAGCAATAGGTGTGGAAGTTTGCGAGAAAAACATAATACATACACAAAGCTACAAATGAAGGGGCTGCAGGATAACAGTTTATAAAATCAAATGGACAAAAACATATGCGAAAAGAATCTGGGCATAAGCATAGTGAAAAAGGGATGTGAAAGCACACATGGAGACTGAATTTTGAAAGCTCAAAATGAGTTAGGCAAATACTTTTAAATTAACATTTTTTGTCTCCCCCAAAGATATAATACTAAGTCAAAAATGGCTTGGGCATGACACCCCAATGAACAGAGATTGTCATAGCTTTCCCTTGATTGCTCTATGAAACTGCGTAAAGTTATGTTTACTGATTCAGAGATTGCAATGAAAATATCTTATGAGCAAGGCTGGGCACGATGGCTCATGCCTGTAATCCCAGTGCTTTGGGAGGCAGAGGCAGGAGGATCTTTCGAGTCCAGGAGTTCAAAACCAGCCTAATCGACATAGCAAGACCCCCATCTCTACAAAAATTAAAAAATTAGCTAAGTGTGGTGGCACATACCTGCAGTCTTAGCTACTAGAGGAGCTGCAGCAGGAGGATGACTTGAGCCCAGGGTTTCGAGGCTGCAGTGAGCTATACTCACGCCACTGCACTCCAGCCTGGGTGACAGGGCAAGACCTTATTGCAAAATAAATACATAAATAAAATAAAAATCTTATGAGCAAACTGAAGGGAATATTTTAACAATGGATGTGTTGTCCCCTTACAGCACAGCTCAGATTGTGTCATACCAACAATCGTCTTACCAACAATCAGGTTTTCTGCAGTTACACTGAATGATATGTTAGATTACAGCAAGAAACAACAAGAAAAAATGTTTCTTTTAGTTATTTTACTTTGATTTGAACAATGGAGTTTCAAATCATCTTGATTTCTGTAAAGATTTTAGTGAAGTAGCAGAAAAGCTGAAACAACTGATAGTTCATCCAAATACAAACTAAACTTTGCTCATCTATCTGCATATTTGACAGATACTGCAAACACAAATTTTGGCAGTGTCCATGTAGTTTATAAAGTTTTCTTGCCAAAGAAAATTAAATCTTAATTAATTACAAAATTTAATCTAGTTAAGTGTTGTAGGCAAGATACACAGAACGTTGCAGGTAAGATATGCAGTGTTAATACAACACTTTAGAAGGGTTGTGATTTGCTTACCTGTGATATTAAAGTTTACATAATGAGGTTTTCCGTCATTTCTTTAAACTGCATAGAAACAATACAATTTTGACTCAATAGAAATGGAAGGATATAGCCTCGCTGTTCATGGGCCTACAGGAAGGCTTGTGGCTAGACATAAAGAAGGTGTTAAAATGTGGACGTGCTGTAAAATTATATTTTCAAACTATGAGCAAGAATAATGTCATTCTCTAATTTAGAAACACATTGAGAGTCAGAATGCAGAAAAAGATTGTAGTGAAAAGTCTATTTATATGCTATATCTTCGAAACCATGTGTTGATATCTGAAGACAGCATAAGGAGCTTAAAGCAGACTTCACCTGTGTTATTCAATATTGCCTGTATGTTGCTAAAGTCATGCAGCAAAGCATTGCTTGTTTTGAGGAAAAATAGACTGCTTCAGAACACGTACAAAAAATATCTATCACTAGCAAAGGGCAGCCAAAATAAATAGAACTCTCTTAATTTCTTTACTAAAACTCCAACTTCAATTTTACAAGTTCAAATTATCGATACAATTTTAAACCATTTTCCCTGAGAAAGAAAAGTCTAACTTAGGATGACATTCAGTGTGGCTCCTAGTGTTTAAAAATAACGAACGTTTTAGAAAAGGAGAGCGTATGTGATGAGTTTGTAGATGCAAAGGACCAACGAAAGCTGATCCCAAAACGAGATGGAGATACAAAGTAGAAGGACATTCTTGGAGATCTGGAAACTAATTTTAGGGAAGTCTAAATACCTGCTGATGCTATTAGGTCAGCTCCTAAATATTTCATGCTCAAATACTTTTTTTGAGAGGCTATTTAACTTGATGTCATCACTCTGGAAGCACATCAGGAATCTGTGTAATCAGGGCATGGTAAGAACAGAGCTGCAAGTCAAAGGACATTTTATTTTTTACTGGATTCAGTTTTACCATTACATGAAAGATAATAAAAATGTCCTGGGCTGTGAGCAGTTCAAAGGGGCAATATTAAGAGAGAAAACTGAAATAGAAATATCCTATTGTATCATGAGTTTAAAAAGTTATTAAATATTATTATACTTATACATATTATTTATTAGTAAATCCTACTACTAATTACTACCCATTGCCACTGTTTACTACAATTGTTGCTTTGTTTAAATCATAGCATTAATGTAATAGAAAAGAAAATAATAAGACATAATATATAATTTCATATAAATACCCATTTTAATAACACACATGGGCATAATTCCTTATTATATGTTATATTGTTATGTTCTTTCTGTTTGGCATGGCCAGGTCTCAAACCAGCTCTCTAACAAGTTAGTCACCCTATACCTAAGTCTGAATTCTGGTTCTGCCAAGCACTGTAGCCTTGGGTACGTCACTTAACATTCTTCAGCCCAATATGCCTCATCTTACAAAATAATTATAAACAGTGATAAGCTTTGAGACATTGTCATGATGGAAATGATCAGTGCATGTTAGCTCTTTCACTATGCTTGTCCCACCTGAAACTGTCAATCCATGGTCAGGTCTTCGAATGGATTTTATTTTCCTTGATAAGGTCTTATCTTTTGTTGGTTCTGTGGCCTCAGGATCCTGTTACTTGGACCTATTCAAGCCCTTCTTTCTCAAGGCCTTATAAGGCCCTGGGTGCAGGATGTAAGTGTAAGCTAAGTCATTTCTGATTCCTTCTCTGGTCAATTCTTGAGTCCATTTGCACAGTTAAATTGCCTAATTCAAGAGATTCTTTATTTAAGAAAAAAAAAACATTTCAGAGTACTTTTCATTCATATCAGTTGCTTTCAGGAAAATCCCTATAATCTACTTCTGATTCCACCACTGCTGTAAACCAAAGCCAAGTACAAGGGCTACCTACACATCACAAGAGAGAGAGCACTGAGGCCTGGGAATTGCTGAATGGTTTCTCTTCAGGAAAAGCAGTGATTTGAAGGAAGACTTTTTGAAATATGGCCTTTTGTTTCTTGCCCTAAGTCAGCTAGCAAGAAATATTTCTAAGAGGAGAAACAGGAAAATACCAAATAGAGAGCTTGTCAGTTTGTTTCCTAAAGGGATAATTTTCTAGTGGCATCATGCCAGGAAGCTGGTTGTTCCCATAGTCCTTTCCCACCCCCCTAAACATAGTTACAGACTATGTGTAGGGTCAGTACAAACTGTGTGATCAGACACAGAAGCCAAACTGGAGAGAATGTGATGTTCGGTTTGTGGTCAGTGTGACCATGAGGCCAGACTGATTGGTGGTGCCAGGAGGCTCAGTGTGGTGTAGTCAGAGGGAGACAAGGATGTGAGCAAGATAATCATCTGCTTTATGACTCTCAGGCCAACATGGGGTCTGTAGAGGATGAGGTGGCCTGAAACCTCTCTGCAGGGAGGATGTGGACAGAAAAAAACAACCAAACTTTGGACATCAGAGTGCACCGCACAATAATAGAATCCACAGAAAAAAATAACTGGAACAAAAAAATATAATGCAACAAATGGCTAGAAAGAAAAGAGTACCTTATACATTACCAACCCATGCACTCCTCCAAATTTAGACATCAACATGTAAATGGAAAATCCTGGGCTGCAGGGATGTAGGGAAATCCTTAGAATGTAAGTCACCCTTCAGTAAGAAAAGGCACTTTCCTCCAGAAGCCTTGGCACAAGGTTTTTGTGGGACCAATAGTTACAAGGCTCACTGGCCAGGAAATGAACATATGTTAAATTATGTATCTTTGATGACTTAAATCCTGAGGCCTTAGGATGTGAAGTTTTGAGATGGGAAATAAGGATTAGAGTCTCAGTCTATGACAGACCAGATGATTACTCTTGGTTCCTGGCGCAAGCTGCTGCCTTAGGTATTCTGTTGGTCGTGGGGAGGGTAGGGGACAAGGATGAGGAGGTATGTAGGGGATTTTAAAAAGTTAAACATCAGGAGTTGGGGGTTAAGGAATCCAAGCATGGAACACCTTTGTTTGAATTTAGTCATGAGAAAGAAGAATTATGTTTGAATAAAATCTTGTAATGGAGTTTCAAACTCTAGAGGACTAACATTGTCAGATAGTGTAGGGTGAGTGATATAGTTTGGCTCTGTGTCCCCAAGCAAATCTAATCTTGTAGCTCCCACAATTCCCACATGTTGTGGGAGGGACCTGGTGGGAGATGATTGAATCATGGGGGTGGGTCTTTCCTGTGCTTGTTCTCATGATAGTGAATGGGTCTTGTGAGATTTGATGGTTTTAAAAATGGGGGTTTCCCTGCACAAACTTTCTCTTTGTCTGCTGTCATCTATGTAAGATGTGACTTGCTACTCCTTGCCTTCCACCATGATTGTGAGGCCTCCCTAGCCATGTGGGACTGTAAGTCCAATAAACCTTTTTCCTGCATAAATTACCCAGTCTCTGATATGTCTTTATCAGCAGCATGAAAACGGACTAATACAGTGAGTTTCTGAAAGTGACAACATGTGGCAGCAGCAAGAGGCAGGTGCAGTAGTAGGCTAATAAACAATCACAACACTAGCCTGAACTGAGTGTGGAAGGCAGTTGACTACTTCATTTTCCAATTTGGGACCGTATAAGACTTTAGGCTTCATAAAAACTCCAGGGAGACAGGGAGAGACTGGAATTCTTGCCATCAAGGTTAGGTATTGAATCAATGAATTAAAAACTGAAAATTAGTAGAGGCAAGACTATACTTTCACCCTATGTTATAGAGTATACATTCAGCTTGCAACAAGAATTACTTATTTATAAAGGAATGTACATTTCTAACAAGCTAGGTTTAAATATTCCTAGAACCTCCTAGTACATTCCACTAGAATATAAGTTCCAGGAGGGTAAAGGATTCAGTGCCATATTCTCAAAACTTGGGAATATAGCAGGCTGTTAATGAGTATTTATTGTATAAGTGAATAAAAGGTGTATTGATTATAATATTTTGAGCTTCTTAAATACTAATTAAATAGATGGATCATTACAAGGTATGGAGAAAAATACAAACACATGATTTATTTCTTTTTCATAGCAGAAATAAATATTTTAGATTCATCTACGTGTAAGTTAGAAAATTAAACATAATTGAATTGAATTTATATAAACATTCCTTGGGTGCTTATATTATGTGAGATACTGGGCTAAAAATTTAATTGAATGAGCGAGTTCCTGTTCTTCAGCAATCTGGTGAAGAAATACAACCTAAGGTGACATTACCGTTCACTTTAACAGTGAGGTATCTGGACAGTGTTCTGGAAGACTGCAGAGACTGATGTAAAGCAAAAGTAAATGAAGGAGCCTAGGACAGGCTCCATGGAAATATGACTTAGCTGACTTTTTTTTGAGACAGAGTCTCTGTTCCCCAGGCTGGAGTGCACTGGCGTGATCTAGGCTCACTGCAAGCTCCGCCTCCCGGGTTCACGCCATTCTCCTGCCTCAGCCTCCCAAGTAGCTGGGACTACAGGTGCCCGCCACCACGCCCGACTTAGCTGACTTTTAAACCATGTGACAAAAAATAGTCAGCAAAGAACAGAAAAAGATTTAAGCAAGGACAAAATATATTCAAATCATAGATAGACTGAGCATCTAGTGTTTTAGTTTGATGTGGCTAGAGAAAAGTGTGCAAGAAGGGCATCAGTCAGAAGAGAACCCTTGGAGATTCCATGTCTGTATAATCATATATATATGATTACATATAAGTTGTACATCATGTAGGTGTTGTACATCATATATATTATACATCATTACATCATATATATATATATATATATATATATATATATATATATATGTTGCATACCATTACATCATACATATGTATCAGTCTTTCCTCAGTACCTGTGGGGGATCTGTTTTAGAACCACCACCACCACCACCCACCTTGGATATCAAAATCCTCAGATGCTCAAGTCCGTTATATAAAAAGGTGTAGTGTTTGCATATAACCTACACACATCCTGCTGTATACTTCATTATCTCTACATTACCTATAATACCTAATACAATGTAAATGCTATGTAAATAGTTGTTATACTGTATTGTTTAGGGAGTAATGACAAGGAAAAAGGTATATATGTGTTCAGTACAGAGGCAACCGTCCATTTTTTTCCTCAATGTTTTCAATTCATGGTTGTTTGAATTCACAGACATAGAGGACTGGTGTGTGTCTGAGCACAATTTATTATAGAGATTTGACCTTATGCACGTGTGGAAAATAATGAAGTCATGTCTGCAGTGCTGCTGTCTTTACTGGCAGAAGGTTTTTTTATCTTTTCTGTCACTGGAGCCGCACTCTTCCATCCTGCGTGCTGGCCTTAGTCTGCAGCTGGATTCTGCCTCATTCAGCCACCCCATCTTTTTCCTCTCTCTTAGTTGCTCGTCGATTTGCCCTAGTTTTATTCTCCCCTGTCCCTGCTCCTGCTCCTCCACTTTTCCAGCCCATGATGACACTTCTTTGAGTCTGCTGCTATTGGGAGGGGTTCTCATCATTCTCAGTTCTTTATGAACAGCCACAGTTGTTCCTAAGAAACTTGGAATATATTCTGCCTAGAACAACATTTGAAGGAAGACATCTGAGTCACTTAAACGCATTTATTCCCAATAATAATCATTAGTGTATTCAGATAGGTATATGTGTTTCAGGTTTGTGATATAATAGGAAGAAGAATACCCTTCTTTGTTAAGGTGCTTGTCTCTACACCCAGCACCAAATCCCTCCCAGGCTTCTGCCAGCCCCACTCAGTCTTAGTTCCAATACTAATGGTCTATTATTTACTCCCAAACTCCCTTACATCTATTCAATTAGTCCTTCAGGGAGTCGTTGGTTCCCGAAGCAAGCAGATATGCAGCTTAATCCAGGTCCCACAATGACTCACCATCTACCACTATCAGACATTCAATAGACACGTGTTTCCATTTCCATTGGCCCCCTAAGCCTTTATTCCACTAACCAGAGTCCCACTATGAAAGTCAAAAGCATACTATATTTTATATATGAACTCTAAATTTCAAAACGTGTGTATTTTTAGAGTTCCCTTCTGGAATTTTGGTAAAATAGCTTTATTTACCCCCTTCTTCCATTTACTTCTGAAATGCCAGCCATTTAAGATTAACTTTAAACAAGTTAATTTCCCTGTTATTACTTTTGTTGCTGTTTTTCCTTCTTTCTATATTTCTATATTGTGTTCTTTTAATTAATATTGTCTTCCAGTATTTTTGTGGCAAATGTAATCTAGCTAGGAAACATAGGTAGAGGAAATCTGCGGAAAAATGTGTCTCATACTCTCGCAAGCTTTCGTACCAACTTTCTTATAATGCCATTCATTCCTATAATCTTTTTGAAGATATATAAACCAATAGGTGAAAAACTAAAACGCTAATGCAGATTTAAATTTTGTTACTAACAGATGGAAATGGTGGTATTTTGAGAATGGAGCCAAAATCTGAGGACAGATTAAAGCAAACATAAGAAGTTTCATAACAAAAAAAAGAGTACCAAAAAAAGAGTAATGTCATGAAATTTTGGAATTGAAGGAAATTTCAATTTAGTGGAACCATTCACTGTTTGAAGAAGTCTCTCTTCAGCATATAAGAGACTTAATGACAAGTCAGTATTTTAAATGAAAGAACCATATTGAAGATGACCTGAATTAATTGATTTATTAACCCCAGTTATTTTGACCATAAAGTCCATTTTATTTATTTTCTGAATGATTTTTCTGGACCTTACAATGAGATAAGTCAGTATGACAAAATATGTGCACACACATATATTCACCCACACCCACTCTCTACTAGACCTACCTGTAGTCAATAAAATGTGCTTTTTTAAACCAAAAAGTAATATGTTTAATGATAAAATTCTTAACTTTCTCTAACTAAGGTTAAGTATAGCCTAAATTGATTTTGTGTAAAGGTAAATGTAAGCCCTGATTGTATAAATAGTTTAGATGATAGGAATAAAAGAATCATAATTTAAAAAAAAAAAACTAGAGCCTTTTAATCTGTTTGAACAAAGCATTTCAACTGGATAAGATCCAGGATTTTACTACCAAGAAAAGGTACCGAATGTCTAAAACTTTTTTTTAATAAACTCATAGCCATTTTAACAATTTTTACTTCAACTTTTTAATATGCCAATCTTCTGAAGTATATAATCAGAAACTTCAAGCCATTTTGATGTAGATCTAGGAGGTATTGTATATTCTAGATTAAAATAGAGCCAAAACTCTTTAATATAAGGTCAAATTACTTCAGAATCTTATATCTCCTCCGAACATTTATTTCAAACTTAGAACTGTGAAAATAGTCCTCTTTTTCTCAGCATAACCTGAAAGTCAACTGCTAAGAGGCATGTACAGTAAAAGAATTTTGAAAAATAACTTCAGGTTTTGTATTTGAATTTACATCATTCCTATTTCACTTTCCTAAGTGTAGTCCTCATATTTCTACCAGACATCAGTTTCAGCTAACTGTTTTATAAGAGCTGTGAGAAGCTTGAGAAATTAATTTCAACAACTTATCATTCTCGATAATTAATAGGATCTTAGGTATGCCAGTTTCTCAGAAATATCTTAAATTACAGGCTTAATTTACCTATTTCCTATTTTTTTGACCGCCAGAGTCAAAAATGTTGGATGATTTTCTTCAGCTGCTTTTTAAATTGCATAAGCAGAAAAAAGGAAAATGAGGGAGGCTGAACCCCATCAACAGTTTCCATTCTGACCTGCTCTTTTACATTTGCTTGCTGAATACATACATAGAGTTCAAACCAGCTGGCCTTCAAGGTTGTGTAATTTATTTTATAAATGCTGGCTTATTTTTTGGACATTTTAACTTCTGGTCCTGGTAGGACATATCATGCCAATTGTTTACAAAAGGAAGTTTGGATTCTAGTATATTGCCAGACAACATTTTTGGACAACTTAGTTTAATTTCTTTTCTTTGGAGCAAATATTATTATAGTCAGCATGCAAGTGATATTTGATTATTTATTGGATCGTAATATGACCTAGATCTAACCTTTTCTTCATTTTACTCACCTGCATGAAGCAAAGTAAATAAAACATTATGTTCTTTAAAATGTTCTTATTTTACACAATAATTTCACTTCTAATAATTTATCTTAAGAAAAAGAATAAGAATATGAATAAGGACTTTTCAAGCTATGTTTAGAATAATATTATTAAATATAAAGAATACTCTTAGTAATCTAAACATCTAGCAAGAGAGAAATAGCTAAATAATTTGTAGCAATTTCGTAAGATGAAATAGAATGTATCTATTAAAAATATTGTTTTAAAACATATTTGATGTTATTAAAATTATATAATTTTAACTGCAATAATTGAGCTATGAAATTATTCTATGCACATAGTCCCTGAAGGTTATCTGGAATTTGATCAACAGTGTTTTGAATAATTCAAACATTTTTATCTCAAATAACCTCTCCCCTGCACACACACAGGCACAATGAAATATTACAACACAATCAGCAGAAACAGTATGGAGCTCTATGAGATGGAACAGTGATTGGTAAATGTGGGAAGTTGTAAACGTTGGGGTGAATATTTTTTGGGGGGTTGAACCATGTTTTTATTTTTCTCTATAAGAACTGCTTCATTTTTCAATTGGGTTGTTATGGTTTTTCTTAAAACTTAAAAAACTTTATGAGGAGAATATGCCTTTTGGCATATTTATTGTAGATCATTCCTCAATTTAGAATATATTTACTGACATAATAAACATGTAATTTTTCCATGCCTAAAGTTTAACTTTGATGTAGTCAATTTTATCAATAATTTTCTGGATGGTTTTGGTTTAGAGTGATTCTTAGAGCATGTTCTCCAATTAGTAATAACAGCTCATATTACTGACCTTGACTATAGGCCAGGAGGAACTGTGCAAAGGGCTTTACCTATGTGTAGGAGAGCACAGGTGACCTTGTACATACCCACCCAGGCCACATGCACTGAGGCTTGCACCACAACTTATGTGAGGCTTTGCAGGAATCCCTGTATCCTGAACACAAGAGGATAAGAGGCTTGTGAGGAGCTGTTCTCTGGCCCTCTCCCCATCACTGCCGTTTCTTCCCTGGGAGGCTGTCATGAAATGCTTTCTCATCACCTTTGGTGGCCTGAAGGTATGCACCATTCTTTTTCACCTTCTCAGGATATAGCTGCGCACCACACAACTGCTCAGCTGTAGCCAAGAATTGGCTCCTTCATGAGGAAGTATGCCACACCTTTGTGTGGCACTCATCGGCTCTTTTTGTTTTGGTGTCATCCTTTTTGGTATGTAGGATGAGGACCAGGGAGCTGGCACCTTTGGCTACTCTTCTTTTTGCTATATATGTAAGTAGTAGACAATCTAAATCTGAAAGTGCCTTCTTGTATCTTTACTAGCTGAGTCAATCAGCTCATATTAACTCATTTAATCCTAAAAATTAAATAGTGCTTTTTATACATGTGAGTAAACTGAGATACAAATGTTGCATAGGTCATCCTGCTAAGTGGTAGAACCCCAATTTAAACCAAGATAGTCTTACCATGGAGCCTGCACTCAACCCCTGCACTAAGCTGCCTTTTATGGTTATGCAAATATTGTAAAAAAGAAAGGAAATCCACGAGGCTATATCAAAGACAGATAATAGCAAGCATTGGCAAGGATGTGGAGAAGCTGGAATCTTCATACACTGTTTGGAGGAAGTTAAAATGGTGCAGCCACTTTGTAAAACAGCTAGGCTATTCCTCAGAAGAACTTGACAATTCCACTCCTAGGTATGTACCCAAAGGAAATGAAAATGTATGTTCACATGAAAATTTGTATGTGAATATTTATAGCAACATTATTCATAACAGCCTAAAGAGTGGACAACCTAAATGTTCATCAGCTGATAAATGGATAAATAAAATATAGTATATCCATGTAACAAAATATTATTCAGCCATAAAAAGAATAAAGTACTGACATGTGCTATGACAAGGATTGACGTTGAAAACACTATCCTTAAGTGAAAAAAGCCAGTGAAAAAAGACCCCATTTGTGTAACGCCATTAATATAAAATGTTCAAAACAGGCAAATTTACAGAAACAGAAAATAGGTAAGAGTTTGTCTAGGGCTTGGGAGAAGAGCTGTTAGGGGGAATGGAGGTTGACTGCTATGGGGTGTGGGAGGTTTTCTTAGAAAGATGAAAATGAAAGTGTGAAGTTGATTGTGGTGATGGTTGTACATTCTGTGAATATACTAAAAATAAATTGTACATTTTCAATGAATGAATTGTATGGTATGCGAATTATATCTCATAAAGCTGTTACAAAAAAGAAGTCTACGTGAGATTTAATACCTTAACATTTTTACTTTTTATATTTAAATATTATATCCATTTGGAATTTATTTTGATGTAAAATGTGATATAAGGAGTTTGCCTTTGTCTAGCCAGTTTTTCTTACATCATTTATTGAATAATACAGTTTTATTATGCAGATTTGAAATTCCACTTTTATTGTTTTGTAAACTACCAGACCTGTATATTGACTCAATGTTGTAGCTTGATGTGTTTGTCTATTCCTGTCAGTACCGTATGTTTCAATAACTATCATTTTCTGATATATTTAAACTTCTCTCTCTTTACTCTTTTTTCAGATTTATTGACTTTTTAAATATTTTCTTTTTAACATTTTCAAATTTTAAAAAATAATATTTAGTTTGCATCGAAAATACAGTTAGCATTTGTATTAGGTTCACACTGAATTAAGAGAATTAATAAACTATAAAATCTGCATTTATGCTCATTTTATTTATTCCAGTTTTCATTTATATCCCTTAGTAGAATTTTTTAATACTAAATTATCTTTGTTATTTCAGAGGCTTTGATGTATGACATCTTTTCTTCCATTAGTCTGATTCCATTTGTGTACAAAACAATGCTCCCTAATTTGGGTATTTTAATTTGATAAACAACCACTCTACTGAATTATCTTATTTCTTTTTTTTTTGAGATGCAGTCTCGCTCTGTCGCCCAGGCAGGAGTGCAGTGGCAGGATCTCGGCTCACTGCAAGCTCCGCCTCCCGGGTTCACGCCATTCTCCTGCCTCAGCCTCCGGAGTAGCTGGGACTACAGGCGCCCGCCACCACGCCTGGCTAATTTTTTGTATTTTTAGTAGAGACGGGGTTTCACCGTGTTAGCTAGGATGGTCTCGATCTCCTGACCTCATGATCCGCCCACCTCGGCCTCCCAAAGTGCTAGGATTACAGGCGTGAGCCACCGCGCCCGGCCTATCTTATTTCTTAATGTTTCTAGTTGTTTATTTTTAATTATAGTCAAACCATCTGCAAAAAATGGTATTTGATTATTCCTTTCCAATATTTGTGTTCTTATTTCTTCTCTTATTTATTTCCATTGGCCAGCAGTTTTATTTTTGTAGTGTGGTATCCTTGTCTTATCTCTCCCATTAATAAAAGTCTTTGTAGTACCATTGTATTCTCACTTCAGTTTTTGGGATGAGATATACAAGTTTTTAGTTACATCAGGGAAACATATTCCTATTTTTCTCTATCACTATTGTGGGTGTGGAGAGGCACAAAGGTACTTTTAACATATTGTTGAATTGTATCTGTATTTCTTTATTTGTGTTGATACTTACAGTGATATTTGCCTATAATTTTCCACTGTTGTGGAATCTTTTTTAATGTCTTTGTATGTCATATTGGCCAACACTTAGAAAATGATTTGAACTTACTTATTCCTTTATTCTTTCAGCAGAAATGACTTTACCACTTAGCATAAAGTTTAGCATAAAGTATGCCAAACTTTATTGTAGGTGCTAAGGATATGGACAGGAGTTAACAAAACAGTCATGCCCTCTCTTGCGGTTGAAATAGACAATTAACAATCAAATGTGTGCATATATATTTACATGTATATAGTCATGCATCTCTTAACGACAGGGACGTGTTCTGAGAAATGCATCATTAAGTGATTTTATCATTATGCGAACATCATAGAGTGTACTTATACACAAACCTAGATGGTCTGGGCTACTGTACACACCTAGGCTATATGGCATGGCCTATTGCTCCTAGGTCACAAACCTGCACAGCATATCGCTGTACTGAATACTGTAGGCAATTGTAACACAATGGTAAGTATTTGTGTATCTAAATTTATCGAAACATAGAAAAGAAACAGTAAAAATACAGTATAAAATATTAAAAGGTACACCTGTATAGAGCACTTACCATGAATGGAGCTTGCAGGACTGGAAGTTGCTCTGGGTGAGTAAGTGAGTGAGTGAGTGAATGTGAAGGCCTAGGACATGACCGTGCACGGCTGCAGTCTTCACAAACACTGTACACTTAGGCTATGCTAAATTTATAAAATATTTTTCTTTCTTTAATAAGAAATTAACCTTAGCTTATTGTAACTTTTTAACTTTATAAGCTTATTAATTTTTTCAACTTTTGATTCTTGTAATAACTTAAAACACAAACACATTGTACAGCTACACAAAAATATCTCCTTTCTTTATATCCTTATTCCATAAGCAGTTTATTTTTTAATTTTTTTTTTTTTTTTTTTTTTTTACTTTTTAAACATTGTTGTTAAAAACTAAGATGCAAACACACCCATTAGCTTAGGCCTACCCAGGGCCAGGATCATCAATGTCATTGTCTTCCACCTCCACATCCTGTCTCACTGGAAGGTCTCCAGGAGCAATAACAGGGATGGAGCTGTCATCTCCTAGGCTAACAATGCCTTCTTCTGGAACACTCTCTGAAGGACCTGCCTGAGGCTGTTTTTCAGTTAATTTTTTTTAAAAGAAAATTTTTTGAGATTTTGTGATTTTCCCCACAAAATTCCCTCTGTGATTTCCCCACCCTATCAGGGCTCCTTGAGACCCTTTTACCTGGCCCTCTGCTAAAAAGCGGAGGTTCTGACTTCTCCATGCTTTTGGAGTCTGCCAAACTGGGTCTACCTTGGGAGTAGAGAGGCTAGAGAATGGGGAGCAAGAAAAATAATGAGGATTGTTTTCTTCACTCTTTGGAACATAGGGTCCTCTGGTCAGAGGAAAGGGTTCTTTTCTCAGAGTTTTAGGTGACTGTATGGTGACAATGGTGTAAGAGTGCCCCTGATCATGACTGGGGTTTGCCTGGAGCCAGACAAGAGAGTTTTTATTGAAAATTTTAAAAAGTTTCCCTGCACACACCCTGCCATCTCTGTCCCACAGAGGTCCTTCTTTCTGACGTATGGCCAAAACAAGGAGGGTGGGGTTCTCTTGAATTTTGTCTGCTCATTACTACTGTGCCGTTCAGAGATTTGAGCTGCTCAGCCAGAGGATACCAGTGAACATAAATAACTGAAACAGGAAATTCACCACTGTATAGGTAATTCTTCTAGTGTTTATTTTGGTCCCCAATTTACTTGTTATTATTTATTTTCAGGGCCCTCAGATAGTTGCTCTGTGTATTCTACCTTGGGTTTTTATTTGTAATTAGTGGCATAGGTAGAAGCAGTGTGCTTAGTCCATTTTAGCCAGAACTAGAGCTGCACTGAGATGGACCCCACACTCATCCCCAGCCAATAACTTTTTATTGAAGAGGGTTTTTAAATTATTATTCTACTTTAAGTTCTTGGGTACATGTGCACAATGTGCAGGTTTGTTACATAGGTATACATGTGCCATGTTGGTTTTCTACACCCATCAACTCGTCATTTACATTAGGTATTTCTCCTAATGCTATCCCTCCCCTAGCCCCCAACCCATGACAGGCCCCAATGTGTGATGTTACCCTCCTTGTGTCCATGTGTTCTCATTCTTCAACTCCCACTTATGAGTGAAAACATGCGGTGTTTGGTTTTCTCTTGTGTTACTTTGCTGAGAATGATGGTTTCCAGTTTCATCCTTGTCCCTGCAAAGGACGTGAACTCATCCTTTTTTTATGGCTGCATAGTATTCCATGGTATATATGTGCCACATTTGCTTAATCCAGTCTATCATTGATGGGCATTTGGGTTGGTTCCAAGACTTTGCTATTGTGAACAGTGCTGCAATAAACATACATGTGCATGTGTCTTTATAGTAGAATGATTTATAATCCTTTAGGTATATACTCAGTAATGGGATTGGTGGGTCAAATGGTATTTCTAGTTCTAGATCCCGAGGAATCGCTGCACTGTCTTCCACAATGGTTGAAATAATTTACACTCCCACCAACAGTGTAAAAGCATTCCTATTTCTCCACATCCTCTCCAACATCTGTTGTTTCCTGACTTTTTAATGATCACCATTCTAACTGGCATGAGATGGTATCTCATTGTGGTTTTGATTTGCATTTCTAAAGAGATTATTTTATAACAAGAGGGCAGAATCATAGTGCCTTTTCAGTTGTTTCTGTTATACCTCATAGATGGTGTTGCTTGCTGGGCTATAACCTCCAGCAAGCAAGTACTCGTAGAGTGCCACACACAAAAATGCCATTTGGTAATGGCATTTTAATAAGAATCACATAATGGTCCTCTGTCAAGAGAGACATATCACTAGTTCGAGGCTCCTTCCATTTTTGTGTGGCCATGCATAAACTGCTTTCTAGTCTTCTATTTTCTCTATAGGTAACAAAGACATGGTTGTGTGGAAGAAGATGAGTAATTTCAAATAAAAAAGAAAAAATACCATTAACCTAATTTTTACACTATTTTTATTCAGTATGCTAATATGTTACCTGTAGATAAGTTGGAAATTTTTAATGGTAACCAAACTTTCAAAGGCAAAACTAAAATATGTAGCGCCATAAAAAATAGTAAGAAATTACTTCCATTATAATTCATCCATGAAAATTTGGAAACAGAATATCATTTTTGTATATATCTATTCTGAATGGATGTGTGCATACACTCGTTAATGCTAGGGTTGCAGCTTGTGAGCCTGAGGGCAAGAAAAAAATCTCAGATAAACAATAGAAATGAACAACCATACCTTTGGTGTGGAAAGTGGAGAATAAGAAGTTAATCAGAGAGGAGACAGAGAGTGAAGAAGCTAACTCAATTTTCTTTAGAAGCTGAAAAAAATATGAAGACTTTGGGAAAATTAGGTAAAAATAGCAGCATATGAGAACCAGAGATCAGAAATGAAAAATCAGCCTTAGCGACAACTTTCTTGAGATCAAGAGGAACTCAATCAAAACTTGCCATTATACCTGAGGTGGAATAAGAGTGGCGTTAGGTGACAAAGCTTTCTTAGAGATCTTTGGAGAGAAGGACCAATGGTAGGGAAAACATAGAATCATGAAAATATGCTGGCAATCTGAACCAGGTAAGTACTTTACCGTTCCTCTAGGCTCTGACTATGTAGAGTACAATAATGTTTTCTGCATGAGGTAAGTGGCCTAAGATGATGTTTCAACTCCAGACATACTACATATGGTATAGGGGTAGTGGGGTGGGAAAGATGGAGGAGGGAGCTGGGCTATAATCTTCAGCAAGCGAGTACTCAAAGGGTGGTGGCTGCAGAGGGGCAGGAAAAACAGAGGTCCTGGATTCCTTGTACCTGCACATCTTCCTTTAAAGTGTTTATGAATAACAGAACAGTAGTGGGAGATTATAAACACGTTCTACTTTCATCTTGCTTTTAAGTGTTACTTCTTGTTTTAAATTTAAAACTCTAGCATTAACTGGGAGAGGATGATCAGAGAACTCTGTGTGATTTTGGTTATAACACTATGCTTTTCAAATTATACACATTTTACAAGAAGATAAATGACTGAACATAGGCTATAGGTAGTCTTCCAAATATAACACTTTATTAACTATTACAGGAATGCTTTCCACTTTGATAATGGAATATTAAATAATGTAATTGTTAGTAATTATTAGTAACAATAGCTGTTAGTATTTAGAATTTGAGGTCTTATTAAAAGATTTTCTAAAAATGGAGGCTCTAAGAGATGAATCTGTAGCCATAAGCTAAAGCAAAAAGAGTACGATGGGATGGCCATATATTGGGAAATTCACGGTAAATTACTACCACACAAAGTAGTGCAACTAGGAAGATGCATTATTTTTTTCTATCAAAAATATGCTTTGTTCTGCATTGCAACATGGAATATCTCACTGTCAAGAAAACAAAGACCACTGGGTTTGTCCCAGCTGTGTACTTAACAAAGCCCCACAGCTGCTTTTTTAAAAGATCTTTTGTGGTAAACTATTTAGAAGGGGGTGAAGGAGAGAGAGAAAGAGAGAGAGATTTTTACAAAACATTCTGATTCATGCTCTCCCCAATCCTTTCTCCACCTCAGACAATCTTAGTCCATTATCAGAAGGTAAAGAAACCAAAGTTTTGCAACTAGAATTTTAATAAAGGTTGGGGACTTTTGAGTCCATCACTAAGGCAAAGATAGAGCCGGAAGAGAGGGAGCAGAAGTGAAGCACCTGAGCAGTTCTTCTCCTGGACTTCCTCCACATCCCTCCTCCCGCAAGTCAGAAACTTGGCTTGGCAGCACGGATAACTGTTAGAGCGGCCACTGTGACCCAGCCTGGTGGTGGAGGGGGGTGAGGTGGGGTCAAAAGAGCCCGCTCATGTGTCAGTGGGAATTGACACAGTGACCGCTGCCTCATTCCTATAATCTTGGCTACCAGAGATATCCCAGAATTTTTGGGCTATTCAAGGTTATTGACCACACAACATCCAAAGAGTAATAAAACAAAAAAAAACATAAATACCCTAAGAGTTTCAAAATGTTGATGAGAAGATCCATAGAAATGTTAGACAATTACCTTGTCGCTAACACTGGCATCGCTATATAGCTTTTAATGTAAACCAAAAGCAAGTAATATTCCAGAATATTCCAAATGGCCCTGACAGCTTGGTCCCCAACCCCACACCCCCCAAGAGAACCCTTTGAAGCAGGTTTCCTGTTGCTGCTCCTTTCGCTCCTTGACTAAACTGTGAAACATGAGCTCAGTGATTTCTGGTCCATGCTGTTTATTTCATGCTTTCACATTGGAAACAATAATTTCCTGACCCTCTCCTCTTTCATTCTTATGTGAGGGTGAATAAAATAAAGACTTTGGCAATCTTGGATCTCAATCTACCTCCAGAAGACCAACAGTACTAGATTTTATAAAATATGCAGGAGCTTTACCTCTGCTTTTTGCAAACAGCTTTGCTTGTTATCAATCTGTCCTATTGAAAAATGTGGCTGACATCATCTTTTGCCTTATATTTATGCTAGGCAGTACTTTCTTTGAAGGACCTAGAAACTTAATAGTCAGAACATGGGGATTTCAAATAAACCTGATTGTTTCCCCCACATACTGGTAGCTCCTTCTGGCCTGTATAGCACCCTACTGCACCTCCAGTAGAAAGTGGTCAAAATCTTGAAGACAGGTGCAACAAATCACAGAACCTCTCTCTTTTTGCTATGTAGGCAACTCTGTTTGGCAAATGGCAATGGCAGAGGAGTAAAAGTGGGAGAAAATGAAAGCAATGGCTGAAGAACGTCAAAAAAAAATTGTTCATGTCCTTCTGCTCCTCACTTTCCTTGACAATCAAAATGTGGGCTCATGTAACTTCTTTTTAATCTCAATAGCAATTGTATAATGCCTCAAGACAGAGTTTAAAATTCCTTTTTACATGAAGGAACTTAATTAACAGATATCCTACTCTCAGAGGAATCAAAAATATTAATACCATTCCAAATATTTTGTATGTTTATATTAGAATCTTATCCATAAAGTAATATGATAGCAAAATTCACAGAAAAATTACTTACAAACGTATGACTGAATTTATTTTAAAATGAGGCTTGTAAAAAATAGAATATTACTTATTTACCGAATTAGTTTGATTTCTTTCTAGATGGAGAAATTTGGAATGTGTTTCCTGCTTATATTTAAAATTGTGGAAGCTAAATAGAATTTTCTAAATTACTTACCAATGTGAGTTATCCATTTTTTATCATCAAAAACATTTTTGTTTTGCACAGTTTTTGTCTTGCATGATATAACTACCTAAGCTTTACATAGACTTTAAATTGGAAAGGTGACAGCAATGACTTATAAGATTGATTGAGCCATTATTTTACTCACAATTTATGTAACATTATGTATCCAGAATTTCAGGAAACTGCAGAGGAATCGGACATACATCCTTTCTTCAACAAACTAAGAGACTAGTAAAGGAGAAGACATTTACATAAATAACTTTGGTAGAAAATGAAAGAATACATGACTAGAAAAATGATACACACACTGTTATATTTGTGAAGGGCTCATAAGCAAATGGTTTCTTTTAAATGGTTTTCACATGTGATTTATTGAGGAAAGGCCACTTTAAAATAGAATTATATAATTGGAAAAGAAGAGTTAGTCATGTTCACTCCATAGGGAGGTAATTTGAAAGACTAAATCTTTTAAACCATATATAGAACCTCAATAACATATGTGCCCATCTAAAGTTTTATATGAAACCCATATCTATATTTTATAAACAACTCTAAAACTTACAAATAAAATTCCTCAAAGAAGAGTTTCAACAAAATATACCTTTTAGATAGCTATAAGAAAAAAATCGTATTAATTTGAATAGATATATATTATAGGAGAGAAGGTTCTTTTATTGCAAAACACTTAGGATAAAGAAAGACTTCATATGGGAGCAATAGTTTCAGTGAGTGGTAAAATTGTGTACAATCTAAGCATAAAAAGATAGAGAAAGGTAGTCCTGAAGAACGTAAACAGCAAAGACATGATGCAAGGAAGTATGGGCATGTGTGGAAATGCTGTATATGTGTGTTTGTACCTGAAGGGGAATATGATAGATTCAGTATGAAGGTTGAGATCACATTGTAGAAGGGGTATACTATTCCTGGGATGGCAGTGGTAAACCATTAAAGTGTTTGCACAGATGAGTACATGATATTGGAGTTGTTCCTTAGGGAATAGTAAACTAACTGCAGTATTTTAAATGCAGGAGAGTGTGGGGACTTATGAAAACGTTACTATACTAGTCCAGGTGGAGACTGATGATTAAACATTGAGTGACTAAATAAAAGTCATAGCAGTAGGAAGAGAAAGAAATGGATGATTACATGACTGTATCCTAGTGACAAAAGTACATGAGACCATAAGAAAAACTTTACCTCCTCCACTTATTTTCCCTAGAAATACAAAAACGATCCTTGTTTTGGAAGACTTTTGAACAAATACTGAGCCATCTCGAATGATGGACCAAGTGAATCTTGAAAACAGCTCTCATTATCATACCACATTGATTTGAGTTTCTTCTTGTTCTTGCAGAAAAAGTTCAAAGTCATGTACTCAGAGTACTTTCAACAGTATTGTGCAAGTGTCGAGTTGACTAAATGCACATATTTCCATCTGATGTCAAACATGCTGCCAAACCTTAATTTTACAATGAGACTACAGTTTGCCAAACAGAAAATCAGAGCACCACAGCTCCTCTGAATTCCAGGGTGCCAGTTGAACTGTGGACACATACTTGTCCTAGTGCTAGAATTAAGGAGTGCTCCACTAGGGCCATTTGGTTCACAGGATGAATAAGCCTGTTTATGTGACCTGATATCTTTATGGCAGTGATTTACTTCACTGTCTCTTCAAATTAAGTTTCAGGGAACCTACTTTTCTTTATGTCAGTTGTTCTTGCTGAAGTCTAAATAAAGGAAATTTAACCTAATCAAACTATAGACTGAAAATAAACAAGAAAGGGGAAAAGCAAGCAGCCTATGTTACTGGAATTCCAAGGGCTCTTTTAGTTTGGCCAACACTACTTCTATTAGGGAGCCTCCAGTGGGATCATTGGTAAATGTATAAACAAAAGCCAAGTACTATCAAGTAATTGTCTGGAAATATCAGAATATTTCCATCTTATTTAGGAAGAAAGCACTCACTGGTGTCAGTGAGCATAACAGAACAGTGAGGAAATTCACATTGGCATGGAATGGCTTTTCCCCATTAAGCCATAAAGAGCAGGCTGAGTTATGTTCATGCCTTGCCAAACACGTTTCAGCTGAAGTCAAGAAAGTGGAAAGTCCTTGGGTATTTCATTGTTTAATGAAGAACACCAGATATATAGAGAGACATGCAAAAGGCAGGAATTTATTGACTGACAAACACGCTCAAATGGAAATAGGGAACCAGAGGACTGGCCAGAGAATAGATTTTCCTGTAATAGTTTGCAACTGAAAGTTCCTGGAAAAGACCACCCTCCCAGAGAATGGAGAGCTACTCATGTGTGCATGGCAGAGGTAATCTGAATAGCCCAAATTTTCAAACCAGACGATTTAGGGAATTATATGACTGGAATTTTAAAGCCTGCGATTCTACTCCTTATATCACAAAGCCGTGTATTTCTTATCCTGTAATCTTTTATGTATGAAGTTCCACAAAAAATGTTTAATGAAAATTGTTCTTTTTTTAACTTTTGAGATCTTCTCATTAATTTGAAGTAACTGGGAGGTTTGTGAATTATCAAATTGTCTGCATCATAGAATGTTTCTAAACCAGTTATCATATAGAAAGAAAGAGAGACAGAGAGAGAATCCGTCACTTGAGGGAAGAAAAAAGAGAACTAATTTAGCAGTATTTTTCAAATATAATTAATTTACATCTCAGAGTAGTCCATTGTGGTTGACATTTTTTCACCCCATTTTGTATATGGGAAAGAGAGACTGAGAGGGTTAAATAAATCATCCAAGGTCACACAGATAGAAGAAGCTCAAAAGTGAGCTATTTTTCACTTAGAGATCTCTGACTCTTCTGGACCCCTAGTGTTCCCCACCACAAGGTCAGCATGCCAAAAGCTGATAAGAAAAGCTTATCAATTCAAATTAGCCTAATGATTGGATGTGATTTATTTCTCACTGTTATTCCAATGGTTATATGCAAGTAGACAGCATGATTCACAATTTATGTTATTCTGTGTTTGAAGATATCTTTTCCAGTCCTGTCACAGCTTAGCTTTGTGACCTTAGTCAAGTTACTTAATCTCTCTGAGATTCACTTTCTGCACGTGTGAAATGGAGGCAATAAAATCGACCTCATGGATGATTATATTCAGTGAGCTAATCTACGTAAACACTAAGCATGGTGTCTGTCATATAGTGATGATCAGCCAAGGCCAGTGATTATAACCAACTAGGTTATACGACCTTAACAAACAGCCACCAAAATATCAGAGTTTAATTTATCATTGACTTTGATATCAATCATTGGTCAGCTAAGCTCTAAATTCAGCTTACTCAAGGTCCCAAGATGAAGGAAACTTCATTTCAGTATGACACGTGCTTCCTTGGTCAGTAAGGGAAATAAAAATAATGACTCATACACTGGTTCTTAAAACTTTCACCTGAAAATGAAACATGGTACTTCTGCTCACATTTCACTAGTCAAAGAAGGTTGTATGTCTCTACCAAATTCACAGGGGGTCAATGTGCCCAGAGCCAGTCACCATAATGATTTAAAATGATTTATACCATTAGCTTGCAAAAAGGAATGCAAACCTAAATCCTCTTTAGTAAGCATTATTTAGTCAAATCATTATTAATGAAATCCTATCATCTTAGCAAATACAAAATCTCTTACTATCCAGATTTATTCATTTCCAAGTTCAATTACCAAAGGATTAGAACTGAAAAATCAGTACGGGAAATCAAAAGAGACACTGCCCTAAACTGAAGACATTCTTTCTCCTACGTACTCTTCATGCAGATATCCCAGGTATAAGAATTTTTCTATATTTCCCTCTCTCTCTCTCTCTCTCTACCTCTTCCATTGCTATCTCTTCCCTCTTCTTCTCTCCCCTTGCATACATTATACATACATATGTGTGTGCATATATATATACATTTTTTCATTTTTTAATTGTTCAAAAGCTGGAGATATAATGCCCCATTACCTCTAAGTATTTTAGTATACATTTTTACACACACAAAAGCATGCTGTTATATAATTAAAGTATAATCATAAACATGAGGAAATCAACACCAATAAAATAATACCATCCAGTTCATAGGCCCCATTCAGATTGTGTGGATTGCATCAATAGTATTATTTATAAGCTCTTTCCCTTCTGGTTCAGGATCCAGTCATTTAGTTGTCGCATCCCTTTAACCTCGTAAATTGTAACAGTTCCTCAGGGTTTTATTTTTTCCCTGAATTTCATGATCTGAACATTTTTTGAGGCATATAGATGAGTTACTTTGTAGAACATTCCTCATTTGGGGTTTGTTTGATATTTTCTAGATTCAGGTTATGCATTTTTTGGCAGGAGCACCCCAGAAAATCCTGTATTCTTCTCATTATATTATTTCAATAGATGCATGTGATGTTGGTTTTATGCTTGGTTAGCCAAGTGTCTGCCAGATTTCTACAATTTAAGAATAATTAATGATGTTTTTGCATTTCAAATATTTTAATAAGTACTTAAGGAAAAGATACTTTATAACTATTTAATTATTCTACTACCTATCAAACACTCACAAGAGGGTTTGAGTATGTTTTCATAATTTTTGTCTGAATCAGTTGTTACCATGAGGTAGCCAAAGCCAGTCATTTTTAAAATCAATCATTTCTTATTAGTTGGCATACTACCTTCAGATAGAGTTTTTTCCTTCACTTATTCATTCTTTCACTCAGATCAGCATGTACTTACAGATTCCAGTTTTCCAATTGGTTATAATCCTTTACTATCATACTTTTTACAATGCTAATTTATTTCTAGATTTGGCTAATAAAAGCACCCCTAAGCTGGTTTCTTGGTATTTCCACATCATTCTTTAAGCAATTCCTATTTTTTTCACACAAAAAGGTGTTCAAGGTTCTTGTACATTTTTTTTTTTGCTCTGAATCTGAGATCAGTTGTTTCTCCAGGAGTCCCTGTTTCCTTTTGTGGCGAAATAATATTTACAAAACAACATCTGGCTTCTCAGTGTGCTCATTGCTACTGTGGTGTCATTGCTTTCTAGTCTGTCTCAGAGAATAGAGGATAGAACCAGGAAACACACTCCACACACACACACACACACACACACACACACACACACATATCCACATACACACTTACAAATTTACTCACCTGTGCATCTTTTTCTATATCCACTTATCTATATATATATATAATAAAAATTGTGAATTCACACCAATACCGTCAATTCCAGCTGAACCTCAAAGAGTCTATCCTGTTTCCTTCACCTCACTTCTTCTTATATATTGTACACCAGTGTCCATTGTTCCTGCCCCAGGTCCCTGAGGTGCCTGAAGACTGTGTTTTTATCATAAAACAATTTGCAAATTATAGTAAGAATTGAAATATTTCTTTCATGGTATGGTCTAACTTTATTCGCAACAAAAACAAGTAATATATTTATGGAATAACCACTGAGCTGGAGATGGCAGAAGACTTTCAGGTATAAATAACGATTTGTGTGCCTATAAATTTACAAAATAGCACAGGAAATAGTTTCTTAGTAAAATTTTTGGTCCTTTTGTTCCAGAATTACACATAATAAGGTCTACATTAAAATGTGGAGAATACATGAAGTTCTCTTATTAGCATTGAATTGATTTCACTAATTTTTTATATATGTATATATGTAAAAAAAAATCTACAATGGGACTTTTGATTCCAGCCAAGATGGAGTAGACTTCACTCCTCCCAGGTTCTCTCTTGAAAAATTATAAAAACTCCAGATATACTACAACAAACAAGTATAGAAAGACATTGAAAAGTGAAAAGACAATAGACTGCCTAGGGACCTCAGGACTTGAGGAGCAACACAGTGGTGAGTCACCTCAGTTTTCCTAATTGCCTCCTATATATCCTAGACAGAACACTGCAGAAGCCTTCAACTGCAAACTGCCAACAGACACTCAAAACAACACACAAGATTTCTAGAGTATTCTATTCCCTCTCGCCAAGGCGTAAGGAAAAGGTGACCTATCAACAGAAAACATTTTTGGCCCAACTACATCCAACCATTAACAGAAAATCCTTCTTCAATCCCCATGGTTTCAGTGGAAATGAGCAAGGAAGTAATCTTCCACTTTACCCCTCCACCCTGTGAAAACAAGCAGTGATGCACCCTTTCCTCCACTGGGTGATACCACTCTTTCTATGTAGGGACCTGAACCTCTGCCCCCACTCAACATGAAGACTGGAAAACGTGTTGCAAGTCAGGACTAGTTAACGTTCCTGGCGTCAGCAGACTCAGGAGGGAGCTGAACACCTGTGTGTATCCAGCAGCAAGAAGACTGAATGAAGAGGTACAGTACCATACTACTCCACTTTCCCCCACCATGGTGTCAGCAGGGGATGGTGGGAAGCTGAGCCTTCATCTTCATCAGGTATCAATAAGGCAGAACGAAGTGGTGGGAGGCAGGATCAGTTAGCACTCCACTTACCACTGGTGTGATCAGAAACTAGTGGTGAGCTAAATTTCTAACCCACTTCTGCAGCAAAAAAGGGGTAAAGCTAAGTATAAATATCCATCTGACTCTCACATTCACACTACACATCAACAGGGCAATTGCTTCAAAAAAAAAAAAAAAGGATAAATAGAATCCTTAGTTTCATAATCTAATACCCAAAATGTCCAGCATACAGTAAGAAACTCACAGGAAAATTACAACTTGAGTGAGAAAAGACAACAGACAGCAGCACCCAAGTGAATCAGATGTTGGAAATAAGTGATAAGGATTTTAAAGCAGTAATTACAAAAATATTTCATGTGGCAATGACAAATTCCCCTGACACAAATTTAAGAAACAAAAAGTCTGAGTGGACAAACAACAGTTATACAAAAAGAACCAAATGGAAATTATAGAACTAAAAAATATAACAATAATACAACCTGATGATTGGGTTTAATCACAGAATGGAGATGACAGATCGAATCAATGAATTTGAAAACAGATCTATAGAATTTTTCCACTCTTAACTATACAGAGAAAATAGACTGAGAAAAAATTAACAGAATATCAAGAACCTGTGAACAATACCAAAAGATCTAGCATGCATATTATCAAAGGCCCAGAAGGAGATTTAAAAAAAGAACATTATTGAAAAAGTATTCCATGAAATGATGACTGAAAAGTTCTCAAATTTGCAGAGTAGAGTTTTGCAGTCCTTGGGTTTTCAGAAATTAAGTATAGTCTACTTACTAAGGGCTTTGAAGGCTCTTGGTCTTGTTTAACCTAAATTTCTAGAAGATAAGCAGGGTAAGTAGGGAGATTGGTAGGAGGAAGATGGCGAGGATGGTAAGCCGGGGGAGAAGTAGTATGGGCTTTGTGTTTTCAAACTGTCACTTTATTTTTACATTATTGGATATGGGGAATAATGTGACTGAAGTAGAATAGATTAGGCATATATAAAAGTATAGGTTGAGTAGGGTTATAATATCTATAATAGTGGGAATGACAAGGTTGTTATTTTTTTGTAAATTCTTGAATGATAATTCATTTAGGTAGAAAACTGGTTAATGCTGGTAGGCACTTCAGGATTTACACTTCAGGAAATTTAGCTAACTTCAAATAGGACAAATTTAGACAAATATGCCAAGATACGTCACAATTAAATTTTCAAAATGTAAAAACAAAGAAAAACCTTGAAAGCACCCAGAGAGAAACAACATGTTACCTATTACAGAACAAAAGACAACAGATTTCTCATCTAAAACCATGGAGGCCAAAAGGAAGGGGTACAATATCTTTCAAGTACAAAAAGAGAAACATTGTCAGCTAAGACTTCTACATCAGGAGAAAATATCCTTCAGGAATGAGGAAAAATCAAAATATTCTAAGAAGAAAAACCAAGGTAATGTATTTCTAATACGCCTACCCTAAAATAGCTAATGTAAGTTCTTTGAACAGGCAGTAATGGCTATTGTGGACCATTGCTTCTTTTTGCCCTGTAGAAAGATTCATTGGAAGAATAATATACATACATTTTGTATTGAACAATGATGTTATTTGGAAATCCTGGCTAAGATTTTTTTGGGATCAATGCTGAACATTTCAAAGGATGTTACAACAAGCTGGAAAGTATGAGTTGTGGGTCTAGTCCTGGTTTCCCACTGCTGGTCTGTTACAGAAATGTGGTCCTACTGTGGAGCCTCAGCATAAATACTCACAGAAGGAGATCCAAAGACAGATGACAGAGCCTCTCAGTATTTGACTCCATCCTTGAGTTGATATGGCACCAGGTAGAAATCTTCTCTAATTTCCCCCAACAAGAGAAGGAATATTACTTAGAAATATATCTTGGAGTATTCTTCTAGACAGAACGTCAGTGATCTGAGATCTTCTGAAGCTCAGTCCAGGACTATTCTCCTGGCAAGAAAAGGAGAGTTTGATCCATCAATTTTGTTCAAAAAGTTCAGAGGTGAGGGTGGAGGAATAGTAGTTTGGGGTGTGGAGGAATAGTAGTTTGGGGTGTGGAGGTGTGATTAAGGGGAAAAAATAACTTTTCCATTATTCTTCTGTCTGAATATTCAAAGTCTGGAACACATCAAAAGCAGTTAAAAATAAAATGGATTGTTATACTTATCTGTCATCCCAATGCAGTTTCCATGTTATTTAAAATAGCAAGTTATCTTTGGGTGACATTAGCCTTAGTGATGTGAATTGCAGTTTTCTTTATGATGTCAGGGCTTAACTATTTAGTAAGTAGGAGGAAAACTATCTAACAGAATGCACCTTAATAGGAAGAAAATCAGTTGAACTGAATAAACTAACGTTTACATTCCCTCCGTCTCTATTTTTCATCTAATATCACCCCCATGCTATTAGAGCCTCAGCCAAAAATTGGGTTTTATTCTTTCTGGCCCCATGATTTCCTTTCAGTAAGAAATGTTCAGACTAAGACACATTAATAAGTGCAAATAAATTTAGCTAGCATTTGCTTGGCTGATTCTCAAAGAGGATCAAGAAAGGAAATGGAGAACACCGATGATAAACTATTCAACAGAGCATTTTGAAATTGGCAATGTTGCAAGAACAGTATTTTATGGTGGTTCAGATACATAATATGTTTTATAGAATGTTCAGAAAAAAATAAAATGATCAAACCGCACCCTTTTAGGTATAGATGGAATGGCAAGGGATTTATTTGATACACAGTAAATATTTGAAAATGATTTCAATTTATTTCAGGAAGAGTGCAGATAAGATTTGTTGAGGAAAAGATCTTTATAAGGCACATTAAAATATTTGGAGTTAGATTAGATTTCATTTGTGATGTAAGAAAAAAATACATAATATCTTTTTCATATTTAAAGGAGTTATTTAATATCAGTAGGTCGACGGCTGCTCTAGTGTCTCACAATTGTCAAACTTGTATTATGCATGGGGATTACAAGTGCTTTATTAAATGACTTGTTAATATTATCCTCCCTCAAAAAGGATTTGTAGTAAGAAACGACTGCCACTACAAGTGAACTAGAAGACACGAGTCCTGAAATTCTGCTACTCATTAGTACGACGAGGCTTGCATTAGAATAAGCACACTAAGAAAAAGTAACAAATTCCAATTTCATATTTCTCATCCATGTGGAAAAAATAAAATATAAGCCTGAATTTCAAATGTGTTTGGTGGAGGGATGTTTTAGAATGACCAGTATTTTTATTTGTTTTATTTTTAATTTGATATGGCTTTTCCACTTTGTTTTGTTCTGTTTAAATTCCTTAGGTCTTCTGCCACTCACAATACTAGAGTCCTAAATAAGCTAACTGACATGATTTCCAGGTTGCCCAAATAGGGAAATAGTGAGATGCTTAAATAATTCGATTAGTGTAGTTTATTTTCCATATCAAGTAACTTAGGTCAAGTTAAGGAAATTTCACAAGCATGAACTACTAGAATTTTAGAGGAAGTGAATGCAGTGAACCACCAAATCTCAAGGGTCTGTTTTAACCTCAGAAGTAATTCTATCTTGATAATTAATCAGTGACATAGTTAAGAATTCAAAAGAAAATAGCCTATTTTGCCAAGAGTGTCTGTAGATGTTTAAATTCAAATAAACAGAAATAGCAAATGACCCAAAGACAGTAGTCTTCAAGAGCTTCTTTGGAATTCACAAAAATATTTCCTTTAAACAGTGCTGTATTTAGACTAGCCATTTCACCTTGGAATATGAGTTAATGAAGAAATGATGAGTTTAATTGTTCTCCTGGTTTAGCTGAGTCCTTTGGATTTTATGAACTAGAAAGAAACAATGTGACGTGGTACTGGACCCAAAGGTTTACTCTTTTCTCTGTTTAATGTGACTCAGCCTGTTTTCAGGAAGAGTAATCTTGGATATGGAAAGCCTATCTTCAGGTCAGGTATTGTGAGCTACTCGCTTCATGACTTTACAAGTCTTTTAACATATTCTGTTTTCTTTTTATAACATTAAAGTGAACTAAATTATTACCATCCCAGTTATACACATTGGTCAAACATGGCCCAGCAGTGCCATATGGTCATTTTTCACACTTGCAAATGAAAAACTCATTGTTAATAGATCAATATCATGACCAAATCAATGGCCTTGAGGTCTTAGAAGAAAATTACAGGCTATGGAGTGGGTTGCCCTTGGGGTTTGAATAATGTACTCTATGGAATTACTAATTGTGTGGGGAATATTTGCTGAATGAAGTAATGAATGAACAGCTCTTGTCCACAGAAATAAATCCACAGAAGTAAGTCCACAGAAGATGCCAGAGTTGCAAGGAAAGCTACTCACCTGAAGGTCAATGTCTTTTTTACACAAGATGCCAATTAGAAGTGAACTTGTGTTTCCAATATTAGAGAACTTTATATAAGTTATGGCATTATCTCCTTAAGATCCTATTAACATAGATATTAGAGATAATAGACTTAGTTTATTTCTTACTCATGCTTACTTTTTTAATATTGCAAACAGGAAAAAGTGAATGAGGTATTACAAGGGATCAACCATTCCAATGCCTGGGTCTTGATAACTTAGATTGTATGTTCAAGTGGATTCTTAAAGGTCATACAAGAGCTACATAGGATTTCTTATTTCTCTTAAAACAACCTTTTTTTCATAGAAAATTGTTAGCTTTAAATACTATCCATACACCAGTCAACACTTGTGTGCAAAGAATCCAAAATGAATGTAATTATGCTCTGATTTTATCATTCTTACTAATGGAATACTAAGGAAATCTGTTAAGTAGGAAGATTTAGTAAAAGATTTCACAGTATGAGAGCTACAGTAAAGCTGACTTTTTAAATGTGAAGAAACTATTCCAGTAGATGACTAAAAATAAGCAGAAAAGTCTTAGTACACTCTATTCTGCCAGCTCTGCAAAATAGCATACTATTCTGGCTTGGAGTCTAAAAAAAAAACTGGGTTATTCTTAAAGAACATAAACTTTGGAAAAGTTGAAATTCAATATAATTTAGTTCAAAATACTTAAATACATACTATATTTATATTTATGTACATCTAGTTTCATAGTTTGGTCCTATTGCTTATTGTCTGTGACAGCAATCAGTTTGGCAAAGCCTTGAGAACATTTTTGCTAATAACTTACTTTTTTCCTCTCTCTGTATCACAAGATTTCATTATGTCACAAACCAGGTTAAGTTCAGAGTACATGGTGTAGAAATCAATTATCTGATACCCTTTAGTGAGCAATATTTTGAGCAGCCCATATTTCCTATTATATAGCCTTAGTATCTGAGATTATGGTAGTTAGCATCCTGGAAACATCACCATGCCCTATGAACAGAAACCCTTGACTGCAAAGAATCCCTGCTTTCTATCTCTTGTGACTTGGCTTTTTACTTTTCCATGTGCCTCTGTTCCATGAGCTCTTTCTTTACCAATCTCCATTTGAAACCGTCTGTACCACCATGGTTGTCCTCTACTGGTATGTTGAACTGACTAGCCATCTTGGTTGTGAACTGAACAAATTTTTTTCAACTAGGTTAGAATTTTTTTTCCAAATTTAATTTTAAGTTTAGGGGGTACATGTGCAGGTTTGTTGCATGGGTAAATTGTGTGTCACACTGGTTTGATGTATAGATTATTTTGTAGCCCAGGTAATGAGCATAGTACTGAATAGGTAATTTCTCACTCCTTACTCTCCTCCCACCCTCCACCCTTAAGTAGGCCCTGGTGTCTATTGTTCCTTTCTTTGTGTCCATGTGTACTCAATGTTTAGCTCCCATTTACAAGTGAGAACACGTGGTATTTGGCTTTCTGTTCCTGGGTTAATTCACGTAGGATAATGGCCTCCAGCTCCATTCATGTTGTTTCAAAGGACATGATTTCATTCTTTTTTATAGCTGCATAATATTCCATGGTGTATATGTACCACATTTTCTTTATGCAGTCCACCATTGATTGGCATCTAGGTTGATTCCATGTCTTTGCTATTGTGAATAGTGCTACAATTAACATACATGTGCATGCATTTTTATGGTAGAACGATTTATATTCCTTTGGGTATATACCCAGTAATGGAATTGCTAGGTCGAATGGTAGTTCCGTTTTAAGTTCCTTGAGAAATCTCCAAACTGCTTTTCATAGTGGCTGAACTAATTTACATTCCAAGGAGCAGCATAAGAGCATTTCCTTTTCTCTGCAACCTCACTAGCATCTGCTATTTTTTGACTTTTTAATATTAGCCATTCTGACTGGTGTAAGATGGTATCTCATTGTGGTTTTTGCATTTCTGTAATTATTAGTGAAGTTGAGCTTTTTTTTTTTTTTTTTTTTTTTTGAAACAGAGTCTCACTCTGTCACCAGGCTGGAGTGCAGTGGCACAAACTTGGCTCACTGCAACCTCTGCCTCCCGGGTTCAAGTGATTCTCCTGCCTTAGCCTCCCGAGTAGCTAGGACTACAGGCACGCACCACCATGTCCAGCTAATTTTTGTATTTTTAGTAAAGATGGGTTTTCACCATGTTGGCCAGGATTGTCTCAATCTCTTGACCTCATGATCCACCTGCCTTGGCCTCCCAAAGTTCTGGGATTACAGGCGTGAGCCACCTTGCCCAATTGCATTTTTTCATATGCTTCTTGGATGCATGTATGTCTCCTTTTGAGAAGTGTCTGTTCATATTCTTTGCCCATTTTTCAATGAGTTGTTTGTTTTTTGCATGTTAATTTAAGTCCTTCATAGATTCTGGAAATTGAACCTTTGTTATATGCACAAATGCTTCCTAGAATTTTATATCTAGAGCTTGTGAGAAAGAACATCTTTCATCTCTGGGGACAGAAATATTAGAGTATAAGGGCAAAATTGCCATATGGTCATGATCTCCTTCTGGTGGGTACAAAAAGGGGAAAAAAATATAGAGTAGGAAACCGAATAGAAAACGCAGAAAGAGAGAGAGAACTCTGATTTGGTTTAAGGCCCAAGTGTAGCTCTTCCACCATCCTTTTGTGAGACAATATATTTCTCCTTTTAACTTAACCTTGTTTGAGATGGTTTCTGTTACTTGCAACCAAAAGTATTGACCAATAACTACATACTCCCCAAATAGAAAACCTTTGAAATAGAAAAGATTACAAAGCAAATGTCTTTATGTGAGAATAACAAAAATATGCCTATGTGCTCACTTGAAAATTGTATTTACCAGGTTTATAAATTTTGTTTTGTTTTAATCTCTCTAATTCACTTAGACTTGGATATTTAACCAGACCACTCAGTGTTTAATTAATGATGACTTAGGTTGCTACTTTTTGTAAGCACATGGAGAGATTCTCAGTACATTGCAGTTCTTTTTATTCATTTATTTTTTCAACAAATATTGAAACTTATTCAATAAGCAATGATTGACAGACTTGCTATGTCATGATCAATGTCCTATGCTTTACAGTTGCAGATAAGAACAGTCCATTCTCAGAGCTCACTGTAGTAAGGGAAGGACACCTGGGAAGGATTACAGGAACTCTGAGGAGAATACAGCTAGTATTCTGGAAGGGGTGGAGAAGTCTGGGAAGACTTTATATAGGCAATAACCTTTGACATGTGTCTTAAAGAATGAGTGGAAAGTTTCTTGCAGTGCCTTTCCCTGCTTGTCAATTTCATACCTTTCTCATATCTGCCTTTGAAAGTAAAGATACTTAGAACATTAAATGATAACCCTGGTGCCAATAATTGGAGTTAATAAAATTTTGACTTAAAACACAAGAACAGGTGAGAAAGACTGTAATGCTGTAAAACAGATTTTATAATACAAAAATTGGCATCAGATAAAACAATATGAAAAGCAAGATGAACAGAAAAAAGGTCTGTTTTGTATTTCTGGGTAGAATTTAAACTTTTTTTGTTCCAGAACCACTTTTTAAACATTATTAACAGTTCTTAAAGTTTCGCATAGGTCCAGGAACATTGCCAGGATTTCAGGGGATGAAACTATGAATCCCTTTACTACAGATTTTTAAAATCACTTCAGTTCTGAAATTAACTTTCCACAGACTGTTTGAATTACTGATTAGTAATTCATATTATTTGATCAAGGAAAGCCAAGTTTTCAGATGATGGTATTGTTTTCAAGTGCTAGCTTTTCCCAAGGAAATAATCATTCTCATATCATCAAAACTGAACTAGTAATAAAAAACAATCTCTAATCGTTGGGAGTTTTAGAATGTGTATTTTGATTGTTTCTCAGCCTCTCTCCACATGGGGAAGGTTTCCAGTTAAAAACCCGAAGACCTGCTAGATCAATTCTAAAAGAGCTGCAACACTTTGTTTCTTTTAAATTCCGAAAAACACATACACATTCAAGTGAATATTATTACCTTCAATTTCTTTTATTGGATTCCACTTTCTATAGAACAGGATTTAAATAATTTCATTTGAGCATGTGTAATATTTCTTAGGGCTGTATCTTTATGAAATGAAGTCCAGATTTTAAAGTGACTTGGGGGATGAGGGTGGGCATGGGCACAGTGGCTCACGCCTATAATCTCAGCATTTTGGGAGGCCAAGGTGGCCGGATCGCTTTAGCCCAGGAATTGAAGACCAGCTTGGACAACCTGGTGAAAACTCATCTCTAATAAAAATGCAAAAATTAACCTTGCATGGTGGTGCGCACCTGTGGTCCCCCTACTCAGCAGGCTAAGGGGAAAGGATTGCTTGAGCCCATGAGGTCAAGGCAGCCTCACAGAGACTGAGCTCACAGGGATCATGTGAGCCATGATCACATCACTTTTCTCCAGCCTGGGCAGCAGAGCGAGAGCCGTCTTAAAAAAATAAATACATAAAAATAAAACAATTTGGGTCTCTGCTAATTATTAACATTGCTCATATATTCATGTTTTCTTCATTGTCAAAGATAGGATAATTACTGTGCCTTGTTGAGTGAGTTTCCGGATAAACTCTGTAAGAATAAATTATGTTATGACATCATTTGGATTAAGAATGGGAAGAAAGTGGTAGAATGGAACTGGATACTATTCAGACACACCAAAGAGGTGGAAGGTACATTGCAGAGGAGTGACAAAAAAAGCAATACTGGTAAGCAAAATAAGTAACAATAATAGCAGCACACATTTGTACTTATATACAAATGCACAGGGAAGATCTAAGCCCCTGGAAGTCATTGTATTTCTATGGACAAAGGTAGCAAAAGAAGTCCTGAACTTATGACCAGCTACTCTTAAAATAGAAACACTCACTTTCCAATATCACCCGCAACTTATTTTGTGATACAAACCTGTATTTTAGTAAAGCATTCTGCATGGTACTGATTTTGTCTGAATACATTGTGACCATCTTTTCACATACTATAAATCACACAAACGCACCAAAAGAATTTGCGTTAGTGTAGTAGATTCTGTTCATACTCATTTCCCACCCAGTCTCATATGATCTCTCTTTTCCACACTATCTACTTATTTTCTGGCACACCCAGGTCACTGTTAAAGGCTTGTGTAAGGTCAGCAGTTCTTCCAGCAAGTGGTTAAGGCCAGCATGACCTTGCCCTGTTTCTTCCATCATAGAATTACATGGCATATTTGGCAGATTGCTAAACTAAATAATGTGACATACATATTTTTCTAATTGTCAACTGTCTGTAGACAAATTACTGAAATTTTGATGTATTGGGTAATCTTCCACCAAGATGAAACTGAAACACTCTCAATAAAGTATTATAGCCAACTGTGGCTTCTGGAAAATCAACCAATATTTGCCTTTGCTTGACAACTACTAAGCCCATAATTTTTTTAAGATGAATAAGGCCCAATAACTTCTTATTTTTCAGGGTAAAAATAGCTTCAAATACTTTAACATATATTATACCTGCTGTAGTTTCTAATACAAATGAAAATAATGATATGGTGTATTTTTGGACCTCTACTTTCTACCTCTGTTTATTGTCAAGGTTTGAGTGTTAAGTGTAGCCACACAAAATTAAGGATTAATTAAAATAATTTTTACAGTATTAGTAAATAAGTTTTTGATAGCTTATTGTCAACAAACTTTTAAATATATTCTTGTGTGGATTTAAAAAATAACTATATCTCAAGAATACTTATTCTTCAAAAAAACATAAAAGTATAAGGTAAATGATTCATTAAGAAGAAAAAGGGACAATGGAAGATAAATTTTTGAAGGTTCTGTTTGCTTTGGAGATTCTGAAGATATCTGAGAATTTTTAACTTGGGATTTCTTTAGTTTCTACAAGGATGCCTTAAATTATCACAAGATTATTACTTCCACATGTATGGCTAGTATTTCTGAAATAATATTTTAAGGGTCTTGAAAGAGGCTCATTTCAGAAAACAATAGTGATCCTGAGTTAATGAAAGTCTTCAACGGTTGGAAGGTAGGGAATTTTTACTCGTCCCTCCAACTCTATTATTGATCTGGTATGCAACCTTCAGGAAATTGGTTTATCCTTTCGCCTTCTTACTGGTAAAAATGACTGCCTTAGAGGTCTTATAAAAACAAACGTTGGCTTGATAGTGCTAAATAAAAGCAGAACTGTGTTGGCAGTTCATACCATCATGTTCTTATATGCAGTTCCTTATAATTACTGCCGGTGACATGAGAATAGTTCACATATTGTTTCTGGCAATATTCACTGGTAAAGCCATCCTCCCATTTCTCCAAAACCTTATGTAGAAATGTTGGCATATCAGTTCTTCAGAAAGGAGGTAAATCTTGCCCCCATGCCAACCATAACTAATGTTATCTGTGATAAGCATGGCGGTTTCCATACTTCTTTCTTTAAAGGTCATTTTAGTTTATCTTAGTATCTGATATGTTATGCACACTGGAAATAAAATAATCATTGGACTACCACCTCTTTTCTCCCAAAAGCGATAATGTCGTTGCTCTTGGCTGCCACAAAGTGGCAGTGTGCCCACTAACTTCTCCACTAGAAAACCCAGTGTTGGCCTTTAGCACAAAACAGGACAGAACTACGCCTCAAGATTAGGGTTGCCACACAAAATACAAGAAGCCTAGTAAAATTTAAATTTCAGATAAACAACACCATACTTTTACAAAAAAACTTTTTTGTTGTTTATCTGAAATTCACATTTAACTGAGTGGCCCATATTTTCATTTGCTAAGTCTACCAATGCTACTCAAGATAGATTTGACTCTTGCAATCATGTAAACGTTTAAGTTGAAATACACCTGTCCTTAATGGCTTATTTACTTATCTATATTTATTGAATTATAGAACTCTTTAGTTAGGGGAATCCATATTTCCCCCTTCTAGCAGATTTCTATTTACCATATAGTACTAGATTCACATGTTTAGTCTTTCATAAAAATGAATGTGTTTGAAGGCATATTTATAGTACATTTTGAATGCTGTTTCCATCATTGATATTAAACTAACAAGTACTTATTGGTCATCTACTATGTGCAAGGCCTTGTGCCAAAGGGTCACAAAAGGTTCTACAGAAGGGGCTAGATAGAATTGACTTGAGGGTTTAAAATAAAACAAAAAAAATAGGTGGGCAGAATGGAGAACATTCAAGAACATTCTGGAACATTCTAGATGGGTGGTCGGGTATTTTCTATGCCAAAATAAATGTTTTATGAAAACCTGAAAGGCTTAGTTCAAAGGCCTAGTTAGAATATTGAACTATTAACATCCATTCATTCATTCTAGTGTCCAAAACAATCTTGGCACACATTATAAGCACTCATTAATGAATTAATTGAATTATTTTAAAAAGTAAGAATGACACTGGGATAGAGTCATTTAAAAATTTTTAATTTGCTTGAAATTTTCTCTTCCACTTTTAATGTAATCTCGCCAAGCTTTATCAAATTTCAACAAAACTCAATCCAGACTTCTATTATACTGATATAATGTCACTTTTTGGTGTAATATTATGTATATTAGTTGTTTACTCCAACATACTGAGTTTAAAATGGAAAGTTTCTTTTTATGTTGTCTAATATATTCAAATGTCAGTTAAAATGTAAAACTTTTAAAGTTATACAAAGTGTTTCATTAAATTTTGCCCTCCAAATGTCTCATTCTACCAGAAATGTTGCAATAACATTATGATTTGTGAGCTTTCCCTTCCATTTCTGAGAAAGCTGAGATTTCTGAACTTGTATATGACTATACTCACCTATGCTTCTCATTCACAAGCACATTATGTGTAAGGGGCTCTATTTGTTTGTATAATTTTGCAATGTAAATAATCTATTTCTTATTATAAGGAGAAGATAGTAAAAGAAAATCTACAATTGCTACATTTGAAATAGCAAATCTGGAATTAAATCTACCCTGAACTGCAGATATTATCTAATACAAGTTAACATTAAACAGACACTTTGCATGTTATTCATTCATGTTAGAGCTGGGAGCAATGTACAGTTGCTAATCATTTTATTATTTTTTGAAAAATTATGCTATATTTTACCATTTCAACAACCTTCTATATGTAAGATTTTTCTTAATTTGAGAAAAGCTGGAGCTGGAGGCCATCATCCTAAGCACAGACATACCTGCAGCTAACTAGCATAGGAAAAAAGCTCAATATCACTGATCATTAGAGAAATGCAAATCAAAACCGCAATGATACACCATCACACACCAGTCAGAATCCCTATTATTAAAAAGTCCAAAAATAACAGATGCTGGTGAGGTTGTAGAGAAAAAAAAAACACGTATATACATTGGTGATGGGAGTGTAAATTAGTTCAACCATTATGGAAAGCAGTATGGCAATTCCTCAAAGAGCTTAAAGGAGAACTAACATTCGACCCAGCAATTCCATCACTGGGTATATACCCAGAGGAATATAAATTATTCTACCATAAAAGCACATGGATGTGAATGTTCATTGCAGCACTATTCACAATAGCAAAGACATGGAATCAACCTAAATGCCCATCAACAACAGATTGGATTAAGAAAATGTGGTATATATACACCATGGAATACTATGCAGCCATAAAAAGGAACAAGATCATGTCCTTTGCAGGGACATGAATGGCGTTGGAAGCCATTATCTTCAGCAAACTAACACTGGAACAGAAAACCAAATACCATATGTTCTCACTTACAAGTGGGAGCTAAATGATGAGAACACATGGAAACATAGAGGGGAGCAGCACACACTGGGGCCTACTGGAGGTTGGAAGGTGAGAGGAGGGAGAGGATCAGGAAAAATAACTAATGAGTACTAGACTTAATACCTGTCTGATGAAGTAATCCATATAAAAGTTTCCCCATGACACACGTTTACCTATGTATTATAAGAAACCTGCACATCCTGCACATGTACCCATGAACTTAAAAGTTAAGAAAAGAAAAAAGCATTATACAGAATTTATTCTTTAATCATCAGAATATCATTATTCTTTTTTTAATATATGTGCCAGGTATTCCACTGGATGCTATATAAATTTTTTTATATGCCACTTCTAAAAGATTTTGAAGTAGCTTATATATATATAAAGTTAAAAGAAGTTATGGCTATTAATAGAGATATAATTATATTATCAACCAAAGGTCTCCAAAAGTTGCTAAATGGGATTAGCTGATTTGGATCAAAGCTCTCTGGTGAAAAAAGCCAAATAGGATACATGAGTAGTTACAGAAAGGGCAGAGAGGTGAACTTATATTTTCTGGCAATAAATCTGATTTATAAATATTCCAAGTTGCTGACTGGTGGCAAATTTATATGTTTTGATTATATGCAGTATAGAAGATAGGAGTAACATTTTCTTATGGAAACTGAGCATCCGTACTAGTAACTGACTGAATGGTAAATCCACTTTGGCATGAAGGTGGGCAAGGGAAGACAACGTGGGGACAATGGTGCCTGCGCCTAATTTATGAACTTATGAACTCTGTAATAGAAGGACAGCGTATTTCAAAAGCATGGAAATTGGAGCGAGCTTGAAAAGCAAAGAATATTTAAATCCAAATGAGGCCAGCTGAGGAATGAAAGGAAGGACTGTGGTATGGTGGTGAAGAGCAGGTCAGAGGAAAAAAATCCGAATTTTCTTGACATATAAAATTCCTATAAATCAATGAGAATAAAACCAAGACCTAATTAAAAATAGACAAAGAATATGTATGGATAGTACAGATAGTACATTAAAACAAAAATAGAAATAACTCTTAAACATCTGAAAAGGTGATCACCCTCTCTCATATTAAGAGAAGTGTAAATTAAAACTACAAGATACTGTTTTTCATCATCAAATTGCTGCTGGGAGTAAAATAGCTACTAAGACAATTAATGCCCCTGCACTTGTGGAGCTTACATTCTAGTTGAGAGACAACCAATTAACAAATATACATAAATTATCATGATTAATAGGAGGAAGTGACGTGTAGGAAGATAGGGTAAGTGAAAGTGACAGTGATGCAGGGGATCACTATTGGATGGTGGAGGCAATTCTAGTGGAGTGGGGAGGGGGCAAGCGGGAGGAGGAAGTGAGTCAAAGGGAACAATGTGGAGAGAAGACTTGCTGCAGGTGTTTTGATAAAAAGAAGCTGAAGAAATAGGACAGTACCTAGAAGAGAATAAGGGGTAAAAAGTGAGTTTTGTTTATTAAGTGAAAGAGAATGGTGCAGAATGTGGATACTATGCTACAATTTGTGTGTTGCGACTTTTTAATAGATAGATAATAGAGATAGATAAAAGGTTAGATAGATAGATACATACATACATACATACATACATATATAGCTTGTATGTGCGAAAAATATTTCTGGAAAAATTCACAAAGTACTAATACCATGATTGTTTCTAGGGAAGGAAATGGCTGGAAGAAGGATGAAAGATTATTTCTTTTTGTGCTTTTCAAATATGTATCATATACAGGAATCATCCATGCAGAAGTAAACAAATCCTTCATTACTCAAAATACTATGTAAATTATACTCAACTGTGAACATGACTTAATTTTTCTCTATTCAAGTTGACATATCCCTGTAAGTGTAAAAAGCTGGAAATCATGTGTATATTTTCTCAGTTACTTTAATTACATTAAGAAAACTATAATCAGAAAAATATTTTATTAATCTTAGAGTTGCACGTGAACACTATTAACTAACACATACCTTTCTTATCATAATCTACTAGCATGACTTAAGATATAACTTCTGAATTGTTTGGGTTCAATTGCATTCCCCCAAAAATTGTGTTCAAGTCCTAACTTGATATGTTAGGTATGTTCAGTATGTGTGAATATTACTTTACTTGGCAATAGGGTCATTACAGATGTAATTAAATTAAAATCAGGACATACTGAATTAGGGTGGACTCAAATCTAATAACTAATGTCCTTATAAGAAGAGGAAAAACTGGACACAGATTCACAGAGAGAATCCATACAACAATGGAAGCAAAGAGTGGAGTCATGCATCTGCCACCAAGAACTGCCAGCAACCACTGGAAAACAGAAAAGGCAAGGAAAGACTTTTCCCAGGAGGCTTCAGGAGGAGCATGGCCCTGCCAAGACCTTGACTTTGGAGCCACTAGACTCCAGATCTGTGAGAGAACAAATTTCTGCCACTTTAAACCTCCCAGTTTGCCCTATTTGCTACAGCAGCCTTAGCAAACTAATACAAAAATAGTGATATTTAATGAATGGCATAGGAAAATGTTTATTGGAAAAGTAATTGAGACTTCAGGAATATGGGATTATATGTTTTTATAGGAAACAGATTAGGGCATTAGAAAATGTTTCTTTAAGGGAACAAGATAAATTAGGCCAAATCAGACCACACTTTGACTAAGATAGATAAACAAAGAGATACTTGATATAGGCCTAGTCTCTACATAAAAGTGAAGTGGATATAAATGTGAATAATTAATTTATTACATGACAAAGACGGTAAAAGGAGGGAAAAGAAAAAAAAACTGTTCCATAGACACATGCCTTTTTGATTAAGACTGATAATTCTCAGAGCTTGTCTACCAAGCAATCTGGCTTAAAGAAAGCACTAATGGATTTTTTCATGTAGAAGTGTATTCATGTTGGAAAAGGTGTTGTAAGCATAGTACTGAATATATTGGAATTTTTGAAAAACCTATGCAACTGTAATTGCTCAGTGTTTTATGCAGGGCAATGTGTAATTGCTGTCTTTTGTTTATTTTTAGATAAAAGATCTGCAGCTATGGAATTCTTCTCCATGACATTTTCACAGAACATACTACTTGTGATTTATATCATGTCCTTACTCAAGGTAATTTTATTTTTTAAGAATACCATAAAATCTATTTAAGTCACATCCTGTCTCCCAGTGAAATAAAAGACATCTCAGAAGGGATTTCATTGTATCCTTTTGGGTGTGTGTGTTTTGTATTTTTGCATTTTCCCAGGAAGAAATGGAGACAGTGACTCAGTTAATGCATTATGCTTATCCTCTCATTGCTCCATTCTTGGTTTTGGTGATCATTTGAAATACATGGAGATTGTTTGCTCAACTCTCTCAGGCTGCTGCTTGTTAAATAACAGCACTTGTCAGCCCTATGTCATTTTTGTAGTACAGTTACAAATAAACAGGACTCCAGGCCTCACCAGTCAAAGTTACCCTTTGGAAACTAATTTCTCCCTCTTCCCTCTTTACTTCTGCTACCATTGAGAGAGAACGAGAGAGAGAGAGAGAGAGAATATTTTGGCACTAATAAAATAATGAAAGTTCACTCAGTCTTAATATTTGGATGTGGACCTCTCTCCCATTCCACATCCAGCTACTCCCTGACTCCTGTATCCCAATCTCTTACAACCATAAATCCGTTCTCCATTTGGAAAATTTTGTCATTTCAAAATGCTATATTGATAGAATTATAGAGTATGTAAACTTTAGAGATTAATTGTTTCATCCTAGACATTCATGCAAGTTGTTGCATGTATCAATAGTCTGTTCCTTTTCTTTCCTGAGTAGTGTTCTGTGGTATGGGTGTACCACAGTTTCTTTAACCATTCATCCGTTGTAGAACATCTGAGCTGCTTCCAGTTTGGGGCAATTATGGATAAAAAAGTTTGCTATGAACAATTATATGTGAACATGTAAAATGCATAGGAGTGCAATTGCTGGATTATGGATGATTACATGTTGAATTTTTCAAGAAACTTCCAATTTTAACTTAACATAAAACTATTTGTTTTCTTTCCTCTGTCTCTCACTCCTTATGATACATTACTTGAACATTTCTTCGGATTCTATCTTGGCTTTTTTATATTGTTTTTTGTGTATTTTTTATAGTGGTTGTTCTGTGTGTTACTGTATATATGTATGACAAATAATTCCTCTACTGATATCAATATTTTAACACTTTATTTTACCTTTGCCACTTTAAGTACCATTGTCTTGAGTCTGAGATGATGTTAAACTTTTTGTTTCATTCATAAAATATGATTTATAAAACTCATGAGGAAAAGGATAGACTATTACGTGTAGCTATACTTCTTTTTATTCCTCCTTCTTTCCTAGTGCTCTAAGGTTCTTTCTCTTATCATTTCCTTTTCATTTTAAGAATTTCCTTTCATCAACCTTTAACAGTAGACCTGCTGGCAACACACTCTTTTTGTTTTCCTTCATCTGAAAAAATATTTATTTTGCCTTAATTTTTGAAGTACACTTTTGTTGAATGTAGAATTGACAGTTGAAAGTTATTTGCTTTTAGCCTTTTTGTTCTCTGTGCTTTCAGATGAAAGTTCATCATCACTTGAATTGGTGTCCCTATAGGAAATGCATTGTTTCTCTATGGCTGCTTTCAATATATATTTTTTTTGTCTTCAGTTATTTTTAGAAATTTATTTATGATATGTCTTGGCACAGGTTTCTTTGAGTTTATTCTATTTGAGATCACTCAGCTTCTTGAATCTGCAAGATTATGTCTTTTGCCCAATTTGGGAAGTTTTTAGCCATTATTCCCTTGAATACTCTTTCAGGTTCACTTTCTCCCATCCTGTGGGCTTCTAATACAACACATGATGGATCTTTTGATTTTGTCCCACAGGTGTTGGAGGTGCTATTTTTGTTTTCTGTTTGTTTGTTTATTTTACAGTCTGCATTCTCCCTGTTGTTTGGATTGGGATAAATTTTATTGATATGTCTTTAAATTCACTGATTCTCTCCTTTGTCATATCCACTCTAATATTAAGTCCATTCGGCAAATTTATTTTTCCATTATTATGTTTTTTGGTTCTTTAATTTCTATTTGGTTCTTTTTATAATTTCTATTCATGACTGGGTTTATTTTTATTTGTTTCAAAAGAATTTATAATTGATTATAGCAGCATGTATGTGGGCTGCTTTAAAATCCTTTTCGAATAATTCCAAGATCTGACTCATCTCAGTATGAGCCTTACCTTTTGGTGTTGATTGCCTTTTCTCCTTCAGCTTGATTTTCTTGTATGAGACATGATTTCTTGGTATTTTGTATGTTATGTTAGCCTCTGGATCTTATTTATATCTTGTATTTTAGCAGGCAGTCACACCGTTTATGTTGATTACAAGGTCCTGGCCTCCTTTTGTAGACTATGATTTCAAGAGCAGTTCAATTTTCAGACCCTTTGCTTTGTTATTCTCATCTGCTTTATCTGATGCTACTATCACTCCTGGTGCTGCCTAACAGAGTAGAAGTAGCTTCACCAGTCTGGAATGCTGGGTGTTTCCAAGTAGGAGAGGGGAATCCCAGACCCATGAGAGCAAGTCAGTTCTCACTTTATTTTACTAGCCTTTCCAACAATATTTAATGCAGTTGATGATGCCATCCTTTAGAAACCCTTTCATAACTTGGCTTCTGAGATAACACTTTCTTTTGTTTTTTCTCACTGCTCACTTCTTTTAGTCTTGTCTGATAACTTTCCTTCTTCTCTTCAACTTTTAAATATTAAATAGCATTCAGAATCAGGGATCAAAAAATTTACCTTCACTTTATAGGTGATCACCCAAAGGTTAATATTTTTTTTTCCAATGGTTTGTGGGGAAAGGTGGTGTTTCATTACATGGATAGGTTCTTTAGTGGTGATTTCTAGATTTTGGTGCACCCATCACCCAAGCAGTGTGCACTATACCCAATGTGTAGTCTTTTATCCCTCACTCCCTCCCCCACTCCCCCCAAACCCCAAAGTCCATTGTGTCATTCTTATGTCTTTACATCCTCATAGCTTAGCTTCCACTTATAAGTGAGAACATATGACATCTGGTTTTCCATTCCTGAGTTACTTCACTTAGAATGATGGTCTCCAACTCCATCCAGGTTGCTGCAAATGCAACCATATTTTCTTTATCCACTTGTTGGTTGATAAGCAGTTAGGCTGGTTCCATATTTTTGCAATTGTGAATTGTGCTGCTATAAACATGTGTGTGCAAGTGACTTTTCCATATAATGACTTCTTTTCCTCTGGGTGATTACCCAGTAGTGGGGTTGCTAGATCAAATGGTAGTTCTACTTTTACTTCTTTAAGGAGTCTCCGTACTGATTTTCATAGTGGTTGTACTAGTTTACTTTCCCACCAACAGTGTAAAAGTGTTCCCTTTTCACTACATCCATGCCATCATCTATTATTTTTTTCATTTTTTAATTATGGCCTTTCTCGCAGGAGTAAGGTGGCATCACATTGTGCTTTTGATTTGCATTTCCCTGATAATTAGTGATGTTGAGCATTTTTTCATGTTTGTGGCCATTTGTATATTTTCTTTTGAGAATTGTCTATTCATGTCCTTAACTCACTTTTTGATGGGATTATTTGGTTTTGGTTTCTTTTTTTGAGTTCTTTGTATATTCTGGGTATTAGTCCTTGGTCAGATGCATAGTTTGCAAATATTTTCTCCCATTCTGTGATTTGTCTGCTTACTTCGCTGATTATTTCTTTTGCTGTGCAGAAGCTTTTTAGTTTAATTAAGTTCCATCTATTTATCTTCGTTTTTGTTGCATTTGCTTTCGGGTTCTTGGTCATGAAGTCTTTGCCTAAGCCAATGTCTAGAAGATTTTTTTCTGATGTTATCTTCTAAAATTTTTATGGTTTCAGGTCTTAGATTCATCTTGAGTTGATTTTTATATAAGGTGAAAGATGGGAGCCAGTTTCATTCTTCTACATGTGGCTTTTCAATTATCCCAGCACCATTTGTTGAATAGGGTGTCATTTCCCCACTTTAGGTTTTGTTTTGATTTGTCAAAGATCAGTTGGCTGTAAGTATTTGGCTTTATTTCTGGGTTCTCTATTCTGTTCCATTGGTCTACTTGCCTATTTTTATACCAGTACCATGCTGTTTTGGTAACTGTAGACTTATAGTATCCTTTGAAGTCAGGTAATGTGATGCCTCCAGATTTGCTATTTTTGCTTAGTCTTACTTTGAATATACAGGCTTTTTTTTTGGTTCTGTATGAATTTTAGGATTTTTTTTTTGTTATGTGAAAAAGGATGATGGTATTTTCATAGGAATTACATTGAATTTATAGATTGATGTTGGCAGTATGGTCATTTTCACAACATTGATTCTACCCATCCATGAGCACGTGATGTGTTTTCATTTGTTTGTGTCATCTGCAATTTTTTTTTTTTTTTGAGACAGGGTCTCCCTCTGTCACCCAGGCTGGAGGGCAGTGGCTCAGTCTCTGCTCACTGCAACCTCCACCTCTTGGGTTCAAGCAATTCTCCTGTCTCAGTCTCCTGAGTAGCTGGGATTACAGGCACATGCCACCACGCCTGGCTAACTTTTTTTCGTTTTGTTTTTAGTAGAGACGGGGTTTCAGCATGTTGGTCAGGCTGGTCTCGAACTCCTGACCTCATGATCCACCCGCCTTGGCCTCCCTAAGTGCTGGGATTACAGGCGTGAGCCACCATGTCCGACCATCTATGATTTCTTTCAGCACTGTTTCACGTCCTTAGTTAGATATAGTTCTAAGTATTTTATTATTTTATTTTATTTTATTTTATTTTATTTGCAGCTATGGTAAAGGCATTGAGTTCTTGATTTGATTCTCAGCTTGCTTCCTGTTGGTGTATAGCAGTGCTACTGATTTGTGTACATTGATTTTGTATCCTGAAACTTTACTAAATTCATTTATCAGATCTAGGAGCTTTTTGGATGAGTATTTAGGGTTTTCTAAGTATATGATTATATCATTGGTGAACAGGAACAGTTTGACTTCCTCTTTACAGATTTGGATGTCCTTTATTTATTTCTCTTGTCTGATTGCTCTGGCTAGGACTTCCAGTACTAGGTTGAATAGAAGTGGTGAAAGTGGGCATCCTTGTCTTGTTCCAGTTCTCAGGCAAAATGCTTTCAACTCTTTCCCATTCAGTATAATGCTGGCTATGGGATCTTCATAGATGGCTTTTTAACATTAAGATATGTCCCTTCTATTGCTGAGGGTTTTAGTTTTAAAGTGATGCTGGATTTTGTCAAATGCTTTTCCTGCATCTGTTGAGATGATCATGTAATTTTTTATTTTAATGCTATTTATGTAGTGTATCACATTTATTGACTTGCTTATGTTAAACCATCCCTGCATCCCTGGTATGAAACCCACTTGATCACTGTGGATTATCTTTTTGATATGCTGTTGGGTTTGGTTAGCTGGTAATTTGTTGAGGATTTTTGCATCTATTTTCATATTGGGCTATGGTTTGTTGTTGTTGTTGTTATGTCTTTTCCTGGTTTTGATATTAGGGTGATATTGCCTTCATAAAATGATTTAGGGAGGATTTCCTCTTTGACTTTTGGAATATTTTCTATAAGATTGGTAACAAATCTTCTTTGAATGTCTGATAGAATTCAACTGTGAATCCCTCTGGTCCAGGACTTTTTGTTGGCAATTTTTTTTATTACTGTTTCAATCTTGCTACTTCTTATTGGTCTATCCAGAGTTTCTATTTCTTCGTGGTTTAATCTAGCAGTGTTGTATCTTTCCAGGAATTTATCCATCTCCTCTAGATTTTCTAGTTTGTGTGCATAAAGGTATTCATAGCGGTCTTGAATAATCTTTTGTATTTCTGTGGTATGGTTGTAGTATCTCCTGTTTCATTTCTAATTGGCCTTATTTGGATCTTCTCTCTTCTTTTCTTGGCCAAGCTTATGAATGGTATATTGTTTTTGTTTATGGTTTCAAAGAACCAGCTTTTTGTTTTATTCATCTTTTGTATTTAATTATTTCAATTTCATTTAGTTCTGTTCTGATCTTTGTCATTTCTTTTCTTCTGCTAGGTTTGGGTTTGGTTTGTTCTTGTTTCTCTAGTTCCTTGAAGTGTGAGCTTAGATTGTCTATTTGTGCTCTTTCAGACTTTTTGACATACGCATTTAATGCTATGAACTTCCTCTTAGCACTGTGTTTTGCTGTACCCCAGAGGTTCTGATAGGTTGTGTCACTATTGTTGTTCAGTTCAAAGAATTTTTAAATTTCCTTCTTGATTTTATTGTTGACTCAAAGATCTTTCAGGAGAAGATTATTTAATCTTCATATGTTTGTATAGTTTTTGAGGGTTTCTTTTTGGATTTAATTTTCAATTTTATTACACAGTAGTCTGAGAGAATATTTGATATAATTTTGATTTTCTTAAATTTATTGAGACTTGTTTTGTGGCTTACTACATGGTCAATCTTGGAGAATGTTTCATGTGCTGATGAAAAGAATGTATATTCTGTAGTTGTTGTGTAGACTATTCTGTAATACCTGTTAAGTCTAATTGTTCTAGGGTGGAGTTTAAGTCCACTTTTTTTTGTTGACTTTCTGTCTTGATGACCTCTCTAGTGCTGTCAGTGGAGTATTTAAGTCCCCCACTATTATTGTGTTGCCATCCATCTCATTTCTTAGGTCTGGTAGTAATTGTTTTATAAATTTGGGAATTCCAGTGTTAGATGCATGTATATTTAGGATTGTGATGTTGTCCTGTTGGACTAATCCTTTCATCATTATATAAAATCCCTCCTTGTCTTTTTTAACTGTTGTTGCCTTAAAGTCTGTTTTGTCTGATAGAATAGCTACTCCTGCTTGCTTTTGGTTTTGATTTACATGGAATATATTTTTTTCATCTTTTTACCTTAGGGTTATGTGAGTCTTCATGTGTTAGGTGAGTCTCTTGAAGATGACAGATACTTGGTTGGTGGATTTTTATTCATTCTGCAATTCTGCATCTTTTAAGAGGAGCATTTAGGCCATTTACATTCAATGTTAGTATTGAAATGCGAGGTACTGTTCTAGTCATCATGCTAGATGCTGCCTGAATATGGTTTTTTTTTTCATTGTGTTATTGTTATATAGATCCTGTGAAATTTATGCTTTAAGGATGTTCTATTTTGGTGTATTTCAAGATTTTGTTTCAAGATTTAGAAATCCTTTTAGCATTTTTTTTTGTGATGCTGGCTTAGTAGTGGTGAATTCTCTCAGGATTTGTTTGTCTGAAAAGGGTTTTATCTCTTCTTCCTTTATGAAGCTTAATTTCACAGGATACAAAATTCTTAGCTGATAATTATTTTGTTTAAGGAAGCTGTATTAGTCTGTTTTCATACTGCTGATAAAGACATACTCCAATTAAAAGACACAGACTGGCAAATTGGATAAAGAGTCAAGACCCATCAGTGTGCTATATTCAGGAGACCCATCTCACCTGCATAGACACACATAGGCTCAAAATAAAGAGATGGAGGAAGATCTACCAAGCAAATGGAAAACAAAAAAAAGCAGGGGTTACAATCCTAGTCTCTGATAAAACAGACTTTAAACCAACAAAGATCAAAAGAGACAAAGAAGGCCATTACATAATGGTAAAGGGATCAATTCAACAAGAAGTGCTAACTATCCTAAATATATATGCACCTAATACAGGAGCACCCAGATTCATAAAGCAAGTCCTGAGAGACCTACAAAGAGACTTAGACTCCCACACAATAATAATGGGAGATTTTAACACCCCACTGCCAACATTAGACAGATCAATGAGACAGAAAGTTAACAAGGATATGCAGGAATTGAACTCAGCTCTGCACCAAGCAGACCTAATAGACATCTACAGAACTCTCCACCCCAAATCAACAGAATATACATTATTCTCAGCACCACATCACACTTATTCCAAAATTGACCACATAGTTGGAAGTAAAGCACTGCTCAGCAAATGTAAAAGAACAGAAATTACAACAAACTGTTTCTCAGACCACAGTGCAATCAAACTAGAACTCAGGATTAAGAAACTCACTCAAAACCACTCAACTACATGGAAACTGAACAACCTGCTCCAGAATGACCACTGGGTACATAACAAAAAGAAGGCAGAAATAAAGATGTTCTTTGAAACCAATGAGAACAAAGACACAACATACCAGAATATCTGGGAGACATTTAAAGCAGTGTGTAGATGGAAATTTATAGCACTAAGTGCCCACAAGAGAAAGCAGGAGAGATCTAAATTTCACACTCTTAACATCACAATTAAAAGAACTAGAGAAGCAAGAGCAAAGACATTCAAAAGCTAGCAGGATACAGGAAATAACTAAAATCAGAGCAGAACTGAAGGAGATAGAGACACAAAAAACCTTCAAAAAATCAATGAATCCAGGAGCTGGTTTTTTGAAAAGATCAACAAAATCGATAGACCGCTAGCAAGACTAATAAAGAAGAACAGAGAGAAGAATCAAATAGATGCAATAAAAAATGATAAAGGGGATATCATCACCGATCCCACAGAAATACAAACTACGATCAGAGAATACTATAAACATCTCTATGCAAATAAACTAGAAAATCTAGAAGAAATGGATAAATTCCCGGACACATACACCCTCCCAAGACTAAACCAGGAAGAAGTTGAATCTCTGAATAGACCAATAACAGGCTCTGAAATTGTGGCAATAATCAATAGCTTACCAACCAGAAAAAGTCCAGGATCAGACGAATTCACAGCCAAATTCTACCAGAGGTACAAAGAGGAGCTGGTACCTTTCCTTCTGAAACTATTCCAATCAATAGAAAAAGAGAGAATCCTCTCTAATTCATTTTATGAAGCCAACATCATCCTGATACCAAAGCCTGGCAGAGACACAACAAAAAAAAAGAGAATTTTAGACCAATATCCCTAATGAACATCGATGCAAAAATCCTCAATAAAATACTGGCAAACCGAATCCACCAGCACATCAAAAAGCTTATCCACCATGGTCAAGTTGGCTTCATCCCTGGGATGCAAGGCTGGTTCAACATACACAAATCAATAAACGTAATCCATCATATAAACAGAACCAAAGACAAAAACCATATGACTATCTCAATAGTTGCAGAAAAGGCCTTTGACAAAATTCAACAGCCCTTCATGCTAAAAACTCTCAATAAACTAGGTATTGATGGGACGTATCTCAAAATAATAAGAGCTGTCTATGACAAACCCACAGCCAATATCATACTGAATGGGCAAAAGCTGAAAGCATTCCCTTTGAAAACTGGCACAAGACAGGGATGCCCTCTCTCACCACTCTTATTCAACACAGTGTTGGAAGTTCTGGCCAGGGCAATTAGGCAGGAGAAAGAAATATAAGGTATTCAATTAGGAAAAGAGGAAGTCAAATTGTCCCTGTTTGCAGATGACATGATTGTATATTTAGAAAACCCCATCGTCTCAGCCCAAAATCTCCTTAAGCTGATAAGCAACTTCAGCAAAGTCTCAGGATACAAAATCAATGTGCAAAAATCACAAGCATTCCTATACACCAATAACAGACAAACAGAGAGCCAAATCATGAGTGAACTGCCATTCACAATTGCTTCAAAGAGAATAAAATACCTAGGAATCCAACTTACAAGGGATGTGAAGGAACTCTTCAAGGAGAACTACAAACCACTGCTCAGCAAAATAAAAGAGAACACAAACAAATGGAAGAACATTCCATGCTCATGGATAGGAAGAATCAATATCGTGAAAATGGCCATACTGCCCAAGGTAATTTATAGATTCAATGCCATCCCCATCAAGCTACCAATGACTTTCTTCACAGAATTGAAAAAACTACTTTAAAGTTCACATGGAACCAAAAGAGAGCCTGCATTGCCAAGTCAATCCTAAGCCAAAAGAACAAAGCTGGAGGCATCACACTACCTGACTTCAAATTATACTACAAGGCTACAGTAACCAAAACAGCATGGTACTGGTACCAAAACAGAGATATAGACCAATGGAACAGAATAGAGCCCTCAGAAATAATACCACACATCTACAGCCATCTGATCTTTGACAAACCTGACAAAAACAAGACATGGGGAAAGGATTCCCTATTAATAAACGGTGCTGGGAAAACTGGCTAGCCATATGTAGAAAGCTGAAACTGGATCCCTTCCTTACAGCTTATACAAAAATCAATTCAAGATGGATTAAAGACTTAAATGTTAGACCTAAAACCATAAAAACCCTAGAAGAAAACCTAGGCAATACCATTCAGGACATAGGCATGGGCAAGGACTTCATGACTAAAACACCGAAAGCAATGGCAACAAAAGCCAAAACTGACAAATGGGATCTAATTAAACTAAAGAGCTTCTGCACAGCAAAAGAAACTACATCAGAGTGAACAGGCAACCTACAGAATGGGAGAAAATTTTTACAATCTACCCATCTGAGAAAGGGCTAATATCCAGAATCTACAAAGAACTTAAATTTACAAGAAAAAATCAAACAACCCCATCAAAAAGTGGGCAAAGAATATGAACAGACACTTCTCAAAAGAAGACATTTATGCAGCCAACAGACACATGAAAAAATGCTCATCATCTCTGGTCATCAGAGAAATGCAAATCAAAACCACAATGATATACCATCTCACACCAGTTAGAATGGCGATCATTAAAAAGTCAGGAAACAACAGGTGCTGGAGAGGATGTGGAGAAATAGGAAAGCTTGTACACTGTTGGTGGGACAGTAAACTAGTTCAACCATTGTAGAAGTCAGTGTGGCCATTCCTCAAGGATCTAGAACTAGAAATACCGCTTGACCCAGCCATCCCATTACTGGGCATATACCCAAAGGATTATAAATCATGTTGCTATAAAGACACATGCACACACATGTTTATTGCGGCACTATTGACAATAGCAAAGACTTGGAACCAACCCAAATGTCCATCAGTGATAGACTGGATTAAGAAAATGTGGCAGGGGGGCGGGGAGAGGCGGGGGAGGCCCCCTCATAGGCAAAGGATTGGGGGGCCGGGTGCGGCCGTGCAGCTCTCGGCAGAGCCGAGCCCAGACGAGGTCCGCCGCTGCCCCGTGCCTCTGCGCCTCCGTGCCTCCGCGCCTCCGCGCCTCCGCGCCTCCGTGCCTCCGCGCCTCCGCGCCACCTCAACTCCCTGGAGGCGGTGAAATGCAAGATCCAGGCCCCTGCAGTAGCAGGCGGACGAGGCGGAAGACCGCGCAGGGCCTGCAGCGGGAGCTGGACGGCAAGCGCGAGTGGCGCGAGAAAGCTGAAGGTGATGTGGCCACCCTCAACCGACGCATCCAGCTCGTTGAGGAGGAGTTGGACAGGGCTCAGGAACGACTGGCCACAGCCCTGCAGAAGCTGGAGGAGGCAGAAAAAGTTGCAGATGAGAGTGAAAGAGGAATGAAGGTGATAGAAAACCGGGCCATGAAGGATGAGGAGAAGATGGAGATTCAGGAGATGCAGCTCAAAGAGGCCAAGCACATTGCGGAAAAGGCTGACCGCAAATACGAGAAGGTAGCTCGTAAGCTGGTCATCCTGGAGGGTGAGCTGGAGAGGGCAGAGGAGCGTGCAGAGATGCGTGCGGAGGTGTCCGAACTAAAATGTGGTGACGTGGCAAAGAACTCAAGAATGTTACTAACAATCTGAAATCGCTGGAAGCTGCATCTGAAAAGTATTCTGAAAAGGAGGACAAATATGAAGAAGAAATTAAACTTCTGTCTGACAAAGTGAAAGAGGCTGAGACCCGTGCTGAATTTGCAGAGAGAACGGTTGCAAAACTGGAAAAGACAATTGATGACCTGGAAGAGAAACTTGCCCAGGCCAAAGAAGAGAACGTGGGCTTACATCAGACACTGGATCAGACACTAAACGAACTTAACTGTATATAAGCAAAACAGAAGAGTCTTGTTCCAACAGAAACTCCGGAGCTCCGTCGGTCTTTCTCTTCTCTTTTAAGAAGTTCCTTTTGTTATTGCCATCTTAGCTTTGCTGGAAATGTCAAGCAAATTATGAATACATGACCAAATATTTTGTATCGAAGAAGCTTTGAGCACCAGTTAAATCTCATTCCTTCCCCTTTTTTTTTCAAATGGCACCAGCTTTTTTAGCTCTCTTATTTTTTCCTTAAGTTGCATTTATTCCTAAGGTAGGCAGGATATTTCCTAGTTAAGCATACTTTCTTAAGACGGAGGCCATTTGGTTCCTGGGAGAATAGGCAGCCCCACACTTTGAAGAACACAGACCCCAGTATCTAGTCGTGGATATAATTAAAACACTAAAGACCATAACCTTTTGGGTCAACTGTTGGTCAAACTATAGGAGAGACCAGGGACCATCACATGGGTAGGGATTTTCCATCCAGAGCCAATAAAAGGGCTGGTAGGGGCCAGGGTGGCTATTGTGGGAAGTCATAACCCACAGATAGATTAACTTAAGAATCCTGGCCCTTCTCCACACTCCACCATGCAGAACAAACATCCTCTCAAGCAGTCAACGTACAACGCTTGGGAAATAGTCATAATTACCCACATATAGTAATTAATAGATGGTAAGTAATAGATCCTTGATGTGATGTTCTTTTGCATATTTCCCTGGCCGGCTTTCACCGGTGGCTTTCGTCTGTAAGGAAAGGTGGCTTTTGCCTGTAATCCCAACACTTTGGGAGGCCAGGACAGATCACTTGAGGTCAGGAGTTCGAGACCAGCCCAGCCAACATGGCGAAACCATGTCTGTACTAAAAATACAAAAATTATGGTGACTCCTGCCTGTAGTCCCAGCTACTCAGGAGGCTGAGGCAGAAGGATCGCTTGAACCCAGGAAGTGGAGATTGCAGTGAGCCGAGATCGCACCACTGCACTCCAGCCTGGTCGACAGAGTGAAACTCCATCTCAAGAAAAAATAAAAATAAAGTTGTTCTCTGAAGAGCAAATGTCTCATTCCAATAATGACCCACTCAGCAGGAATATGGTAGAGTTCAGTCCAATTCAGATCAGCCATATCCAGAAGACTACAAGGCATTACTAAGTTGAGCAAAAGAGTTTTTATCTACTAGCGGAAAGGGCCTCTCTGGCAGCAGAGATTAAATATTGGCCCAACTTCATTTCCATACTTTAGGGAACAGCAAATTGAAGATTTACTTATCTAGGACTTGAATTCCTTCTTTGGGACCAAGTTAATAAAAGACCAAGAAACTCCTGATTAAACTGGATGATGAGGGATTCTGCAGACAGGGCTGCACGTATGGGCTTTGTTTGACTTCTCTTTTCTCAGTTAACATCTCAGAGCTGGAACATTCCACATTCCCCAGCAGCGTGTGGGGGCCGACTAAAGTTTACAATTCTGACTAAAAATCACCCTGCTTCTGGCTTATCTGAATCCCTTACCCACCCCACCCCACCACCCCACTCCTATTTATTCAGCACCGCACTACCCAGGAAATACACTAGCAAATTGTGAATGGAATAAAATCCACACTTTACTTTAGATTCTTGCAACTGTATCATATGTAATAGTATCACTTTTTCTACATTTTGGTCAAATAAATTTTTACATAAACTACAAAAAAAAAAAAGAAAATATGGCACATATACACCATGGAATACTATGCGGCTCTAAAAAAGGAATGAGTTCATGTCCTTTATAGGGACATGGATGAAGCTGGAAACCATCCTTCTGAGCAAACTATTGCAAGGACAGAAAACCAAACACTGCATGTTCTCACTCATAGGTGGGAATTGAACAATAACAACATATGGACACAGGGTGGGGAACATCACACACCAGGACCTGCCAGAGGGTGGGGGAAAGGGGGAGGGATACCATTAGGAGACATACCTAATGTAAATGACGAGTTAACGGGTGCAGCACACCAACATAGCACATGTATACATATGTAACAAACCTGCACATTGTGCACGTGTACCCTAGAACTTAAGGTAAAATAAAAAAATAAAAAATAAAAAGACTTATTCAAGGCTGGGAAGAAAAAAAGGTTTAATTGGACTTACAGTTCCACATGGCTGAGGATGCCTCCGAATCATGGCAGGAGGCAAAAGGCACTTCTTACATGGTGGTGGCAAGAGAAAATGAGGAAGAAGCAAAAGCAGAAACCCCTGATAAACCCATCAGATCTCTTGAGACTTATTCACTATCATGAGAATAGCACAGGAAAGACTGGCCCCCATGATTCAATTACGTACCCCTGGGTCCCTGCCATGACATGTATGAATTCTGTGAAATACAATTCAAGTTCAGATTTTGGTGGGGACACAGTCAAACTATATCATTCTGCTCCTGGCCCCTCCAGATCTCATGTCCTCATGTTTCAAAACCAGTCACTCCTTCCCAACAGTCCCCCAAAGTCTTAACTCATTTCAGCATTAACCCAGAAGTCCACCATCCAAAGTCTCATCTGAGAAAAGGCAAGTCCCTTCCGCCTATGAGCCTGCAAAACCAAAAGCAAGCTAGTTACTTCCTAGATACAATGGAGGTACAGGTATTGGGTACCATTTCAAATGAGAGAAATTGACCAAAACAAACAGATTACAGGGCCCATGCAAGTCCAAAATCCAGCGGGGCAGTCAAACTTTAAAGTTCCAAAATGGTGTCCTTCGACGCCAGGTCTCACATCCAGATTACACTGATGCAAGAGATGGGTTTCTATAGTCTTGGTCAGCTCCATCCTTGTGGCTTTGGAGGGTACAGCCTCCTTTCTGGCTGCTTTCATGGTCTGGTGTTGAGGCTTTTCTAGATGCACGGTGCAAGCTTTTGGTGGATCTACCATTCTGCGGTCTGGAGGACAGTCACCCTCTTCTCACAGCTCCACTAGGCAGCAACGCACTAGGGACTCTGTGTGGGGGCTCTGACCCCACATTTCTCTTCTGCGTTGCCCTGGCAGAGGTTCTCCGTGAGGGCCCTGCTCCTGCAGCAATCTTTTGCCTGGGCATCCAGGTGTTTCCATACATCTTCTGAAATCTAGGTGGAGGTTCCCAAACCTCAATTCTTGACTTCTGTGCACCGGAAGGCTCAACACCACATGGAAGCTGCCAAGGCTAGGGGCTTCCACCTTCTGAAGCCACAGCCTGAGCTGTATGTTGGCCCCTTTCAGCCACAGCTGGAGTGGCTGGGATACAGGGCACCAAGTGCCTAGGCTGTACATAGCACGGGGACCCTGGGCCCAGGCCACAAAACCACATTTTCCTCCTGGGCCTCTGAGCCTGTGATAGGAGGGACTTCCATGAAGGTCTCTGACATGGCCTGGAGACATTTTGCCTGTGGTCTTGGGGATTAACATAAGGTTCCTTGCTACTTATGCAAATTTCTGTAGCTGGCTTGAATTTCTCCCCAGAAAATGGGTTTTTCTTTTTTATCACATAGTTAGGCTGCAAATTTTCTGAACTTTTATGCTGTGTTTCCCTTTTAAAACTGAATGTTTTAAACAGTACCCAAGCCACCTTTTGTATGCTTTGCTGCTTAGAAATTTCTTCCAAAAGATACCCTAAATGGGTCAGGTGTGGTGGCTCAAGCGTGTAATCCCAGCACTTTGGGAGGCCAAGGCAGGTGGATCACGAGGTCAGGCGATCGAGACCATCCTGGCTAACACGGTGAAACCCCATCTCTAATAAAAATACAAAAAATTAGCTGGGTGTGGTGGTGGATACCTGTAGTCCCAGTCACTCGGGAGGCTGAGGCAGGAGAATGGCGTGAACCTGGGAGGCGGAGCTTGCAGTGAGCCAAGATTGCGCCACTGCACCACTCCAGCCTGGGTGACAGAGTGAGACTCCATCTTAAAAAAAAAAAATACCCTAAATCATCTCTCTCAAGTTCAAAGTTCCACGAATCTCTAGGTCAGGTAAAAAATGCCACCAGTCTCTGCTAAAACATAACAAGAGTCACCTTTGCTCCAGTTCCCAGTTCCCAACAAGTTCCTCATCTCCATCTGAGACCACCTCAGCCTGGACCTTATTGTCCATATCGCTATCAGTATTTTGGGCAAAGCCATTCAACAAGTCTCCAGGAAGTTCCAAACTTTCCTACATTTTCCTGTCTTCTTCTGAGCCCTCCAAACTGTTCCAACCTCTGCCTGTTACCCAGTTCCAAAGTCACTTCCACATTTTGGGGTATCTTTTCAGCAACGCCCCACTCTACTGGTACCAATTTACTGTATTAGTTCATTTTCACACTGCTGATAAAGACATATCCAAAACTGGAAAGAAAAAGAATTTTAATTGGGCTTACAGTTCCACATGGCTGGGGAAGGTCTCACAATCATGGCAGAGGGCAAAAGGCATTTCTTACATGGCGGTGGCAAAAGAGAATGAGGAAGAAGCAAAAGTGGAAACCCCTGATAAAACCATCAGATCTTGTGAGACTTATTCACTATTAAAAGAATAGCATGGGAAAGACAGGCTCCCATGATTCAATTACCTCTCCCTGGATCTCTCCCACAACATGTGGGAATTCTGGGAGATACAATTCAAATTGAGATTTGGTGGGGACACAGCCAAACCATATCAGAGGCTGAATATAGGACCCTAATCCCTTCTAGCTTGTAGGGTTTCTGCCTAGAAATCTGTTAATCTGATAGGTTTTCCTTTATAGGTTACCTGATGCTTTTGCTTCACAGCTCTTAAGATTCTTTTCTTTGTCTTGACTTTAAATAACCTGTTGACTATGTGCCTAGATGATGATCTTTTTGCAGTAAATTTTCTGGGTATTCTTTGAGCTTCTGGTATTCAGAGTTCTAGATCTCTAGCAAGGCCAGGAAAGTTTTCCTTGATTATTCCCTCAAATATGTTTTCCAAACTTTTAGATTCATCTTCTTCCTGAGGAACACCAATTATTCTTATGCTTGCTTTTTAAATATCATCCCAAATTTCTTGGAGGCTTTTTTCATTTTTTAAAAAATTATTTTTTCTTTGTCTTTGTTGGATTGGGTTAATTCAAAAGCCTTGTCTTCAAGCTGTGAAGTTGTTTTTTGTTTGTTTGATTTCTACTTGCTTAGTCTATTGAAATTTTCCAGTGTATTTGGTATTTCTCTAAATGTCTTTCATTTCCAGAACTTGTGATTTTTTTTCTTTATGATATCTATTTCTGTGGAGATTTTTTCATTCATATAATGTATTTTGTTTAAGTTGATGTTCACCTTTGTTTGGTACCTCCTTGAGTAACTTACTAACAATTATCAACCTTTGGAATTCTTTATCTGGCAATTCAGAGATTTCTTCTTGGTTTGTATCTATTGCTGGAGAGCTAGTGTGATCTTTTGGGGGTGCCATAGAACCTTGTTTTGTCATATTACCAGAATTACTTTTCTGGTTCCTTCTTATTTGGGTAGACTGTTTTGGCAGAGAGATCTGGGATTCAAGCGCTGCTGTTCAGATTCTTTTGTCCCTCAGGGTGATCTGTTGATGTGGTGCTCTCTCCCTTCCCCTAAGGATGGGGCTTCCTGAGAGCAGGACGTCAGAGATTGTTATTGCCTTTCTGGGTCTAGCTACCCAGAGAGACTACCAAGCTCTGGGCTGGTGCTGGAAAATGTCTGCAAAGAGTCCTGTGATGTGATCTATCTTCATGTCTCCCAGCTGTGGACAACAGCACCTTCTCCAGTGGAGGTGGCAGGGAAGTGTAGTGGATTCTGTGAGAGTCCTTGGCTATAGTTTTGTTTAATGTGCTGCTTTTCTCGAATGCTGGTTATGCTAACAGTGAAGTTGTCATGTGGACATATTCAGGACCTCTGGTTAGCTAGGATGTTGCAGGCAGCAGAAACAGCTGTTGTTTTCTCCTTCTTTGGAGCCGACTTGTTCTGTTATGAGTTGCTGTAATGGCTTGAGTTGGTTGGCCTCCAGCCAGGAGGTGGCACTTTCAAGAGAGCACCAGCTGTGGTGGTAGAAGGGGAATATAAGCTTGCCCTAAATTGGCCAGGATAAGTATTCAAGTTTCTCAGGTGATGGGCGGGGCCATAGAGCTTCCAAGAGATTATCCCTTTTGTATCCCTTCAGCTACCAGGATGGGTAGAGAAAAACCATCATGTGGGGACAGGGTTAGGTGGGTTTGAGCTGCCAGACTCTCCTCACTGGGGCTTGCAGAGGCCATTGTGGGAGACAGCAGGGTGGTTCTCAGGCCACTGGAGCTATGGTCCAAATGGTATTATGGCTACCTGTACTGTGTTGTTCAGGTGGCATGGCAGGCAGGGCTGAGATCTTGCCCCAGGCTACAAGCTTCCCTGCTGAGAAAGCAAGCAGGGCTTTACGGCAACCTCTGCATTTGTATCTGCACTTCCTGTTTGCCCCTCACCTCCTTAGATTCAGCTCAGAAAAATTTATGGGATCTTTTTCTCCTGTAGATATTTGTATGGCTTACTCTATATCTTCAGGCACCAACTCAAATGTCATCTATCGTGAAGTCTTTCCTGATTATTATACAGAACATAATCACATGCTCACACACAGCATTCTCTATCCTCCTATCCTGCTATAATTTTATCCATAGCATATAACATCAGATGTGTATTTATTACCTAAGGCTCCTAGTAACACAGAAGCACTAAGAAACCAGTGACTTAACTTGATCCATTCATTTTCCACCCCTTTGGTGCCTAGAAGACTGGCTGGGATACAGAGGTATGTAAAAAGTATCTGTTAAATGAATAGTTATTGAATGTCTAAAGAAATAAATGACCAAATTGGGTACATGAATGATGTATGTGAAAGCAAAAAAAAATCACAGACTATACAACAGGTTGTACCCTGTCACCAAAGAATGAATGACAAAACTTGATCATTCCTGCTGAGAATTTGGTCCCTCACTCCTACTCTGGGTCCTTTATTTTGTTTCAGTCATTATTGTTCTTCTATATAGGTACTGTTGGAAATATGTGTTCCTTTTCAGAACCCTTGTTACTTGTCATAAAGTGCCTTGAAAGATCAATTTGCTGAAAGTTAAATTTTTAAAAATTTATTGAAAACAATGCATTTCCTCCACCAATTTTCTTACCTTTCAGTACTCATAGTTCATTTCTATCTGCCTGTTCATTTTCTTAATAGAGAATCCATGTATTCATTTATTTGAGAAATATTATTGATAATCTATTATGTGCCAGGCAATGTTCAGTGAATGTATTCTCTTTAAGTTTAATGCTTTGTACCTTTTTCCCTGGCAACCATGTTCTCTGTATGGGATCGATGTTTCCCTGAAACGTTAGTACTTTCTACATACTCTATTGATGGAAGGCACTTTCAGCAGGAGAAAAAAATCATTTTCAGCCCAGAGTGTAAGACGAAAATAGATGCCCCACTTTTTAGAAACATTAACAGCCTGACATTTCCTGTGTACACCGTTAAGTAAACTCCTAAAAACATCAAGTGATGTACATTACTGTTTCTTCATATTCAAGAAGACATCAGTTATAATATCATTAGTTCTGTTTAATAACAAATAGAAAATTATTAAATAAGCCAAATATTAGGAATGATTGGTGTGGAAATAATGAGAATTAAGAACTGGAGAAAATATTATTTATGTGGAAGTAAATGTGGAAAAAATACAAAAATAAAAACCGGGAGTTTTTTCATAATGGCTCTTGGTCATCTTTCAGATGCCTTTTAGATCATCTGAGTTCTGTTTTTCCTAGAGAGATAGCCTTTAGGTTACCAAGCTACCACTGGTTTCCTGATGCTGTAAAACTTAACTGTGCCTACTAAGCAACTTCTGAAGATAAAGAGAAATTTTCCCTTAGGGGATTAAACAGGGACTATATTAAGTTACAACAGATATTTAACTCCACCAATTGGTTGGTTGGTTGTTAACTAATACATTACAATTAATTTAACTTTATATGATCAAGATGTTGAATTGCAAGCCTCTCTGTTAGCCTCCTGCAGCAATAAAAGCTTTTCCTTCTGTTGTCCATATGCTGGAATTCAGGCTTAAGTGTGTGGATATGTTATTGGATGCCGGAGTGGTTCTTTATATCCTGAACTCACAAGGCCAGCTATGGATGTTTATTCTCTCCTACCTAATTCTGGGCAAATTTTGCTTCCTTCTCCAAGTATAAATGGATTGCACAATTTATTGCATTGTTTATAAACAAGAACATGAGAATACACACTACATTTCAATTTATGATGCTTCCTTCATTATAACATTACTTACTGTAGATCTGTTAGACAGAAATAATATTTAGCTCTTTAATGATCTGGAATGTGTGTTGGTATAGAATGTATAACTATCCTGCTCCTGTTGTGCCCCTCACTCATACTGTATTGCCACTATCCTCATATCTTCAACTCTTAGGAATAATATTCCAAGTTCTACTTCAATACATTTTATTGTTATACTTAGAAATAAAGTTGTCTACTTTACTTTTCTGGATTATATTTCTCCAGTTTTGATCTCCGGGTTCTACTAACTTTATAACATCAATGGAGGAGATTTCTTTATTCTTCTAAATCCTGCAAATGTTTACATAGTACAGAAATCTTTGCCTTTAAAAAATAAGTTCATCACCAGTCTGACAAGAGACTTGTCTGAATGAAATTATTTTGTACACATTTTCTCTATTTCTTCTGTATTTATCAGTTAATTTAGGCTTCCAACCATTCTTGAGTTAGCTTTTTTCTTCATTTTTAATTTTTTTTTAAATTTTTCCTTAAGTTATTGGGGTACAAGTGGTATTTGGTTACGTGAGTAAGTTCTTTAGTGGTGATTTGTGAGATTTTGGTGCACCCATCACCTGAGTAGTATACACTGTACCATATTTGTAGTCTTCTATCCTCGCCCTCCTCCCACTCTTCCCCTCGAGTCCCCAAAGTCCATTGCATGATTCTTATGCCTTTGTGTCTTCATAGCTTAGCTCCCACATATCAGTGAGAACATACGATGTTTAGTTTTCCATTCCTGAGTTACTTCACTTAGAATAATAGTCTCCAATCTCATCCAGGTCACTGCAAATGTTAATTCATTCTTTTTTATGGCTGAGTAGAATCCCATCGACTGTATCTTTCCTTCATATATGATGCTTAGTTTCACTGGATTCAAAATTCTTGGCTAATAATTGTTTTGTTTGAGGAGGCGGAAGATTTGCCTGGTGCTTCTGTCTTACAGCTCTTAAGATTCTTTCTTTTGTCTTAACTTTGGAACTTTGGATAACCTGATGACAGTGTGCCTGGGTGAAGATCTTTTTGCGATGAACTTCCTGGGTATTCTTTGTGCTTCTTGTATTTAGAATGTCTAGGTCTCTAGCAAGGCCAGGGAAGTTTTCCTTGATTATTTCCCCAAATATCTTTTCCAAGCTTTTAGAATTCTCTTCTTCCTTGGGAACACTGATTATTCTAAAGTTTGGTCGTTTACCATAATCCCAGACTTCTTGGAGGCTTTGTTCATATTTTCTTATTCTTCTTTCTTTGTCTTTGTTGGATTGGGTTAATTCAAAGACCTTGTCTTCAAGATCTGAATTTCTTTCTTCTGCTTGTTCAATTCTATTGCTAAGACTTTTCAGAGTATTTTGCATTTCTAAAAGTGTATCCAAAGTTTCCTGAATTTTTTATTGTTTTTTCTTTGGGGTATCTATTTCTTTGAATGTTTCTCCCTTCACTTCTTGTATCATATTTTGGATTTCCTTGCATTGGGCTTCACCTTTATTGAGTGCTTCCCTGATTAGCTTAATAACTAACCTCCTGAATTCTTTTTCAGGTAAATCAGGGATTTCTTCTTGGTTTGGGTCCATTGCTAGTGAACTAGTGTAATTTTTTGGGGGGTGTTGAAGAGCCTTGTTTTGTCATATTACCAGGGTTGGTTTTCTGGTTCCTTCTCATTTGGGTAGGCTCTTTCAGAGGGAAGGTCTAGGGCTGAAGGCTGCTTTTCAGATTTCTTTGTTTCACAGAATATTCCCTTGATGTAGTACTCTCCCCCTTTTCCTATGAATGTGGCTTCCTGTCAGTTGAACTGCAGTGATTGTTTTCTCTCTTCTGCGTCTAGCCACCCAGTGAGTATATCCATCTCCGGGGGCGGGTAATGGGGGTTGTCTGCACAGAGTTTTGTGATGTGAACCATCTATAGGTCTCTGTTGTGGACAGAGACCATGCCTGTTCCGGTGGAGGTGGCAGGGGGCAGGGAGGTGCAATGGACTTTGTGAAAGTTCTTAGCTTTGGTGATTTAATGCTCTATTTTTGTGCTGGTTGGTCTCCTGCCAGGAGGTGGCACTTTCCAGAAAGCATCAACTGTAGTAATAAGGGGAGGAACTGCAGTGGGCGGGGCCCTAGAACTCCCAAGATTATATGCCCTTTGTCTTCCGCTAGCAGGTCAGGTAGGGAAGGACCATCAGGTAGGGATGGGGCTTGGCATGTCTGAGCTGAGACTCTCCTTGGGCAGGTCTTGCTGGGGCTGCTGTGGGGGGTGGAGGTGAGATTCACAGGTCACTGGAGTTGTGTACCTAGGAGTATTATGGCTGCCTCTGCTGAGACATGCAGGTTGTCAGGGAAGTGGGGGAAAGCCGGCAGTCACAGGCCTCACCCAGCTCCCACACAAACCGAAGGGTCGGTCTCACTCCCACTGTGTCCCCCTGCAACAGCCCCCAGACAGTTTCCAGGCGGAAAGCATAAGGGCTTGAAAACCTGCCCCAGGCTACCCACCTCCCAGCTGCCAAAGAAAGGGCTAGGTTCTTCCCCAGCCTGTGAAGTCTGCACACCAGATTTGCACCCTCCCCCGAGTTCTGGCCAGGAGGCTTCTCACCCCGTTCAAATTGTTACGGGGTTCAGCTGAGATTTCCTTCTCCCTGTGGAGTTTTACCACCTGCTCCTCCCCTGTTGGATCCCTATGGTGCCAGGCAGGCATGGGCTGCTCGGGGACCAGAGAGCTCCCAGGGCCTTCCTGCTGCTTCGTCTACCCCTGTATTTTGCTTGGCTCTACAAATTGACTCAGCTCCAGGTAAAGTCAGAAACTTCTCCCGCTAACAGACCTTCAGCTTCTCCAGTGGGGGTGTGTGTTCAGGAGAAGAGGGTCTCCCTTTCCCAATTCTGAAGTTGGGGCACTCACAGTTTTGCGGGGGGTCTCCTGGGTCGTGCAAGAGCAGTCCACTTCCTTCAGAGGGTCTGTGGGTCCTCTTGGGATTGCTCTTGAGTTAGCTTTATTAATTTATATTTTTCTTAAAATATTCTATTTCCTCAAGACTTTCAAATATATCACCATAGAATTATATGCACTGTAATTGCAAATTTTGTCTCTTTTATTAATCTCATTAAAATCTGCTCCTCAATTTTTATTGAGTATTTTTTTCCTTTTTCAAAGCATTGCCAGAAGGAGGATTTATCTGATTATTTTTTAATAAACAAGTTCCTGAATATATCTGTATTACTTTTCTATCATTGCTGTAACAAATTGCCACAAACTTGGTGGCTTAAAGCAACACAAATGTATCATTCTCTGTGAGTAAGCAATGTGACAGGAGTCTCACTATACTAAAATCAAGGCATCATAGGTCTTCACTCCTCTCTGTGGGCTCTAAGTGATGTTCCATTTCCTTGCTTTTTCTGGGTTCTAGAGTTCACCCCCATTCCTTGGTTCATAGGCCCCTCCTCCGCCTTTGAAATCAGCAAAAGGCGAGTACTTTTCACATCACGTCACTCTGACCTTCTGCAGTCACAACTGTCCCTGACTGTCCCCACTTCCATCTCCCTTTTCCACTTTTAAGGACCTTTGTGATTTCACTGGGCTCATCCAGACTAAACAGAATAATGTCTCTATTTTAAAGTCAGCTAATTAGTAACTTTAATTCTCCCTGCAACCTTAATTCTTCTTTGCAGTGTAAACTAACATGTTCACAAGTTTGGGGGTTAGAATACGAATATCTTGGGTGGGGGCATTATTCTGCCTACCAAAATATAAAGTAAACTTTTGATGTTTTATAATCATTTTCCTACCTTTCTTTTTATTGTTTCTTCCTGCTTCCTTACTGTAATTTTATTGCCATTTTTAAAGTTTCAGTTATGTGTTTAGCTTATTTATTTTTACTTTCTAACAAAAGATTTTAAATCATAGAATTTTTATTTCAGTACAGCTTTAGTTGTATCCCTGAGGATTTAATAATCATATCTAGAGAGTTTCTAAATATTAGAAATGATTGGTTTAAATTTACATGTGCCTGCATTCTCTTTAAATAAACTTTTATTATTTACTTCTATTTTTATTGGAAATTGGTTCAATTTTTCTTTAGAGGTTTTCTTTGTCACATATAATGGGGGCCTATTTTTAAGAACATTCCACCCAAATTTGGAATGAATAGCTAGTTTCTACTTACATTTTGTAGACAAAATGTTTCTTATTAATAACAATAATGACAATACCATTTTAAGTGTTTACTTGGTACTACACTATGTCATTATAAATATTATCTCAATTGATCTTCATAGTGACTATGAGTAGGTATTATTATCCTCAATTTACACAAGGAGAAACAAAGCCACATCACTGGTAGATGAGAAAAGCAACACTTTATTGTTATATTGGTTATTCAATGTTAAGGAAACACATAATTGTAATGCTTTACACGTTTACTTTTTTTCTACTTTTATTTTAAGTTCAGGGAGTACATGTGCAGGTTTGTTACATGGGTAATTGTGTGTCACTGACCCTTCTTTTTTTAAGTCTGCTTTAATTCTTTAAACCTGAGGGCCGAGTGAGGTAGTAAAATTTCTCACAACTCTGTTTCTATTGATTCCTTCGGTCTTAGTTTCTGTTTAATGTAGTTTGATGTTAGTTTGGTCACCACATGCTATCTCATGAGCATTTATCTTCACTTGTAAACTGTATTTTTTTTAGTTGAAAATGACTCTCTTTGCATATACTACCACTTCTACTTTGCCTGTGTTTAATATTGCACTCATATTTCCCTCACCCTCCTTTGTTTCTTTATTTCTTTTGCCTAACGTATCTGCCCATTCATTTTTAACATTTTGCATCACTTTTGGTTAGATGTGCAGGGTGAGCATAATGTTTTTAGTTGGATTTTGTTTACTAACTCAATCTCAGTGTCTGTTTTAAACAGAGTTTTAAAGTAATTTGTGTTTTTCCATAACTGATTACTTCAGCCTCACTTTTATCAGCTGATTTTTTTTCCTTGTTTTCTATTTTCTGCTATGAGGAATATTGCAGAATATGTTGTCTTAGCTTTGGTCTTCTCTAGTGTTTAAAAAAGTATTTGGCCTCTTTTTAATACTAGTAGTGTTACCATTATCTTTCAAAGGCATCTTTAAGGTATAGTTCTTCAATTATCAAACTTTAAACCAAATACAGTAGCATTAGACTGTTCCTTATCTAAGTGGAGGATTTTATATACTTTCACTTAATGCCATATATCTCTATTCCACTTGCCTGCCAGTCTTATTTTAAAAATCTAGGTTTTAACTTAGATTATTGTTAATAAATTTCCTTTTTTGCATTTATATAAACTATTATGTAAAAAATACTGTAAAATTTGTGTCTACATTTTTACCATATGAACTACAATTATTTGGACTTTCCTTTTTTTTATATTAGTTTTACTGTGTACCAGAGTCAATTCTTGGTCAGTTCTCACCCAGTTTTGCAGATGGTACTCTATTTCCTTCCTCATTAATAACAATGTGGATTAATGTGAAAATATAGAAAGACCTCATTCAGGGCTTTCCTTTTTACCCTTTCCCCATCTTAGCAAAAGAAAGGAATTAACCTTCTAAGAAAACTAAAAGGAATTAAAAAAAGAGGTATCCCCAGAATTCCTAGGCTTGCAATTTCAACTGGATTTCAGTCACTACAGCCTCATTCTTGGATTCATTCCCAAAGGCACTTGCAGAAGTGTGAGCACTCCATGGGCCATGCCTTGGCTCTGTGGTTCCACTTTCCTGCTCTACTTCAAGGCCAGCATATACAATAAGGATCTCCTCTTCCCATCTCCATCCTCATCTCCTGGTTAGCTCTTACTCCTTCATCTCTAAGTCTCAAGTATCTCAAATATAATTTCCTCAGGAATACTTTCCTCACCTTCTAAATCAATCAGGTTCACCTACAGTTTGTGATTAGGTATTTATTTATCTAGTTATTTGTTCTGTATCTGTTCCACTGCGTTATAAGTTCCATACATACATGAAAGGCCTCCATTTTTCTGACTGCCAGATTCCTAGTCCCCGGTAGTACCTAGCACATGGTAGAGACTCAATAAATTCATTCCTTTTTTCAAGACAAGTTTTTGAACATGTACTGCATGTCATACACAAGTTTAGATGCTGGGCATGCGGAAGAGGTACCATGGAGCTTACATTCCAGTGGAGGGAGGCAGGAAATCAATGTAAGTTAGTGACACAGGCTTTAAAGAAAACAACATCGGGCAATGTCAGTGTCTAGAGAGCTGGGCGGCTACTGTCATTACAGTGTTCAGGAAAAGTGTAATTGAGGATGTGACATGAAAGATTAGATCAAACCAAAGAGAATAATGTAGCCACATGAAGATCAGGGAAAGAACTACCCAGGCAACAGGAAAAGTAAAAGAAAATGTCCTAACACCCAACTAAGCTTTGCTTTCCAAAGAGCAGAAAGGACAGGAAAGGTGGTCTATATGCATGGAGGATAAGAGGGGCAAAAGATAAGAATCAGAGTACAAAATGAGAATGAGCCTGGTGAGTCCAAGGAGAGAAAGAAGGGGAGTGGGGATGAACAGGGGCATAGTGATAAAGAAGGAGTGTGGTCGAGGATTAGCATCTCCTCCAGCATTGATTATTCTTCTAATAAGTTCTAGACCTTCTGTTGAGCTTTTTATCTACATTGTCTCATTTAATTCTCAACCAGAGGGATTATCGTTCAACTTAACAGATAAGGAACTTGAAATTTTAAGAGTTTAGCAATTCGCTAAAGATTCAACCAATCATATGTGGCGAAGACAAAGTTTGACCTTACCTCTGCTGGACCCCAGAGGTTGTGTGTTTAACCACTATCCCTTACAGAGTGGCACTCAGACAGACAGGGTTGTTCACAATAATTGGAGTAAAACACATTGTAAGAGAAGTACCATAAGATTTGAATTTGTCTTTGCCTCCTTAGACAAATGCTTTCATTTTGTCTTCACTTATTGGTTGTTCATCCTCTCTAACAATGCACTATACAAAAATGTGTATCTACAGTCCTTTCAGCTTCATTCAAACAAGACCAACTTATATGCAGCTGGTGAGTGAATGCCTCTAGCAGAAAGCTGCACATAGCACAACTCCTTAAGTGTAAGCTCAATCTCTAGTAACTCCATCTACTACTGCTGTATAAATCACTGTGTGCTATATATGTCCATATTATTCATTCCCAAACATGCACTAGTTAATGAGAATGCTAGTCCATGACCTTGTTTATCTTCTTAAGTTTTAGCAAGGGTGTAACTTAGTTTATAGGTTTTAGCAAAATCTTCTCAATCAATCAACATATGCAATCAGAAAACATGCAAAGGGATGACCAATGACCCAAATTGCCTTGTACTTTTTTCCGCTTCTTTTGTTTGGTTTTCTTTTTGTCGCCTTGGTGCTTCCTATTCTATACCATCAACACTATTTTCTCTGAGACTGGTTTGCCTTGTGGTGACTAAAGGAAGTGGGTAATTACATTGAGGAGTGACAAGAGAGAAGGTATCTCCACTCCCTCAGGCTTAAGTTGTGAAGCAATGTTATTTTCTTGTTCATGAAAAATATTCTAAGGAAATAAAGTTTACCACTTTTTATTTAAGTGAAAATAACCTTAGAGTTTAGTGTAATTGTTTATTATATTCTCAGCACTACCTTTTCCTAATTGTCCCAATGCATGTGTATTTTAAATATTGTTATTAAAAAGAAAAGACTAGATTTCTCAGCAAGGCCCATCACTTATTTTAAAATGAAACAGATTACTAATTTTGCTGCAAGCAAAGCAAATCAGTTAATTTGTCATGAAAAACTCCATCTCCTAGCCAAAAACATAAATCAGTCCAGTTTTTACTCTGTCTATGAAATATCACACAAACTAGTTTTGGCTTTGATGTAACCCCACGTATCAATCTGTAAGTTTTGTTCAGGGAGTATTGTTAATATTAATGAGTTTTTATCCATGATGTTGCTTCTCCCGAATCCCACCCAGCCTGGAAATGGCCCAAGAAAGATGGAGTGGTGGGACAGGGTGGACATGGAGCAAAACGGTTCTCATTAGGGATCTGAAGACACCCGCTTCTAAGTCATTCATGCTCCCAATTGCTTGTGTTACCACTTATTTTCCATGCCTGTCTTCCAGTTGCCATGTGTTCCCAATTAAAGTGGCATGTTTGCACTTTAGCTCCCAGTTGCCTGCTTGCCCTTCATTTTTAATAGCTTATATATTTCTCTCAGTATATCATTTTTTGGAAGAATTTAAAAGAAACTCTAGGCATGCTGTAATCGGTATTATTAGTTTCAGCAGACTGATTAGGTATGGAGACTGTATGACTCACATTTTTGATATGGTCCATGTATTTGATGGTACTTCATTGAAACACATCTTTCTGGCCATGATGACAGCATCGAGGGAGACAGAGCTCTGCTCCTGGCAACATATTCTGATCAACAATTCTACCATGACATGAAAATATAAAAGTAGAGCATGTGTGGTGTTTCCCAGTTATTTTAGCAACAGTAAAAATTCTTCTTAAAAATAATGTGGTTCTTATCTATAAGGTTATATTCTTATCTATAAGAACCTGAATGAAAAACTTAGACCGATATTATTTTTTTTCTCCAATAAAATGAAAGAGGTAAGTACTGGTCAAATCAGTATTTTGATGGTTTGAGTGATAGTGGGGACTCTGGAATCCAACTTCCTCAGCCTCTCACCTCAACTCTAGAACCCAGTGAAATAGAGACAAATATTGACTTTGCAGCCTTTCTGTGAGTAGTTCCATTTGAGAATACCAGATGGAACTGAAAGTGTCTCTTGTGCCCCTCTCCGCAACCATCATGAGTCTGGTGAATGACATCAACAACTTGCTCACCCATATCACTTTGATGCATTCATGGAGATCACACCAAAGTGGGAGTTTCCATTTCTTTACCTGGACTCTACTTGGAGTTAGTACTCAGAAGCAGTGGATTCAAAGCAGAAAATTAAAGACAGAAAATAAAACCACTTAACACTCCAACACAGGAAAGTCACAGCTGCCCCTTTTTCTCTGGGCTGTCTTCTCCAACTCTTCCCTGACTGCTCCCAGAAAGTGCCCCTTGCAATTACCAGTGGGGTCTAATAAGCCATGCTAACAAATTGGCAAGTGTTAAAAACTACTAACAAGTAATAGGGGTCTTCCTTACATAAATACTTAGAATTGAAGAGGAATTTGAAATTTTTGAAAAGACAGAGGGCAGAAGTCTGAAGCAGTTTATGTCAGGAATAGCTGTCACAGTCTCTTTACCAAGATCTTTAGAACCTGTCCCATCAATAGAAGTCCATAAAAGTTATGTGGGTTAATGAAAAAAAAACTTTGCCTAGGGTTGGTCTTCTGAAATGTGCACAGATAGTAAGTCATCAGGAATGTCCTGTTCAGTTGTGAGAGGCAGCAATGCATGTGTAAGCAAGTAAAAACAGACGCTCGCCCAGCCCTCAGGGAATTTTAGATTTCCCTCAGTACATTTGTAAGACGGGTTCAATGTAATTTTCCCATAACATGAATATACGGGAAGTGATCTTTCCAAGAACACACAGTGAGACAGTAGACAAGAAGTCTAAGAACTAGACCAGATGTCACAAACTGTGAAGTCTATTCTCAACCCTTTCACTAACTCACTGATGTGGTTTAGATTAATTCACTCAATTTCTAATCCTTTTATTAAAAACAATGCTTCCTGTTTATTTTTAGAATCATCCATTCAAAAGCTTTAGTTCTTTTTCATTTCCATTGTAAGTTATACCAAAATAAGAGTTAGAACTTCATATCAAACTATCATGACATCCACTTAACACAGAGGGAAGAAAATAATCAAATTGAGGTTAATATTGTATCAGATCAAATGCCAGCACAGAGCACAGGCAGTGAACACACTCTCTCCTGCCTCATTTTTAGGGGCACAAACTGGGACATAATGACATTAGCCTTTGTGGTTTCACCCATCAAGGGACAACTATCAGTGGTATGTATCCACGTGAGTCAGGGCCATGTTCAGACTTGTGCTTAACAGATAAGTTTGCTAGTGGCCTTGAGTCTACAGCAGTCTAAGTCTGGATACAGATCTCTAAAAACCATGAACTATGAAGAAACTAGAATGCATTGGGTTTAGATACTTACAGTGAAGGTAGATTTTGATATATTCGCTTTCAGCTGACTTTTAATGTAATGATAAGTCAAGGAAAGCATTGTCAACCTTAGATGAATTCCTATTCTAGGAGGTGCTGGGTTGACAAAGGGAAGGAATCTTAGTACCCCTGAGAACTCTTCATTATGATTTCCCCAGTCATTGACCTTGGCATTAGGAGGTCTTTTAATAATGTTGATGCTTAGCTTGACTAGGCCATGCCAAGAGTATGATGGGGACTGGATATTCCAGGCTGAACCAGTAAGAGCTATCCTGAGAGCAGAGTAACTTAGCCCTAAGATTAATCCAGAGCTAAATTTAAAAGCAATGAGCTCTAAGACATGGTAGTAAGTAAGAAACGAAGGCTATAAATACAGAAAAACTAATTTTTTCTTTTTTTTTGAGACAGAGTCTCGCACTGTCGCGCAGGCTGGCATGCAGTGGCGCCATCTTGGCTCACTGCAAGCTCCGCCTCCTGGGTTCACGCCATTCTCCCGCCTCAGCCTCCCGAGTAGATGGGACTACAGGCACCTACCACCATGCCCGGCTAATTTTTGTATTTTTATTAGAGACTGGGTTTCACCATGTTAGCCAGGATTGTCTCGATCTCCTGACCTCGTGATCCACCCACCTCGACCTCCCAAAGTGCTGGGATTACTGGTGTGAGCCACTGCTAAGGTCAAAGTCAGGTGTCACTAAAAGAGTAGATAGAGATGAAGAAAGGAAGGCACTAAAAACCTATAGAATTCTTTTCTGTGACAATTTGCAACCTCATGCAGGGCCCAGAGTGTGGCCCAGAACAAGGTTATAAGGAATCAAGTGCCTTGATCATATATCTCAACTTTTTGCTAATATTACTAGGCCCCCTGTCTATCAAATTACTCTTCCTCTGTTTCTCATGACCAGTATGTTCGCACATGGAAAAGAACATGAACAATCATTACTCCCACATGTTTTCAATATTTTCTTATCAGAGTCAGATTCAAAGATGCATCAGGACCCATTGTGGCCTTTCTTGGAAGTTCTCTAATTTAGAACAAAGAAATTTAAGACCTAAAAGTAGCGAAAGAGTGAAAAGTGCAGTGATTTGAAGAGTATTCAAAAGTTGCTCATAAAGAAGAAAAAAAATACAAGCATACCCACATGCATGAAGGCAAGAAATTTCTAATCACAAAGCATTAAAATAAGGGAAGCATCTAGAATTGAACAATGAGAACACAAGGACACAGGAAGGGGAATATCACACACCGGGGCCTGTTGTGGGGTGGGGGGAGGGGGGAGAGATAGCATTAGAAGATATACCTAATGTAAATGACGAGTTAATGAGTGGAGCACACCAGCATGGCACAAGTATACATATGTAACAAACCTGCACGTTGTGCACATGTACCCTAGAACTTAAAGTATAATAAAAATATATATATATATTAAAAAAACAAACGGCAATCTCATACACTCTTTAAAGTTTAGTCACAACAAAGTATGATTTTTAGAATCAACATATTGGAGAACTTGTAATTTCATGACTAATATTTTAGAAGCTATTTAAAATTATTTTCATTTCTACTGTTTCTGCTTTTGAAGGATATTCCTTATATTAAAAACAAACAAACACATGAGAAACTCCAAAGCAACAACAACCTACCTGAACTGCTTAAAAGAAATGGCCAAGATGTGTTAGTTAGAGATTAAACTCATCAGATAATTATAATGATTTGTAATGTCCTTCATTTTGTACATCATTCTCAGACTGCTAGAATTTCACATGAATTACTAGCAAATTTTTAGTCACAGTTTATGTTCATTATTTAGAATATTTTTCTCTCTGGATTGGCACAATTTGGTAGCTAAATATAATAAACATCTGTTTACTGGGTTGAGAGTAAATAATATTGAACATCCGATTAACAGATGGATAGTTTGCTTTATGTGCTGAAAGATTTTTTTGTAATGGCAGTTCTAGGAAAGATAAAGAAGCAATTTAAGATCTGAATTTCATTTATCGTAATAGATAAGGTACAGGAATACTTAACATTGTGTAACATAAGATATTCAGATTAAATCTGACTTTTCATATATATTTGAAAAACGAACTTGTGTAGATTGCATTTATGAGACATTTATTTTGAATACATGTGGTTTTCCACCAAATCTTCATCAATTGTTCCTTTTCCTAGAGAGAGTGTCAGGGAAAGGTTTCAGATGGCCATCTGGTTAGTGTCAGACAATACTCATTCCAATAAGTACATTATGGAATTCAAAGCCAAGGAGTGTTTTTCCCCAAGTGATTTTTTAACTCCATGTTTTGATCCTCCATTGTCATTTGACTTTTTAGCAGCATTTTCTGGGCTCTTTTTCCTGTATAATTAATGAGACTCAGGTACTTCTTCTTTGTTAATTTAGGCTTAACACGTCTCCCATTTGCAATAATTTCTTTTACGATATAGGATAAAGAATTACACACTGCTTCCAGAATATGTGCTAGGACATTTGAAGGTAAACATTCCTATATTTATTATGACAAAGCTTTTGAATTTTATAACCATAAATTCAGACAACCTACAACCTCCCACAGTTTCTTCTTAATGTTTGACTGTGAATGGAATTCTAGCCTAAAGCAAGGTTTTAAAATCTATCTAACAATTGCAACCAAATTACTGTAATCATGTTGAAATGTTCTTGTAGTTCACTCATTATTAATCAAATTTTCATAAATTCTCTTCCATACCACATTATGTGTCAGTCTGGCTTTCTTGAAAACTCACTGAGATAGAGGGATTTGTATGCAAAGGTTTCTAAGGCGATATATCTTTTCTTAAGGGGGGAAGGCAGGCCTGGGAACTGGGAAATGCTGACTCACAACATGGCTTGCAAAGGAAGCCAATACAGAGAGTTCCGGACTTAAGAAGGTCCTTTAGAGTTGCCTTGTGTCATTGGCTAGAGGCAAGCCTCTGGTGGGGATGAAAGGATGGAAACTTGGGCACAGCAATGTCTTGCAAATAAGGGAAATTTCCAGTAAGGGACATAGCTGTCCTAGTAAGGGACATAGCCTTCAGCAGTTGGTATTCCCAGAAGCTGGAGGATGGGTACATGAGCCCTGGCAAGGAGATCATGGTGAGGCACCACAAGAAGCACATTTTTTGGTTAGAACTCTATTCTATAGAATGAATCATTTAGGTAGGACTTGGAAAATAGGGTAGAAAGATATCACATACTAATCTTTTGTCATCAGGGTAATGTCTGCATTTGTCTACCTGTAAAGTAACTCTTGTTTTCTCCTCAAGGGTGTGTATGCATCAAATACAGCTTTCCAATAAAGGTAAGGCTTGTTAGGAGCAGAGACATGCTCAGCTTAACTCAGAAATCCTCCTTCCACTTCAATCTGTCCCCCTCTTCCTCCTAGGCACCTGACTGCCCAGTTAAGAGACAAAATTTCCCAGATGTCCTTGTGAATACATATGGTCCTGTGACTACGTTCTCACACTTGAGATGTGAGCAGAATTGATTGGGAAACTTTATTTTTTAAAAAATATGCCTGTCCTGGACTTATTTATCCCTTTTCTTTCTACTGATTGGAATTACTAGAACAACTCTGGAAGTCTTACATTAAAATTAGCAAAGATGTCTCCACTCTGTGAAGTAAAACCCACCTGTCTGCCTTGCCCTTCACATATGTTAGATAGAAATGTCTTTGTTTTGTAAGCAAATCTACTTGTTACTCTATTCAGTAAGGACATTTAATTTTTAAACTAATTAAAACAAAGATTATTTTTAAAAAATAAAAGATATAGGGATATCCATGTAACATAGAAGCCCAAAAATGGAAAGGTCATTCATGATACACACAGCTCTAGAAACCAGATTATTGTGCTTTTTCTCAATGTAACATTTCCAACACTTTCTCCTCTAGTTTGGTGCTCACTGTAATGAAATGAATCCTTCTGTCTTGCTGGTAACTGACTTCTCTCTGCAATGCTATCAGGTTCATGACTTCTGCTCAGGCATACTTTTTCCTATCTTGTGGTTTTGGCTAAATGCCTACACTTTTTGTGCTTTTCAGCTTATAGGACCCTAAAGAAACTACTGACTCTCTCACATTTCAACTTTTTAAGAGGAAAAAAAAATCTGATTGCTTCTCATCATATTTGCTATCCCTATTGAGCAGAGCACTTATTCTAGACTACCTGACAGGCTTCAGGCTAGTCTAGAATCAGGCTGCCCTTGGGGTAAGTAATAGAGAGTTTTCCCAATTTTGGCTGCCCTCCTTCTGAACTTCCTTCCTATTTGTTTATACTTTCCATTACATGTGGTTTTGGTAGCAGCCACAGGAAACAAAAAATTTCTCCTTTCTGTTTCTTAATGAATAGGCACATGACCGGGGCTCTAAAAAACAGGTGTTACCACCTGGTATTCCAACCAGAAGTGACAAAAATTCTTGGGGTCATTTAGAGATGATTCGCAATGGTGTTTCAGTGTGGCCCAGAGACCCATAGCTGGAGCAGTGGTGTCTTAAATAGACTGTTCCTAAGACATGCTGTAAGCAGTGTTCTCTGCTGCCCCTACACTCCTTTTTTGGGGGAATGGTTTTCCAAGCTTCCCGTAAATCCTATGAGCTTTCCAATTATCTGCTCCCTCCAAAATATCTTTTCTTATAAGTTAGCAATTTATCTGACTTGCACCCGAGATCCCAATTGTGATGCATATTGGTACCCACTCTTTATCTGATCAGCTGTGGCCAGCTTGGTTAACCATGTGATCAACTTTCCTCAGAAATAGCTGTATGAGTGAGGCAGGAAACCAGAGGATATTAGAGAACATTAATCCGAAACTACAAAAAGATTAAAAAAAAAAAAAACAGAGAAAAAGGTCTTTTTGCATGCACTAGTTTACTCTCTATAAACAAAAAAGCAAAGGTGCAATGACTTTGAGGGATAATGAATTTATTCTGTTATCACGGTGTATTAGTCCATTTTCATACTGCTATAAAGAAATACTCGAGACTGGGTAATTTACAAAGAAAAAGAGGTTTAGGGGACTCACAGTTCCACATGGCTGGGGAGGCCTCACAAGCATGGTGGAAGGCAATGGATGACCAAAGACACGTCTTACATGGTAGCAGGCAAGAGAACTTATGCAGGGGAACTGCCCTTTATGAAACCATCAGATCTCGTGAGACTTATTCACGATCATGAGAACGGGAGGGGAGAAACCTGCCCCCGTGATTCAATTACCTCCCACCAGTTCCCTAGCACGACACGTGGGGATTATGGGAGCTACAATTCAAGATGAGATTTGGGTGGGGACACAGCCAAACCTTTCTCTTAGTGGAGCATAAAGTCCAGGCCAGGAAAGAAAAGCTGACCTCTCCCCTCCCTTCTGCTTACACTCATCGGCTCTTCCCACTATTCTCTGGTGCCTGCCTAGATGCAAGCACGGCTAAACTCCAGCCATTGCTTCAACCCTAAAATGGTGTTCAGAAATCCATTGTTTGAAAAAGCCACATTAATGTGCTTTAGTATTATTCTTCACAGTTTTTATGACCTATAATATATCAAGTCTTTTTAAATACTATCTCAATTAGAAGCACTAAATCCATTCTCTGGAAAATAAACATAGTTAGCTAAAATATTCTGCCTTTTAAAATAAGCCTGATGGCAATTTAAAAACATCCTCATCTTCCTGAGAATCACTGCTGTAAAACTCCAGAGCTCTAATGTAGGCAAGTGATGGATATAGCTCTTTTTAAAAGCCTTAGATGAATGACATGGAGTCTGAGAAGAATTTTAATGATTGCCCTTCTGAGTCTTGATATTATACAAGGTAATTGACCTAATATCATACTGATCCATCAAGATTTCCCTTTTTTCCCCCTTTATAAATCCTTTTATCTTTCTCTCTTAAGTTTTAGAACAGTACTTCACTGAGCAAAGAAAAATATATCCATATTCATGATAATGTAAGCACTATTGATTCACTTTTCAAGATCAACCTGTAAACACATAGATTTGCTTATGGTTACAAAACTCAATATAACAGTGCTCACAATTGTGCAATAAAAGTACAACTGGCAAAATTTGAGACCTGGAAATGGGAATGAAAGAAGAGATGAAGATAAAGGCAATGCAATAATAAACTGTATCAAAGGATACTGAGGAAAGTTGACAATATAAGAAGTAGAGATTTAACTTTATCGAAGTTACTAAAGTTACTGAAGAAGAAACGAAACAATAGTGGGGGAAGACAGAGTAAAATATTGCAAGTAAACAAAATCCTCATGTGTTACTGATGAACAATACCTGGAGTAGATCAATCTAAATTTGTTTTTACTTTTTATCTCAATATGACTTGAGATATATCAGTAATAGATACTGATATATAGATATTCTGCTAATTGTCTAAATGCTTCCATTAAGATAATAGTCTATAATATTTTATTGTGCTTTGCTGCACCACACCTACCTTAAAATAAAAGAAACTCATTTTACTATTTACAGTACTTCTTTTTGTACCTTATTTTTTCAGTTTCTTTTTGCTTCTTTTCTTTTTATGCTGTTTTACTGCCTGTTGTGCCTCCAGCAAGCACATTGATAAGAAATAAATTACACTTACCCTGGAGTCTAGGGTGGCTGAGAGCCAGCCAGGCCCTAGAGAGCTACTGAAGTCCTAGTGGGCCTTGCTTTGCTTTCTGTTTTTTGTTTTTTTCTGCCATGATGGTGCCTTCAAGGACAATTGAAGTGCAGATAATCCTTTCACAGCCATCTTTGTTTTCAAATGCATACAGCAGTTCTGTGTTTTCTTTTTGCCTCTGGCCCTGTTTGTGACTATTCTGACTTGTCCTCATTCTCTCATTGCCATTTCTAAAAGCTATCACTACTGCGCCTTAAACTCTACCTCTTTTTTTCTTCTTTTCATTCTCTTATCTCTCCTGACTCTCCTCTTTCTTTTCACAGTTTTATTGTAAGAAGGCTGATGATATATATGCATGTGAACATATATGTATATGTATTTATATATGCATGTATGTATGTATACACACATAAACATATGCCCACATTCTCTTATATACACCAAATGCAATACCCATCTCTAAATACTATCCCTAATTTTGTCATTTTCAGCTTTGTAACAGTATTGCTAGATAATAACTGTGGATTTCCTTATTCCCAGAGACATTGGACTGAAGTTCTCAAAACTATTACCAATTTTTGAACCTCAGTGAATGTTAGGTTGCAGGTTCAAAAAAGTTGGAGAGTAAATTCATAAAGGGAGGGTCACTTTTTTCCACTCGAAGAAAGAATTAAGTATGTTTACTATGTAATAATGTACAAATTTGTGAGTAATCTACCAACAGGCCCTTTTTTTTTTTTTTTTTTTTTGAGACGCAGTCTTGCTCCATCACCCAGGCTGGAGTGCAGTGACGAAATCTCGACTCACTGCAAGCTCCGCCTCCCGGGTTCACACCATTCTCCTGCCTCAGCCTCCCGAGTAGCTGGGATTACAGGCGCCCGGCTAAATTTTTTTGTATTTTTAGTAGAGACGGGGTTTCACCGTGTTAGCCAGGATGGTCTCGATCTCCTGACCTCCAACAGGCCCTTTTTATATTTGTTAAGATTGTTATATTTCAACAAGGTTAGAGATGTTATAACAATATACTAAAGAGATATCAGATTAGAAATCTATGATAAAGTGAGATCAGGACAAAAAAATGTAAGCTGATACATCTGGCAAAGAAAAGTTGTGGATATAGATATTTCATGAAAGGGCGAAACTTAGCAAAATTTTTAAAATGGGCTTTAAATGTAGTCGTTTGACGAAATGTGTTGAGTAGTTCTAATGTCAACTGTCAATGAAGAATGCTGAAACCAAGATACAATGTATAGTTATGGACACCACATTGCAAAATATTGCTTTTTCTGATAATATGTAATAGTTGACATTATACAGTAATATCATAGAGATGAGCTAATTGTCATCTGAATGATTTCAGTGATGATTTGAAGTTGTGTACTTCTGGAAGGCAGAATTTGTTTAACTCACTCTGGGATGCTTAGCCTTTTGAGTGCGTGACTTAGATACTTCATAATGGTTTTAAAATAATGACTATGTCTAATATTAGAGATGCTGCCTTTATTATGATAGCAGAAATATCCACTAGAATGTTTCTTTAACTGGGGATAAAACTCAATCATTTCTCATTGTGGCTTTAAGGGTCTTCAAAACCAAACAGTGCCACTTTAATGGACCTGAAGAAAAGCAACAAGTACAGGCAAGGAAATAAATGGAGAGAATCTTTTGAGAGAAAAAAAGAGCAAATGTGGAAATCATTTACTTGAAAGCAAATACTGAATGCTTCATCGGTATGAGAGGAGAATGAAACTTAAAGGGAATCTGACATGTGAGAAGAGAGTCCTTGGTCCCCCACAGCAGGGGATGTGGCACTGTGAGACAGTGTCCAAGCAGACACCAAGTGCCCCATCAGACCATCATGTTTTCAAACCCAGCAAGTGTGTTTAATGTTTCCACACCACCGCTTCCTTATTTACACACAGAAAGATGGCTTCTGTAGCTTCTTCGGCAGGAGTTTTGAAAGTTAATTAATTTTCATAGAGTGACTACATATTAGATCTCTAAACACTCCCTGAATAGCGCTCCCTTGACAGCTCCTCATGGCCTCCAAAAAAGAGCAAATTCATAAATATTCTTCTTTATTTTAACCTATCATCTTCATTCTCTGCTTTTTTCAAGAAATGGTTCACCTTTGCTTATTTCCTGAAGCTTTTCCTACCAAACTCTATCGCAAAATGAGCCTTGAATGCCATCAAAATGTGAGATCTATGAATTGTGCCAAATTATCACATTCGCCTATATAGTGTCTTGGATGAGGCTATCATTGTTTGTATAAATGCATCCTGCTTCCCCAGCTAGCTAATAAGTCTCTTGGATGGAATAGAAGCGCACTGCATTTTGTATATTCTTGAGCTACCACAATTCAAAAAAATGCTAGGCATTCCACAGGGCCTGTGATAGACAATCTACTATCTCATGGATGTATCTGATCCATCTCCATTGACTGCTATGTGTTTTTCAGTATATCCAACACCTAGAACTGGACCCAACACCTAAAACACTTCCTACCGTATTATAATTTCAACATATTTGTTGAAAGAATGAATGATGTATACTTTCAAATGTTTATATTATTTTAAGAAGAATGCATGTTTGTTTAATATGAAAAGTCTCCTTTCTCCTTGCCTGCTCACCTTACCCTTTCTAGGCAGATCTTAAGAATCTTTCTAAAAGAGAATGCATTCTACATTTTACCTTTCTGAGCCAGGGGTTTTTTTGTTTGTTTGTTTTTGTTTTTTTCAGTTCTCAATTCAGGTTTAATTTTGTGGTGGGATTTGGACATGATTCTTTTAGCTCTTGCCCTAAGTACTTCAGCACTCTGGACTAAAACATGTAGGATAATAAGTACGATTTCACTTTATATATTCTTTGTTTTTCTGCTGAAATGATCTAATACCATTTCTTTGTAGGACACAGCTCACAAGCCTTTGCTATGACACACTTAGTTAGCATCCTACCTTTATACATAAAAACTTTTAGAACCCCTCAGGAGAGCCTAGAAAAGGTGCAATACTAAATCAGAGTTGGCACAGCCTTGAAATAGTTTTCCCTATATTAGTTTCTAAAATTTTAACTAGCTTAGAAAATATCTGATTTCTCAAACTTTCCTCTGACATGAAGACAATATCAGTGGAGAGAAATAAATTCGTACTACAAACACTCATACGTTCATTGTCCTTTACCTTCTATTGTGACATTTAAGTGTCCTGTATAATTTAGAAAGGTGTGATTCGATTGGTGACTCCTTTTCATCCTGCTGGTAATTAGACTCTGGGATATCCATTTACCTCTCTTGATCTTAAGTAAATATTGTGGTTGCATACCAGAGACTGTTTTGAGTGCATTTAGCCTAGTACCTATTGTGAGGACGTAAAGTTAAACCCACTTTGCAGCAATTATGAAATTTTAGTGATTAATTTCTGCTGTTGGATTGGCAAGATTTGTTCAAATAAGGTGTAAATTGTCCAGAACAAATAGACTTCAGACAGACATGGTTTATGTGGCAATCTGATAGTCCAGAGGGAAAAGTGATGAAATAAATTTGACATTGTAGTATTCACTAAATTCTTGATTCATATGTCCAGCCAGTGCAGGCAGAATGCAGCTGATGATTTTAAGGAGATAGAAAACTAGTTCATCCTACCAGCAACAGAGGCCCAGAAAAAGAAGTAGGTTGCCCAAGGCCAGACAGCAGAGATTGGAAGAGCCATTGACGACTGCACTCCTGATCTCTAGTACATCATTCTTTCTCCTCCTCACCAGGCCACATCCTTCCAAGGAAAAGTGAATGTGCTCATTTCCATGCTACTGAAAGCCTGTCATTCCTCAGCACTCATCCCCATCATCACCTCCATCTCCTTGATCAACAGCACGTAATTTGTCCTCATCCCCTACTGTTTAACCGATATGATCTCATGAAAATCCACTACAACTCAAGGCCAGGAGAATTCAGGCTCTGGCTTTCAGCCTCTTGCCCAGTGTAACCATTAGTGGCGTTCCCACACCAAGGGCTAATGTTGATTACATTACTACTAAAATGTTCCCAAATGGGATGAATCAGAAGTGGGATAACCTCGACATGAGAATTTGCCTCCTGTTCTCGGAAGAAACACTGTCATTGTCATTGTCCATATTTTTAATTCAATAAACACCCATTGAATATTAAATGTATGCCAGATCCTATTCTAGTGAAACCCAAATATTTTAGGGCCTCACAAGCCTGAAGCCACAACTAAGGACATGCTACTATGGTAGCTCACACAGTGTACACAGTAATGACTTCCAGACAGACACTGGCCCTGATTCCTGGTTTTCCTGCCCCTTAGTTCTGCAAAACAGGATCCAGGAGAACCAGCCATACCACAGCGCACTGCAGTCGGCTCAGGCACCACTCCTCACTTGTGTTGCTGTCTCCCTTCTCTATCAATCGGATTGCGACACTCTCCCATTTAGAAAGCCTCCAGTGACTTCCATCACATTTAAGAGGATTCTCAACTCTTTGTTGTGGCCTCCAAGGCCCTAGAAGCTGACCCCTACCCTCCAGTCTGACATTTATCATAGCCCCTTGCCTGCTCGGCCTGGCAGCAAGTGCCTCTTTCCCTTCATTCACAGGCAGGGCACTGTACCTACCCTCCTCCACCTAGTACATTGTTCCCCCAGAAATTCCTTCTTCTGAGTGAATCCCTATGATCTCTGCCCAATTACACAGTCTAAAGAAGCTGCCTGATGCTCTCTGGTGGTTTAGTGGCTAGGATTCACCTCTCTCACTGCTGCAGCCCAGGGTTCCATTCCCTGGGAGTCAGATGGGTATAAAGTTTCAGTTACGGACTTCAAGATCTGCTTGGTTAACACAGCAAGACCCCATCTCTACAAAACAGAAATTAAAAAGAAATTAGCTGGGTGTGGTGGTGCAAATCTGTAGTATTGGCTCTTCAAGAGACTGAGGCCAGAGGGTCACTTAGCCCAGGAGTTCAAGAATGCAGTGAGCTATTATTGTGCCAGTGCACTCCAGCCTGGGCGACAGAGCGAGACTCTGTTTCAAAAAAAAAAAAAAAAAAGAAACAGCTGAAATTAATTTTAATAGCCTATTGTATTTAACCCAATATATTAAGAAATATACATATATACGTATATATGTGTGTATGCATATATATGTAGATGATAGATAGATAGATAGATAGATAGATGATAGATAGATAGATTGATAGATTTTTTTTGGAGACAGGGTCCACTCTGTTTCCCAGGATGGAGTGCAGTGGTGTGATCATGGCTCACTGCAGCCTTATTGATGTCCTGGGCTCAAGCAATCCTCCTGCCTCAGCTCCCCAAGTAGCTGAGACTGTAGACACTAGCCACCACACCCAGCTAATATTTGTACTTTTTGTAGAAATGGCGTTTCACCATGTTGCCCAGGCTGGTCTTGAACTCCTGAGCTCCAGAGATCTGCCCACCTCTGCCTTCCAAAGTGCTAGGATTACAGGCTTGAGCCACCACGCCTGGCCTCAAAGTATTATTATTTTAACAGATAATCAATATAAAAACTATTAATGAGCTATTTTATAATATATGTGCTACTAAATCCTTTAAATCTGGGGTGTATTTTCCCTTGACAGCACATCTCAATACAGACGCTTTTTTTTCTAAAATGCTTGATCTGTCTTCAGATTTCATAACATTTACAATTGAAAAAATAGACCTGCATACCCAAGTTGCTCCAATACACTGAAAACTTTCCCAAAAACTGAATTTTCAATTTTTAAATTTAAATATAAATTAATTTAAATTAAATATAATTTTAAAATCAGTTTCCCAGTCACACAGGCCATCATATTGGACAGCAAGGCTTTAATATCTTATTGCTTGTTATAGTTTTCTACCAATTTGTGTCCTTGCTTTCATTTAAACTGAGATCTCCTCTGTCTGTTCACTACTTTATTCCTAGCACCAAGAATGGCAATCAGTGCAGCATTTAAGGAATAGTTATCAAATGACCACATGAACCTGCAGGCCAGAGAGTCCTATTTTTCAGACAGCTTAGCACTGTGGCTAAAAGCACAGACTCCAGGGCCATACTGCCTGTCTTTGAACCCAACCTTGCTATCTCTAGCAATGAGAACCTTGTGCAACTTATTTAGCCTCCCTGTGCCTCAGTCTACTTGTCTGTTGATGAAGGGAATAACAGCACTTAGTACATGGTGTTGTGAGAATTCAATGGGTTAACATTTCTAAAGACTGTTTACCTCAGGGCCTGGCCTTGGAAGCGCAGTGTTTGTTAAGTAAACTCTACCAAGTTTGGGCCCTCAGGTTGTTCAAAATTTGCTGAGCGTCAGGTCCCTGCATCATCTTTAGGCTCCCACCCCACCTGACCATTGCCTCTCTGCCTTTGTCTTGCAGTCCGGAGTATTCAACCCCAGCTGCTCTCATCGTTGGCCTCCCCATCAACCATGGTGGTGTTGAGGCCACTCCCCATCACTCACCTGGCCCACTGCCCAGACTTGATGCCCACTGGCAATCCTGGTTCCCATGACTACCCATTCTCCACTGTGAAATGGAAAGGGAAATAGGGACTCCTTCCTTCCTATATAAGGCCATTTTGGAGGCCCCAGCACATCCTGCTTGCCCCAGGCTGTTCTGGAAGATGCACACATACACAGGTGCATACATGCCTGTAGGGAAGCTGGGTCACCATAAGTGTATGTAACAGCCGCAGTCTGAACCTGGAACCATTTCTCCCACCTACGGCTCGCAGCCTTTGCCAAGACAGTTCACGAGACCATCCTCTCTCCCTCAGCATGAATCCTCTCCACAAAGTCCACAAATTTCTCTTGATTTTTTACTCCTACCTTCTGATGCTTGTATATATTTGAACGTCAGTGGTTGACATTGTCTAAATTCTTTTTATGGAAGGAGAGGTCTTGGCAGTTGCAGCAAGGTTAAGAGATCATTCTCTGTATATTCATCATTATGCAGAATTCAGCACACTTCCTGACAGATAGTGGAAACTCAATAAATATTTGTGGATTGAGGAATGGATGAATAAATTATGCTCCTTAGGCCCTGTGTAAGTCAGCTGGTTGAAGGGAAGGGGAGGGTCTATATTCTGTCACTTATACTCATATTGGACAGCACAGCTTTAATATCGTATTGCTTGTTATTGTTTTCTACTAGCTTGTGTCTTCACTTTCATTTAAGCAGAGATCTCCTCAGTCTGTTCACTACATTATTCTGGTTCTCAAAAATGAAGTACAGTGTTATTCTCTCCCTATACCCCCAAAGCCAGCACAGAAACAATGTTTCCACAGGTATGTCTTAATTAATTCATTCATCATTTTTCTTGAGATAAGAGTCTTGCTCTGTTGCCCAGGCTGAAGTGCAGTTGGCACTATCATAACTCACTGCAGCCTCAAACTCCCGGGCTCAAAGGATCCTCCCTCCTCAACCTCCCGTGTAGCTGGGACTACAGGTTCATGCCACCAAGCCTGGCTAATTTTTATTTTTATTTATGTAGAGACAGAGGTCTCGCTGTGTTGCCTAGGCTAGTCTGGAACTCCTGGCCTCAAGCAGTCCTCCTGCCTTAGCCTACCAAAGTACTGGGTTTACAGGTGTGACTACCATGCCCAGCCAGTATTGTCTTTAAATATCTAACCATAGAGAAAAGATATTTTATATGAGGTTTCCAGCATGATTTCTTTGCTTTTTAGCCAGAATATTTCTGAAAGACAGACCATCTATCTGGTCTGAGAGTGACTTACTTTGCAACAATATATGTGTAGTACACAAAAAAATTTCTCCTCATGATTGTAAGAATATGAGCACTTAAACTAAGCAATTTCTTCAGGTTTTATTCTTTTTTTTACACTATTAGCAAAAAGAAGTTTCAGTAGACAGAGGTACATGCTATTTAGCTAGGCCATGCCTTCATTTGGGGGAGTAATATTTTTGTCCTCTGGCAGGAAAGTGGAGTTACTAAAATTACTGTAAAACAAAAATTAAATCAATACAATGACAAAATAAGAAACACACCCATATTTGTCATATCACAGGTTTGAGATGGCCAAGTTGACAATGATGTCTTGGACTTTGACAACACAAAACATAAGTGAACCCTCAGAGCCACTAGACAGTCCAATCTCAGCATTCTACTGGATTTACTGTCCTCTCTAAGCCAATTATTTCATATTTTCTTGTGAGGGGTTGAATTGGGATCCCCCTAAAAGAGATATGTTGAAATCTAACCCCTAATATCTCAGATTATGACCTTATTTGAAAATATGGTCATTAACTAATTACATTGTTGTTGATGTACTTTGTTAAGATGAGATCATACTGGAAAGGGTGAGCCCCCAATCCAATATGATTAGTGTTCTTATAAAAAGAAGAGACAGGCACGCTGAGGAAAGAGTCCATGTGATAGCAGAGGATGGAAGTGATGACTCTACATGCCAAGGAACCATAAGGATTGCCGACAAACCACCAGAAGATAGAGAACTAAGGAAGGATTCCCCTACAAGTTTCAGAAGGAGCATGGCCCTGTGACACTTTGATTTCAGACTTCTAGCATAAAAGAAAATAGTTTTTTGCTTTGCATTTACCATGTATTAACTGAGATACCATTTGTAGGACAAGGCTTCAGTAAACAGCTTGTTTGTAGTAACGAGAGCAACAAAGTTATAATCATTTCATAGAAGATTCCTAGGAAAGACTGTGTAAACACCATCTATGTGCACCTGAGATTTTTTCCCTCTGTTGTGGGAAAAGTATGAATAAATAATCCTGAAATATCAAAGACTTAATATATTGAAAAAAATTAAGAAACTTTATTTCTAAAACTTGTAATAAACATAAGTTTAATTCCTAACATGGCTAAGTAATGTGAGCACATTTTTCCTTTTAGGCCATGGCACAAAAGTTACATTCAGTTTAAATTGAAATTTCCATCATTAATTAATATATCCTGGTATGCTAGGAGACAACCACCTCAACTGCCTTGCAAGAATTTTGCAGATACTGGCTTCTTTTTCATCCTATATTCCATGTTTAGTATTGAATAAGAATTTGAGTCAGTGAAAGCTTTTACTTTTAAGAAGTGCATAATATTCAACCTTCAAATTCTCAGTGGCTTCTCTAGTTCAGGGGTACAAGTGCAGGTTTTTTACATAGGTAAACTTGTGTCATGGGGGACTGTTGTACAGAATATTTCACCACTGAGGTATTAAGCCTAGGACCCATTAGTTATTTTTCCTGATCCTCTCCCTCCTCCCACCCTCCACACTCTGAAAGGCCCTGGTGTGTGTTGTTCCCCTCTCTGTGTCCATGTGTTCTCATCATTTAGCTCTCACTTATAAGTGAGAACATGTGGTATTTGGTTTTCTGTCCCTGTGTTAGTTTTCTAAAGATGATAGCCTTCAGCTCCATCCATGTCCCTGCAAGGAACATGATCTCATTCCTTTTTATGGCTGCATAGTATTCCATGGTGTATATGTACCACATTTTCTTTAGCCAGTCTATCATTCATGGACAACTACGTTGATTCTATGTCTTTGCTATTGTGAATATTGCTGCGATGAATATATACATGCATGTACTTACTAGATACACTTATACTTGCTAGGAGAGGAATTTCCAAGTTGCTATTATCGTGTTATTAGGTCTATGTGACTACATCACACTGTTGGAAAACATCCACAGGAACTGCCTGTTTTCAAGACCAATTTGCTCTATTGTAATTGAATCTACTCCATCAGTTAATGTTTGGTCCTCTGTGAGATTTGAGAAGCATCTTTTTATAGAAAGAGCTTTGACTTTAAAGCCAGACTGAAGTCTCTGCTCAACCATTTACAGCTAAAGCCCAGTTATTTCATTTGGACAGCAGAGACTATAATCCTAACTTGAAGAGCTATTGAACATATTTGAAAGGCTAGATAGATAGATAGATAGATATACATAGTTTCAGCATGATACATGTTCAATAAAGAAAAGTTGTTACTTATTTTTGTCATTATTTTTCAGTGGCAAAAGTGGAGACCAGTGCATTGCTATTCTACATGTAATGGTTCTGAGCTTATTTCTTCTGGGGCAATTGGAGCAGATGGACCATTTAAGCCCTTGAAGCTTATGATGTATTCGTGGAGCACCTGAACTGTCATTTCAAAGAATACATCACCATTTTATTGAGGACAATAATACGAAATGTGATAGATTGCCTGGTTAAATCTCAAACCACTTCATCTGGTTACTTTGGGATTTTCCTTTTTTCCAGGAAAAAAGATTATGGAGGTATAATTGACAAAAGTTGTGTATATTTTAGGTGTACATATGATGTTTTGCTATATTTATATGTGGTAAAATGTTTACCAAAATCAAGTTATTTAAGATCTACTCTTTTAGCAAATCTCAACTATACATTATTAATTATAGTCATCATACTATACATTGGGTCTCCAGAATTTATTTTTTCCATAATTGAAAGTTTGTACCCTTTGGCCAGCATCTCTTCACTGTGGCATTTTATAAATCAGATTTTTCAATTATATTTTCCAGAAGGGCACTGATAAAGGAGGACGTCTAACACATCCTCATGGATATATTGAGATAATGCTTACTTCCACAAGAACACGTATGTAACTCCAAATCCAATGTGATTGAGACAATGGGTGATATTATAAGGATAGTCTTTTTTTTAAAAAAAAATACTTTCCATGAACCTTAGTACCATGTTATTCATAATAAATCATCTTTGTCATATCACTGCTGATCATGACACATTAGATTCTGGCTGCATCCCCATGGGGAATGCTGCTGCTATAAACCATGCAAGAACCTAGGAATACAACAATTATAACCTAAGAGGTGAAAAGATGAACAATAGTGTGTGAAAAACATCAAGATGAGAGAGACAGACTAAAATATTTAGCCATCAATGATCTGATGTGGCATCACATGAAGATGTGCTTCTAAGTGCAAATGAATAGCCCATGAACTGGACTCATGAAAATTACCTATGCCAAGAAAAAAATCATCATTTACTAATAAATGTATCACAACTGTCATTCCAATGAATATTCATCACACACACACGCACACATTTAGAAGCTGCTGAACTCAAATAACTGGACTTGGCTATTTTTCCCTATTTCGTTCAGACACTATACAGTTCATCACCAGGGCAGTGCAAGAAATGATTACCACCTTCATTATGCAACCTCTGTATTCATTGGCAAAGGAAAAAAGTTAATAGTATTCATGTGATTGTCAACGATGTATACTTCGTTGTTAGAGAAAGATAAGAGTTTAAAACAATTTTTTATCTCTATGTTTATCTTCTACATTGTCATGTAAAACCAAAAATCTGAGATTTGAATACTTCACAAGACTAGCCATAAGCTTTCTGTTTGCTGGTTTGTATCTTTTCTTGCTTTCAATTTTAACGCAGTCAAAACCCTAAGGGATTAGTTCTCATCTCTTAAGAATGACTGTTTAGCATATAATTTATTACCACCTTCGGTATGCATAAACTCCCTATTTTATTTAAAGATACCAGGTGCAATATTACCATGGATCTAAACTGGAAATCAGACTCCCAAATGAGATATGTTTTCCTTAGTGGTTGTGTAAAATTCCCATTATGCTAATAGTACTTCAGAGTGCATGTTAAGAAAGAATATAGCCCTAAGTGTCTATTTATGAAAGCTTCTCTTTGAAAAGGAAAGTCTTTTAAAATGATACTCATTTTTAGTACATGAAAAGTATTAGACATTCTCGTGATTGGTTAATTGTACCATGATTTTCACAAAATAGTTAAATCCCATTTACTTCTGGAAATCTGGATTATATAAAACTCTCATTATTCTGGTGGTGCTACACTATTGGCTACACATTGTTTATATGTTCATTCCTTAGGCATCCTGAATAATTTTTGTTATATTTCAACATTTGAGACATTTGGGATCCACAGCAGTTTTTTAAAAAGTGTTTTAACTACATGTCTTGCCCTTTTTCTTGTCTCAATTTAAGTTTCTTTTTAAATTGAGAAATGTATTTATTTGATGAAATGAGCTAAAAGCATATTTTAATAATTTTCAATTACTCCATAAGGGTAACATCTGGCTGTTTACATCAAAAGGCAAAATATGGTATTCATAAGAGTTTATAAATAATATATATATATTAGATCAGATGAATGCTCTATGAAGTTTTTACTCTGCCACCTACAGTGAATATATAAACTTAAAAGATTAATTGAATATTCTCTAACCATGAATAAGCAAATTCCCATTACTTAATACTACAATATAGATTTCCAAAGTAATTAACACTTTGCATTTCTGTTCCGTGAAATTCTGTCTGTAGCATATTAAGTATACTTTTGTACTGAAAGGAGTTTCTTCATGACCAAAAATACTCTTCAGGGGCAAAGTAAGAATTTTGTACACTAAACCGTCACCAAATGATTCTATAGGGTCTAACACAATCACTTTGTTTTCTAAGTATTGCTACCTTATTTCTGGAAATGCTTTACCCCTCTGGGAGACACAGTCTAACCAGTTTGATTAAAGTCATTTGGAACAATGTCCTTCTTTATCCTCTTTCCTTTTACTGTATTTGTGTGAAAATCTATTACGGACACTCCATTGTGCAGGTATAGTAATTAAAACCAGGTGGAAAGTTGGTATATATTTGTATCTTTTCAGTAATTGCAATAGACTCAAATATTTCTAATTGAAACGACTGGATTCCTCCTCCAATTATTGTCTCCACAGAATTACATGAAACTCTTACCATGACACTCTGCCCAGGCCTGTTCCTCATCATTATCTTGTTCCCTCCTACTAATGGGACACTTTTACCAAATTTTGGCTGACCTCATTCAGGTGGAAAGGAGAAGAATTTATTAAATCAATTTTTATATATAACAGCACAGGATTTCCTTCCCTTTCACCAACTCTCCCACTCCTCTCTCTCCCCCATATAGAATGTGAACAAGAAATATTTGTTGAATGCAGACTCCCTGCAAACTATTTTTTTCTTTTTGATCAAAATGAATAATTCATTAGACTAATAAGAAACACACACACACAATTTATTACCATTCATCAGACGTCTGTTTTAGGGTCTCCTCTGACATTATGAAACTTGCTTAGTTTCCCCATCTGTAAGATGGAGATAACAATAACATCAACCTCACATATTGTTGTAGGCATTAAATAAGTTACTACCTTATTCTAAGTACCTGGCACACATTACTCACTTTATACATGATAACAATTATTATGATTATTATGGTCAATTGTTCTTTCGGGGATAACATGATCAATGACTGTGTAGATCTCATGTTACCAGAGATACAAACCCTGAAAAGGAGTAGATTCTATTCTAAAGTTGAACTACTTGTCCTTCTGGGAAGCATGCATTCTTCATTAGGTCCTTGACAGATACAAGCACAGGTATCTAAGAATAATTATACTCTCCCAGCAGAAGATGGGAAAATGGAAAACCACAGAGACCAAGAGTAACAAGGGCAGAAGCACAATTAGGCAACATGTTGCTGCTTGGGCTCTGACCTCCCAGCACCTATTTCTCAATCAGATTTTTGTTTTGTTTGTTTTGTGGATTTTAAAACTGCGATAGGAAACACATAACAAAATTTACCATCTTGACCATTTTTAAGTGCACACTTTGATAGTGTTAACTATATTCCCATTGTTGTGCAACAAATCTCCAGAAATTTTTCATCTTGCACATTGAAACTCTGTACCCATTTAACAAAACCTTTCCATTTCACACCTCTCCCCATCCCCTGGTAACCACCATGCTACCTTCTGTTTCTATAAATTTGACTACTTTAGACACCTCATATAAGTGAAATCATACAATATTTGTCTTTTCATGACTGGCTTAATTCACTATAATGTCCTTAAGGTTCATCCGTACTGTAGCATGTGACAAGATTCCCTTCCGTTTTAAGAATTAATAGTATTTCATTGTATATATATATATACCACATTTTCTTTATCCATTCACCTGCCAATAAGCATTTAGCTTGTTTCCACCTTTGGCTATTGTGAATAACACTGCAATAAACATAGGAGTGCAAAAATATCTTTGAGATCCTGCTTTTAATCCTTTTGGAAATATACCCAGAAGTGGGACTGCTGAGTCATATGGTAGTTCTATTTTCGCTTTTTTGAGAAACTGTCATGCTGATTTTCATAGCAATTGCACTATTTTACAATCCAATCAACGTTGTACAAGAGTTCCAGTTTCTCCACATCCTCCCTAACACTTGTTATTTTTTTTTTTTTTTGATAGTAGCCATTTTGATGGGTAGGGAGTGATATCTCACTGTAGTTTTGATTTGCATTTTTCTAATGACTAGTGATGTTGAGCTTATTTTCATAAGTTTGTTGGCTATTTAAATATCATCTTTGGAGTAATGTTTATTTAAGTCCTTTGCCAATTTTTTAATTGGATTATTTGTGAATATTTTCTTGTCATTTTTCGGTTACAGGAAGTTTTTAAAAATAAATTCTCAATATGAACTACTAATGAGAAATATGATTTGCAAATATTTCTCCCATTCTGTAGGTTGACGTTTTACTGTATTGACAATGCTCCTTGGTGCACAGAAGTTTTTAAGTCTGATATAGTCCAAGTTGTCTATTTTTGTTTTGTTGCCTATACTTTTGATGTAATGTCTAAGAAATCACTGCCAAATTCAAATTTATGAAGTTTTGTCATCATGATTTCTTCTAGGAGTTTTATAGTTTGGTTTTTATTTAGGTCCTTAATTTATTTTGAGTTAATTTTTGAATGTGGTGTAAAAATCTAACTTTTACATGAGGATATCCAGTTTTCCCAACACTATTTGTTGAAGAGACTGTCCTTTCCCCATTGAGTGAACTTGGAACCCTTGTCTGGCTTTTTATTCTATTCCAGTGGACTATATATCTATCTTTATACCAGTACTACAATGTTTTGATTACTATAGTTTTGTAATATGTTTTGAAAACAAGAAGTATCACACTTCCGATTTTTTTGATCTTTCAATATTGTTCAGACTATTCTGGGTCTCTTAAAATTTCACATTTTTTTATAGGTTTTTCTATTTCTGAAAAAGAAATATTGCTGGGATTTTGATACAGACTGTGGTTGAATCTGTAGGTCACTTTGGACAATATGGTCATCTTAACAATATTAAGTCTTCTAATCCATGAACATAGAATGCCTTGCCATTTATTTGTATCTGCTTTTATTTCTTTCAGGAATATTTTGTAGTTGTCAGTGTGCAAATTTTTCACCTCCTTGGTTATGTTTATTCCTAAGTATTTTATTTTTTGGTGCTGTCACAAATGGAATTGTTTTCTTAATTTTCTCTATGGATTGTTTATTGTTACCATAAGAAATGCAACTGATTTTTGTGTTTTGATTTTGTATCTTGCAACCTTGCTAAATTTGTTTAATAGTTCTGACAGTTTTTTATGCATGTTTTCTAAGGTTTTCTAAGATTATGTAATCTGTGAACAGAGATAATTTTAATGCTTATTTTCAAATTTGAATGTCTTTTATTTCCTTTTCTTCCTAACTATTCTGGCTAGTGCTTTCAGTTCTATATCTAATATACATGCAGCTTTCTTGTCATGTCTTTAATCTTAAAGGAAAACCTTTCAGTCTTTTACCATTGAGTATATTAACTGTGGGTTTTCATATATGGACTTTATTATGTTGAGATAGTTTCCTTCTATTCCTAGTTTGTGTTTTTAACATTATAAAGGTGCTGAATCTTGTCAAATACTTTTTCTGTATCAATTGAGATAATTAAGTAGCTTTTGTTATTCATTCTGTAAATGTGATGTATTACATTGATCAATTTTTGTGTGTTGACTCTTCCTTGCATTTCAGGAATAAATCCCGCTTTGTCATGGTTTATAATCCTATTCATGTGCTGTAGAATTTGGTTTACTGGTGTTTTGGTGAGGATTTTTGCATCAATATTTATAAGAGATTTTCATCAGTAATTTTATTTTTTTATGTCATTGGTATCAGGGTAAAGATGGTGTCATAGAATTATTTGGGAAGTGTTCTCTTCAATTTTTAAAAAGATTTTAAAGAAGATTATTACTGACTCTTCATTAAATGTTGGGGAAAATTCTTCGATGAAACCATCTGGTTCTGGCTTTTCTTTCTTGGGAGGTTTGTTTCAGTGCCATCAGTAATGATGTCTCTCTTTCATTTTTGATTTTATATGTTTGACTCTTCTCTCTTTTTTTCTTAGTTAATGTAACTAAGGATGTCAATTTTGTTGATCATCTCAAAAATTAACATTCCATTTCATTGTTTATTTTTGTTTTTCAATTCTCTATTTCATTTATCTCTATTGTAATCTTTACTATTTCTTTATGCTAACTTCAGATTTAGTTTGCTGCTTTTCTAGTTCCTTGAAGTGTGAAGACGGGTTGTTGATTTTAAATATTTCTCTTTTTTAATAGCAACATTTACAGCTATAAATTTCCCTCTTCACACTGCTTTTACTGCATTACCTAAGTTTTGCTATGTTGTGTTTTTATTTTCCTTTTTCTCAAGGCATTTTGTAATTTCTCTTTGATTTCTTCTTTCACCCATTGAATACTTAAGATGATGTCATGTTGCTTAACTTTCATGTATTTGTAGATTTTCCAGTTTTTCTTCTGCCACTGATTTCTAGTTTCATTCTATCATAATCAAAAAAATACTTTGTATAATTTCTATATTTTTAAATTTGCTAAAATGTCCTTGTGGCCCAATGTGTAGTCTATGCTGAAGGATGTTCCCTGTACACATGAGAAGAATGCATATTCTGCCATTGTTGATGGAGTGTGCTCTTTGTGTCTGGTAAGTCCAAATGGTATATAGTTTAAGTCCTCTGCTTACTCTTTGGTCTTCTGTTTGGTTGTTCTATTCTTTATTTAAAGTGGACATTGACCATTGACATCTTCTACTGTTATTGTGTCACTGTGTCTTCCTTCAATTCTATTGATGTATGCTTCATATATTTGGAAGCTCTAATTTTTGGTGTACATATATTTATAATTGCTACATCTTCTTGGTGAATTGATGTCTTTGTCATTATATAATGTCCTTATTTGTCTCTTGTAACAGTTTTGACTTAAAGTCAATTTTATCTGTTGGTTAACCATTCATATGGATTATCTTTCTTCATCTCTTGACTTTCAGTTTATGTATATCATTAGGTCTAAAGTAAGCCTCTTGTAGACAGTGCATAAATTCTGGCTTTTTTATTTATTTATTTTGTTGTTGTTGTTGTTGCTGTTCTAAAAAGAGAAATCTTAGCCTATCTATGCCTTTCCATTTGGGAGTTTAACCAATTTACATTTAATGTAATTGCTGACAGGGAAGGGCTCACTAATTACCATTCTGTTAATTGTTTTCTGTATGTCTTTTGGCCTTTTTCCCTTTTCTTTCTTATTGCCTTGTGTTTTGTTCATTCCTTGTAGTGTCATACATTGATTTCTTTCTCATTTCCTTTTGCGTACTGTTGTTCCCCCACACACATCTTATGTTATTAATATCACATATTATATCTTTATATATTACACGTTTATTAACAGATATTCATAGCTTTTATGCTTTTGTCTTTCAAATTCTATACAAGAATTAAAAGTGGATTTATGCACCAAAAATACAATAATACAGATTACTGTATCTGTCCATGTATTTACCTTTAGCATAAAACTTTCTATTTTTATATGGCTTTCTTTCTGTTGCTTGCTAGTATCCCTTTGTTTCAACATATGGACTCCCTTCAGCATTTCTTATAAAGCGGGTCTAGTGGGAATGACCTCCTTCAACTTTTATTTATCTGGAAAAGTCTTAATTTTGCCTTCATTTTTAAAGAAAAAATTTGCTGTTCATGGTATTCTCGTTTGACTGTTTCCCCCGCCTCCCTACCATCATGTTGAATGTATCGTCTCACTGCCGTGTAGCCTGCCAGGTTTCTGCTGAGAAATCCACTGATAATTTTATAGAGGTTCCCTCGTATGTGATGAGTCACATTCTCTTGCTGCTTTCAAGAGTCTCGTTTTGTCTCTGACTTCCAACAATTTAAATATAACATATCTTGGTGTGGGTTTCTTTGGATTTACCATAGTTGGATTACATTGAAGTTCTTGAATTTGTATGCCCATTTCTTTACTCAAATTTGGGAACTTTTTGGCCATTATTTTTTTCCCATAGGCTCAGTGCCTCTTTTTTAATCTTTTTCTTGGACTTCCAAATTGCAAATATTTTTTATTTGATGATACTGCATAAATCCCTTAGGCTCTCTTCACTTTTATGCATTCTTTTTTCCTTTTGCTCCTCTGACTTAATGATTTCAAATGACCTGCCTTCATACTCATCGATTCTTTCTTTCTTCTGCCTAAGTCCGCTGTTGGATTTTCTGGTTAATTTTTCAATGTTGTTATAGTGTTATTCAGTGTCAGAATTTCTGTTTGGTTCTTTTTTACAGTTTCTATTTCATTGTTGATAGTCTCATTTTGTTTATGCATCTTTATTTTGTTTACTTGTCTTTGTTCTCTTTTAGCTTATTAAGCATCTTTAATATAGTTACTTTAAGTTTTCAGGTAGTTCAAAGATCTGTTTCTTTAGGGCCCATTTCTGAGCTGTATTTTGTTCCTTTGGTTGTGCCATGTTTTGTAGTTTCTTTGGTATGTTGTGTGGATTTTTGTTGTTGTTCAGTAGGGCTTTTGATAAAACAATCACCTCTCCTCTTTACAGACTGCCTTCATGCAAGAGAAAACTACCAATTTGCTCAGCTAGAGGTTCTGGAACCTCTCAAACCTTGTCTGAGATGTTTTCTTGGTTTGTGCATGTTCTAATTTTCTAAACAGAAGTCATAAATAATGTAATTGCAGGTAAGGAACTGCAAGTGATCAATATTGCTGGAGCAAAAGGAAGAGAGAGAAGGCTGAAGAGACTGGTACAAGATAGATCACGGAAGAACAGGTTAAGGATTTAGAATTTTATGTGTATTTCCTCCGAGTAATAGCCTTTCTCTTTTTTCTGCTGAGACTGCATTTCTAAGCTTCATTCCCCTGACACACTCCTGTTCATTCCCCAACACCTAACTTGTGTCTCCACCTTGGTGAAGTGTTTCATGACTTCTTTTATTCAGCACCCACATCTTTCTAGGAGGCAGAATTAATCTTTTCCTCTTCTGGGCTCTTCAGTGTTACACTATGCATTGAAATTATCTGTTTAAGCTTCCAAAATATATACCTCATTAAAATCCATAATTGTAAGGCTACCGATTTGAAAGAAACTTGAAATCCTGCGCACTGAAAATGCATTTTGTATGTTAAAGGCAACACTCTCAGAGCAAACTAAAGCAGGATAAAAATTTAAAGAATGTAGCAGCCTTTGGCTTCCTCTATAAAAGTATCAATAACGAGTAATAGCATCATTTACTTTGAGTATTCTCTGATAGACTATCACAATTCTAGAGTTTGTATAAAATTTTTTTCATATAAATACAGTTTTATTGCTTAATATAGTTTCCTTTAATTTGCTAATTTTTCATCTATTAAATTAATATTTTCTGAGTACCTACAATGTATAAAGTTGTATATTGCATTGAAGAGAAAAATAGGATATTTTTAATAAGAGCCTAACAATTGAATTGGAGATTTAAGACATATCGAAATAACTGTGTATACAGTTAGTTACAGTTAGTTCACATAGCACTAACTGGAAGGAAGGAGCATACAACTACCTCTGGGATGATGCTCTAAAGCTTCTCAGATGAGGTGGCAACAGAGCTGGCCCTGGAAGGAGGAGTAGGACTGATGAGTTTATGACATTCAGATTCATGAATAAGGCAAAAGGTAGCAAAAGGTGGCTAGTTTAGAGAGCACATACATTGTGGGTCAGTAGTGGCTACTGAAGGCCAGTTTAGTGTTAGGCCTTCATTCTGATAGAAAATAGGGAACCTCATAGCTTTTGATAAGAGTAATGACATTAACAAATTGTGGTCTTTTCGGAGATTCATTTTGGCAATGTTGTGAAATTGGATTTAAAAGGGTAGGAGAAAGCAGCACAGAAGTGACCAGAATGAAAAAACATTAATGCAGTAATCTAGGTATACAACAGTGAGGCTCAGATAGTGACGGTAAGACTGAAAAAGAATTCATCGACAAAAAACACTTCTAAAGTTCTCTATGCATATTTACTTTATTACTGATAAATTATTATTACTATCATTTTCTGTGATACATTTTCTCCCTAAATGCTCTAATCATATGATTATACAGGTCCAGGTTATGTCAGAATCACTTACCTAGTGCCAGAAAATGACCCATTCCTCATTAGAATTCTATGAGAACCATGAAGCCAAAGTGTTCCTTTCAAATGGGTTTGTTCTCATGCTTAAAGTTGTCCCGAGATACCAGTTAAAGAGTAGTTTCAGAAAAGAATGAGACATCAAAACACACTTGGTTATTTTTATTATATTTGCAGGCCACTGCATTTTAAGGGTAGTTTATATTATTAATATATTATGAAGAGTTTTGCATCTGCAAAAAGAAAAATAGTCTCTGTCATGAGAATAGCTCTTTCTAGGAGACTGTGCTTCCATCTGGAGCTCTTTGCATGAATTTTAGTCGAACTCCAATAATTTTTTAAAATGTATTCCCCACAGTATACAATAGATGATATTTTAATTGAAGTATAATATACATACATAAAAATGTACATACTACAACCATTCTGCTAGCTGAAGTTTTACAAACCGAACATCTGCATAATAGGACTCAAGTCAAGAAATAGGGCATTCCAGTACTGTGAAGGCCTCCTCATGCTTTCATGCAGTTCCTACCTCCCCCTCCAGGGGATAACCCCCTCCACATTTCTAATATCATAAATTCGTTTCAACTATCTTTGCACTATTATGGAATCAAATAGTATGTATTGTTTTCCTCTGGTTTTCTTCACTCAATGGTTTGTAAGATTCACCCATTTTGCTACATGTAGTTGTAGCTCACTTATACCCATTGCTGTATAGTATCTCATTGTGAGTATGTCACAATTTTATTTATGCATTTACATATCGCAGGAATCAGCAAACTATGATTCACTTGTCAATTGCCTATTTTTTAAAATAAGGCATTATGGGAACACAGCCATGTCCATTTATGTACATATTGTCTACAGCTGCATTCATGCTACAATGACAGAGTTCAGCAATTGCATCAGAGACTTATGGTCCATAAACCTAAAATATTTACCATCTGCTCTTTATAGGAAAAGTGGTTTACATGGATGTTGAGGACTCATGATGCACCGGTGGATTGGGTAGTTGAGGAGCACCTCATACTTTGACCCTGCATCATACAGGGCAAGCAGGCTTCACTGGAAAGGGATGAAGCTCTTCCTTCAGGGGTGAGACAAGGCTTAGTTAAGGGGAAGATAAAAAGGGAGCATAAGAAGTGTTTGAGCCTGTGAGAGATGACGTTAACCATGGAGAAAAAGTTCCAGGGGACATAGGAGGAAGGTTGTGGGGCAAAATAACGTGGGTATGAAAGAGCCCATAGCTGCATAATCAGAACTATAAACAAATTGTAGACAAATAGATGTGCGTGCTCATCAGTTTGCCTTAATGTTACAGTTAGAAGTGGTTCTGAAGCTGCTCTACTGCCATTTGCATAGCACTCTACAGTCTACAGAGTGAAACTATTTAATTTGAACCTCTAAACAAGAGATAAGCATAAAACCTAGGTAGAATTATTCTTGAAATATCATGAAAAGCATTTTTCACTATGCACCTTGTGAAAATGAGCCGGTTTGCATGTAATGTCTATAACATCCACATAAACAGAAGTCATTATCAGATAAATCTTTTGATTCTCATGTACCTTTTTTATTCTGCAGCGTGTAAGCCATTTGTGCATTCTGTTTTCTCAAGTACTTCCTAGAGAAAATACATTAATTGATGTGCCTATTTAAATGTAGTTTTATCAGTAGTAATTCTAATTGCTGAGTTTAATTTGGCAACCTTAAGGAGTGCTAAGTCTCTAAAAACTCATCCTGTCTCTATGTTGCTTTGAACCATAAATTTAAAATAATTGGAGAAATAGAAATGACAACTGTTCAAGTCCTTTATATATTAGGATTAGGATTTCCCTAAGAAAATTCAAAGAATCTAAAAACTATCTTCCATAGTAGAATAAAGTTTGACAGTGACTCAAAAAGGAAGTAGACTTACTTCTTTCTTATTGTTGATGAAATCAAATTTAACAATAAGAAAGTCTGTAACAAGTTCATGTGTATCTTTGTTTGCTTTTTACTTATTATCATGATAACCCTTCTTGTTTCCTCAATATATCCTAAGAATAATAATAGCATTTGGAAAGTTATTTTCCTTCCTCAAAACGGAGAATGAAAACTTAAATCTCACAATGACATTATGAAGTTTATCACTCTTCTCTTCATTTAAAACCAGTCAGTAAATATATTTTAGCATACCTTCTTTTGTATGGTGCCAGGCTTTCTGTACTATGAAAAAACTGGGTGCAGAAACTTTTTAAAAATTTTCTTTTGGTATTCTAACACCAGCTATAAAGTTAGGAAAAGTAACACAAGCATCTAATACTTGAGGCACAATCACCCTTGCCACCTATTAGCTTTGTTGGGTTATTACCCCCCTCACTGAAAAAAATAACAAACTCTGCTTGCTATAGTGGGAGTGCTCACCGTGCTGAAGCGCTGGCCGGGGCAAGAGCTGGAGAATGGGGCTTTTGTTAGTTATCCTTTTTTTGTTGTTTTCTCACAGGCTGGTCTTGACTATTACTTCCTTCTTCGTGCCTTATCTGTGGGTGAAATAATCCTCTGGAAAAATGAAGGGTAGCTTGACCTCTCATTTATCTCTGTCCAGAGTCCACTGTCACCAGACTGATGAAAAGTGGGGAAAATAGTCCGTCAGCAGAGCCTGTTAATTCAAAGATCACTGTCTGACTCATTTTGTTTTGGGAGTATAGACTTTCTTTCTGTTAAGTGAACAAATTATTTTCTTTCTGTCCAGTTCAGGTATAGAATGATTAGGGCCCCTGAAGAGTAAATTGGACTCTGATGACTGTGGTAACGCAGAAGTTGGAAAGTCAACAGCGTTGTTAAAATAAGACTTTCCTTCCAAGTGTCATTATGTGTGCCAGAGCCAACTGTTCGTGACAGCACCAAGAAACAGGCCTGGATTGATAAAGCTGCACTTAGACTTATCCAAATTAAGGCAAAAAGCTAGCTGGGAATGGACAAACCAGACAGCACAGATTCGTGGAGACAAAAGTTGCCCTTTGATTGGAGTGTGTAAATCAAAATTTGCTAAAAGTTTGAATTTCTTCCTGAAGTTTCCTTTGCTTTTCTCCAAAGATATTTTGTGTTGATAAACTAAATCATTTTTCAATATTCTCCTTCCTCTTAGACTGAAACCCATGAATATCTGTGAGCTCACAGATATCATAGAGGTAACTAAATGTATAAAAGTGCTTCTATTTGTTATCTTAGAATATGTCATAGGAACCTCCTCTTTGAGGCCAAACTTCGTAACAGTGGAGACTGTGTGACATGGTTTGGCTGTGTCCCCACCCAAATCTCACCTTGAATTGTAATAATCCCCATGTGTCAAGGGCGGGGCCAAGTGGAGAAATTGAATCATGGGGGCGGTTTCCCCCATACTGTTCCTGTGGTAGTGAATAAGTCTCAGGAGATCTAATGAGTTCATAAAGGGGAATTCCCCTGCACATGCCCTCTTGCCAGCCACCATGTTAGACATGCCTTTGCTTCTCTTTTGCTTTTCACTATGATTGTGAGTCCTCCTAAGCCATGTGGAACTGTGAGTCCTTAAATCTCTTTCCTTATCAATTACCCAGTCTCAGGTTTGTCTTTATAACAGCGTGAGAACAGACTAATACATTGTCCTAAAGTGGCTCAGAGAAGAATCTAGCAGCTGGTGATAATCTTACCTTGATAGTTTAGGGGGTGTAGGGAAATGGGATAAAAATAAAAAATAGGGCTGGGCACAGTGGCTCACACCTATAATCCCAGCACTTTGAGACACTGAGGAGGGAGGATTGCTTGAGGCCAGGAGTTTGAGACCAGCCTGGCCAACCTAGTGAGACCCCATCTTTTCAAAAACAAAAGAGAATGAAAAATATGAGCACTTTCTAAAGTGACCATAAAGAGTTCTGATTGAAATGAGAAAAAAAAATACATGTAATATGTTATTCTGGGATGGGGACTACAAAAACAATTTGATCCCAATTTCAGATATACATATGTATTTCCACACCAGGTATCAACAGTGGCTACTTATGAGTGGGACAATCATGGTAGATTTTTATTTATTTGTCTTTTACAACACAATTGACAACATAACTGGTGCCAGTTACTTTGTAGATTATGGTTTGAGGGAGCAAGTTGCCACACTTTTTCCCATCTGCAAAGCAGGGAAGGAAATGCTTCACTGAATTGTTGTGATGACTGAATGAGGTAAACTCTGAGTGAACTAGACAGATAACTATTCACCAGTATTCTAGAGAGACTGGGGAAAGCAGATGGAAATAAAAAGGGAACAAACTGAGAGAGAAGCATAACAGGCCAGAAAAGAAAGTTATATGTTGGGGATATAGCTTGAAATGTGATCAGAGTGTGTGTGGATAGGGCAGGTCAGCGGGGGACAGAGCCGGAGTCTGTTTTCCAGGTGACTGTGTGGTGTCTCCTGCAGCCGCACTCCCTGAGCACCACAGAGCTCTTTTCATTCTTTATTACAGAGGCCAGGGAGTGCAATGACTTGTCCACAGTCACATTTTTCAGCACTCTCTGTGGTCCCTGAAGTCTACCCATCCATTACGCATCCAAGTAAAGCTCATGAAAGTCAGAGAGCATGCCGCCCCAGCCCTCCCTCTGTCCTCCCCTGTGTCTCTTGCTCTCTCGTCTCTGGAGATTTACCTTGGTCTTCAGCCTCAATCTACTTGTTCATGACTTTGGTCTGTCTCCTCTTCACCTGTCTTCTTGAGTGAGGATGCTCCAGTTCCAACTCATGGCATATCACCTCAGCCTTACCATCACTCACATCCCTCTACCAACTTGGAGCACAACTTGGGCAATACCAGATTAAACAATACTCTAGCGTTTGGAATGCTTAAATTCCAGTTTGTCTGTTACTTCAAAAGATGAAGGCTTCTACCTACATTGCATCTCTTTCTTTTGATAGAGTATCTAGATACAGACACAATCAATATTAGAAGTCCTACAGAAGTCATTTTGTAATTAATATTTTTGGTAGCATGTCAAAAGAAAAGCAAAAAGGGTTGTAATAGATAAGACATACAAACACCTTTACTCTGTAATTTACCTTTCCTGAATTATGATAGCTTAAATGTCTCCTACCTAAGTACTTTCACAAGCATATTTATAAATCATAACAGGAACTCTTATTATAACAATCCTAATACATGTTTGTTCATGCCTTCATGTTCTTGAAGGTATATTCTTTAACTTTTTCTATTTTGGTTTTGACATGTATCTATGACTATTGCCAAGTTTAAAATTTATAATAACTCTTAATTTTAAAATATTTTTAAAGTATATTGATGGTATTTAAATGTCAAAAAATTATTTTACATTTACTTGAGGGAAACAAATTCAGTTTATGTAAATTTTAAAATGAGAATAAAAACAAGACTCAGTAGCAGTTTGTATCTTTTAAACATAGCCCTGTGAGTCTATGTTTCCAAGAAACAATTTTTTCTTTAGTGACCACTACAAAAGAATAAAAAATACTGTCATAAAAATATTGTACTTCATGTGTCCCTTGGGCAGTTAGTTGAGTCATTGCCCTAAGAAAGAAAAGACCAGAATTCTCATAAAAGTCCAGTGTTGACTCACCAGATGTTTATGGCTGAGCCATTCTTGTGTGTGCTTTTCCTAGGAAAAAGAAACTCTTGTACCCATCTCATCCATCTCTTCTCAAAAGAAACAAGGCCATTTCAGTATCTTCAAATCTGAAAAACAGTACTTCCTTAAAATCATGATGATTTTATATCCATTTTGAATAACATTTTAATAAGGTTTTATTAAAATGTTTTGGCTTTGTCTAAGTTTTCTGAGGCAAAGTTCTGGATACTTTGTCCAATCTTCATATCTAAAACAATCAATAAAGTCATTTTCCACAGAAGCATTTGAAAATCTGTCTATAGAATTTATGCTTTTCCTTTCATTTTCTTTTCATTTTGATGGTATGCATATATATATATATATATATCTTTCCACTATTAAACCAACAAAATTAAACTCCAAGCAAACTATATCCATATTCGAATTGGGTGTGACAACACATACTTGGTTACAAAGAAAAGTAAATATTTTCCTGGCCAGGTGCAGTGGCTCACATCTGTAATCCCAGCACTTTGGGAGGCCAAGGCAGGTGGGTCACCTGAGATTAGGAGTTTGAGACCAGCCTGGCCGACATGATGAAACCCTGTCTCTACTAAAAATACAAAAATTAGCCAGGCATGGTGGCATGTACCTGTAGTCCCAGCTACTTGGGAGGCTGAGGCAGGAGAATTGCTTCAACCCCAGAAGCAGAGGTTGCAGTGAGCGCAGAGATCACGCCACTGCATTCCAACCTGGGCAACAGAGCTAGACTCTGTCTCAAAAAAAAAAAAAAGGAAACATTTTCTTTCAGAAATTTCTTATTAATGATAATTTAGCATTAATTTTATTTTTAAAGCTCAACGTTTCTAATAGGAGAGATGAAACCCTGTCTCTACTAAAAATACAAAAATTAGCCAGGCATGGTGGCACATTCCTGTAGTCCCAGCTACTTGGGAGGCTGAGGCAGGAGAATTGCTTGAACCCCGGAAGCAGAGGTTGCAGTGATCGCAGAGATCAGAGATCACGCCACTGCACTCCAGCCTGGGCAACAGAGCTAGACTTTGTCTCAAAAAAAAAAAAAAAAGAAGGAAACATTTTCTTTCAGAAATTTCTTATTAATGCTAATTTAGCATTAATTTTATCTTTAAAGCTCAACGTTTCTAATAGGAGAGTGTACTCTCCATCAATCTGCTCAACTCTGCTTTATCACAACTGAGAAAGCTCTGCCAATCAGCAATCGGCTGAGTGAGGGTTTGCTGTGCATCTTGCACTTTGTTAAGCTCTGTAAAGATGCAGAAGAATGTTTGTTGTGGTCTCTGAACTCAAGGAAGCTCAAAGCTAGTTGGAGGGAGGAGAAATGATGAAATAATACCCATTAATTAATTAATGAACATGACAGTAAACTATATGCCACTTCTGACAAACTGTGTCGTAGTTCAGAGGAGGGAGCAGTCTGTACACCTTGCAGCTGTCTTTCTGAAAGTGTGGTCTAGCATGGGCAAGTAAGTTCATGATATTTCTTTCCTTTGATCATTTAATATGCTAATATGCCTCACGAATTAAAGAAAATGTATTATTTTATTACTCTACATATTTAATAAATGTTTATTGGGTGCCCATTATGTGTCAGGGAATTCAGCAGTAAGTAACACAAGGCCATTCTTCATATGAAGATGAAGGGTTGGCAGGTAAACCCTCACCAATAGGGTCTCACCTGAGCAGAGACCTGAACAAAAGGAGAGAGCAAGCCACAAGGTGATGTGGGGAAGAGTTTTCCAGGCAGAGAAAACAGAATCAGAGCTAGGAGCACATGATCCATGTTGCAGGAATGGGAAGAAGGTCCTGGGGCTAGTGCTGAGGCAAGGAGAGGAATTACTGAAGTACCAAATGTATGTCAGTTTTCTAAGTGAGCATACATCACTGAACCCTCACTCATTTTCTTGAGAGAATCTTATAAGGCTAAGGGAAAGCAGAACACATTTGCCAACAATAATTAGGGGAGCGGAGGTTGGATGTGCCCTAGATGTTGGAACATGGGCTGGAGTTTGCGGTTGATCATGTTGAGAAAGGACATTCCAGGAAGCAGCAACAGAATGAACAAAGGCCCACAGGAAGGAGGGAAAGGAGAACGGGAGGGGAAACAAGAATGCCAGGATGAGACCTGAGACCAGGTGGTTATTTGGCCAGGTTTAATTATTCAAAACTAAGTGCCTGGAACATGGAACACTGGATATTTGAAGCTGAAAATATATTTTGCAAAAGTGAATGTGAACCTTGAATTGACTAGAAATGTTTCATTTCTCCCTTTAACTTTGAATGGGTATGTACCTTTTTTATTTAATAGAATAATTTTAAATCACAGGATCTGCCTCTTGGGGAAGAAATGCCAGGCATTGTTAACAATGATTTATGTGAAATCATTTATTTAACTCATTCAACAAATCACTCATTTATTCATTTACTCAGTGAGCCAGTCAGTTAAGATTTATTAAACACTTACTGTTGAGAAAACAGTGTCAAGGGATGGGTGGGTTACAAAGCCACTGAAGACCCAGCACTGCCTTCAAACAATATCTGATCTCCTGTGGAGCATAATAAGACTGGCATTTGCTTTTCAGGAAAAATTGATGTGTTACTACAGAATCTTATACCAGGTTGACTATCATTCTAGAATTCTCAAGGAAACATTGTGTCTGAATGAAAAATCTAGGATTGTCAAGCAACTCATAATACATGTTAAATTACTGCCCTAGGATGAATGTAAGATGAGCCTGAAGAAAATAAAGACCTGATGGCGAGCTGGGGTTGGTCTACGAAGGCTTTATAATAACCTTTGATTTCTTGAAGAAAAAAAAGAAAATTGTGATGGCTTGATGTTGACAAAAGTTGGAAAATAAACTTATTTATGCACTTGGCAACATGTACTCTGCAATTCTGCTGCCAGGTCCTGCCTGTTCAGAAAGGCTTGCTTTTAGGATACAAATTGCTACAATCAAAGCCACTGATGAGACAACTTCAACTCACCCCTTCCACGTTTTCCACAATTAAAATCATGGAAACATACGAAACTCTCTCATTTCACTATTTGCGCAGGCTGTTCATCTTTCCTTCTTTAACTTCTTTGCTCCCTTTCCAGACAATATCTTTTACTTGCATTGTACTTTTAGAACACTGTTTCTGACATGAATAACCTCCTTACATTTCCCTTGAGGTAACATTCCCTGGAAAAAATACAGAAAGGGGCAAAGGCATCTTGTCCAAAGGAAGTATGGAAAGCCTCTTCCCGTTACCACCACAATCCTCTACATTACGTGCAAGGAGTCAGAGAAGGACATAGTGGTAACAAATTGAGTCAGTATTTCCTCTGCCCTCCTGCCAGCTCAGAGTTCTGTATGCTTTCAGAGCTGATATATGGAGGAACAACACAAGGTTAACTTTTTTCAGTAAAGAGTTTTGTTGTATAATAATTTCTACTTAAACTATAATTTTTGACAATTATCGTCAAAATTGCTCATTTAACATAAAATGTTTAGTGCCGACTGGTTTTATAAAGGTTATTATAAAGCTTCAGTTATCAGTGCATATGCCTTCTCAGCTACACTGTGAGAATTTTAAAGAGACATAGCTACAAATATAGACTTCATCATGGACAGAGAGAGCACCATATATTTTCAGAGTCTAGCACAGTGCTTTGAACACATTAGATGCTTGTTTCTCATTTAGGAATTGGTTGTTGATTTCAGAGAAGTAACATGCTACTTAGGTTATGCCTGTGACATTGGACAAAGAAGCACAAAATCTAGGCATTTTTCCCAGCTCTCCATGTAATTAAATGTCAATTCCTAAGGAAGTCACTTCACAGCTCTTGCCTTGGTTCTCTCATTTATACAATTAATAATAATAAAAAAGAAACACCTAATTCAGCATTAATACATTTTCCACAATAATTGAAATTTTATAATTCCATAATTCCATAATAGTTCAAAATAACAACTATTCGCATGTTGATTTGGCTTTCCACTGGCAAATAGTGTTTAGCACAGGGACTAATTTTCCTACTGAACTGACTCTGCTTTCTTTTAACTTTTTATTTCAAAGTAATTTTAGATTTGCAAAAGTGTTGCAAAGATGATACAGAAAGATCCTATCCACCCTTCACCCAGCTTCCCTTAATATTGGCATCTTGCACAAACATAGTAGAATTACCACTAACTAAACTATAGAATTTATTCAGATTTTATTTGTTTTTCTACTAGTGCCCTTTTTCTTCTCTGAGGTCCAATCTAGGATCCCATATTACATTTGGTTGTCATTTTCCCCTCCCTGATTGGGTCTTTTGGCTGTTGGGAAGGGATGCTTGCAGATGCTACTTGTTTTGAAACAATCTCACCGTTGCACATGAAGAAAGCATCAACTGGTTCTTTTCCCCATTAACAATACTGTTATTTGTACCTTTCAGCTCGTTGCTTTTCTGCAAAGAGTTCATCTTTTTTATTTTCTTTTCCAACTTTTATTTTGGAATCAGGACGTACATGTGCAGGTTTGTTACAAAGGTATATTGTGTGGTGCTGGGGTTTGGAGTATGACTGAGCCTGTCACACAGGTAGTGGGCATAATACCCGATGGGTAGTTTCTCAGCCCTTCCCCCCTCCCTCTCTCACACCCTTTAGTAGTCCCCAGTGTCTATTATTCCCATCTTTAAGTCCATTAGTACTCAATGTTTAGCTCCCATTTATAAATAAGAGCATGCAGCGTTTGGTTTTCTTTTTTTACATTCATTCACTTAGGATAATGACCTCCAGCTATATCCATATTGCCGCAAATGACATGATTTTATTCTTATTTATGGCTACATAGTATTCCATGGTGTACATGTACCACATTTTTTTAATTCATTCCACTGTTGATGGGCAACTGGGTTGATTCCACGTTTTTGCTATTGTGAATAGTGCTGCAGTGAACATACAGGTGCATGTTTCCTTTTGGTACAGCAATTTATTTTCCAGACATCCAGACCTATCTAGTAATGGAATTGCTGGTTTGAATGGCAGTTCAACTCTCACTTCTTTCCAAACTCTCCAAACTGCCCCCTCCACAGTGGCTGGACTAATTTACATTGCAACAGAGTATCAGTTCACCCTTTTCTCCACAGCCTTGCCAACATCTGTTATTTTTTGACTCTTTATCAAAAGCCATTCTGACTGGTGTGAGATAGTATCTCATTGCGGTTTTGATTTGCATTTCTCTGATGATAGAACGACAGAGTCTGTCTTAAATCTCACCCAGCATTCTCAAGATTTCAGAAGGTAAGCCTAAATCTGCAAAATGGAATTTTCCATTTTCTTATTTTCCCTTTAAAATCACCCCTACCTGGGAAAACACCCACGTGGTAACTAAAGTAGGTTTTTGTAGACAACAGCTTTGTGCATTCTGAACCAGTGCCAGGAAAGATTTTTAGTTGACTTAATAAATGTAATGAGCTGAAATGGGTCCCAAGAAAGCAATCCTTATCTGCAGGAAACATGGATCTATGGCATTCTATGATTTTCATTCTTCTATTATCAGTAGAAATGTGTTAAGATCTTTGGCTCATTACTGAACCCAGACTCACTTCACAGTGAATTTTTCCACCTTGAACTTTAGAAAGATTATCATCTCAGAAGTTTATGTGAACAAAAGTTAGATCTGGGGGTTTATACTGGCACCCCACCAAAGGTTGCCAAAATGCACACCTGAAGCTTAGTGATTGGCTCATATTCTAAAAGTTGGCCATTTAAAGGCCAACAATAATTATGAGGCACACCTCTGATCTCCTGTATGCCAGGTTTTCACTACTAACTGCTGAGCAGATGTCTCAAGTGAGACATTAGGCCTAGATAGTAATTGGGAACTGCTGAAAGCCTCCTCCTTCAGGGGAAATTTTGGAAGACATGTCTTTCCCTCCTACTGTTTAAAGATTGCAGATTGTCAAATTATACATGGCAGATGGATTACAGTTTGTCCTTTTAATGACAGGAGAAGCTGTTTCTACACCCCGGCAAAGGCATCTACTGACATCAAGATACGATTCTACTGTTCCTCAGCTATATTTGGGAAAATGTTTTTTTGGTCTGTTTTAGCAAGTGACTATAAAAGCTTTTCATGATATTATGCCATAATTAAATAACTGGTTTTCATTAATATATTATACTAGAAATGCTATAGGCATCCTATAATTACATGTAAGACTTCGCTAGTATTAGCTCAACTATGTTGTCTTTGCAGTGTATAGGAAAATTACAAGATACATAAAATGTGTGTTGTGAGTCATCTTGGCATTATTGGTAAAATGTTCTATTTATTCAAAAGCAAAAGGCAGATGTAGTTTTTTTTTTTTTTTTTTTAATTTCTGTTGGAGCCATTAAAGAAGCCTAGTCTCTATTTTTTTAGTTTTCTTTTGCCTCTTTTTTCTTAAATTTTTATGTCTTTCTTTTTCTTTTCCCCTTGCCTTTTACATTTTCTGTCTTTGTTCTTTCTGTTGATGCCATTGATTTCTTCCCCAGCAATCATTCTTCAAGGAGTCTTTTGACATGGCTCCAGTTTGGGTAGATAAACTTCAAAGAATGATTATCATTGAACTTTGTCATCTGTTGAATGAATAAATGAAAGAAGAATAGTATCAAATAGAAAATCATGTTTCATAATTTTGAATGGAGCTCTTGAATGCTCTCATCTCCTGTTCAATTTCTCCTTTATAATCTATTCTGTCCTGGAAAAAAAAAAATATTTCCAGGGTGAGAAGGAAAGTCTTTAAAAATACACCTACTCTTCCCTTCACGGCCAAATGTTTAATCTCTTACTATCCTTCAGGAATTTCCAGTTGTATCTCCACTGTTTTATTCAAATGCAAAACACTCAGACCCAAACAGATCTTGTTTCTCTATACCCCAATGTGTCCATCTTACTTTCTCTTTGGATATCAGCAATGCTGTCATAGTCTTGGTACTCTAAGCTCGAAGCTTCTGAATTAGCCTTTACTCCTCCAGGTAATGGGAAGGATAGCTATTGAGTCCGACCAATCTCCTATGAATTATCTCTGGAGTCTGCCTCTTTTTCCTTCATTTCTATCATTGCCCAGTCCATGCTCATCTCCAGACATCTAGACCCTTGCAATAACTGCATAAGTTCTTCCTGCCTCTGTTTTCTGCCTTATGCCTGCACCCCTCTGCCTGAATTGTCTTGTTAAATTCCTCCTTTCATCCTGTTATTTCCCTGCTCAAAAGCTCTCATTACTCTTCAGAAACCTTAGCACAACAGTCATTTATAGGGACAATTGTTATAGAATTCAAGGGGTATCCTGCCAATTAAACAAATGGTCCATTTCTCTGACCTAGTTTCTCCTTTTTCTTTTTTTCTTTTTTGAGATGAAGTCCAGCTCTGTCACCCAGCCTGGAGTGCTGGGTGGAGCGATCTCGGCTCACCACAACCTCCAAGCAATTCTCCTGTTTCAGCCTCTCCAATAGCTGGGACTACAGGCACCCACCACCATGCCTGGCTAACTTTTTTTGTATTTTTAGTAGAGACAGGGTTTTGCCATGTTGGCCAGGCTGGTCTTGAGCTCCTGATTTCAAGTGTTCTGCCCACCTCAGCCTCCCAAAGTGCTGGGATTACAGGCATGACCCACTGCGCCCGGTTGTCTCTTTCAAACTCAGCCTGTTCTCTACAGCAGATCATAGCTTATCCTACCTATTCATGCTCCTGTGTCTCCTCCCAGCATCCAGCAGGTATCAAGGAGATGTAAGTTGTCATCTTTTTGGATGCTCTTTAACTTTTCTGTCCCCAAAAGTTGAACAGGGAACTTTTTTTTTTCAAAGTTGAACTTAGTGCCTTCACAGAAAAATGATGAGTAACAAAATTAGAATTAGGTCTAAGAATACCTAGCACTGTTTTATAGTTCCTGGTGTTTCTTCTCACGTCTCAGCTCCCCAGAATGTATATAGTGTAGATTTTCCTCTGTGGTGTACTGGTGGTCATGAGCAAGGAGAACTTAAGAGCACTCATACTTTTGAGTGACACATGCACCCCAAGGGAATTCCAGATAAACGACTTCAGGTATAATGTTATCCCTTTCCTCCTGGCTGTTATACATGGGAAAGTCCCTTTTTGTTATTTGCTAACAGTACTCTAACTTCAAATTACCTTTGCAATCCTGCCTGCCCATAATCCAAATCCAATCCTCAAGTATATATTTCCTTCTACAATGCCAGCCTCCTCACATTCCCCCCTGGTACAATGCTCATGACTATTTCTCCGTTTTTACTTTCTGCTTGGAATGGCCTCATGCCTCTTTGCAGCCTAGCTCATGCCTCGTCATAGTTCAAGTCTCAGTTCCTGTCCCCATCTCCTCTATGAAACCTTCTCCACCATACTATCCCATGACAGTCTACTTATAAATCCTACAGCTCTTATTGTATATACCATTTATATGCTGCCAATGCCACTGCACTATAATTTATATGTACCAATAGGTTTTTTAAAAATTCATATCTTATTGCCAAAAAATACTGTAAAATCTAAAGGACTGATCATCTAAGTGAATATTTTTCAATCCCTTGGTTTAGTTTAGGCAAAGGCATCTGTAAGGGGAGTGGAATTGGGGGATTCTAAATTTTTTTCAGAGACTTAGAATCCGTTAAAAAATCAAGAATTCCCTGAAGACTAACTTGTATATGTCTTACAAATGTACATACTGAGAATTGTATATACATATGATGATTTTATATGTGTGAATGGTATGATTAATAAAATAATAAAATAATATATTTAAAGAATTATTGAACTTGTCATAGCTGTCAGTCACTTTTTCAACCAATATGTACTAAAACTGAAGGTATTATGAGGGGTTCTTTAAATCACTTTTATTGAAAGTTTATACTCATCAGTCAACCACATACAATACAGGCAAACATAAAATACTTTTTCTCTGTTTACTTCTGCTTTAGTTTGTACAACTTGGTGGGGAATTCTCTTTTTATAGGTAGAACGTTTATCAACTTTGGGTAGTTCCGTAGTGTCAAACATTTGGTAGGTGGGACCAACCAGTTGTTGAATAAATAACCTACCACTAACTGCTCACAGCATGAGGCAGACCACTTAAGGGGTAGCAGGCTGGAACATAGACATGCATACAGGGGAAGCACAATGCTGTTTCACTTCTGTGGAAGCAGGCAAGATAACAGCACCAGGATTTTTCTCTTTACAACTCTCCCTTTTGCCATCATCACTTTTTTGAGATTTCTTGATCTTCCTTTCTAACCTATTCTCAGAGAATTGATGTCACTCAGCTCTAAAAAGTGAAAACGTAGAAACTTTTGCAAAATACCCTAGATAATGGAGTATTACTGCCAAATAATTTATTCAGTTTGCTAAAGGCCCATTAGCCATGAACACTAAAGAAATAGCCTGATAACACTTTGTGGATTATAAAGTTAGCAAGTAAAGAATAAACCGTGTTAAAAATGCAGACAGGAAGATGTTAAGTTTGAATTGAGAAATGCTCCTTGATCCATATGTCTGTTAATGAGACATTTCTGCTCTTATGCATGTGTCTGTTGGGTGACTCATTATATGAAATATGAAAGCACACAGCTTCCTCTAAGACTGATTTTGTACATATCATAAAGCAGAAATATTAGCCATTAGAGATCAGTGTTTCTCCATTAAGAATTAAAATGCGTTAGGACCATGACTGCATTAACTATCATTGAATTAACAAAATATTTCTGTTGCTGACATCTTAATTAGTGCATTAATTATATTTTAATTATCGATGGTCCATAATCTACAACTGTAGACAACTGAATTTTCAGTCATTGATGTTAATTATGTGTTCTGTAATCACTCTCAATCACGGTGTGGAGCACTCCAGTACAAATTTAGTCAGTGTAACAAGCCAGTGCTTTACAAAGAATTTGCCCTCATGAGGATGACTATAGTGACTGCAACTTAAACAGTCATGGTACGCTCCAGTGAGTAGTTTGGGAGGTAAATGTAGAATTAAATTCTTTTTTCACTCAGTCTTTAATTGTGAGAATCCCACTCTAGCATATTCCACCTGAAGCTTTGACTTTGGGTATTACATCACTAAAAAATAAAAAGTAATGCAGCTTCCATTTAAGTGGAATTTTTGCCAACTAAAAAATAATTGAAGGATACACTGCCAAATGTCCACAGAGCCAAACCTGTCCTGTTCACTCCCCTATGTGTATGGCTTAAGAAAGTCCAACAATTCCTTCTTCCAAAAATAGCTGTAAAAGTAGCTCTCTGTTAGAATTAACTGCACCTTATATCTAAGCCAACACATAAGCACAATCTGACAAAGGATTTTTTTGATTTGATTATTCCTATATGACAAGACTTGCAAAAGCCATAAAAGTAAATTACATTTGGAAGAACTTTTAAATGAGTCGTTTTTATTGAAGAAGATAAAAACATATTTGGAATGATACACAATATTTGGACTAATCCAGGACATGTGGGTTTTAGATACAATGTTTTCAATTTCTCCATTAGAGTCTTGTTTCTTAGGGCTTTGAAGGTATTAAAATCCTTAAGAAGCCCTAATTAAGACGCAAATTCCCCCAGGAGAAGTTAATACCTTGAATGTTCGTCAATGAACACCTAGTGAAAAAGCCTGTAGACCAATTCTCACCAAGTGAGAATTGGTGAGAATTTTACATAATGTCAGCATAAGGGAAATGCCAACACTCCTTCATCTCTACCACTTTTTTCTCTGGAACTAAGAAGAAGGTAAAGTAAGGAAATCAGAATGAAAAATACCTAATTCTCAAATGTTGCTTTATAAAATATATACAGAGAGAGAGAGAGAGAGAGAGAGAGAGAGATCTTTTTCTTAATCTAATAACAGCTCGTCAGCTCTCCATGGTCTCCAACCAGCCTAACATTACGTATTAACGCAGAGCTAAGACTGCTGAACAGTAACAATTCAGATCCATTACATTTCTCAATTATTTCAAGCCCATCATCTTCTGATGGTATGGTTCTATAACTGGAAATGTTCAGACCAAATCAGGAAACACATTCATCAATGAAAGCATAGAAGAGAAACTCTTGTCCATCAGGGCATATGAATATGATAAAGAGAATGCAACTGATGAAATGCAAGTTGCTGATATTTACATCTCAGAAAATGAACTGAACAGAAAATATTATATATATAAAGATGTGTACTTAATATGTGTGGGACATAGAAATTTCCCTTTTCTCTGATTCCCTTATTAAAATAGATGTTTTCTATTTCCCTTTGGCAGAATGAAGAATTATGAAGGCTACAAGCATATTTTAATACTTTTTTCCCAAATTTTTTCCTGCTTCATATAAATTACAAACCTCTAAAGTTTTATGTTCCTTAATTTGCAGCAGTTTGTAGCTCTAGAAAGCTCTGAGAGTTAAGAGATCAGAATTCCTGAATTGTGAGACACACAATTCATTGGAAAATATCCCACATTTACTTACCACCTTATAGGGTGCCCTAGTCTGAGAGAGCAATGGCATTCAAATCATAAGAGTTTAGAACTGATGCCATCATCAAAACCTCCCCATGTACAGTTCCTTGCCTGTCAGATAATGGGCCTGAGACCTCTAAGGTTCAACCATTTCCCAGTGTTCCATACTTGATAAATATTCAAGCTTAGGTTTGAATGCAAGTCTTTTGCTTCCCAGAAAAATGTTTTCATGAGTAGCAAGGAGCACTCTGGCTGCCACCTTTAAATTATAAGAGATCATTACTTTTTTAATATTTAGAAATCTGTTTTTGCTTTTCTTGTTGTGTGGCAGTTGTTTCATTTTACTCACTGGGCTTCTTCTATTAGTACCTCCATAATTGATTCACCTTGTAATGTGCCTTGTCTGAGTGCAGTTTTAGTTATCAATGAATTAAAACTTTAAGGTTTTTGGATCAAGGTCTCTTCTAAATGCTTACCTTTTTTCCATTATAACAAAAATTATCTAATGATCTGACAGTTATATGGTAGAGGCACAAAACTGGGGAGGAAAAATAGATCTCAGCAAGCATGTGTAAGTTTCTTATCATTTTCTTATGAAGAAAGATGATTTCATTATAGCATAGTAGGTCCAAAAGCTATGGGAGAGAATTGCATCTACCTTTCCCAATAGCCCAAAAGAAAGCAAGCAGTTAAATTAACACACTCAACAACCACTTCTTGCTGAGAAATCACTAGCAGATTTGCGCTTCCCCATTTCATGCTACTGAATTTGCTCCATCATTTGGCCATGCATATTCAACTTTATTCCTCTTCCACCCACCAGATCAAGTTAGCACAAACAGAATAAGTAGGTGGTACTTTTTAGACTCTAGGACTATTTAAATACACACACCTGAGTCTCACAATCTTGGCTCATAACTTTTTCTGGGGATTTGCCTAGTAAAATATAACTAGATATTGTCAGAGACTTTGTTCTCTGCTTGCTATGTGCTACTCCTGGATAGCACATTATGCCAGCAACGTTATATGATGCCTTGACTTAATCCGTGAGAGTGCTTTGTGGTTTAGGAAGCTCCTCCAAAATCATCTGATGACCATTAGAACAACACTTTCACCTGATTGATTTATGTTTTTTGGTTTGCCCAGATATGATCTAATGGTGAAGACCATTTTAAAAACAGGTAAACTAATCCCAGAATTCTGATGAAATGTGTCTCATGTATTAAAATCAACCTACATCAACTTCATCCTGACATCTTCTTGAATTTAGTAGCTCCACTTTGCTTTTTTTATTCAGTGTAAACTGAAACTGGAAATATTAATTTTCAGAATACAGATAATTTTTGCACCTATATCTCAAAGTTATATTCAAAAATCTGATGTTTGAAAAAAACATGAGGCACTATAGTGTCTTCTCAAAATCTGTTAGGAATTATTGATCTCAAAAAATCAGAGGTGTAACACTAAATTTACTTAGATTTAGCTTGATACAACTCTGTAGCACACACAAAATCTCATATATATCTCAGTTTCACATATGGAAATACTAACTGTTGCTGCACTCTGCAATTCTGAATTAGAATTAGACACTCTATTCCCCTAAATCTTTCTATTAAGGGAATAATTTTTTAAATTGGCTAAAAACACTTGTTATATTAGAAGAACTCTAAAACAGGGGACTATTTGGCCAGAGAGCTGTTGTTGAGTTGATGGATAGAAATTGCTTATTCACCACCTGTTGGAAAATGTTAGTGTTCGTGTTCAATCATGTGCCTAATTTAGTGTGTAATTGGAAATGTAGCGCTTGCAAGGCAGGCAAATCTTTTTGAAGATTCAGCTATTTATATTGAGCGTATTAATTACACTGAAATAAAGGAGAACACAAAGCTATCAGGAGAACAGAGACTACTTTCAAAGTAACTGCTCAACAGGACACACACTGGTTACTTAGAGAGATAAAAGCACCGTGTTGCCTGAATAAGTGTGAAATACTTCAGGGCTGCCATATTATCACCATCACAAATTGTCAGCAGATGTTTCTTCTATTCAGCTTAAATGGGCACTGATTCTTCCTAAAAAAGCATATACTTCCAACGGCTTTTAAAAGCCTTCATGTCTCTTTTTATCTCTGTCCTATGTTAACATTAAAATTTTCCTGCCAAGTTTATTTATACATGTTATTTGAAATAGTGTACACAATGGATACATTGCAACTTTTCCAGTGTTTTTCACTATTCTGCTAAGTCCAAGCATTTAACAGAATGGTCTTAAGAACTTTTCTGAGTGAAACTTTAGTTACTGCAGTCTGTTTGTCCAGCTTCACCATCAGCAGGATTGGGGCCTCTTCAAACAACTACTTCAACAGTATTGTCCATGGCAAAGAGAGGTTGCTACTTAGCATTAACCCACATTTAAGGCCCTGAACTGCAGTCAGTTAAGTTCCAATGCAGTAAAGAGAGAAATGTAGCATCAAAGAGAAATTGAGAAGAAAGAGGATTCCCTAGAAGTTGTCATATGGCTGAGTAAAAAGGGTATGGAAGAGAGCTGTGAGCAGAGAAGGCAACAAAAATGCCAAGTGATATTCTGAACAATTTGTATAAGGTGGGATTATTAGTTGATTATTACAAAATATTCATCATTAAATAGTAGCATTTGTGCAGAAACCCATGGTAAACCTATGGATCCTTAGGAAAACTAAGTCTTCTTGCTGTTCATCTTGATTCGTTACATAGACATACCCAAGCGAACATAAATATGACTCCAAAGTTTTGAAGAGTAATGTGATGTCAGTCTTTCATATGAAAAGATGCCCTTGATGTGGGTTGAAGATGGAGAAGAGGCAAAACTTGTTTAAAAATTCTTATTCCCAATTTTCTTTACCATTCCAAATTTCTCTAATTAAAAAAAAAAAACTTCAGTCGGTAATAAGCCTAAGATTTCTTGTCTCATCCATCTCACCTTCTTATTTTTCAGAATATTCTATTTTCCTGGGAGAATAAGCTCCATGTCCTATCTTACACAAATTTAACTTCTCTCAGCATTTTTTTTATTTTTCTTCTATACCCAGCATCTCCAATCAACCCCCAAAGCCATAGGAACTAAAAAGCAAGAGAGTGAGAAAAGCCATAAATAATATTTTAAACTATATTTTGCCCATTGTACTCAAATATGATATAGTTATCTTGTTTATATTAACTTATAAGCTTTTATGCTTACATTAACTTTTGTGCTTTGGTTAATCTTAATATTCTCGTGTGTTCTTTTAACATAAATAGTAGGTTAAAATTTTTTCTAGAAAATAAATAAGAAAAAAATATATATATATAAGAAGACTAGTAAAAATCCAGAGAATAACAATGTAAGATAGAAGAAAATATGTCAAATGAGGATCACCTCAGTTCACTACCCTTTGTTTAAAGATAGTAATGTGTGTTAGGTGCTCTGCAGCATCTGCTTATTTGATTCATACTGTCCTAGATTAAACACCCAGGACTTGGACAGTGATGTCATAAAGTTAGGAAATAAAAGAAATTTAATTTACAATGAGTTATGTCTCCCCAAAATAGCTATTATGTTTTAAAGGATTTTTTTTTTTTTATAAAAAGCAATGAGTAGTGTCTGAAAGATGGTGAACTAAGAAATCCCAATGCTCATCTCTCCACAAAAACAACAGTGAGAGAACTACCTACTGATGAAAATAGCTGTGGGAAAACCCCAGAGTACAATGACAATGAAGCAACCCAGTGGAGCACAAAATCCAATGATAGCCAACATAGAAAACTATAGAAAGCATTTTACCTGTGCCACCCCATTTCCCAGCCTGGCACAGTCAGCACCAAGAGGGATCCTCTTGGTTCTGACTTCTACCAGTGGGGTAAACAGAGCACAATGATCCCAGTGGTTTTTGCCATTGAGCCTCTGTAGTCTTTGCCAATGCTGACTCTGGTTGACAGAGCTGCCCAGAGTCCATGTTCCTGTGCCGCTCTCCAGTCCAGAAGGAGCTACCACTATATCCCTTCCTTGCTCCCTATATGTGCTATACCACAGAAACTGGTGTGATTGCTGCCATGAGCATGTCCACACCTTAAACATTGGTACCAGTGAAGCTCTGCACATGGCCTTCTTGGATCCCAGTACCACACCGTATGTGTGCTCATGCCCCAGACTCATGCCCCAGACTCTGGCACCACCATGTGCATGCCCACACCTCAAACCTGGGCATCAAGAGAGATTGCCTCTGCTGTGACTTCCTTATGTGGGGAAAAAGGAGACTAGGAAGACCTTAGCAACCCTCACCATCACCATGGACACCCACAGCTTTGACTACCAAGGACCCCCACTGTCTTTGCTTATGCTGACCTCAGTTGACAGAGCTTCCCAGAGTCTATGCTGCTGTGCCACTCCCCACCACTACTCCCACCAGAGCCAGAGCCATCACACCCCACTCACTAATGCCCTTGCATCCACCACAGATATAGGTCTTTTCATACCACAGCTAGTCCACAAAGTCTGGAATAGGTGACATTTCCTTCAACTATGCAGACATTAATAAAAAGCTACAAAAAAACACAAAATATCAAGGAAACATAACCCAACTAATGGAACACAATAATTTTCCAGTAACTGAGCCCAAATAAATGAAGATCTACAAATTGCCTGAAAAAGAATTCAAAATAATTGTTTTAAAAGAATTCAATGGGCTATAAGAGAGCACATATAGACAACCCAAGGAAATCAGAAAAACAATATATGAACAAAGAGATAGAAATTATTTTAAAAAGAACCAAACAAAAATCCTGAAAGTGAAGAATTCAATAAATGAAATTTAAGAATTCAATAGAGAGATTCAATGGAAGACTCAATAAAGCAGAAGAAAGAATCTACAAAAATGAATACAGAGTATTTGAAATTCTTCAGTTAGAGAAGAATAAAGTAAAAAAAGAGTGAAGAAAATCTACAGGACTTACACGATACCATAAAGCAAACCAATGTAAGCATTATGGGTATCTAAGAAGAAGACAGAAAGAAAGGGAAAGAAATCTCATTTAAAGAAATAAAAGCTGAAAACTTCCCAAATCTTGAGAAAGAAATATACATCAAGATTCAGGAAGCTGCAAATTTTCCAAAAATGGAGCTGAAAATTTTCAACACAAAGGAGACTACACCAAGATACATTATAATTAAATTGTCAAAAGTCAGCAACAAAGACAGAATTGTGAAAGTGACAAGAGAAAAGCAACTAATCATATATAAAGCAACCCTTAAAATGCTATCAGTAGATCTCTCAGCAAAAACTTCGCAGGCCAAGGGAGAATAGCATGATATATCACAGCACAGAATTTAAAAAAAAAAACCGTTAATCAAAAATACTCTATCCAGCAAAATTATCTTTTAAAAATGAAGGAGAAATTGTTTTCCAAACAAAAGCTAGGGGGAATTCAACAAACACTGATGAAGGAAATTAAATAATACACATTTAAATTGAAAGATATTCTGTGTTCATGGATAGGAAGAATTAATATTGTTAAAATGTTCATACTACCCAAAGTAATCTACAGATCCAATACAATCCCTATCAAAATCATAATGGCATTTTTATATAAATAGAAGAAACAATCCTAAAATTCATATGGAACTGCAAAATATTCAAATAGCCAGAGCAATACTGAGAAAGAGCAACAGGGCTGAAAGCATCACACTTCCTGACTTTAAAAGGTATTATAAAGCTGCAGCAATTAAAACAGTATGGTACTAGCATAAAAGCATACATATAGACCAATGGAACATAATAGAGAACCCAGAAATAAATCCATGCATCTATGATTAACTGATCTTCGACCAGGGTACTAAGAACATACACTAGGGAAAGAATAGTTTCTTAAGTAGTGTTGGAAAACCTAGATAGTCACATGAAGAAGAATAAAAGTGGACCCATAAGTGAGATTACATCAAAGTAAAAATATAAACTCAGAATGTAAGTTGGTACAGATATTATGGAAAACAGTATGGAGGCTTATCAAAATGAAAAATAGGACTGCCTTATAATCCAGCAATCCCATATCTTAATATACATCCAAATAAAATAAAATGGTCTTAGGTGATCAGATATCAATGTGCATTCCCAATTTTTCTCACGCTGTTTCTGCTCATGTATCCTATGCTCTCAGAAAATCAGACTGCTTACTACTCTTCAAATAAACTCCATACTTAGAGACCAGCATGACTTTGCTTATGGTCACTTTTACTTGGAATATAACCCTCAGGCACAATCCACGCATGCTAAAATCCTACTGCATTTGCTGGTCCAGTTCCAATATTGATTGCTCTGAGAGTGTTTCCTGAGCCTCTGAAAATGGTCTCTACGCCTATACTCTTCTTGTTTCTCACTATTATAGCATGCTTTCACTTACAATAATTTGAATACTAGCCTTATCTTTATTCCTGGTCCCTAGCAAGAATGGAGTTTGCTATTCCTGGCATCCTCCACACCTAACACAACAACTTGCGCATAGAAGACATTTCATACATATGTCTTGAAACAATTAGCCTAAACAAGTTAGTTTCTCAAATAAAATAATAGTTCCATTGGGTTCTGATATGGTTAGGCTTTGTGTCCACACCCAAGTTTCATTTTGAATTATAATCCCCAGGTGTTGAGAGAGGAACCTGATAGGAGGTGATCTGATCATGGGGGTGGTTTTTCCTCCATGTTTTTCTCATGACAGTGAGTGAGTGGGTTCTCATGAGATCTGATGGTTTTATAGGTGTTTGGCAAGTTCTTCCTTCGCTTGCTCTTTTCTCTCTTGCTGTTCATGTGAAGAAGGTCCTTGCTTCCCTTTCACCTTCCACCATGATTGTAAGTTTCCTGAGGCCTCCCCAGCCATGTAGAACTGTGAATCAATTAAATCTCTTTCCTATATAAATTACCCAGTCTCGGAGAGTATCTTTTTTTTTTTTTTTTTTTTGAGATGTTGTCTCGCCCTGTCACCCAGGCTGGAGTGCAGTGGCACGATCTCGGCTCACTGCAAGCTCCACCTCGGGGAGTAACTTTATAGCAATGTGAGAACAAACTAATTCAGGTTCTGTCATCTGTGCATAAATTTTCTACAGCCACCATAATGAACTGCAGTTCCTTGTTAGTAAATTAAAAGAAATTTTAAACCTAAAAAGTACAATAATACTTAAATTTCAATTAGAGTAAATTAAACAATATTTCTTAAAAGACTTAAAGCCAAGGACATGAGGCATAACTTGATCAAGTGCATTATGACATAGAGTTGTGCAAGTGCTGATTTTTAAAATGGGTTTTTAGTATCATTAGTCTTGTATTGGCTAAGAAACAGAATGTTATTGCATTAATAGTGGAGTGGAATTTTCAAAATCTACAATTACTATCAAGATTTTGTCTTGTCTGGAATAATTTTATGCTTGTACCTGATATATTGTCTTTTTTTCTTTTCCCAAATGGGTCTATGTTCAGGTGTGATGACTTTGAAAGAAACTCACACTATTCATTTTAATAACAAACACCTGTAATTATAACTGCTTGAGAAGACAACATGGAGGTTGATCATTCAAAGGAGTTTTTTTAAGTTAATAATAACCAAAAGGATACATATATTTGTGAACACCTAGCACAAAGTCTGACATACAGTAGAAACTCAAGAAACATTTATTGAATAATGAGGAATGAATGAGTGAATAAAAATAGAATCCCTATTACCTTGAACAGAAACACTAGTTAGATATTCACTTCAATGACAAAAAGGCTAACTAACTTAGAAGAGTGGAGGAAACTACCTAAGTATTAATTTTCCAAGAGTTAATGTTGTCATTAACTTCATTTATAGTCCTTAATTTTTAAAAATAATTTTAGGAAATGCTTTCAATCAGGTAAGACACTGAAGGTAAGACATAAGAATAGGCATCACTTTGGGAGGCCATGGCAGGCGGATCACCTGAAGTCAGAAGTTTGAGACCAGTCTGGCCAACATGGCGAAATTCTGTCTCTACTAAAACTATAAAAAAAAAAAAAATTAGCTGGGCATGGTGGTGTGTGCCTGTAATCCCAGCTACTTGGAAGGCTGAGGCAAGAGAATTGCTTGAACCCAGGAGGAGGAGGTCGCCACGAGCCGAGATCTCTCCACTGCACTCAAGCCTAGGAGACAGAGCAGGACTCCATCAAAAAATAATAATAATAAATAAATAAATAAACAAAAAAAAACAGAATAGGCATCATTCCAAAAAATCTATTTAAATGTACATATATGGGCTTTTGGCTACTTGTTTCTTTGACAAAACAATGCCTTTAAAAACTTCCAATATTTGCTTTAAGGAAGTTTCGTATACTAACCACCACAGCTAAAATTCTTTCCTAGAAATAATTCTCAAGCTTCATTCATGTACTTGCTTCTGTGTACCTATCCTTTTCTCTCTCTATTTAAAGCCTTATACCTTGAGGGTTCTGGCTTCAGGATGTGGGTGGGAAGATCATATTCTTAAGCTGAATTTTTTCTACAGGCCTGGGTCTTAATGGAACTTTGTCTCTTAAAATGTCTCTTTGGCTTTTCTTTTTTTGCTCCAGATCTAAATACAAGAGATTTTTCTAAACTTTCAAGGACCCAAATGTCTGTACTCTCTAGTTTCCATTATTTTTACATGCAAACCAGATAATTCTTTTATGATCCAGATTCTCTTTTTTATGAGACCTTAAAATAACAAAGTAAGAGTCAACACACACTACTATTCTGGCACTTTGTAAACATTTATCTTAGAATTATAAACTCAGTAGGCATATTGAGTTTAAATTATTTTATGCAAGAGTTTTCCCAAAGTTTTGTTACTATATGACATGGGTCTCTAGCTTTCCAGTTTGTCTTCAGTTTTCTTTCACTTGCTATCTGACTGCTAAGCCAAAGATATAGTTTTGTTTTGTTTTACATGACAACAACCCACTTCTGGTACAAGTTTTGGTGACAGTTAAAATAATGATGGCTGCATTAACAGATGAGTACTCATATCTCTGTGGATTAACAAGTTTATTTTTAAATGGGTCTTCTATCTTTTGCATCTTTCCTTCTCTGGGGACCTCGTGTCTTCTGCATTCAGCTGGCTAAAGGGGAAAATAAATAATTCTCATGTAGGATGATTTTTATCTGCTAGGGCTCATAATGGTACACATTATGGCCTTCACATCCCACTGGCTAGAACCAAGTCACATGGACTCACCTAACCATGATGGAGACTAGAAAAAGTAGTCTAGCTTTGTCCACACAAAGAGGAGAAAGTAAATTTGGAGATCAGAGATCCAGTCTCTGGCATGAAAAACATCTCTTAATATCCTAAGAACAAGACTTCAGGGTTACACAGTCAGAAACAACTCTGGAGTGTACCTCAGGATTAAAACAATAGAAACATTATTGTTGCCACTGGGCAGACATATTGCAGTCAGAAGTAGTGAAACTAGCCTTTCACATCGCTACTCAACAGCTGCCACTGTATCTCTGAAAACCAGATGCAGCTGTGGCCACCTTTTCCTAACTTGATTCTCTGCAGTCTCTACCTCTTTTCGCCACCCTGTCAATTGCTTCCAATTCAGCATCCATAGAAATGCATCTGCTTGGTGGGCCTGGGTCATGTGCACAAGCCCCAGTCATAAGGGAAGCTGGAAAAGCAAGCTCTGAAATTTCCAGCTTCAGTGGAAAGTGTCAGGTTCTTCCTCAAAAGGTAGGATACTCCATAAAGGTGGGAAGAATTTTCAGACAATGAATAGCCTCCCCTCAGCCAATAGAAAAGGAGACATGTTGGTCATACCCACTATGCAGGCAGTTTGCCTGGAATTGTTGAAACCATTATATGAATCGCAGAACTATTTCAGATTTTTGGCTCGAGACAAAAGTCTAGCAACATTTTGATCCATCTGACATTGGGAAAGTACAATCTCTTTTATAATCTGTTGAAAATCATAGGTGAGAATTGCCAGCAATGACATAAATATGAATCAGAAATGAGAGATGCCCTGAATGAATACAATCTCTTCCCAATTTACACATGGTTGCTGTACACATTTTGAGAAAAAATAATTTTTTAAAATTACACTTGAAGTATCTTCAGTAATTTCAGAACAGCATAGTTTAAAGAGCTCTTCAAAAAGATTTGGCTATCACACTGGCAGTGAAATTCTGAAGCATTGCCTGAGGACCAAGCAAGTGGGTCAACGTCGTTCACACGTTGAAGTAAAGATGTTTTGTGTGATGGCATCTACCTGCCTAACTGTCACGTGCTGGTGTGTTGTTCAAGGTGGAGCTTTATGAACCTGATTATGTCCAATGAGTTTTTCTTTTAACTCTTAAGGGAAATGATGACTGAGAACAGTTGATTTCACTAGGATTCAAAATAAAGAAGATGAAAAACCTATCATTTTTGAAGGAAAATGAAAATTATCAGCACCACTGAAAGAAATGGACACATCAACATTGACCCAGACCATTGACCATTGACCCAGATATTCACCCAAACGAAAGCACCATCAGATAAATGCATAAAAATGCAAAGTGAAAGACAGGCTCTAATTAGGACACACTTTATAGGTAAAAAGATTTCTTATGACTGACAATAAGAATGCTAGTGGTTGCATGACAGTAGCATTATCTGTTGCTTTTATTGTGGGTTTTTTTTGCTTATGGGAGGCAGCTTAGCACAATGGTTAAGAACATTGGATCTTGATTTTCCAATTTCTACTCTGAAACCTTAGCCTCTCTGTATGCTGCAGTTTCTCCATCTGTAAAGTTGGGAAGAAAACAGTGCCTGTTTCATAGGATTATTATATGTAACTGTATTTGACAAATACCTACCATATTCTGGAGACTACTCTAAGTGCTAGGCATGCAATAATGAGTAGAACAGGCAAAATGATCTCTGCTTCATGCAACTTACCTTCTGGGGGTTTCTAGAATCAGTGAGATAACACATAAAGCATTTAAAGAATCTTTAACACAAAATAGGAATTCAATAAATAATAATAACATCTATTCAGTAATATCTATTATAATTCTTTATTAGTGTTCCTTCCTCTTTTTTAAATTGTTTATTACAGTTCACACTAATGTCATATAGAACAAAAAGTAATATTTAAAAATCATCAGAACCTTTTCAACCTACTAGATTATGACTGTTTATTAGTTTTTTATGACAAAACTCACTTCAATTTTAATGTTTTTGCATTGCTCTTCAGTTCTTGAAAACCTAACAATCAAATAAATCTAGAGAAAGTACACGTTTTTTGTTAAATTGTATTCTTCTCCTTTGCTTGATCAGGATATATCAGTAAATAATATTAAGCCCAGAATTATGCAATTATATGCTAAGAAAATATATTAAAGAGTTTAGACTACTTTTGATTGACTGCCAAAAATCCATAAAGTTAAAAGTTACAATTTTTTTCTATTTTTTTAACCTATGAATCTCTTTCACCTTATTTTCTTAATTCCCAATTGATATAGATGGAAATATCCCAGGAGAAGAGTGGATCAACCAAAGGAGCAAAATGCTTTCCAGGCACGGAAGAGTCATATCTATAAATTATTAGGCCGATAGATTTCAAACACTCCACAGAGGTTTGGGAGAATCATCCATTATCATAAATTACATCCATTTTATTTAAAGTCATTACTTCAAAAAGATGTTATGTACTTTTATAAGCTTCTTTTTTTTTCTTTTTAATTAAACACATTTCCCCTAATTTATTGTGTCTGAGACATTCGTTAATTGTTGGATCTATAGATGTGGAATCAAAAATAAGTAAATGTCTTTTTTTTTGGCACATAACAGTTGGGCATGCCGGTGTCAGGACAGTGTTGGCAACTTGGGAGCATTTCACAGCGCTCTGGAGCAGACTTTCATTTACCTCCCGCCTCCACTTTCGGAATCCCAGGAGTTAGAGATGATTAGGTAATTAACTCTCCCTCACTAGGCGGTTTCTAGAGCACTGAGTGTATTCTTAAAAATTAGATTGGTTTTGTAAAATTGATGTGATGAATCTTTTATGATTACCTTGGGAGATATTTTCTTTACTGTTCATATCAAGGAAGAAAAAGCAATTATATACACAGACACATATAGAGAGACGTTAAAGAAACTTCAGAAAGGAATATTAGATTTGCCTGTGCATTTCGATGGGCTCTAAAAAGGAATGATTCTAAGGATCAAAGGTCAATTTTTGATTTTACAAATATAACATTAAAAATTAGTTGTAATGAGAAGAAAATTCTGATTCATCATCCAGAAGCTCATTCTCAAAGACATTTTAGTAGCAATGTCTTATTTTTTTAAATCTCAATAGTTCTTTGGCCACCATCAACTCTCCCCCTATTATTTCAGTAAGAACCTAACTGTCCTCCATGCCTTGTCACATGGTTTTGGCCACCTTAAGTCTGTTCTGTGCTATTAAAGAACAAATCAAGCCTGGCTAACATGGTGAAACCCTGTCTATACTAAAATTACAAAAATTAGCTGTAATTTTGCACATCTGTAATCCCAGCTACTTGGGAGACTAAGGCACAAGAATCGCTTGAGCCTGGGAGGTAGAGGTTGCAGTAAGCTGAGGCTGTGTCATTGCACTCCAGCCTGGGCAACAGAGCAAGACTGTCTCAAAAAAAAGAAAAAGAAAAAGACAGAAAAAGGAAAGAAAAAAAATCAGATGTATTCAGTGAACTTTCACTATAGCACAAATCTGATCATAGCAGTCTTCTGCCATTGCTTTCTATTACTTATAAAGTTCAAGCTCTTTCCCCCAACACTTTATCATCTGATTCTTGCTTACCTTCTTGTCTTCTCTCTTATCTATTGCATTGTCTCCTTCCTCACTCTAGGCTACATGCCATCTTGCAAAACTCTGAACTCTCTTACTGGTAGGCCATTGTATATGTAGTTCTTTCTCTTGGAATGTCTTTCCTCAACTTTGCCGAGCTAAATCTTATCCTTTTATGAGGAATCAGCTAAAAAGAGAACCTCCTCTAAGAAACTCTCTTACCTAAGGCTCACCTCCCTCACCCTAAAACTTGAGTAAAAAGTCTCTCAAATATGCTAAGACAGCAACACCTAATTACCTCTATCATAGTGCTTATTGAACATACTACAAAAAATTACCTGTATATTTCTCTTCCTCAGCTATTAGACTATAAGCCCCTAGGTCAGGGTCTAAGTCTTACTCTCCTTCATATCGTAAGTGCCTGGCACACCACAATGTCTCAATACACACTTACTGAAGAAAGAGTTTTTCAGCTATGTGCAAGGTATGATGCTGGATCCTACAAGCAACTGTGAGCTTTGCTACCTGTGCTGGGATGGTTAGGTTGTAATGGCCTAAGAGAACTATTTTGACCTGAATTCGGATTAAAGAGATTGGAGAATTCTTTTCGGGTTGGTTAATTTTATGTATTAGCTTGACTGAAACATGGGGTTCTTAGATACTTGGTTAAACCTTTATATAGCTTGTCTGTGTCTCCATCCAACTCTCATATTAAATTGTAGTTCCCATAATCCCCACATGTCATGGAAGGGATCTGGTGGGAGGTAATTGAATCATGGGGGTGGTTACCCTCATGCTGTTCTCATGATAGTGAGTGAGTTCTGATAGTTTTCTAAGGGGCTTCCCCCTCTTCACTCAGCACTTCTCTCTCTCCTGCTGCCATGTGAAGAAGGATGTGTTTGCTTCCCCTTCTGCCGTGATTGTAAGTTCCATGAGGCCTCCCTAGCCATGCTGAACTGTGAGTCAATTAAACCTCTTTCCTTTATAAATTACCCAGTCTTGGGTATGTCGTGAGACTAGACTAATACAAACCTCATTCTGAGTGTGTCTGATTCTGGATGGGATTAACATTTGAGTCTGTAGCTTGAGTAAAGCAGATTACTCTGCAGGGTACTCAGATTACTTTGTAGAGTAAAGCAAATGATCTCTCCAATGTGGTTGGGCCTCAACCAGTCTGTCAGAGGCCTGAATAGAGCAAAAGGTGGAGTAAGGAAGAACTTGATCTTTTTGCCTGTTTTAAAACTGGGGCATCAGTCTTCTCCTGCACTAAGACTGGAGCTTACACTATTGGTTCTTATGGTTCTTAGACCTTTGGGTTTGGACTGGAACTGTACCACCAGCTCTCCAGTATCTCTGACTTGTAGGTGGTAGATCATGGAACCCTCAGCCTTCATAATCACATAAGCCAATTTGTTTTAATGAGTCTCTTTTTATATACATTCTTTTCTTTTCTTTTTTTTTTTTTTTTTTTGAAATGGAGTTTCACTCTTGTCACCCAGGCTAGAGCGCAATGGTGCGATCTCAGCTCACTGCAACCTCCACCTACCAGCTTCAAGTGATTCTTCTACCTCAGCCTGCTGAGTGGCTGGGATTATAGGCATACACCACCACACCCAGCTAATTTTTCTATTTTTAGTAGAGACAGGGTTTCACCATGTTGGCCAGGATGGTCTTAATCTCTTGACCTCGTGATCCACCCACCTCAGCCTCCTAAAGTGCTCGGATTACAGGCGTGAGCCACCGCACCCAGCCTTTTCTTTTTTCTACTGGCTTTGTTTTCCTGAAGAGCTCTGACCGATACACCTTCTCTGCAAATTTAAATTTGTTTCCAACTAGAAGCAGAAGGCAGGGTAGAATTTTTCTCCTCAAAATGTTGTAAGGACTAAAAGGAGAAAAGAGGCTCAATATCTTTTCCTAAACTCACTGTAAAATCTGGAATTCCCAGTAAGTTATTTCCCTTCAGATGCTAAACCCAGTGAAGTACATAAATTGTTTTAATGGAGATAAAGACTTTACCATGAGGTCAAACTCTAATTCAGTTGTCAGAAAGCAACTCTATAGTGAGTGCAGTGAAAGAATCAGCAAAACGTTCACCATAAAGGGCCAATTAGTAAATATGTTAGGCTTTTCAGGCCATACCTATCACCTTTGTTGGTACTACTCAAACATACCTTTGTAGAGCAAAAGCAGCCATGGACAACCCTTACATAAATGGGCATGGCTGTGTTCTAATAAAACTTTACTCACAAAAACAGGTGGAGGCCAATTGTTGCCTACAGACCATAGATTGCTAACCCCTGGTGTAGTGGTTTAGATAGAGCACAGACGGTAATGTCAGAATGCCTAAACTCAAGCTCTGACTCCACCAAGTATCTGTTCTGTAACCATGGGCAAGCCACTTAATCTCTATTAATAAAGTACCTACTTCTTAGGGCTGCTGTGAAGATTGAACACATTATGTGTCTCAGGTGTTTACGGAAGCATCTGAAACATAGCAAATGCTATAGGGGGTTATTCTTTTCAGCTCATCTACTTTGGCACCTGTAGGGGTGGAGTTTTTATACACCACCTGTTTTCTAAAAAGAACTTAAAGTATCCTGTAATGAAGTTATAATATGTCTTATAGAAGAAAATTTTTTGTACTATTGTTGACACAATCTGGAGCTTTAAAACATGTCACTGCAAATATTATGTAGTAATCTCATGCTTAGTAATGTACTCTGTTAGCAACAAAGAACATCTTATTGCACTAAAGACTGAGAAATTATCTTGAGAAAAAAACAGTTTAGATAACACTGGGGAAAAGAAAGTTTCAGCTTCTTCAGTGGTTAAATTTTGTCATATAACTTTTTAAGGTTTTGACACTTAGTTTTCCTCAATTACTCAATTTTTTCTTTTCTAATTCGGAATCTCCCAGTTGTTTAAACTGATAGAAAATATCTTAGTAAAAACATGATCATGTATTTATTTTTTATAAGGTCATTCATAATCATTTCACCCTAAATTATCTTTTCTTTCCACCACTTTGATCATTTTACACTCATGAAAACTCTAAAGAAGGTTTTAATTATTCTATATACAACATGACCAAGTGCTTCATCTTCGAGTCCCCAGCTCCCTTCAGATTTCTCAGGACCCTCCTTCACTACCCTTTACTCTCCCACTCATCTGTTCCCCTCCACCCAGATAGGGAAGCACTTCAGGCCTTTCATCTGTGCATTCCCAGGGCCTGAGCTATGTCTGGAATGTCTTCTCCCTCGCCTCTTCATAGTTCCCTCCCGTCTATCATTTATGGAGCTTAGCAGATCACACCTTCTCCTCAGCCTTCCCAGAGTAACTGAAAATGCAGGAGTTCCCTCCCTCCTGCCTTGCCTTTAGAAGATAGGAAATTGTGCCTGCAAATGCAAGAGGGCATGCACCACAAACATGTCATACTTTTTAACTGCAGTACTCTAATCGTTGCATTTTGTGTGATTCAAATATCATTCTTTACAGTTGTGCTCTTCATTACTGATTGCTAATTTAAATAAGATAGAGTTAGGAACTTGCTGTGTCCCCTGTTCGAAGAATTTGCTTTCTGGGAACCAGGACCTCTAGATCAGAGCGTAATAAGGACAGGAGGCACAGATTCCCCAAGAAGGTTACTGGGAGTGATGGTAGTTAGTATGTGGTAAGCAGAATGGCACCCAAATATGTCTACACTTGAGTCCCAGGAACCTGTGAATATGATGTTACATGGCAAAAGAGACTTTGCTGATCTAATTAAAGTTATAAGCCTTAAGATGAAAAGATTACCCTGGATTATTTGAGTGAACCCAATCTAATCACATGAGCCCTTAAAAACAAAAAAAAATTATCCAGCTTGAGTCAAAGAGGTGCAATAAAAGTGAAGTCAGAGAGATTTGAAGCGTGAAAGAGACTTGATCTGCCATTGCTTGACAGGGACACATGGAAAGCATGAGAGGGAATGCAGGCAGCTTCTAGGAGCCAAGACCAGCCCCAGCTAACAAGCAGCAGAGAAACACGGACCTTAGTCCTAAGACTAGAATTAAATTTGAAAGAACTAAATTTGACCAACAACATGCATGAACTTGGAAGCGGATTCATCCCTAGAGCTTCCAGAAAGATGTACAGGCTCCCCAACACCTTGATTTCAGCTTTGTGAGACTCTAAGCAGAGACCAAGCCAAGTCTACAAGATATTTAACTTAAAGAGCTGTGAAATAATAAATGGTTATTGTTTTTAAGTTTTGGTATTTTATTATGGCAATAATAGAAAACTTATACAATAGGCCACTCCTACTTTAAACTCTTGGCTTCCCATCTTGTGTGTTCTATCTGTTGTAAACAGAGCACCATGTAATGGTTGGTGATTTAGGGTATATTCTGTGTTACGGAAGATGGTTCCCCATCCTCACAGATCATCACAACGCTAGTGCCTCCCTACGCCTCAAGCAAGCCATTCCAATATTCTATTAGTTTGGCAGCTTCTAAGAGTGCAACATGAGATAGAACCAGCAAATCTCATATTCACATAGCCATTGTCCTACATATGCCTTCCGATAGTAGTGCTAGCTAAGACGCTATGAGAGGGAAAGACAAACACATACCCAGAACATTTATCAATTATAATTAATTAAGAGAAACTACAGCCCCTTCCAGAATAAAAGGGTTTCAATGTAATCAACTTGCCATTATATAGCTGGTTGGTTTCCTTAAGGGATGATGCTTCACTGGGGTCTCAGTATTTTCTTATGTCGCCAACATTGGGACATCAGCAGTTTTAGTAGCTACATCAGCCTTGCTGAGTGGGAGACCATGCTATGGTGAGCCCATGTGTAGCACCCACCCTTGCTACCGTGGATACTGCATTGATTAATCAAATGACAGAGGCTACCTCATGTCAACCAACTGGGTTATTCTATCTACCTGGTTGTTTAGTGTGCTTTCTTAGCAGTTAATATTTTATGGGTGTTAACATGGAACACAAAGATAGTCTCACTTTGCAAATCCAAGAGGATCTTGGTTGATCCAAGAGGTCTAAATTAATTCTCCTACTGGTACCTCCAGACAACTGAATCCCCAAAAACCTTACTGCAAAACCTGAGTACTCACTAAGTTTATCTCCTATCTTCTGGAGCATATGTCTCACCAAGTGCTCCAACATACTTGCTATTCTTGCTTATCTATTGCTATTAAATGGTGTCATCATTATATTGGACAATATGATGCTCTGTGGAATGTCCAGATAGTGCAAGTCCCTTTGGACTACATAGTGACAAAGGATGGGAGTATTAACATAGCCCTAGAGCAAGACTACAAATGTATACTGTATAGGCAGCAACTAAGAGGTCCACAAAAGAGCGATTGTAGTTCCTTTGAAGGCTCTAGGCAATTGGAAATTTTTAGCACCTTTCCTTTCATTTATTGCAGCCTTTTTGTATACCCTATGTGAAAACACCAGCCCTCCGTGGAGCATATGGGAAAAGACAATCTCTGAGGTTATTGTAATTAATGATTGTTTTAGTCCATTCAGGCTGCTATAACAAAATACCATAAACTAAGTGGCTTATAAACAGCAGAAGTTTATTTCTCACAGTTCTAGTGGCTGGGAATCCCAAGATCAAGATGCCAGCAGATTCAATGTCTTGTGTAGGGCCTCCTTCTCTTAGACAGCCACCTTCTCACTGTAACCTTACATAGTGGAAAGAGCAAGGGATCTGCTGGATCTGCCTCTATATCAAGGGATCTGCCTTTACAAAGGCACTAATCCTATTTGTGTGGGTTCCACCCTCATGATTTAATCATCTTCCAGAAGGCCCCATTTCCAAATACCATCACCTTGGGGATTAGAATTTCAATTTTTATGAATTGGGGAAGGTGTCGGACACAAGCTCTCAGATCATAGCAGTGGGTAAAGCTAAGAGATGTTAAGGTCTGGTGGTTTCCCACACTTTAGTGGGACTCAACTGTCATGTAGCTGGTCTTGTGCTTTTTAAATTTAGACTGATCTCTAGGAAACCAAGCTATGCTATAAGAAACTCCAAACAGACTGGCTTATGATGTTGTATTTAATTCCCAGGCCACTTTCTAATAGTAGTATGTTGGAGAATGCTACTAGAAATCATAAAGTTGTTTGACACTATGAAAAAATAAAAAGACTGATTCTTTCTAGAGGGATTATTTACCTAGGCTACAGTAAAGCCAAAAAAAAATGTCCAGTTCTACTATGGAATGTACACGTTCAGCATCTATTTTTCTTATATAATTATGCCAACCAGTTAGTCCACTTAATGCTCAAGTAGAACTGGCTAACCAACACTGACAAGTTGCTTACTAATCAGCTGCACTTTCCAATATTCCTTATCAAATACCAAAGCCTTCTACCTTTATTTTACCCCATGTTATTATTTCCAGAATTATAGTTTACCTTTAGATACATTTCTCATTAGCTTCTTATGAGATTTTTTCAGGAGGAATGATTCCAATGATCAAAAAACAACAGGCCCACTGCTCAGAAGATCTCTGAAAATGGTGAATTCTACTTTCTGTGGTGAGATAGACACATTTGAAGCTTATCTGTAAATTTGTGGGTATAAGATGAGGGTCAGGGCTGGAAGTGCATCTTTATACCTTCAGCTTCATTCCTTTACTGCCTTCTTACTTAACATAGCATGGTGTACGGAGGGCTCTGCTCCTGCATGTACCCTACGACCTTTGCTAGGATTTCATCTGCATGAGAAGGATGGGAAACAAGGAAGTGGCTTCTTCAAATACAAAAAGAGGATTGCACCTCAGAGTTGGCAAGGAAACAGCAAAAGAAACTAAATAGGAATGAACACCTGGAGGAGATGTTGGAATTCCATTTTCAGTTCAGGTCTGTGATTATTGCAGACTTTTGTCACTCTGTAATAAATCACAGAGCTGTATTTTAGTGTAAAAAAATAATTTGTATGTAGATGAAAGCAATGTATTTGAAAAGGAAAACACACACAAAAAAAAGTTAACGCTAACACTTACTGAGTGCTTACTATTTGCCAGGACTTCAAAAGTGGTTTCTTTGTATTAACTCATTGAATCCTCACGATTCTATAAGACTTCTGCTACAATTATTTCCATTTTAACAGATGGGGAAATTGAATCCAGAAATGTGACAAGCCAGAAATGTGACAAAAAGTAACACAACTAGTGCTATGGTTTGATTGCTGTGTCCTCTCAAAATTCGTATGTTGAAACTTAATCACCAATGTGATGGTATTAGAAAGCGAGGCCTCTGGGAGAGCTCCAACCTCATGAATGGGATTAGTGCCCTTATAAAAGAGCCCCCAGAGTGCTGTCTTGCATCTTCCACCACAAAAGAACACACCTAAAAGGAGCCATCTATAAGCCAGAAAGTGGGCCTTTATGGGACACCAAATCTGCTGGTGACTTAATCTTGGACTTCTCAGTCTCCAGAACTGTATGCAATAAATTTCTGTTGTTTATAAGCTACAGTGTATGGTTCATTGCCATAGCAGCCCAAAAGAGCTAATGCAGCTAATAAGTGGGAGAGCCAGGATTCATCAGAGTTTGGCTGAGACTATAAACTGTATTAATCTAACACATGCATAGCTAAACCCCCTCACCTCCAGAAATATTTAGAGCTGCCATTGTTACTCTTTTTTTTTTTTTTTTTTTTTTTGAGACGGAGTCTGGCTCTGTCGCCCAGGCTGGAGGGCAGTGAAGATGATGAAAGAAAAAACAAATCATATTCCACCTAAACCTAAGGCAGTAGTTAATTTACATATACTTGAATAATGTATGCAGGCCTGTCCCCTTTCTGCCCCATTATTTACCTAATTAACTATAAACTTCTCAATCTAGAGTTCAGGTCCCTGCATGACTATGTCTCCAACCTGCCTGTATTAACCCTGTCTTTTATTTTCTGTACTCTGATGCTTTTAAAATCTGAGATCTTGCTGACTCTGGAGAAACTGCGCCTCTCATGGTTAGCCAATTCCTAGAGACAGAAAACTACTTAACCAAGACAGGGCTTTGTAATGGCAAACCAACCTATCCAAACCCTGAACCACTTCATTATTGGGCTGTCACTATCTGGGCCACTATCCACCTGCCCTCATCACTCAAGGGCCAGGTACCAGAAAATTAGGAAAAGTCTCTATGTCTCAAAGCCCACTGGAATTATTCAAACCAGCCAATCTTAGCTTGCTTTTCCTGCCTCGCCCATGCCTTTCCACAGGAACTACAATAAAATCTCTCACCCACACTTCTCTTCTTTCCTCTGCCCCCTGACTGACACAGGAGTTTCCTTGTGTGATACCCTCTGCAGGATGTGTCATGCCTCAAGGGCTAAGTCAGGTGGGTGCCCTTCCTGGACTTAGCTTTTCCCCTTTGCTATAAACTAAACATATATGTCCCCTAAAAGTTCATATGTTGAAATCCTGGCTTCCAATGTAATAGTATTTGGAGGTAGTACCTCCAAGAGATGATCAAGTCATAAGGTGGAGACCTCATGAATGGGATTAGTGTCTGCATAAAAGAGGCTTGAGAGATCTCTTTTGCCCCTTCTACTATATGAAGACACAGGGAGAAGATGGTCATCTATGAACCAGGAAGCAGGCTGGCACCAGAACCAAATCAGCTGGCACTTGGACCTTGGACTTTCCAGCCTCCAGAACTGTCAGAAATGAATTTCTGTTGTTTGTAAGCTATCCAGGCTATGATGTTTTTGTAATAGCAACCCAAACATACTAAGGCACTTTCATTTAGAAAAATATCATTCCTGGCTTCCATCATCTGTGTCTTTGTTGATGCTATTCTCCTGTGTTCTTCTTCCCCAACCACAACCCCATCACCTTTTCCTATGTGTGTACTCATCCTGATGTTTTAAATCAGACTTTAGGAAACTAGAAATTAATAAGATCCTTCCTCCTTTGAATATGCAAAATAAGATTTTATGGCATTTCTTATACTCTTCCTTATAATATATAATATCTTCCTACTATTGAGAGGGAAGGGATTACATTTTATTTATTTTGTAATCTACTGAAGTCCTTAGCAAAATTTAATCATTCATTAATTTATTTATTCATCAAGTAATATTTTTTGATCACCTACTAAATGTCAGACACTACAAGGAATGAATAAATAAGTCAATATTCCTGAAGAATTTCAGAGAAACCAGATGAATAGAGTTCTGAAAGATGAACAGGATGTGTCCAAAATAAAAAGTGAGATGTAGATTATGAGGTTGGGCAGTGTAAACGCAAGAAAAAAATATACTAAAGCCTGATAGCTCATGAGGGTGTTTGGGGACTTCCGTCAGTCTGGTATGCTGGGATCAGTGGTTCATAGTCAGGAATGCTCATTAAAATCATTCACAAAATTTTTTCAAAATATACATGTCCAGCCCCAGCACCAAGTATATTTTAAATTTCTACAAAGATGAGAAAGAATCAATGCAAAACACTGAAAACTCAAACAGCCAGAGTGCCCCTTTTCCTCCAAATGACCACAACACCTCTTCACCAAAAGCTTAGAACTGGGCTGAGGCTGAGATGGCTGAAATGACAGAAGTAGGTTTCAGAATGTGGGTAACAACAAATTTTGCCAAAGAAGCATGTTGTAACCCAATGAAAAGAAGCTAAGAATCATGATCAAATAACTCAGGAGCTGACAGCCAAAATAACCAACTTAGAGAGGAACATAATTGACCTGTTAGAGCTAAAAAACCACCCTACAAGAACTTCACAATGCAATCACAAGTATTAATAGCAGAATAGACCAAGCAGAGAAAAGAATCTCAGAGCTTGAAGACTCTTTCCAAAATAAGAGAGACAGTCAAAAATAGAGAAACAAGAATTCAAAGGAATGAATAAAACCTCTGAGAAATATGAGACTATGTAAACAGACCAACTCTATGACTTATTGAGATATCTGAAAGAGATGGAGAGAATGGAACAAAGTTGGAAAACATACTTCAGGATATCATCCAGGAGAACTCCCCCAATCTAGCAAGAACTGCCAATCTTCAAATTCAGGAAATCCAGAGAACTTAAGTAAGATACTCCATGAAAAGATCATCCCCAAGACACATAATTTTCAGATTCTCCAAGTTTGAAATAAAAGAAAAAATATTAAGGGCAGCCATAGAGAAAGGCCAGGTCACCTACACAGGGAAGCCCATCAGACTAACAGCAGACCTCTCAGTAGAAAGCCTACAAGCTAGAAGAGAGTGGGGGCCAATATTCAACATTCTTAAAGAAAAAATTTCCAACCTAGAATTTCATATCTGGCCAAACTAAGCTTCATAAGTGAAGAAGAAATAAGATCCTTTTCAGACAAGCAAGTTCTGAGGTTAAATTCATTACCACCAGGCCTGCCTTGCAATAGCTCCCGAAGGAAGCACTAAATATGGAAAGGAAAAACTATAACCATCCACTACAAAAACACACTGAAATACACAGACCAGTAGCACTATGAAGCGACCACATAAACAAGTCTGCAAAATAACCAGCTAGCATCATGATGACAGGATCAAATTCACACATAACAACACTAACCTTAAATGTAAATGGGCTAAGTGCCCCAATTAAAAGACAGAGTGACAAGCTGGATAAAGAGACAAGACCCATCAGTATGCTGTCTTCAAGAGCCCCATCTCATGTCCAAAGACACACATAGGCTCAAAATAAAGGGATGGAAGAAAATTTACCAAACAAATGGAAAACAGAAAAAAAAGCAGGGGTTGCAATCCTAGTTTCTGACAAAACAGACTTTAAACCAAGAAGAATCAAAAATGACAAAGGAGGGCATTACATAATGGTAAAGCATTCCATTCCACAAGAAGAGCTAACTGTCCTAAAAATATATGCTCCCAATACAGGAGCACCCAGATTCATAAAGCAAGTTATTAGAGACTTCAAAGAGATTTATAATCCCACCCAATAATAGTGGAAGACTTTAACACCCCACTGACAATATTAGACATAACATCAAGACAGAAAATCAACAAATATTTCAGGACTTGAACTCAAGTCTGGATCAAGTGGACCTGATAGATATACACAGAATTCTCTATGCAAAAATGACAGAATAGACTTTCTTCTTATTGCCACATGGCACTTACTCTAAAATTGATCACCTAATGGGAAGTAAAACACTCCTCAGCAAATGCAAAAGAACTGACATCATAACAAAGAGTCTCTCATACCACAGTGCAATCAAAGTAGAACTAAAGATGAAGAAACTCACTCAAAACCACACAACTACATGGAAACTGAACAATCTGCTCCTGAGTAACTCTTGGGTACATAATGACATTAAGGCAGGAATCAAGAAGTTTTTTGAAACTAATGAGAACAAAGAGACAATGTACTAGAATCTCTGGGACTCAGCTAAAGCAGAGTTAAGAGGGTAATTTATAGCAGTAAATGCCCACATCAAAAAGTTTGAAAGATCTCAAGTTAACAATGTAACATCACAACTAAAATAACTAGAGAACCAAGAGCAAATAAACCCTGAAGCCAGCAGAAGACAAGAAATAACCAAGATCAGAGCTGAACTGAAGGAGATAAAACACAAAAAACCCTTCAAAAACAATCAACGAATCCTGTAACTGTTTTTTTAATAATAAAATAGATAGACTGCTAGCTAGATTAATAAAGAAGGAAAGAGAAAAAATTTCAAATAAACACAATCAGAAATGATAAGGGCGATATCACTGCTGACCTCACAGAAATACAAAAACCATCAGAGAATACTATAAACACCTCATTACACACAAACTACAAAATCTAGAAGAAATGAATAAATTCCTGGACAAATATACCCTCCCAAGATTGAACCTGGAAGAAATTGAATCCCTGAGTAGACCAGTAATGAGTTCTGAAATTGAGGCAGTAATAAATAGCCTACCAACAACAACAACAAAAAAGCCCAGGACCAGATGGATTCACAGCTGAACTCTACCAGAGGTAGAAAGAAGAGCTGGTACCATTTCTACTGAAACTATTCTAAAAATTTAAAAAGAAGGGACTCCTCACTAACTCATTCTATGAGGCCAGCATCATCCTGATACCAAAACCTGGCAAAGATATTATACAACAAAAACAGAAAACTTCAGGCCAATAACTTAAATGAAAGTCAGTGCAAAAATCCTCAACAAAATACTGGCAAATTTAAGCTAGAAGCACATCAAAAAGCCTATCCACCACAATCAAGCAGGCTTCATCCCCGGCATGCAAGGTTGGTTTGGCATATGCAAATCAATTTGATTCATCACATAAACAGATCTAATGACAAAAACCACATGATTATCTCAATAGATGTAGAAAAGACCTTCGATAAAATTCAACATCCCTTCATGTTAAAAACTCTTAATAAGCTAGGTATTGAAGGAACATACCTCAAAATAATAAGAGCCATATATGACAAACCCCCAACCAATATACTCAATGGGCAAAAGCTGGAAGCATTCCCCTTGAAAACTGGTGCAAGACAAGTTTGCCTTTTCTAACCACTCCTGTTGAACATAATGTTGCAAATTCTGGCTGAGGCAATCAGGCAAGAGAAAGAAATCAAGGGCATCCAAACAGGAAGAGTGGAAGTCAAACTCTCTTTGTTTGCAGATGACATGATCCTATATCTAGAAAGCCCCATTGTGTCATCCCAAAAGCTTCTTAAGCTGATAAGCAACTTTGGAAAAGTCTCAAGATACAAAATCAATGTGCAAAAATTGCTAGCATTCCTATACATCAACAACAGGCAAGCAGAGAGCCAAATCATGAATTAACTCCCCCTCACAATTGCCACAAAAAGAATAAAATGCCTAGGAATACGTCTAAGAAGGGAAGTAAAGGACCTCTTCAAAGAGAACTATAAACCACTTCTCAAAGAAATTAGAGATGACATGAACAAATGGAGAAACATTTCATGCTCATGAATAGGAAGAATCAATGTGGTAAAAATGGCCATACTACCCAAAGCTATTTATAGATTCATTGCTATTCCCATTGATACTATTCTCAGAATTAGAAGAAACTATTTTAAAATTCATATGGAACCAAAAATCCTGAATAGCCAAGACTATCCTAAGCAAAAAGAACAAAGCTAGAGGCATCATGCTACCTGACTTCAAACTATACTACAAGTCTAAAGTAACCAAAACAGGATGGTACTGATACAAGAACAAACATATAGGCCAGTGGAACAGAATAGAGAACACAGAAATAAGATCACACACTTACAAACACCTGATTTTCAACAAACCTGACAAAAACAAACAATAGAGAAAGGATTCCCTATTTAATAAATGGTGCTGGGAGAACTGGCTAGACCCATGCAGAAAATTGAAACTGGACCCCTTCCTTATACCATATACAAAAATCAATTTGAGATGGATTAAACACTCAAATGTAAAACCCAAAATTATAACAACCCTAGAAGAAAACTAGGCAATACCATTCAGGACATAGGCATGGCAAAAGTTTCATGATGAAATCATCAAAAGCAATTGCAACAAAAGCAAAAATTGACAAATGGAATCTAATTAAACTAAAGAGCTTCTGCACAGCAAAAGAAATTATCATTAGAGTGGACAGACAACCTACAGAATGGGAGAAAATTTTTGCAATCTATCCATCTGACAAAGGTCTAATATCCAGAGTCTACAAGGAACTTAAGCAAATTTACAAGAAGAAAAAAAACACTATTACAAAGTGGGCAAAGAACATGAGCAGACACTCCTCAAAAGAACACATGCATGCAGGCAGCAAACATATTCTAAAAAGCTCAACATCACTAATTATTAGAGAAATGCAAATCAAAACCACAATGATATACCACCTCACACTAATCATAATGGCTATTATTAAGAAGTCAAAAAACAACACATGCTGGTGAGGTTGTGGAGAAAAAGGAATTCTTTTACACTGTTAGTGGGAGCATAAAGTAGTTCAACAGTTGTGGAAGACAGTGTAACAATTCCTCAAAGACCTAGAGGCAGAAATACCATTTGACCTAGCAATCCCATTACTGGGTATATACCCCCCAAAATATAAATCATTATATTATAAAGATATATGCATGTGTATGTTCATTGCAGCACTATTCACAATAGCAAAGACATAGAATCAACCTAAATGCCCATCAATGATAGACTAGATAAAGAAAATATTGTACATATACACCATGGAATACTATGCAGCCATAAAAAGGAACAAGATCATATCCTTTGCAGGGACATGGATGGAGCTGGAAGCCATTCTCCTCAGCAAACCAGCACAGGAACAGAAAACCAAATACCTCATGTTCCCGCTTATAAGTGGTAGCTGAATGATGAAAACACATGGACATATGGAGAGGGGAGCGACACCCACCTGGATCTGTCAGAGGGTAGGGGGAGGAGAAAGAGCATCAGGAAGAATAGCTAATGTGTGCTGGGCTTAATACCTAAGTGATGGGATGATCTGTGCGGCTAACCAACATGGCGCACATTTATGTATGTAACAAACTTGCACATCCTGCACATATACCCCTGAACTTAAAATTTTAAAAAAGAATTATTAGAAAAAAAAAGAATTAGCTCCCAGGTGATTGTCCCCTTTTATGTCTCCATGGCCATTGATTCTTGTCATTTATTTATTCATTCAAGAAATATAATTTGAGTAGCTACTATTTGTATGACCCAGTGCTGGTTGTTGGTGAAACAGGATTGAATAAAACAAATAAAATTTCTTCTTTCAATCATTCCGTAATTCCCTGGGGCTACAGCCACTTTGGTATTGTATAGATACGTTCCTACCATTCCACATGCATAGCTGATATGTTTCAGGCTGCCACATCCCATAGTTGTCATTGGGCCTCCAAGTCACATTCTTCTGTGTAGGTCACTGTCACCAGTGACTCTACTACTGTCATACTACTGTCACACTGTCAGTAATATGTCAAACTGGACCCCTTCCTTACACCGTATACAAAAATCAACAATATATGTATTAAAGACTTAAATGTAAAACCCAAAACTATAAAAATCCCAGAAAAAAATCTAGGCAATACCATTCAGGACATAGGCATGGGCAAAAATTTCATGACAAAGACTCCAAAAGCAGTTGCGAAAAAAGCAAAAATTGACAAATGGGACCTAATTAAACTAAAGAGCTCTGCTCAGGTCAACCTCAACTCAAAATGGATAAAGAAACTCTCCTTTTTCTCTGTTGTTAAGCTCTTTAAAAAAAAAAAAAAAAAAAGCCCCATCGCAAGGCTACTTAGAACTTCAGCTGGTAGGGTTCTTTTAACTTTTTAAAGTAGATTTCCTTCCTCCAGAACATAGCGTTATCATTATTGTGGCAAGAAAATGTGCAGTTCAGGTAATAGCCAGAACACTGTCTCTGAAACAATCACTGACCCTGTGGCTGATCTAGTTATTCATGCCAACTTTTTTTCCTCCAGGTTGAATTTTCTCCCAGGCCCCAAATATCCATTTTCTTTCCCCTGGAGAGAATCTCAGGGTACTTTGGTTAATGGAAATAGATGGCGTCAGAGAGATGAGGAGAGGCCATTCAATCTTCATTGAGTTTGGCTGGGACACCAGGTGACTTACACTGTACTCAGAAATTCAGACCCTATCCCATCAAGAATGAGCAACCACAGTCAGAGAGAGCTCTTTCAGAGGAATTTGCAAGCATTCATGTTTCACCATTTAGCAATATAAGTAAACTGTCTTCTGGGAAATGTTGACACTAAATATACTGTGATATAAAAACATTGGTTAAGAGTCTCAAATTGCTAATGCTATTTTTCCTTCCCAGGAGAAATTTTAAAATCAGTAATTTTGATGATAGTTAGCGACTTCAGCCTTATCAAGGGGAATTTGTCCACAGAACTCCCAGGTTTAAGTTTCAGAAGCAATCATAACTGTTGATTCCCCTCTAGTAAATGCTAAACTACAGTAGAGTCCCACGTCTTACTTGGGTCAATAGGTGTTTATGCAGGATTTGCCCTAGAAACAGATTAAATTCAAGAATCTGGTAAAGGTGACTATTGAAAGGAAATCCTTGAAACAATTATTGTTAAGCAACAGGTTTAAGAGGCAAGTTTTAGGTTTAAACAACGGTTGAACAATGGAAGATTAAAATGATGAAGTCTTTTGAATATTGTGATATTATTTTTCCTCAATTCTCCCAAGTTTCTTATTACATGCTTTTGGATGGGCTTTTGCTTTTAACCGAGTATGTCAATACTAAGGCACCAATACGGCAGTTCCTTCCAAATGTGACCATACAGTCTTCTGTTTTTAAAATGCACATATTCTTCATGTATAATTGATATTCACACCATATTATCTACTCATGTCTTGCATTTGTCTTTTTAATATTCTAGAGTCTATATACCTTCTTATGTACTTTTACAATCAAGACCCCTCAGAAAGTGAAGTTTTTCTTTTTTTTTTTAGTTGTGAATATATACATTTGTTTATTTTAGATATTTCAAGGATTGAAGAAGATGTGATTTTTACATCTTCCATCTAAATTTAATATAACTTATAGGAATCTAAATGTTTTAACTACTTTAGGAATCTGTTTGACATTATCATCTGGAGTAAACTAAGCCTTTCTTCTCCTAAATATATACCCCCCAAAAAACCCTTGCATATGTTTAGCAAGATATATTTTTCTTTTTTTATTTTATTATTATTATACTTTAAGTTTTAGGGTACATGTGCACAATGTGCAGGTTAGTTACATATGCATACATGTGCCATGCTGGTGTGCTGCACCCATTAACTCGTCATTTAGCATTAGGTATACGTCCTAATGCTATCCTGCCCCCCTCCCCCCACCCCACAACAGTCCCCAGAGTGTGATGTTCCCCTTCCTGTGTCCATGTGTTCTCATTGTTCAATTCCTACCTATGAGTGAGAACATGTGGTGTTTGGTTTTTTCTCCTTGTGATAGTTTACTGAGAATGATTTCCAATTTCATCCATGTCCCTACAAAGGACATGAACTCATCATTTTTTATGGCTGCATAGTATTCCATGGAGTATATGTGCCACATATACTTACCTGGCAGGGGAGATACCATGATCACAAAAGTGAAGTTTTTCTATGCTGCATTTAGTTTACTGATACAACTGGCAATTATAAGTTTAATTGGTGGATTGTGATGGCAGATGCACATAGTAGCCCCAAAGTCATCTAATTGCCGATTTTGGAGATTCCTGCATATCCAAGACTTAGAACAACATAGCCTATCTCTGTCTACATCAATTTATTTATATCTTGTCTGTACTGGAGGTCCCCAGAGTGCTACAATTAGCACTTTTTCTGTTACTTTTTAGACTTAGTTTAATAGATATTCCATTCCCTATAATATTGGTATATAAAATTCAGATAAGCATTTTACAATCCTAGGGTTTTTAGAGACCTTTTATTCCTCCCAATAACATTGATCTAACATTCAGACTAACATTAATGACTAACATTAATGTCTAGACTCACTAGTTTTTATCTGTTACAATTTGGTAATTTTCAGAACCCATTAAATAAGCTATGAGATTAGAATGTTTTTCTAAAAAGATAGCAAGAAAATACATCAAGATTATTTTTTCTGCTGAAAAGACAACTGGCACCATTTCCAAAGAATGTAATCAATAGATGTCACATGGCTTTTTGTTGAAATGTCAATGAAAAATAATTGATCATCATCTTTTACTTTGCAGGCACTATAAATTTTTCATGGATACTGTTATTTATCACCACTTTCATTAACAGTATTAAAATTTTCTATAATTGAAATTTTATCAAATTTAACAATGAAAGCAAAAAGACTTAAAAACTGAGGTTTAATTTGCTGAAAAAACAACATAACATTGCTGCTGAGTTCTACCTTGTATTCTTCATCATTTTTCCCCCGTTTAAAAATTTCATTTTCTTCCTCGCCAATGGCTCATAATAACAGCTTTGTCTGGCCTCTGAATTATTTCTTGTCACTTAATGCCAGCTGGAGTCTCAAGGAGTCCTGGCTTCACTTCTAGCTTTTAACTTGTCCAGACTGTAGGTCATTAATTGTTAAGTAAAATAGCTGAAGATCGGATAAAGTTGCTTAACCCCTCCCAGGCCAATGGCCCGTGCAGCCTGCGATCTCTCCTCTGTGAGTCATTCTGCTTCCCTCAGAGCAATTAGAGGGTCAGTTCTGGATGGTTTCAGACAGTATCCTTTGGTTGAACTCAATATTTCTTCTCTAGGGCACTAAAAGAGTTAAGTAACATTAAAATCGAAATGTATTTGCACTTTACCCTTTTCATCATTTGTGCTGTTGTTTGGATGTATATGGCACTTCTGCCTTGCTTTTCCTCCCACTACTTCATATGCATGGTTATTAAAGACTGGGCCAATTAAAGTGGAGGCTGTCACGTACTTAGGCTGTTATTTAATGTATTTCTTTTGTTTACTTCATTAACTCATTAATTTCCTCTTTCCCCCAAATTGTTCATGGTGGCTTATACAAATACAGAAAATGAGTGTGGAAAGTGTATGTTTGTGCATGCGTGTATTTGTATTTAGAGAATACCCAGTACAGAAAAAAAGTACAAATGTAAAACATACAATATATTAAGTAGCAGGCAGAAACATGTCTAATTACATGTAATAAATATATTTAAAACATTAATATATAATGAAATATTTACATATAATTATACACAATATTAATTTATTAATTCCAGGCATATTAAATAGAATCTGAGAGCATAAGAAAATCACAGAGAAAAAATGTACAAACCTGTTTTCATATGAAAAATTGCAAATCAAGGTATTTGTTCTATTTAGAGTTTGATACTTGCATTAGAGTTGCTTTTTGAACAAAATACTTATGAAAACCTATACAAGGCAATGCAAAAAAACAGAAATGCAAAGCTGCCCTGTTCTTTGCCCCAGCCCCTGCTCACCTACTCATGTTTAATTTCCTTAATGGTTGTACTTTTTTTTTAAGTGAAAGGACCTTATAAAGATAAGGGTACATTAGAATCCATTAACACCATTAGGGCAAGTGTCTTAAAGAAAATCCATTGAGCATAACAAAAATGCTGAATTTCTACTCTCTTCAACATTTTTTTTTCATTTAGCTCCCAGGACTATAGCCAGATGGGGTACATTTCAAAGCACCTTAATACCATTTATATTTTATTTGTGGGATATCATGACCACAGATAAACCTTGGGAAGGACAGACCCGTTTACTGAAGCCTTGAGTTGGGCCACATGACGTAAACTGCACACAGACAGTTTCCAGCTGCAAAAACATTTAAATTCCATTTACAGCTCTAAACTATGATCCTGTCTTTGAAAATTCACCCTAGACCCTCAGCCCAGTGCTTGGTGGACTACCTATATGAAGACACTTTTACTTTACAGAAAACTGAATGCAGTCTTAGTAAGCTTTTAGTAGGGTCATAGGACTATTGTCAAAGGGCTTTAAATTTAATAAAAAGAGGAAGACATAGTTACACAAAAAGAACTACCATGGCTAAAATCTTAATTTTGTTTACTGCCACTTCGCTACCTGTTAAAAACCACAAACAGAAAAGTTTTATTTTGACCTTAAGGACAGGTCTATAAAAATGACTGTCTCAAGTCTAATGAAAATTTGATACTCAAGAGTAAAAAAGGAAGTTTTAAGAAAGAGAAAGGCAAATTTCAATCTGTATTTTCAGGAGGAAAAAGAAAGCAACTTATGTAATAAATAAGAGTGTGCCCACATTTAATTTGACACCATTACCTAGTGCAGTACTTTTGGCCATTTGGTTAGGTTGCTTTGTATTTTCAGTTTTTATCTATCATTCTTTAAGCTGTGTATCTCTTATTAAGCATTCATAGCACTTCTAGTTCATAGCAGTTGTTCACAACAATTTTCCAGAGGTCGCTAATGAAAGATGAGGCTTATGGACAGGAAAAATTTCAGTGTAACCCTCATTGACTCCTAGATATAACATGACTTCTCATATGCCCCTCAGAAAAATATATCATAATATAAAGAAAGCAAGAGAGGGGTAACTTTGAATACAGCCTGTTTCTTTATTGTAAATAATTTTAAAGGTCACTTCTTCCCCTTCTAAGACATGCCCAAAGCAGTAAGTCAAACCCAATATATAATGACAGTAGTGGTTAGGAGTACAAACTAGTGTAGGCAGTCCTGGGTTTGAGATCCACCTATGCCATTTACCAGCTGTGGGACCTTAGGCAGAGTACTTAACTTCTCCCATTTTTTCATCTATAAGATGGGGACAAGAATAGTACCAACATGATAAGATTCAAGAGAAGACCAAAGAACATTACATGTTAGTTACAATGCCTGGCACATACTAAATAAATGCCCTATTAAGAATCTCCAGTTTAGAGAAGTTCTGGCATTAAAAACCTTAGTTCAAAAATATTGTTCAGGTATCAAAAGCCTACTTCCATCCATAATGGAGAAACAAGGTCTGGATATATCTTTCCAGAATAAACAATTTTAAAACTAAACAAAACATATGAAACACCTATTTTCAAACACTGGACAACAGGCCAGCACAGGACTGTGATCTCTGAGAGGATAAAAACAAGTGAGGTGAATTATATAACTGCTCCAGCGTTTTACCTAGAGATATTTTCCAGACTATAGCATAGCTAAAAAGGCTAAGCAGAGAATTTTGAAAAGACAGAGTTTGGAGTTAAACATCAAAGTGGCTGAAGTTTGTGGGTTATACAGTTATCTACTATTTATTCTTTTTTGCCCTCTATGTCTTCTTTTGATTGAGCATATTTAAAAAATTTCATTGTATTCTCACTGTTGGCTTATTAGCTATTACTCTTTGTTTTATTTCTTTAACCCTTGGTTTTTGCCAGGATTTACAATATGCGACTTTATCTTATTGCAATCATTTTTCAAATAACAGTGTACCATTTAATATGTGACATAAAAATGCTATAACATTATACTTCCATTGTATCCCTATCATCTTTTGCGGTATAGTTATCATATATATTACTTCTACACAGGTTGTAAGCCTCATGCTAAATCAGCTTTATTTATTATTATTATTTTTTTTTTTTTGAGACGGAGTCTCGCTCTTTGGCCCAGGCTGGAGTGCAGTGGCACGATCTCGGCTCACTGCAAACTCCGCCTCCCGGGTTCACATCATTCTCCTGCCTCAGCCTCCCGAGTAGCTGGGACTACAGGCGCCCACCACCGCACCCAGCTAATTTTTTGTATTTTTAGTGGAGACGGGGTTTCACCATGTTAGCCAGGATAGTTTCGATCTCCTGACCTCATGATCCACCTGCCTCGGCCTCCCAAAGTGCTGGGATTACAGGCGTGAGCCATCACGCCTGGCCAGCTTTATTTTTAAAGCAATTAATTATGTTTTAAATAAGTTAAAAGTTAGAAAAGATTTTTTACTTATCTACTTAATTATTATTTCTGTCACTCTACATTCCTTTATGTAGCTCCACCTTTCCTCCAATACACTATTATTTTCCTTCTGTTTAAAAAACTTTCCTTCATATCTTTTGTAATGCAGGTGTGGTAGTGATAAATTCTTTCCTTTGTTTGTCTGAAAAACAGACTTTTATTTTAACTTCATATTTGACAGATTTCTAGGTTATTTTTTCTTCTTTTAGCACTTTAATGGTGTTGTCTCATTATCTTCTGGATTTTATAGTTTCTAATAGGAATCTCCTGTATTGCTTATATCTGTACATCATAGGCTTTTTCCTCCTTATGGTTACTTTAAAAGTTTCTCTTTCTGAGTGGTTTTAAGAGATTTAATCATGATAGACCTTGGTGTGTTTTTGCTTGTTATTTAATAATAACTTTAAATGATTTAAACCACAATTAAAAGAAAGACACTATCAAGTTGGAAAAAAAGAGCAAAACCTGATTATACTGTCTGTAAGAAACTCATTTTAAATGTAACAATGCAATTTGGTCAAAAATTAAAAGATGGAAGAATATATACCATGCAGCAAACACTAGTAATTGGAAATCTAGGACTGCCAATATTAACATCTGGCAAAGTGAACTTCAGAACAAGGAAAGTTACTAAGAACAAACAGGAACACTTCCTAAAGATACAAGCCTAATTCATCAAGAAAACAAAACATTCAGAATACATGTGCACCTAATAATGAAGCTTCAAAATTGTCATAGTAAAAACTGATAGAACTGGCACAGACACAGATATTTCACCATTTTTTCTCAGTAATTTAAAGAAAAAAGTAGAGAGAAAATCATATGGTTCTACTAGGCTTAACCAACACTGTCAACCAACTTGATCTAAACGATATTTAATATGACACTGTACCCAAAAACCAATACAGAATTTAATAGAACATTCCCTATAACTGAGCCATAAATATAAGATGTTTATATCAGAGGAAAAAAGATACAGTAGCAATGATCTATGCTTCAACTTTAGGAATCTAAAAAATTAAATAGAATAAAAACAATAATTAAGTGGGGAGAATAAATAGAAAGTGAACTGATAATATAGAAAATTAATAAAAGTTAATTTTTTGAAGTAAGAATAATCAAAATTATCAATTTGAGAAATAAAGGATATTATTACAGACCCTAGATATTAAAAGATAATAATAGAATATTACGAACCACTTTATATCAATAAATGTGAAAAGCTAGATGAAATAAATATCTTAAAAGATACAAATTATTAAAACTCAGAATTAAAAACCTTGCCAAAACACAAACTAATTCATAAAAATAAATTGTATCTTGGTAAATAATATGATAAATTGAATATTTAAGTAAAAATACCATTTCAATGACATCCAAAACCACAAAAACTTAAGTATAAATTTAACAAAAAATATGTGCAGGAATTTTACATTTAAAGTTATAAAACATCACCAAGAAAAATTAAAGATTTGAGTAAACAAAGTAAATTAAGAGAAATGCCATGTTTATAGATTTGAACACCGAATATTCCTAAGTCATTAATTCTTCCCAAATTGATCTATAGATTCAACACAATCCCATTCAAAATCTAAATCCAGTTTTTTTGCAAAATTGACAAGATGACTCTCAAATTGTATTTAAATAATATAAAAATAAAAAGGACGTAGAGTAGCTAATGTAACTTAAAAGTGGAAAACAAAGTCAGAAGACTTAGAACACTTGATTTGAAAACTTACTGTAGAATTACAGTAGCCAGAAGAGTGGTTTTGTCATTAGAGTAAATGGAACAGAATAAAGAGATTCGTGGACATATGGTCAATTAATTTTTGCCAAGGGAGCAAGATAATTAAACAAGAAAAGAATAGTCTTATCAAAAAATGTGCCAAATCAACTAGATAATCATATGAAAACATTTTAAATCAACACTTACTTTACACCTTAGAAATAAATTAACTTGTAGTTGACTATATATCAAACATAAAAGATAAAACTACAAATTCTGTACAAGAAAACTTAGGAAAAAATTTGTGAGCTTAGGAAAGGCAAATATTACTTAGAATACAAAAAGCACAGAATATTACAGGGAAATGATAAACTAGACTTCATCAAAATTAAAACCTTCTGCTTTTGGAAAGCAACAAACTGGAGAAAATATTCACAGAATATATATCTCTGACATATGGCTTGTATCAAGAATATGTAAGAGCAAATAAGCCAAGAAAAAGAAGGCTAAAATATTTAAATAGACGTTCACAAAAGAAAATATATGAATGGCCAATAAACACATGAGAAGATGGTCAACATTGGCAGTTTTTAAGGAAATGCAAAGTAAAACCATAATAAGATACTACTACACACCCACTTGAATGGCTAACATTAAAGAAATTGACAATACCAAATGTTGGTGATAATATGGAACAACTGGAAATCTTATACATTTTGGTTTGAATTTAAAATGGTACAATTGCTCTCAAAAATAGCTTGGCAGTTTATTAAAAGGTTAAATATACTTTTACCACATATATCAGCATTTCCACCCTTGAGTGTTTATCCAAAAGAAACAAAAACATATGTGTACTCAAAATCTTGTACACATACATTCATAACAAATTTACTTGGAATAGCCTTGTGACCATGGACTTCTATGGGGCCCCTTGGTTCCCATCTCCTGGTGTTTATGACTAGTATAATTCCCTTCCCTTGAGTGTGGGTGGAACCGGTAGCTTGCTTCTAACCAATGGAAGGTAGCAAAGTGCTGCAATATCACTCCTGTGATTACTTAAGGTTATATGAGATTCTGTCTTGATTGAACTCTCCCTACAGAAGGTATTGCTTTTCACTTCAGGCATCTAAGAAGCAAGCCATCATACCTTCTGCAGCCCCCAGGAAATGAGTTCTGCCAACAATCTGAGTGAATTTAAAAGAGAATCCTTCATCCGTCTCATCTGGATGAAGCTTTGTTCGCAGCCTTGCAGAAGACCCAGCTAAACTGTGCCCAGATTCCTAACCCAGAAGTCTGTGAAATAACAAATGTGTGTTGCTTTAAGTTGTTACATTTTGGGCACTGTACCACACAGCAATAGAAGATTAATGCAAGCCCAAATCTGGAAACAACCTGAATATTCAATGAGTATGTGGATATATGATATATCCCTACTATGTAAAGGAAAATTTTACTAATATACATAACAACAAGGATGAATTCCCAAAATATTATGCTGAGCAAAAGAAGCAAGAAACTAAACAGTACATGCTGCATGATTCCATCTATATGAAATTCTTCAAGAAAGGTAAATATTTTCTATAGTAATAGAAAGCAGACCAAAGATCTTAAACTGCACCCATAAATTATACCTCAATAAATGCGATTTTTTTAAACCTTTGAAACTCAACATGTATATACCTATTGCTAAATATTTAAACTAATAAAAAAGTAGTTTATGCTCCTATTAAATACATATATTTAATATATTTAATATAAGATATTCATGTGGAAAAAACTAAATCAACACTTATTTTATACCTTAGACATAAATTAACTCATAATTGACTATATACCAAAAATAAAAGATAAAACTGCAAATTCTGTGCAAGAAAGGAGAAAATTTTGTGAGCTTAGGAAAGGCAAATATTACCTAGAATGCAAAAAGCACAGAATATTAAAGGAAAATGATAAACTAGACTTCATCAAAATTAAAACATTCTGCTTTTTGAAAGCAGAAGGCTATTTCCATATATATATATATATATATATGGAATATATATGGATATATATATATATGGAATATATATGGATATATATATATATGGAATATATATGGATATATATATATGGAATATATATGGATATATATATATATATATGGAATATATATGGATATATATATATGTGCTCCAGAAAACATTTTTAAGACTGGAAATCTTGTTCCTGATACAGAGTGAGTGCTTAATAAACAATCACCATCACCATAAAGGAATTTTAGGATCCTAGGTAGAACTCTGTATTGATACTATACAAAAGCAAATATCAAGAAATTTCATACTAGATAAGGGCTTTCACTTAGTTTTGCTGACTAATAGTGTTTCAGTATGACTTTTTCCCTTTCTATTATGTGCAAGGCAGACCAGATTTTTTGGACCATGAAAAGGGCCTAGACCCTGTGTTCCAGAAACAAAGATTATTAAGAGATAAAGGAAAACACTGTAAGTCATCGTAAGGCCAGGTAGAAAGTGAGGGTGCAGATAAAGTCCTATGTGCATTCACAGGAAGGAGTACTTGTTTGGGGACAGAAGCTCAAGATAAACTCATGGAGAAGGAAATGTTTGAGCTAGACCTTGAAGGACATCTAGAATTTGGATGTGTAGAGAAGAAAAGAAACCAAATGTAAGAATGTTTTTGTTTAGATGTCAAAATATTGAGAATTTTAAAAGAGTTCGTTTAAAAAGATCATAGCATAAAAGAAATAGTGCAGATTGTGGAGAGATTTGAATGATTTCTATTCCTAATACACTGTCTCTGGGTGGTCATCCAATCTCATGGTATTAAGTAGCACATTATATCTTTGGTCAGCCTCTTCATTGATCTCCAAATTCAATATCCAGGTTCATTGATTGTAACAAATGTACTACTCTGATGTGGGGTTTTTGTCATGGGGGAGGCTCCGCATGTGTGGAGCAGGAGGTATATGGACAATCTCTGTACCTCCCACCTAATTTTGCCATAAACCTAAAATTGTACTAAAAAATAAATTATATTTTAAAAATTCTATTTTAAAAAGTTAATATCCAGCTGCTTCCTTGCTGTTGTCTTGAATAGCCAATAGTAATAATACCTTCAACATAGTAAAAATAGATTTTTTTACTCCACATGCCCCTAAACATCTGTACTCCTAATTTTCTTCTTAATAAATGATACCATTATCTACTTCTCTGGTCAAAAAAAAAAAAAAAAGAAAGAAAAAAAAAAGAGTCCCTCACCTCCATTTCAAATACATTGAGAATTCCTGCCCATTTTCCCCTGAAAACATACCTAGAATATCTGCCTCTAATTCACTGACTTAGACTACCGAGACCTAATCTCTTGCTGATACTGCCTTGGCATGCTAACTGCTTGCCCTGCTGCCATTCCTCCTCAATCTCCTTCCACAGAGAAGCCAAAATAATATTTTTAAGTTAAACTATATTGTGTAACACCCATGAAAACCTTTGATCAGCTTCACATTGCAGTTGGAATGAAGTCCAGCTTTCTTATGACGTCTGCAAACCTCTGCATGCCTGGCCATTGGTTACCTCCCTAGCTCATTTCTCACCATTCTCCTCCTCACTCAGCCTCAGAAACACAGGTTCAAGCTAAGTTCTGCTCAGGACCCTTCCTTTGCTATTTCCTCTACCTAGAAAACTCTGGCCAAGTCTCTTCAAATGGCTACTATATCCTGTCACTATGTTCTCCTTCAGTAAGGCTCTTTTTGTTCAACAAATCTATTTAGTCCCCTACCCAGGATTGGCCCCAAAATTTAAATAGTTTTAGGGCCCTCTTTAAGTGGTCAGAATGGAATGAGACATCAATGTAACCAGCTGGAGTAAAATATCTTACTTTAGTAAATATGACCATGCAAACACATTTCTAGGGTTCCACTAAGGCTGAAGAAAGGGTCTTTGCAATTGAAGGGCTCTTTATCTTGAGCTTCATCAGCTTCACAGTAAACCTTCCTCTCAACCCACTTAGTCATGCTTCTTCACATCACTCTTTTTCATTTTCTTCCTAGCCCTTATTATTTTTCGAAAGTTACTGTATTAGTCTGTTCTCACATTGCTAATAAAAACATACCCGAAACTGGGTAATTTATAAAGAAAAAGAACTTTAATAAACTCACAGTTCTACATAGCTGGGGTGGCCTCTCAATTATGGTGGAAGGTGAAGGAGGAGCAAAGGCACATCTTACATGGCAACAAATAAGAGGGCATGTGCAGGAGAACTGCCCTTTATAAACCCATCAGCTCTCATGAGACTTATTCATTATCACAAGAACAGCAGGGGAAAAACCTGTCCCCATGATTTGATTACCTCCCATGGGTCCCTTCAATGACATGTGAGGATTATGGGAACTACAATTCAAGATGAGATTTGGGTGGGGACACAGCCAAACCATATCAGTTACTTTCCATGTATTTGTCTACTCATTTAAGATCTGATGTCTCTTTCCCTGTTAGAATGTAAACTCCACAGGACCTTGCTGAAAATTCATAACTGTAAGCCAGGAACCTGGAACAGTGCCTGTCACCTATTCGGCCTCAGTGAATATTTGTTGAATGAGTAAATAGTAAATTGTTTGAATTTGAATCTGTAGAAAATGATGTGTAAAATAAATTAAATAAGGAAATAATGTAAAGCAATGATACATTAAGGGGACTATTGCTATGGTTTTAGCCAGAGAAAATGAAGGCCTGAATTCAGGTTATGCAAATGAAAATGGTGAGAAAAATATAAACATATAAAAGATCTAATCCTTGTTGAGATATACAGGATTTGACAGCTTAAATACGAGTAGCAAGTGGAGAGAAGTTGTTGCCTTACTGCATTTCTACTGCTATAACAAAATACCTCAGGGTAATTTATAAATGACAGAAGTTTATTGCTCATAGTTCTGGAGGCTGGAAAGTCCTAGATCAAGGCCCCAGCAGATTCAATGTCTGGTGAGAGCTTGCTTTCCTCTAAGATGGCGTCCTTTGCTGCATCTTTATATGGAGTAAGGCACAACTGTGTTCTCACATGACAGAGGGCAGAAGGGCAAAAATGGACAAACTCTCTCCCTCAGTCTTTATAAGAGCACCAATCCCATCCCTGAGGTCTCTGCCCTCATGGCCTCATTGTCTCCTAGAGGCCCCACCTTTTAACACCATCACTTTGGAATTTAAGTTTCAACATATGAATCTCAGAGGGACACATATTGTTAAACTGTAGCAGGTGTCAAATGTAGTGGTAATACTGTAAGCCTGGACAATGAGAAGATGGTGCTACCATTAAAAGGAACAAAAATGTTTCTCTGAAGAAAATCCTGAGGTTAGGGTCTTAAATTGAATTGGAGATGGACTAAAATATTGCCTGTAAATATGTGAATCTGTTTTTTAGGAATTCCATTTTCCTGTTGATTATTTTTTACAATATTGGTATTATTTACTCTTATAAAATGCTCTGGTCTCTAATCTTAAAAAAATCATATTATTAACAGAGCCAAAATTCTATTAGTATAGGGAAAGATTAATTTTCTGATATTATTGGTGACATTTGGAATAAGAAAAAATATAACTATAAAGAAACCTGGTCCATTTTCATATTTGACCTAATTTCACTTCCTAAGAAAGTTTGCTAGTGTCAACTACAATAAGCAAAACTCTAGAATAGAATCCGTCTATTTGATCATCTGTTAAAGCCGGATAATGTACTATTCTCTCTGTGTGCTAAGTGTTAGGAATGTTTGTTCCTAACACTTGCTGTGTGACTTACCGGCTTTGCTAAATGAACAGCTACTGAAAGAAGGTCCAAGATTCAAAATGGAGCCCCACAGGAAATATGTTTAATGAAACACTCAGCTGGGGGACCTAAAATTTTGTAAGGTAGAATTTCAGATAACACTCTTTCAATCTGCTCTCTGGTTTAAAATGTATTATTATGCAATATGCTGACAGGTACTGTTTTTTCTCCTTTTCCTGGTTGAAACCTCATCCAACCTGCAATTGGAAAAAGGAGGCAACATATAAATGTAGAACAGATAATTCTGGTCCACTAAAGCCAAATTATCTATGACTAAGTTTATAAGAGATAAAAAGCATGAAATGGGGTTTCAACAGATTTTTGTGCAACTCATTTATCAAGGAAATGTGAAGGCCGCTTGCTGCATCTAACTCTTCTTGACCCCTAATCTCACCTGTACAGGCCTCACCTGTACTCTCATGAGTACATAGAGACTTTACAAAAGAGTAACTCAAACCTGTCTTTGCCTTACAGACACTACTTCTACGTCAGACCCTTCAAATGGAAGTGGCTCCTTTTCCCGTCATATCCCAAGCCTATGAGGCTACAGGCCAGCTGTTTACATATTCTCCTAGGCCTATCTTCCTCTCCAGGCCATGATGCTTCCACCAGGATATCAGTCCCTCTTCCTCTGAGATGCATTTCATCTGGATACAAAGAATCTACCAAACTGTCTCTCCCATCTCCACTCCTAATGAATGTAAGACTTTGGCACTCATCTTAACAATTTTCTACTCCAGCAAAGTCCAGGTTTCATTATGAATGACCTGAGAATTCATATGTACAGCCCATCCAACTCTGGTTACAACATTTTTTGCTTTTCTTAAAGTCAATGAATTTCATCTTCATTCCACTTCAGCAACCCATTCCCACAAACTGGGATTTCAGCCAGAATTTCAGGTTCTCTAATCACAACTTTCATCCCTCTACCTTCTCACTCCTTAATTTACGATACAGGAATATTCACAAGACATATAGCAAAGGATCAGTACCCCACAAATCAATAAGAAAAGGTCAAACTACCAGTAGGAGAAAATGGGCAACTTATTTGAACAGGCAATTTAGAGGAGACCCCCCAAGTCACTCCTCAGGTTCTTGATTCTTTTCTTCACATTCATTATCCTCACCCCATAATTTAAATCCTTCCCATTCTCTTACTTACATCCTCAAAACTCTCCCTTCCATCTGCTCTACAAGTCACCACATCTTCTATTAATCCATCTATCATTTTTCCCAGGTCACCCCTTCCTGCTGATGGCCGCTGGGTACAATTAGAAAACCTTGCAATTTGGTGCCCTACAAACTTAAGATTTTTGACCTCAGATGGAGTGCTGAGTCCCACAGAAGCAATCCTAAGCTCTTATCACTATACTAATGATATTTATTTTCAGTTAACAGATTATAAATTTCGTGTTGTCTCATAGGAAAAACAATGCAACTATCAGGTGGGACTGCTTTCCATTTCCTTATCATAAATCAGTATTTCTATATCCATTCAACAATATGAACAAAGCACAGTCTTTCTTAAAGAAAACTTTAAACACATTTATATTTATATTTACATTTACATTTATATTTTATGCCTCAAAGAAAACTAATATTATTGTTCGCATCTTGATACACTTTCTATGAGTTTTCAAATATATATGAGATGAATTTTTCATGTTTCTATTTTTTGTAGTGTTCTGTAGCAACCACTCTTAAATTTCCTTGTTTTTACTGACAATCTGGTTAGAGATTTTGCCATTTCAGTGTTCTGTAGCTTCTGCTTTACATATCATTGTATAAATACATCACAGCTGATTTAGCCATTCTTCTAAATATGCTCCTATAGGTTGTTTCTAATATATTAATACTGCAAACAATGGTATCATGAATATCTTTTTACATACTTCCCACTGCATGTGTGCAATTGTTTCTCAGAAATATCTAGAAGTGAAAGTGTTAGGTATAGCTTGTGTACATTTTTTAAAAAATTCTTTGTTATTGTCAGTTGCCCTCTAAAATGCTGTATAATTTACAATTCTATAATCAATGAATGAGATTAACTGTTTTTCTGAACCTTCAGAAACACTTGATATGTGGTACTTTCTTGCTAGACCAATAGGTAAAAGATGGCATTGCATTATGTTAATTTACATTTTCTTGGCTACTAGTATGATAACTTGAAGTGTTAATTGGACATTAATATTTTCTTTTCTGTGAAAAGCCAGTTACATCCATTGCCCATTTTTCTTTTGAAATGTTTTTTCCTATTGATTTGTTATAATTATGTAATAAATACATATATTTTGAGTATTTTAAATATTACAACATTTTTCTTACAGTTTGTCAATTTTCTGCCACTCTGTCCAGTGACAGACTTTTAAATTTTAATTATGTTGATGCTTGCGTGAAATTTAAGATTGTTAATTTTGACATAGACAACTATACCAATATTTTGCTTTAGAGCTCTGTTTCCTGTTGAAGGAAAACTTTCTCTAGCTTAAGGTAAGATGCATAAACCTGTATATTTTCTTCTAATTCTCTATATAGGCACACAGACATGCAAACATACATATATGGGGGCACATTTTGATTAGGTCTTTAGCTCAGTTGGAATTTACTTACTTAGCTCTATGTGGCAGATATATTACTTTATTTTTACCGAATTGTCACAAAACTATTTATTAAAGAATCTATCTACTCCACAGTGAGTGTATCATATTCTAAGCTCTATTTATACAACGGTTTATTGCTAGTGTCTCTATGCTGTTCCACTGGTTTGTTGTTTTATTTTTATATGACTATCATAATATTTGACTTACTACATCTGTAATGCAAGTTTTGAAATCTTGTATTTCAAATTTTTCTGAGATAATTTTGCTCATTTTTATTTCTTCAGATAAATTTTAAAGTTTTCTTACTGTATTGCTTTTAAAAATCTTGTTGATTTTTTATTTGGACTGGATTGAATTTATAGATTTTTCTGGTGAGTACTGAAATATTTAAATATTTTATCTTCCTATCCAGGAACAAAGTATCTTTCTCCATTAATTCAGATTTGTTTTTATTCCTCCGTTTTATACTTTTTTTGTGCATCTTTTTTTTTCAAGATATATTACAGTTTTACCGGTTTGTGAATGACTTTGCCAGTTACTGCAGGTTTATAAGAATACACTTCCAGGTGTTCCTAAGTGGAGATTTATCATTTTGCTGCATCTGTGCCCTGCCCTGGGCACAGCTGCTCCTCCAAAGCAGCTCCTCTTCCTCTGGGTATAGAGACCATGACATGCTGGCCTTTTAGGTTTGTGGCTGGGCTCAGGAGCCCTCCACACTCCCCTGTGAGCAATCTCAGAAATGCAATCTTATCATGGAACTCCCTGGTGGAAATCCTCCAGGACATCTCATCACCTGCATGATTATGTTAGAAATATTGGTAGGGTATGCAAAAACTTCCGCATTCTGGCTGCTGTTTTTCTCTCTATCATTATCTCAGGCTGTGTCCCTCAGTGTCAGGTTCACTGAAAGGCACTGGCCATACCAAGTTCCTCCCTTATTCCTGATGGTGCCATGTTTTTTTAGCCCTCTTTACCTTGGCACGTGTTATTCCTTTTCTTTGAAATGCTCTTGGTTTAGGTCATCTAGCTGACTCCTGCTTATCTAGAACCTGTCTCCTCCAAGAAGCTTCCCCTCAGATCCCAAGGATTACCCTGACTTCTGCCCACCCCTCTTGTCCCAGTGTACAGATACATATTGCTATTTCAGCACCCGTCTCAATACTTGCTGACATCTGTAGACGTATCTCTCCCATACCAGACTGTGCCTCTGTGTCTAGCATTGTTCCTCACAAATAGAGAAAACATTATTTGTTGAAAGAAGGTGTTCTAAGTTTAGCCTTTTTATAGTACATTATTGTTTACAAAATGCCCTCATATATAAAACTGGTATGGTACAAACTCTTTCTACAACTTAGTGACAATGGATGATAGTTATAATTATGCTCCCTAAATTTTAGCATTTCAAAATCCCTCACTCGCAAGTCAACATTTTTCTTGAAATCTTTATCTTTGGTCAGCCTGTCAGTCTAAGAATCTTCCAAGGGTTCCTGAGCCACATCAGATTGTATTTCTAGGGGAGGACCCTTCCTCTATTAGGTCTCTTGGCAAGATGGGGAGAGGAGAGACATTGTCTCATGTGTTACCAGATTCACTGCCTAAAGTTTCGAGATCTTTCTGCTGAGTAGACTGCGTTGTTCTGCAGCACACGTAGGCCTGCATCCATTCTACTTTAGGAGGTTCACATCACCAAGCCCTGCTGCTCCTCTTCTCACTGGCCAAGAAAAGATTGCCATTTTGTGACCAGCTGTTTCCTAGAAAATGCTCTCAGCAGAATTCTTTAGACCATGAGTGACTTTGTCCTCTTCTTTGTAGAATAGCAATTTTTCTCCCAGACCATGCATGGATTCTGGGGGCGTAGTTGGGTGGGAAACAGAGAGGGATATAGGTGTTATGACTGAGTATGGATGTCTTCCCATACTTCACTGCTCAGGCCTAGACTCTGGCCCACCCAACTACATCACTTCTTCATTCTGGTGATTTTCTCTTAGGGTCTTATTTCTCCTTCTAGAGTATCTTCTAGTCTATTCAACAAACCTGCATATATTTGAATCACGGTAATGGACAAAGCTCAAAGTATTGTCACAGAGCCCCTCGATCTCATGACAATATTTTTTTAAATGCCACTGGACTTTGTGAGCAGTTTAAGTTCCCTAAACACAGCATAGGAGGAGAATAATCTGTCCAGGCTATAGGGGACTTCTAAGGAAGAGTGTTCCCCATCTCCACAAAATCACCTAACTGATCCAATTAAAATACTCTGCTACAGACAGACTTTTAAATTTGGCTCTCACTACCATTGCAGCATGTGGATAGACCTTGTTATTATTCCCACTTTACAAATGAGATAACTGATATTCACAAAGTTTAAATAATTTTTCTCCAAAATAGACAGTCAGTGAGCACCAAGGCAAGACTGAGGACCATGCAATTAAGTATTACAAGTTAAATGTGCGGGTTTTGCAATCAGAAAGGCACAGCTTTGAGTTTCAGATATGCCACTTACTACCCAGGTAGACTGGAGCAAGTCTTATTTTCCTGTCCATCAAATGAGTAGACTTCTGCCTCTAGAGTGATTGTTTTCAGAGAACTGAGCCCAAAGCTTAGCACAAAACATGTGTCCAAGAAATGTTAACTGTTCATATCATTCATGTTTTAAAACTCATCCTTTGATTTTATAACATCATGATCTCCATTCCCTTAAATTTAAGGAGCCAATGAACATGTATTGACAAATAGAATTTTTAATGAAATCATTTTCAAACATTTAGCATAATTTTAGTTTCTAAAGATAGGATCGCAGAAGCACATTTCATATAGTCAAATGGTTTACCAGCTGAGGAGTGCATTGATAAGATTGGGTCACAATAAAGTTAAGTATCTGCTGTAACAAGACAGTCTAATATGTACCATTGCTCTTAAGAAGTTTTTCTTCAAAAGTTATACTTGAATTTATATTTTTTTCCTCTAAACAAGGACAGCTTTGAGAAAAGGTGCTCTTGTTCTGAATTGGGCTTTGAAAACCCTTAAGAATGTAATTGAATTATCTGAAAATATGGAAATGATCTATGTGTAAATGACTGAAAGTGCAAGCAATAATCATTCATTCATTCATTCAAACTAGAATTTACCTGATGCTTGTCACAAAGCACATATCAGTTCTAATCTGATGAGAAATTAATTCATAGAAAAAAATGTTATCTTCTAGAATATCTACTTGAAGCTATGAGCTTTAAAATTCTGAAAATAATAATTACATGTCAAATCCAATATTCTGGATTTGTTTTCATTCATATGAACTAAGGTTGAGACATTCGGCTTTGAAATTGGAGTTCAAATTCTCCTGATAGTGTGTTGTGTGGTTTCAGAACACATTTTTGATCTTTCTAAAACTTCATTTCATTTTCAAACCTATAACATGGAAAAAGCATTCTAGTGAGACTCAGTCTCATCTGATTAAGTGAAGCTAAAGTAAGATATTATGTATACTATGGCTGGTTGATAATAGATAATAAATATTAGTTCCCTTGTCTGTTCTTATAGCATTGCTGTCCACAGTGAGAAGAAAAATTTAAAACAGAATAGAACATCTTCTTGAGGTCCATTTTTTAAAGTATCTCTAATTTGTTCTAATAAATAATAAAATTCCAAATTCATTTGTGTCCTGGACATATTTTCAAACAAGAGATATGCTAGTATTCAGGAATAAACTATGGGTCAGACTTTATCTCTTGTCTCCATTCTTTGGAGGGTATACATCCAATGATCCCTCTGCATACACGAGCCTACAAACATGACAGTTTCAGCCTCTTCATGAAGTATGATATTGAATTGGTCAAACTGAAACTAAAAATTAAGAAAAAATTTAATTGTGAATATAAAAGCAATTCAGTGATTTCCAATAAATTTTAAAATAGAATCTTACTGGAATATGAGATGACTATTATAAAAATTGTGTTAATTAAAAGGAAAGTGACAAGCATCAATTTAGTTTCTACTTATGGCTGGCACTTCATGTATGATATATCATTGGAGTTTTATAACTGTTCTATGGTTTATACAGAAGCAGTACATTGCATAACTCAAGGGCTGCCATGCACATCTTAGGCCATGCGTGGACATCTATGGAATCACCTAGTATACGGTCTCCTGGACAAATAGAGTATCCCCAAGTTTATAAAAGAAGACTAGTACTGAAATACTAGTGATAAATAATATTTCAGTCATCAGATCTAATTCTACTACTGTTTTATAAAATAAAAAACCTTTTCTGTAGAAAAGTTGCTAGTACTAGGAAATAATGTCATACTTACAAAGACAACATTTTTAAAAAATGTTCCCAAGCTAAATGGTGCACCCTTAATTAAAATTGCACATGATTTGTATGGTAAAATGACTAAGATCTTTGGATGTCAAAAACCTTGTCATTTCTCTGGGACAACTAAACATTTATTCTTTCTCTGGTTACAATGTAGAACTTTGCAAAAAGTCATCATTCCCACCCTAACAATGAGAAATCACGAGATGAACTAAGAAATAATTTTTACTAAACTCCAGAGAGAAGTGAGTCTTTCCTAGGTAAGCAGAACCCATTGCTAAGGGTGTTAACATAGTCTAGGAGACAGTCAAGAAGAGGTGTGAGCCTGGTAAAAGTTCAGACTTTTGCTCTGACAAGGAGACACTAAAACTCTTAGTGCTTGCGTGTGCTTGCAAGGTATATTGAAATATAAAGGAGCTCACAAACTTAATGCTCACTGTCATCTATAAATCACTCTACCATGGGATTTTTTCTGACTAAGCAGGGTAGAGCTAAAAAGCAGAAAGAGATGAATAGTCTTGGGTGCTGAGACCCAAAACCTTGCTGGAAAGAGGAACCAATTCCACCCTCCAGATATTTAAGAGTAGAGGTAAACTGGAAGTAACAAAAGTGATAACTCAGCACTACAACAGCTCAATTCCTCATTAGATTGAAAGAAATTGTCCCTCACCCTAGCTTCCTGATGGACGAAAGAGCATTTTTTTCCCTCAGATAAAATTTGTGTCTATTTCAGTTTCTACTATGTTTTGTATGTAATATCTGGTACACAACAAAAAATGTGATAAAGCTAAAAAGTTGATCTCATAGAAGTAGAAAGTAGGATAGTAGTTAATAGAGGCTGGGAAGAAGAGAGGGGGATGAGTTGAGAAGATACAAAATAACAGCTAGATAAGAGGAATAAGTTCTAGTGTTCTATAGCACCGTAGACTGACTACAGTTAATAATGTATTATATATTTTCAAACAGCTTGAAGAGATGATTTTGAATGTTTCCAACATGCAGAAATGATAAATGTTGCAGGTGATCAGCATCTTCAATCTAGTTATCATCAGCATGGCCTGAATCTTACTGAATGCAACCCGTTATGATAAAGAGGGCCAAGGTGAGAACTAGCTACTCAAGAAAGCAACATTCTGTAATTCTCTCTTGCCTTTTCACCTCATCAATTCTAATATGCCAAATATTTGGCCTGATGAGAATGACTGATGAACTTGCTGATGTGCATGTCGGGGAGGGTGGGGTAAGGGGTATATTATCTCCCAACTGGCCGTTCAATTTTCAGGCCATCATTCAAACTGGATAAGAAAAAGTTGATGAGAAAGGAATGGAGACAGCAGGATCCCTGGACTCCCTGGCTCCCAAACTCCTTGACTATCACTTGTAATTGCATATAATTTTTGTGTTTCTTGCTCCATTTCCTCATGCTATCACCCTTAATCTAAAGTCCTTGTGGAAAGGGGAAAATCACTGAAGGTCACTGAACACCATTGTATAGTTTCTTCAACCATCCCTGCCATGTTGTACATAGATATGTAATGCCATGTTTTATCTGTAGAAGTGTATATACATAAAGAAAATGATAAGTGTTTGAGGTGATGAATATGCTAATTACCTTGGTTTGATCATTACATATTGTATACATCAAAACATCACTGTGTACCCCATAAATATGTACAATTATATGTCAATTTTTTAAAATTAAAAAATATAGAGAAGCAAAAAAACCTATAACCAATGAAAAATAATCAATAAAAGCATATTTATGGACCATCTACATGTTCAAATGAGCACACAGAGGCTTTGAAATAATTACTATGACTACGAAAGTAGTTGAGAAGAAAAAAATAGACAAAATGATTTGTTTAATGGAGAATTTTAGCTGAAAAAATAGAAACTCTAAAAAAAGACATTTAGAATACAAGAGTACAATATATGAAATAAAACCAATGAATAACTGAAGTCCAAGTTTAACACCAGACTAGACACCATGAGGAAAGGATTAGTGAAACTGAAGGGAAGTCAACAAAAATTAGCCAAACTGAGCCACAAAGAACAAAAATAAGAAGAATCATTTTTTAAATGAGAAAAGTGTATTGGACAATTGTAAAACGCTATCTACAAATATGGATAAGTAAGTGGAATCTGAAAAAAGAAAAATAAGAAAGAATGTAACAATGTTTGACGAGATAAAGACCAAGAATACCTCAATCTGAGAAAGGTTATCAACTCACAGATCCAAAAATTTCAGCAAAATCCAATAGATTGAATTTAAAAATTAAAAAAGAAACATAATCATCTCAAATTCAAACTGCTAAGAATCAAAGATGAAGGGAAAGTTTTAAAAGCATGCAGAAGAAAAAGCACATATAACATTTAAGAAAACAACATTAACAATAGTAATGGCTGGATTCTTTTTTTTTTTTTTTTTTTTTTTTTTTTTGTGACGGAGTCTCACTCTGTCACCCTGCCTGGAGTGCAATGGCGTGGTCTCAGCTCACTGCAATCTCCACCTCCCAGGTTCAAGTGATTCTCCTGCCTCAGCCTTTTGAGTAGCTGGGAATACAGGTGCATACCACCACACCTAGCTAATTTTTGTACTCTAGTAGAGACGGGGTTTCACTATGTTGGCCAAGCTGGTCTCGAACTCCTGACCTCGTGATCCACCCAATAATGGCTGGATTCTCATGGAAATAATAAAAACCAAAAGACAATGGAAAACATCTTTAACATGCTAAAAAAAAAAATTTGTCAACACAGAATTATATAGCCAATAAAAATATCTTTCACAGAAGAGTAGAAAGGGGACATCACAGACAAATAAAAGCTGTGCAACTTTGTCACCAGCTGATCTAAAGAATAAATGGGAAAAATAAAAAACAAATAACAAGATTATAGACTTAAACATAACCATAACAATAATTATAGTAAATGTAAATGGATTAATCATTTTTTAAGGATTGGATTTAAAAAGAAGTCTCCCAATCATACAATATTATGAGAAACACATTTTAAATATAAGGACTGAGAAAGATTAAAACTTAAAGGAGAAAGGGAAATAAAATAATCTGCCAAAACTAATCATAAGAAAGCCAGTGTAGCTATATTAATATAAGAAAAAGTCAATTTTAAGAAAAGAGTATCATCAGAGATAAAGTGAGATATTTCATAATAAAAAAAGTTAATTCATCGGGAAGACAAAACAATCATAAATAGGTACCTAGTAAAATATTTACCTGGTAAAATAACTTCAAAATATATAAGGCAAGAATTGACAAACTAAGTGAAGAAATAAAAAAGTCTGCAACTATAGATATTTTAATTTAACTCTCTTAGTAATTGATAGAAAAATACAGAGAAGTTCATCAGTAAGAATACAGAATGGCCTTCCTTACCTCTAAAAGGCGTAGGTAGGGGCAGGGGCACTTGAAAGGATCAGTGAAAGTATCCATGATTCATCATGTTTAAAAATTTCTGCTCTCCCTCTCCCCATGGTCTCCCTCTCCCCACGGTCTCCCTCTCCCCATGGTCTCCCTCTCCCTCTCTTTCCACGGTCTCCCTCTCATGCCAAGCGGAAGCTGGACTATACTGCTGCCATCTCGGCTCACTGCAACCTCCCTGCCTGATTCTCCTGCCTCAGCCTGGGAGTGCCTGCAATTGCAGGCGCGCGCCGCCACGCCTGACTGGTTTTCGCATTTTTTTGGTGGAGACGGGGTTTCGCTGTGTTGGCCGGGCTGGTCTCCAGCTCCTAACCGTGAGTGATCCGCCAGCCTCGGCCTCCCGAGGTGCTGGGATTGCAGACGGAGTCTGGTTCACTCAGTGCTCAATGGCGCCCAGGCTGGAGTGCAGTGGCATGATCTCGGCTCGCTACAATCTCCACCTCCCAGCTGCCTGCCTTGGCCTCCCAAAGTGCCGAGATTGCAGCCTCTGCCCGGCTGCCACCCCGTCTGGGAAGTGAGGAGCGTCTCTGCCTGGCCGCCCATCGTCTGGGATGTGAGGAGCCCCTCTGCCTGGCTGCCCAGTCTGGAAAGTGAGGAGGTCTCTGCCCGGCCGCCATCCCATCTGGGAAGTGAGGAGCGCCTCTTCCCGGCCGCCATCACATCTAGGAAGTGAGGAGCATCTCTGCCCGGTGGCCCATCGTCTGGGATGTGGGGAGTGCCTCTGCCCCGCCGCCCCGTCTGGGATGTGAGGAGCGCCTCTGCCCGGCCGCCACCCCGTCTGGGAGGTGAGGAGCGTCTCTGCCCGGCCGCCCGTCTGAGAAGTGAGGAGACCCTCCGCCCGGCAGCCGCCCTGTCTGAGAAGTGAGGAGCCTCTCTGCCCAGCAGCCACCCCGTCTGGGAAGTGAGGAGCGTCTCCGCCCGGCAGCCACCCCGTCCGGGGGGGATTTGGGGGGGGTCAGCCCCCCGCCAGGCCAGCTGCCCCGTCCGGGAGGGAGGTGGGGGGGTCAGCCCCCCGCCAGGCCAGCCGCCCCGTCCAGGAGGTGAGGGGCGCCTCTGCCCGGCTGCCCCTACTGGGAAGTGAGGAGCCCCTCTGCCCGGCCAGCTGCCCCGTCTGGGAGGGAGGTGGGGGGGTCAGCCCCCCGCCCGGCCAGCCGCCCCGTCCGGGAGGGAGGTGGGGGAGTCAGCCCCCTACCCGGCCAGCCGCCCCGTCCGGGAGGTGAGGGGCGCCTCTGCCCGGCCACCCCTACTGGGAAGTGAGGAGCCCCTCTGCCCGGCCAGCCGCCTCGTCCGGGAGGGAGGTTGGGGGGTCAGCCCCCAGCCCGGCCAGCCGCCCCATCCGGGAGGTGAGGGGCGCCTCTGCCCAGCCACCCCTACTGGGAAGTGAGGAGCCCCTCTGCCCGGCCACCACCCTGTCTGGGAGGTGTGCCCAACAGCTCATTGAGAACGGGCCAGGATGACAATGGCGGCTTTGTGGAATAGAAAGGGGGGAAAGGTGGGGAAAAGATTGAGAAATCGGACGGTTGCGGTGTCTGTGTAGAAAGAAGTAGACATGGGAGACTTTTCATTTTGTTCTGTACTAAGAAAAATTCTTCTGCCTTGGGATCCTGTTGATCTGTGACCTTACCCCCAACCCTGTGCTCTCTGAAACATGTGCTGTGTCCACTCAGAGTTAAATGGATTAAGAGCGTGCAAGATGTGCTTTGTTAAACAGATGCTTGAAGGCAGCATGCTCATTAAGAGTCATCACCACTCCCTAATCTCAAGTACCCAGGGACACAAACGCTGCGGAAGGCCGCAGGGTCCTCTGCCTAGGAAAACCAGAGACCTTTGTTCACTTGTTTATCTGCTGACCTTCCCTCCACTATTGTCCTATGACCCTGCCAAATCCCCCTCTGTGAGAAACACCCAAGAATGATCAATAAAAAAAAAAAAAAAAAAAAAAAAAAGAATATAGAATGTTATACAGCACCATTTAAACTAATCAACACTTGTAGTACACTTCATCTAACAACTGAAGAAACCCATATTTTCAAACTGGACATGAAACGTTCACTAAAATATACTATATATTATGCCATGAAGCTATTCTCAATTAATATTTAAAAACTGAAATAATAGTATTTATCACTACAATGAAATTAAGCTAGAAATAAATAACAAAAAGAAAATGGAAAAATTCCAATATTAGAAATAAAACAACATTTTTCTAAATAATCTATATCTCAATGAGGAGCTAACAATGGAAATTAGAAAACATTTTAAACTAAATAAAAATAAAAACACAATATATTACCATTAATGGAATCAAGCCAAAACTGTGATCAGAGGGAAATGCATAAAGGCTTCTCTTAAATGAAAAGAAAAGTTTAAAATCAATAATCAAAGTTTCATACTCAGAAAATTAGAGAAAGAAGAGGAAATGAAATACAAAGAAAATAGAAGTAAGGAAATAACAAAGAGTGGAAATCAATGATAGAGAAAACATGAACAATGAAGAAATACCAACAAAGCCAAAATATGGATGTTTGAAAATGACACAATTTTTCAATCTAAAAATTGTGAAATCTAAAAATTGTGAAAATGACACAATTTTTCAATGAGAGAGAGAAAGAGAAAGAGAGAGGAAAGAGAGAGAGGACATGAATTACCAACCATCAGGAATGAAAAGAGAGACATTACTACAGACATTAAGATGAGAACAAAAAGTATTATACATAACTTTATCAACACATTTGGCAACTTAGAAATAAGGATAAATATATTGTAAACCATAAATTTTTAAAACCGACATTAGAATAAATAGAAATTTTGACAAGTTCTATATCTATAATAGTAATTAGACTCATTACTCAAAAGATCCTACAAAGAAAACTCCAGATCCACATGGTAGAAATGATATTAAACCTATTAAGGCATTAAAAATATTTTAAAAATAAAAATAAAACTCATTTAGGAAAACCCAATGAAAATAACCATCTCCTCTCCTCACTCCTAGGCCCTCAGCTCAAGAATCATCTGTACATTCTTCTTTCTACTTCTTTATTCCTTTTCATGATCAAAGTTATCTTTTACCATTTTATGTAGTAGACTCTTATTTCATGTACTTACCATCTTATTTCAAATAATTCCATTTTTCCAAGTTATAATAATGTTAATGATTTATTTACTACTTACTATATCTTACTATATCCCAGCACTGTGTTAAGTGTAATATATATATATAGATATATATAGATATATATATAGATATATATATAGATATATATAGATATATATATAGATATATATATAGATATATATATAGATATATATATAGATATATATATAGATATATATAGATATATATAGATATATATATAGATATATATAGATATATATAGATATATATATAGATATATATATAGATATATATATAGATATATATAGATATATAGATATATATATATAGATATATATATATAAAATTTTATCCTCATAAATGTGTGTATATTTTTCTAGTTTTACAAACAGGGAAACTAAGATTCAGAGTTCACTAACCTTCCTAAAGTCCCAGAAAACTCAAACCCCTGTCTGATTCAAAAACCCACACTTTTTCCAACACATCATCCTGTCACTAACAGTCAATGACATTCTCAAACAGCCTACCAAGAAGAAGTGCCATATAAGTTTTGTATTTGGTAATGTTTTAATTATTAATTGAACCAGAAAAAATAAGAACTTCAGAAGGAATATTTATCCAGCTGCTTTTATTCTTGTGAGCCAATCTGCCATGCTTCAAACTACAGAATTTTTCAGAGGGTGAATAAACCTTACTTACTTTATCATTTGTAAACTTCTAAGGATTGCTGAGTGAGACTTTTCTAACCCCATATGTTTTTATGTAAAATATTGGAGTAATTTAAAACAGACAGAAATGAGAAAATCTGTCTCATAAAATGGTGTAATTTTGCTAAGTGCCTACTCTAAATCATCTCCCACCACCACTCTGGGCTTCATATTTTTACTATTATCTCCTCCTTTACCTCATAGTTACACCTTTAGAAGTATTTATAACACTGGTCAAAAGCAAAGTCACTGAATACAGAAACTGGATCTTGTTTACCACTGTATATACTCAACGTGCCTAATGCCTGGCACATAGTAGGCACTCAATAACTATTAGCTATATGAATTAATGAATAAGATATTTTTGTCTCTATGTTATTAACAACTTGTTTTGCATCCCTGGCTTTAAAATTCCCACTTTGTCAAATGTGCTTTTTAATGTTTACTATAACTAACATAATTTTTAAATTCCAGGCCAGTTTGGTTTAGCTAACAAATATCTTTGGAGTATCTACAGTTTTCTGGATCATTAAGAAAAAAAAATTTCAATTGAAACTTATGAAGAACAGTACTGTTCAATAGAAATATAATTATATATGTAACAGGCAAGGCACGATGGCTCACGCCTGCAATCCCAGCACTTTGGGAAGCCAGGATGGTCTTGATCACAAGGTCAAGAGATCAAGACCATCCTGGCCAACATGGTGAAACCCCGTCTCTACTAAAAATACAAAAATTAGCTGGGCATGGTGGCACACGCCTGCAGTACCAGCTACTCAGGAGGCTGAGGCAGAAGATCACTTGAACCCGGGAATAGGAGGTTGCAGTGAGCAGAGGTCGTGCCATTGCACTCCAGCCTGGCGACAGAGTGAGACTCTGTCTCGGGAGAAAAAAAATAAGAAATATAATTATATATATATATATATATATATATATATATATATATATATAACAACGTAATTGTGACACAAATGTGAGTCACATGCAATTTTAAATTTTCTAGTTTCCCCATTAAAAGTGAAAAAGATATGAATTTAATTTTAATAATACCTTTTATTTAACCCAATATATACAAGATATTATTGTTTTAGCATGTAATCATTATAAAGTTATTGAGAAGTTTTACAAGTTTTTGTTAATACTAAGTCTTAGAAGTATATTTTTACATTTATAGAACATTTTAATTCAAACTAGTCACTTTTCAATTGCTCAGTAGCCCCACCTTGGTAGCAACTACTGTATGAAACACCACAGTTAGGAACTTATTCATAAGACAATTTTATGTGGGCAGGAATGAGATCTCTTTGAACAAATAATGTGGACATTAAAAGAGCAGTGGAAATTACTTACTTCTGATTGGAAGAACACACTGATGGTGATTCACACTGGAAGAAAAACACAGAGCATGGCTTTTTTCTCTCTTCTAACTTTTGCCAGGTAGTGTGTCAGAAAAGACTTCTAAAGAGATTGGCACAGAAATATCTCTGAAGAATCAATTCCATAATTAAAAGAGACCTGACTCTATAATTTGAGTATGGTGCGTATTCTAAGTATCTTGACTTGATCAGTAATTACCAGGAAGAGAAAGGGAGAAAGAGACTTCATGCCATCAGAAAGATACGCAGACACAAGTGTCAGTACCTGTACAACTTACATGAAGTGGAAATCAACAAGACCCTTAGTTCACTGGATCACAGTTATGCAATTGAGACTGTGAATAAATCACAGTAACTTGCTTATATTATTTGGTTCTGTGTCCCCACCCAAATCTCAAGTTGAATTGTAATACCCAGTGTTGGGGCAGGGACCCTGTGAGAGGTAATTTGATCATGGGGGTGGATTTCCCCCTTGCAGTTCTTGCGATAATGAGTTCTCACAAGATCTCGTTGTTTAAAAGTGTGTGACACTTCCCCCCTTGCTTTCTCTCTCCTGCTCCACCATGGTCAGTCATGCCTGCTTCTCCTTCACCTTCTGTCATGATTATAAGCTCCTGAAGCCTCCCAGCCATGCTTCCAGTACAGCCTGTGGAACTATGAGTCAATTAAACCTCTTTTCTTCATAAATTACCCAGTCTCAGGTAGTTCTTTATAGCAATGAGAGAACGGACAAATATGCTTGTGTTTTTCTGAATTCTAAAAAATAGATTGCAGATTGTTGGGAATTTATCACATGCATGTCATGAATAAAATTGATAAAAGATCTTATTTCCTTGGAAAAATTATTAACCTTTAATCCATTAGTAGCTGTCTTTTTATTAAAATTTAACATATCCTGGCACCTCAAAGATTGTCTTATTTCCTAGCCCAGCTCTGACTTAATCATGAGATTCACACCATGAAATCTATATTACCACAGATAATTCTAGTTTGAGCAAATTACCCACAATTAAAGACAGGAGGCTTTATGTGCCTGCAGTAAAAACGAAGGAGTCCTTCAGATATCGCCGAGTCTCACAGGCCCACCTAGAACCAGTCAACTCAAATTACCCATTCTGATCACAGTTAAGAGAAGAGATCTGTCAGGATCATCATAGCAAAACTGGATTTCCCAGATTCAGACAAACCGTGATCAAGTGTCCTCTTACCAGCTTCAGTCTAGTTCCAGGTCTACAATATCTAAAGTGGTGCCCATGATCCCAACCAAACCAACGAAGAAAGATTTCCAAGAACCTTACTGTTCAGTCCCTGAATTCTTCTAAATGTCATTATTTACTCTTGTAAGTAAATGTGAGGCTGTAATGATCATTTGAGAACTACAGCCCCCCTTCTACTGAATTAATTATAACAAATTGCTATAGAAAGTTAATATTTAGGCAAGCAGTCCTCTTTACTCAGACTAGTAATAGTCAAACCTGATCAATTCCAACATGAAGTACACCTCTGTGACAACCTACCTGGAATAATGAGTTGTCTGTCAAAATGAGACACAAATAACAGTAAGATACCAAACTCCTTGCGAGACCAAAGGCATGTAAGAGAAAGATGTTGCTATCTTTGAAATAACTAAGTATTGCCATGTGAAAACGCTTAAAAGTTAAGTTTGTCCAGTAAGTTTTTGAGGCATTTCAAAAACACCAATCATTATAAAATATGGCTCTAATTTAAAAGCCAGCACCAAATAAATTTATTAATTTTCTCAAAACAAGTTAATCTACACTGTTTTCACTGAAATTTCTTAAACTGGTTTAAAAATTAAGAGAGACTTTGCTTAGCTTAAGCACATGGGCTTCCAGAAATGTGATTTTTATTTTTAATGTGGTTTCTCTTTCACAGTGGTTTCCACTGCTGTAAAGGTCAGTTTGTTAACTGTGGTGACAAGCTGGCCCTCATGGCACATGTTCAGCAAATGTCAGTAAGTGAACAAAGAGAAGAGATACTGGAACACTCTTAGCCTTAATAGACTGAAAAGGTAGTATTAAACTGTCTTAAATTCATTCAGAATAAAAAGGGCTTTACAGACAGTTTTTCTGGTTGAGAGATCAGACCAAATGAATCTAAAACCTAAAATAGAGGGTGTTTTATTCTCACGGGTTCTGACATTTTAGTGGTAAGCTGCAAGTTTTAAAAACTGCTACTAAAATCTGAATTGCCAGCACCATATGGAAAAACATGGCTGCAACATGTCTTTTATCTCATAAATATATGTGTGTGTGTAGAAAGTCATTGCACTTGAATTATTGCAGAATGAATTTTTTAAATAAGCACAATGGCAGACAGATCAAAATATTGGGAGGTCACACGGACTGTGGCAAGTGAAGAGGTAGCCACAGACTTCATGCCTGTATAGAATGTTTAAGTAGGCTGCCTTCACCTGATATTGAGTGAAGTTGATGAGTTTTAGAAGGAGACTTGCTACATCTGTTAGTCAAAAATCTCAGGGTCAACTTGGGACAGGTTTCTTAGAATTTAAGGAGTCTGAGCTTTTATTTCAACCATAATCAGCTGAAACTGCAATTAAATAAATAGCTTATGCCCAAATGAGCTTAGTACTTTTTCAACAACTATAAAATGTTTTGAAAACAAAATATATTTTCTCCTTGCCTTCTTTTAGTGATAAAATAAATAACAAGTAAAATTTTGAGATCCTGAGATGCAACTGCACTTTGAAATAATCAGGAAAATGAGGCATAGAGTAGAATTTCAGAAAGCAAGAGTAAGTGTGTACATTCCGGATTCCTATTTGACGCTTCCTCTCCTTCAAAAGTAACAGCATCTCATTCGTGTTTAGGTGTAGTGAGTAGGGTCTTAGATACTTTGAAGGTATCTCCTACCTTAATATATTCTTTGGGCCATATTCTAAGCCATCATTACTTTTTATCGTAAGCACAGTTTATTAAGTTTTTGCAAGCAGTAGTAGGTGACTTTCAATTTCTCATTGAATTCTCACCAGTACCATTATGCAATATTATCCTTCTTTTGCTGAGAAAATAGGTTCAGAATTTCCAGAGAACCCCTATGGACAGCTTTTAAAAATACCAATGTCTGTGTCTCAACTCAGAACTAAATCAGAAACTCTGGGAGAACTCAGACAGCAGTATTTTTTTAACTCTCTCAGGGTAACTACAATTTGCAGTTTAGGTTGGGTTTGGTTAGCCCACCTAAACACACTGGGTTAAACCAAGTTCATCAAACTAGTAAGTAAGCCAGTAATAAAAGGTAGGTTTATATAAATGCAAAGCCCTAACTTTGCCCCAAGGACTTCCCACCAAACCTCCCTGGGTACCCTTAGGACCAAGGCCAACATCCCTAGCACACACAGAAGACCATTATGCATCAGTCAGCTGCTGGGCATGGGGAAAATTAGAATGGCTTGTTGCACCTCCCTGAATTTCATAGTCCATAACACAGTAAGGCAATTTCTGGGTCAGAGGGGTTTTCATGCTATATTATGTCATTGGAAAATGCTTTATACTAACATTCTACCATCTCGTGCACTTGATTCTTTCCTACCAAAATTTTTATCATAGTGCAGATACTGGGTGGCTAAGTGTTTTTCACTTAAAATGTTATTATTCAGGAGTGGCATGTACCTACCAGGGGTGCCTTTATGTAACTAACATAAAAGTTGGCGTATGATAGAAATTCAAAATCAGGCAGCCAAATCACTAGCAGCTAAAAACAATAAATCTAATTAACTTCATTTTCTTCAAAAAGAAACAAACTCTACCATTTCTGGTGGTAGTTTGGTTTTGAAATACTTACTTTAAAGATATATTATGGCTGAATTTACCCACAAATTCTCAACATCAATAATTTTACTGGATATTAGCATAAAAATCAGCAGACATAGAATAGCTATTTTATTCACAATACTAATGAAGAACACAAAAAAATTAGGAAAAAAAAACACTATTTTTAAGGTTTAGCATCTATACAAAAGAACTTACAAAATTTTGCCAGAAGATACATAAGTAAGGCTGGAAGTGAAGAGCCATACCTGGATAGAAAGAATAAATATTGGGAGGAGTCAAGATGTCCGAATAGGAACAGCTCCGCTCTACAGCTCCCAGCGTGAGCGATGAAGACGACGGGTGATTTCTGCATTTCCATCTGAGGTACCGGGTTCATCTCACTAGGGAGTGCCAGACAGTGGGCGCAGGTCAGTGAGTGCGCGCAACGTGTGTGAGCCGAAGCAGGGCGAGGCATTGCCTCACTTGGGAAGCGCAAGGGGTCAGGGAGTTCCCTTTCTGAGTCAAAGAAAGGGGTGACGGAGGGCACCTGGAAAATCGGGTCACTCCCACCCGAATACTGCGCTTTTCCGACGGGCTTAAAAAATGGCGCACCACCACATTATATCCTGCACCTGGCTCAGAGGGGCCTACGCCCACGGAGTCTCGCTGATTGCTAGCACAGCAGTCTGAGATCAAACTGCAAGGCGGCAGCGAGGCTGGGGGAGGGGCGCCCGCCATAGCCCAGGCTTGCTTAGGTAAACAAAGCAGCCAGGAAGCTCGAACTGGGTGGAGCCCACCACAGCTCAAGGAGGCCTGCCTGCCTCTGTAGGCTCCACCTCTGGGGGCAGGGCACAGACAAATAAAAAGACAGCAGTAACCTCTGCAGACTTAAATGTCCCTGTCTGACAGCTTTGAAGAGAGCAGTGGTTCTCCCAGCACGCAGCTAGAGATCTGAGAATGGGCAGACTGCCTCCTCAAGTGGGTCCCTGACCCCTGACCCCCGAGCAGCCTAACTCGGAGGCACCCCCCAGCAGGGGCACACTGACACCTCACACGGCAGGGTACTCCAACAGACCTGCAGCTGAGGGTCCTGTCTGTTAGAAGGAAAACTAACAAACAGGAAGGACATCCACACCAAAAACCCATCTGTACATCACCATCATCAAAGACCAAAAGTAGATAAAACCACAAAGATGGGGAAAAAACAGAACAGAAAAACTGGAAACTCTAAAAAGCAGAGCGCCTCTCCTCCTCCAAAGGAACGCAGTTCCTCACCAGCAACAGAACAAAGCTGGATGGAGAATGACTTTGACGAGCTGAGAGAAGAAGGCTTCAGATGATCAAATTACTCTGAGCTACGGGAGGACATTCAAACCAAAGGCAAAGAAGTTGAAAACTTTGAAAAAAATTTAGAAGAATATATAACTAGTATAATCAATACAGAGAAGTGCTTAAACGAGCTGATGGAGCTGAAAACCAAGGCTCGAGAACTACATGAAGAATGCAGAAGCCTCAGGAGCCGATGCGATCAACTGGAAGAAAGGGTATCAGCAATGGAAGATGAAATGAATGAAATGAAGTGAGAAGGGAAGTTTAGAGAAAAAGGAATAAAAAGAAATGAGCAAAGCCTCCAAGAAATATGGAACTATGTGAAAAGACCAAATCTACGTCTGATTGGTGTACCTGAAAGTGATGGGGAGAATGGAACCAAGTTGGAAAACACTCTGCAGGATATTATCCAGGAGAACTTCCCCAATCTAGCAAGGCAGGCCAACGTTCAGATTCAGGAAATACAGAGAACGCCACAAAGATACTCCTCGAGAAGAGCAACTCCAAGACACATAATTGTCAGATTCACCAAAGTTGAAATGAAGGAAAAAATGTTAAGGGCAGCCAGAGAGAAAGGTCAAGTTACCCTCAAAGGGAAGCCCATCAGACTAACAGCGGATCTCTCGGCAGAAACCCTACAAGCCAGAAGAGAGTGGGGGCCAATATTCAACATTCTTAAAAAAAAGAATTTTCAACCCAGAATTTCATATCCAGCCAAACTAAGCTTCATAAGTGAAGGAGAAATAAAATACTTTACAGAGAAGCAAATGCTGAGAGATTTTGTCACCACCAGGCCTGCCTTACAAGAGCTCCTGAAGGAAGCACTAAACATGGAAAGGAAAAACCGGTACCAGCCGCTGCAAAATCATGCCAAAATGTAAAGACCATCGAGACTAGGAAGAAACTGCATCAACTAACGAGCAAAATAACCAGCTAACATCATAATGACAGGATCAAATTCACACATAACAATATTAACTTTAAATGTCAATGGACTAAATGCTCCAATTAAAAGACACAGACTGGCAAATTGGATAAAGAGTCAAGACCCATCAGTGTGCTGTATTCAGAAAACCCATCTCACGTGCAGAGACACACATAGGCTCAAAATAAAAGGATGGAGGAAGATCTACCAAGCCAATGGAAAACAAAAAAAGGCAGGGGTTGCAATCCTAGTCTCTGATAAAACAGACTTTAAACCAACAAAGATCAAAAGAGACAAAGAAGGCCATTACTTAATGGTAAAGGGATCAATTCAACAAGAAGAGCTAACTATCCTAAATATATATGCACCCAATACAGGAGCACCAAGATTCATAAAGCAAGTCCTGACCGACCTACAAAGAGACTTAGACTCCCACACATTAATAATGGGAGACTTTAACACCCCACTGTCAACATTAGACAGATCAACGAGACAGAAAGTCAACAAGGATACCCAGGAATTGAACTCAGCTCTGCACCAAGCGGACCTAATAGACATCTACAGAACTCTCCACCCCAAATCAACAGAATATACATTTTTTTCAGCACCACACCACACCTATTCCAAAATTGACCACATACTGGGAAGTAAAGCTCTCCTCAGCAAATGTCAAAGAACAGAAATTATAACAAACTATCTCTCAGACCACAGTGCAATCAAACTAGAACTCAGGATTAAGAATCTCACTCAAAACCACTCAACTACATGGAAACTGAACAACCTGCTCCTGAATGACTACTGGGTACATAACGAAATGAAGGCAGAAATAAAGATGTTCTTTGAAACCAATGAGAACAAAGACACAACATACCAGAATCTCTGGGACGCATTCAAAGCAGTGTGTAGAGGGAAATTTGTAGCACTAAATGCCCACAAGAGAAAGCAGGAAAGATCCAAAATTGACACCCTAACATCACAATTAAAAGAACTAGAAAAGCAAGAGCAAACACATTCAAAAGCTAGCAGAAGGCAACAAATAACTAAAATCGGAGCAGAACTGAAGGAAATAGAGACACAAAAAACCCTTCAAAAAATTAATGAATCCAGGAGCTGGTTTTTTGAAAGGATCAACAAAATTGATAGACCACTAGCAAGACTAATAAAGAAAAAAAGAGAGAAGAATCAAATAGATGCAATAAAAAATGATAAAGGGGATATCACCACCGATCCCACAGAAATACAAACTACCATCAGAGAATACTACAAACACCTCTATGCAAATAAACTAGAAAATCTAGAAGAAATGGATAAATTCCTCAACACATACACTCTCCCAAGACTAAACCAGGAAGAAGTTGAATCTCTGAATAGACCAATAACAGGATCTGAAATTGTGGCAATAATCAATAGCTTACGAACCAAAAAGAGTCCAGGACCAGATGGATTCACAGCCGAATTCTACCAGAGGTACAAGGAGGAACTGGTACCATTCCTTCTGAAACAATTCCAATCAATAGAAAAAGAGGGAATCCTCCCTAACTCATTTTATGAGGCCAGCATCATCCTGATACCAAAGCCTGGCAGAGACACAACCAAAAAAGAGAATTTTAGACCAATGTCCTTGATGAACATTGATGCAAAAATCCTCAATAAAATACTGGCAAACGGAATCCAGCAGCACATCAAAAAGCTTATCCACCATGATCAAGTGGGCTTCATCCCTGGGATGCAAGGCTGGTTCAATATACGCAAATCAATAAATGTAATCCAGCATATAAACAGAGCCAAAGACAAAAACCACATGATTATCTCAATAGATGCAGAAAAAGCCTTTGACAAAATTCAACAACCCTTCATGCTAAAAACTCTCAATAAATTAGGTATTGATGGGACGTATTTCAAAATAATAAGAGCTATCTATGACAAACCCACAGCCAATATCATACTGAATGGGCAAAAACTGGAAGCATTCCCTTTGAAAACTGGCACAAGACAGGGATGCCCTCTCTCACCACTCCTATTCAATATAGTGTTGTAAGTTCTGGCCAGGGCAATTAGGCAGGAGAAGTAAATAAAGGGTATTCAATTAGGAAAAGAGGAAGTCAAATTGTCCCTGTTTGCAGACGACATGATTGTATATCTAGAAAACCCCATTGTCTCAGCCCAAAATCTCCTTAAGCTGATAAGCAACTTCAGCAAAGTCTCAGGATACAAAATCAATGTGCAAAAATCACAGGTATTCTTATACACCAATAACAGACAAACAGAGAGCCAAATCATGAGTGATCTCCCATTCACAATTGCTTCAAAGAGAGTAAAATACCTAGGAATCCAACTTACAATGGATGTGAAGGACCTCTCCAAGGAGAACTACAAACCACTGCTCAAGGAAATAAAAGAGGATACAAACAAATGGAAGAACATTCCATGCTCATGGGTAGGAAGAATCAGTATCGTGAAAATGGCCATACTGCCCAAGGTAATTTACAGATTCAATGCCATCCCCATCAAGCTACCAATGACTTTCTTCACAGAATTGGAAAAAACTACTTTAAAGTTCATATGGAACCAAAAAAGAGCCTGCATCGCCAAGTCAATCCTAAGCCAAAAGAACAAAGCTGGAGGCATCACACTACCTGACTTCAAACTATACTACAAGGCTACAGTAACCAAAACAGCATGGTACTGGTACCAAAACAGAGATATAGATCAATGGAACAGAACAGAGCCCTCAGAAATAATGCCACATATCTGCAACTATCTGATCTTTGACAAACCTGAGAAAAACAAGCAATGGGGAAAGGATTCCCTATTTAATAAATGGTGCTGGGAAAACTGGCTAGCCATATGTAGAAAGCTGAAACTGGATCCCTTCCTTACACCTTATACAAAAATCAGTTCAAGATGGATTAAAGACTTAAACGTTAGACCTAAAACCATAAAAACCCTAGAAGAAAACCTAGGCATTACCATTCAGGACATAGGCATGGGCAAGGACTTCATGTCTAAAACACCAAAAGCAATGGCAACAAAAGCCAAAATTGACAAATGGGATCTAATTAAACTAAAGAGCTTCTGCACAACAAAAGAAACTACCATCAGAGTGAACAGGCAACCTACAAAATGGGAGAAAATTTTCGCAACCTACTCATCTGACAAAGGGCTAATATCCAGAATCTACAATGAACTCAAACAAATTTACAAGAAAAAAACAAACAATCCCATCAAAAAGTGGGCAAAGGACATGAAGAGACACTTCTCAAAAGAAGACATTTATGCAGCCAAAAAACACATGAAAAAATGCTCATCATCACTGGCCATCAGAGAAATGCAAATCAAAACCACAATGAGATACCATCTCACACCAGTTAGAATGGCAATCATTAAAAAGTCAGGAAACAACAGGTGCTGGAGAGGATGTGGAGAAATAGGAACCCTTTTACACTGTTGGTGGGACTGTAAACTAGTTCAACCATTGTGGAAGTCAGTGTGGCGATTCCTCCGGGATCTAGAACTGGAAATACCATTTGACCCAGCCATCCCATTACTGGGTATATACCCAAAGGACTATAAATCATGCTGCTATAAAGACACATGCACACGTATGTTTATTGCGGCACTATTCACAATAGCAAAGACTTGGAACCAACCCAAATGTCCAACAATGATAGACTGGATTAAGAAAATGTGACACATATACACCATGGAATACTATGCAGCCATAAAAAATGATGAGTTCATGTCCTTTGTACGGACATGGATGAAATTGGAAATCATCATTCTCAGTAAACTATCGCAAGAACAAAAAACCAAACACCACATATTCTCACTCATAGGTGGGAACTGAACAATGAGATCACATGGACACAGGAAGGGGAATATCACACTCTGGGGACTGTTGTGGGGTGGGGGGAGGGGGGAGGGATAGCATCGGGATATATACCTAATGCTAGTTGACGAGTTAGTGGGTGCAGCACACCAGCATGGCACATGTATACATATGTAACTAACCTGCACAATGTGCACATGTACCCTAAAACTTAAAGTATAATAAAAAATAAAAATAAAAAAAATAAAAAAAAGAAAGAATAAATATTGAGAAAATGTGAATGCTTCTCAAAGTAATTTTTAAGTTTCACATAATTCTAATCAAAATTCCATTTTGCTATTTTTAAAACTATGGAAAATTTTTCTGAAGAAAGAACAGCTGAGTATTTGTAAGAAAACCTTCAAAAAGACTAAGAGAGAACTATTTCAGGAAAAAACAAATATATTAAAGTCGTCATTCATGAGACAGTATTGTACTGAAATTAGAAAAAGCATACAAATTAGAAAATGAAACAAAAAGCCCAGTAATTGACTCTAATTAGAATCTAACATTATTTATAATTTAAAGAACAAAAAATCAAGAGAGAATGTAATTATTTAGTTATGGACTGGAAAACCTAATTAACTAATTTTTAAAATCAGTTTAGAACCTTGCCTTGTGCCATATATATGGGAAAAAAGTAAATATAAAAAATAAAATTATAAGCCCCTAAAAGAAAATGTAGGTTATTATTTATCTTACTTCTAGATGGGAAAAGACTCTCCAGGCATAAAAATAATGAGAGTTTTCAGAAGGAAAAAGAATAATAGATTTGATTGCCTACTCATTTTAAATGTACGTATCAAAAACTCGATAAACAAAATTATAAGCAAAAAATTGGGGGAAATATTTGCCAAAAATATGACAAACAGTTAGTGTATAAAAACTCAATTTCATCCATAGGAAAAACATTGCTATCATAGTAGATAAGTAGAGGAAAAGGACAAATAACTCACAGAAGAGGAAAATCAAGAGAATAATTAGCAAGAACAAAGAAGCGCAGCCTCATAGTAATCTTAAAGGTGCAAATTATGAGAATAAGATGATTCTTTGGGTCTACTAACAAATCAAAATTTCAGAAAACATAATATTCAGTGGTGATTAAAGTACTCTGATATTACTGCTTCTCCAGACTACTACTTTAAAAGTCACTTATCTGGAAAGCAATTTAGCAACCAGAGGAAAATCAGAAGGACCAATGTTTATTAACCATGATATTAGTCACTATATACATATATATATATATATATATATATATATATGAAACTTGTGAAATATTTAATGGTTGGAGAATAGATTTAAAATATACAACCAAATAATGAAATAAAGTATTACTAAAAATCATGTTTTTGAAAAAAAAGATAATTTATAAAAATATCAGGATATAAAGTGAAGTGAAAGAATCAGGGTACAATAACAGCAACATACATAAATCAGAGCCAAATGTTTAAAAAGTGTGTCGGGTCCTACCGTGTGCAGATGTTCATGAAATGTCCTGGAAAGGAAATAGGCTAAGTAGTGTTCCCTGAGAGTTAGAATTGGAGACTTTTATTTTCTTCCTTACACTTTTCTACAGTTTATAAGTTTTTGCTGTGACCATAATAAGGTTCGTTATAAATTGTAATAAAATTTTTTTTTGAGATGGAGTTTCACTCTTGTCGCCCAGACTGGAGTGCAGTGGCACCATCCCGGCTTACTGCAACCTCTGCCTCCTGGGTTCAAGCGATTCTCCTGCCTCAGTCTCCCAAGTAGCTGGGATTACAGGCATGTGCCACCATGTCCAGCTAATGTTTTGTATTTTTAGTAGAGATAGGGTTTTGCCATGTTGAGCAGGCTGGTCTCAAACTCCTGACCTCAGGTGATCCACTCACCTCAGCCTCCCAAAGTGCTGGGATTACAGGCGTGAGCCACCATGCCCAGCCAATAAAAGGTATTCTTAAGCCATAGATATCTCAACAGATTTTTGTCCTCATGTCAACCTATTTAAGTAGTCAGAAGGGAAATGAGCAATCACATATTTCACCATTAGTTAAATTATGTCTTAAGAGTAACCTTCCTTTGACTCTCACTTCATACCTGATATGAACCTAAAAGAAGCATTTCTTTTGTAAAAAGTCCAGAAACCTCCATGACTACACATACCTCTCACCACACTGTCAGAAAACTCAACCACTGAGACTTCTTCCAGATACAGCAACATAACTCGGTTGTACACATGTGTATGTGGTAGATTCTCCAACAGAATATCTCCTCTGATGGTTGATACTGCAAGGATAGCACAGGAGTCCCCAGTGTTCTCAGAGGGACCATGAGGCCAGCACCATCACAGATGCCAATGGCAGGGGTACAATCTGACCAGCTCTCCCACTAAACAAGAGCTCTCTGCATTTGTGAAGAATGGAGAATTACCCAGAGCCAACTTGTCTTGCTGTTTATTTTCAGAAATACACAGAGTGAAAGGTAAAAAACACACTTTTTTTCTGCTTTTCTTATGTCTTAGTTTACTGACTGATAGGTTGGTTCATTGATGTACTTCTTGCATTGCAATAATTTTAACTCTATGCACTTGTAGGCTTTAGTAAATAATTTCTGAAAAGAAAACAGTTTGGGATTTGCTTAATAACAGCTCAGGAATATGCAGTGTTTCAATCTTGTTCCAAGTGAATACAAGGTAGTTTACCTTTTAAAGAACTATTTTCTTAATGCTTTTAAAGCATACATGCTGGTTGCCCCCAACCTTGAAACTTGTTGCATCTCATTGTCCAGGTGTCCCAGTGTATCTATGCTAACTTCCTAAATAGATTTCAAACTTCTCAAAGACAGTCAGGAATTCTTCAATGTTCATTCTCCTCCCATTTTACAGGGTTGGAGCCACAGCACAGTATTACATATCCCTAAATATTTTCCTCAGATGATTACCACCTGTTAGAATTTCCACTACTACTTATTTATTCATTAAGCCAGTCATTTATGAAATATTTATTAAACACCATGTATGTGTCAGGCACTATGCAAGGTATTGGTGATACTGAGATAAATAAAACATGATTAAGTCTTTGTCTTTGCTTTCATGGTGTTGATTAAGTCTTTGTCTTTGCCTTCATGATGTTTACATATGACTCACTCCTGTTTGGCAGAACCAGAAGACAATAACAAAATACATATTTTCATTCATTCAGCAAACGTGATCTAACACCTACAAAGAGCAGAGTTCAGTGTAAACCCCTCTTACACTTGCCACTCCCCAGTTCCTTCCAATGGTGTTGAACACATATACATCAATGTTCACAGACCTTGCTCCCTCTTCCTGTAGCCAGTCACAGAAAGTCCCAGTACTCCAGGTTTCTATGGAGATTTTTGAATGAGCCCCATTTTCCTCGGCTTAAGATCAGTGTGAAACAATTAAGAACATACTGCTGATAATGTGTAAAACTAGAACGCTGGGTATGGCTGTGAATGCTACCCTCCATCTTGTGAAGCTTTCAAACTACCCAGGCAACAATGAGCCACAGAAAAGCCCACCAAGCCAAGGGCACATCAGCACATGGTCTGGTATCCCTGGCCAGTCTCACCTCTTTATCTGTGATGGTATAGAAAGAACCACAGAGAGATGTTCCACAAGCATCCAGTTATTTTTACGGACCCCAAGGGCTGCGAGGACAATCTTAAAACCACAGTACTAATTCATCAGCTACTGTTTTAGCCAAGTAAAAGCAAGATTTTTGAATGGGTGGATCACTGAACTTTTTTTGCAGTGGATAGTTGACATAGTTGGCCCAAAAGTGTACATACCTCCAAATTTTCTCTTGAACTTAAATTATAAAAAATTTTTACAGAATTTGGAAAGCACATTTTCCTAAACATGTACAATTGAATGTGTCTGGTTAAATAAGAATATTTGGCCCTTTATTTTAAAAAGTACTAAAATATGCAGATACACACACACACATACTCACATGTCTTAAGATTTAGTTGCATGAAAATGTAATAAAGTCCTTAACTAGCTGCTGTTCATCTATGCTTAAAAATATCAAAACATCACAGCTATGCTGACAGTTTTATTCTAAACCTAATTTGTTGCTAATTCACTGAAAATCGTTATCATTTTTACATATGCTTCTGATGTTGTCCCTCAATATCTGTTCTTCATTTTTTTCTGTGGTTGTAATAGTAATAATACAGCTAGCACTAATGTGATACTTACTATATGCGAGGCTCTGTTCTGTGAACAGAGGCAGAATCTTGACATATGAAAAATAGACCAAATCTAAAGTGAATTTTAATCTGTAAAGGTAAGTGTCCATGTTTGAAACTAAAACATGAACTCAGGGTTTTTCAACTTCAGCACCATTGACATTTGGGACCAGATAATTCTTTGTTGTTGGGGCAGTCTAGTGGATTGTAGGATGTTCAGAAGCATCCTTGGCCTCTACCCACTGGATGCCAGTGTCACTCCCTCTGCCATATTAATTTGACAACCAAAAATGTCTTCAGACATTACCAAATGTCCCCGGGGGGGAAGGGGGTACAAAAATGTCTCTGGTTGAAAACTACTACAATAACTACAGAGTAATGAAATATACAAGAGAAGATTTTAGGATTGGAGCTAACAGCAGCAGCCTTGACAACATTATGCAACATCCAAAAAAGGTAGTGTGATCTTAGGCTGTATTAAAAGTACAATGTGTGTTATAATAGGTGAGACTACTGCTCCCTATTGGTGAAATAATGGGCAGGCTATTATGTAAAGTAGTAGATACTACCTTTGAGAGGCTTAATGGTCATTCAATGTGCTTCAGAGAATTATTGAAATGGTAAGGGATCTAAAACCCTCAGGAAGAGAGTTGAAACAAGAAATACTTACAAGACAAGACTAAGAGAAATACGCAAAACCTCTCTGAAGGTAAGAATTGGATTTTTTTTTTCTGCAGCGTCAAGAGGTAGAAAGAAAATCAATGAATGAGAACTTACAGTCAGATATGTTTATAACAGATGTCCAAGGAGAGAATGGGATTCTTCGGAGATGTAGTTCCTCATTACCCAGTTGAAATTATCATACAGCAAGAATCATGAGGAAGGGAAATGATTTTTTTAAGCAGCTGTTCTCTTTTCTATGAATCACGACTAAAAGCCAGGTCCTCTACCCATAGCTATTTCCACTACTACACTAAGAGTGAAAACAATGCCTCTGCTTGTTTGATGCTAACACATCCAGTCATGGATCACAGAACAGATCATTTTGTTAAAAAGCGGACATAACAGCATAAGCAAAAGATGTCAATTTGCTTATTGATGAACATCCTCTGGCAAAAATAATTTAACTATAATCTTCACAGGTGATGGAGGCCCATCAGTGTTTTCAGGGGTATGGCAATTTTCTCCTACAAAAGGAATTTAAAAATGACTTAAGTGCTCAACTACAAGAAATGTATTGATTTCAGCCAACGACTTAATGAATTGTTCCAGGCACTATTTTCAGCACTGAAAGTAGAGTGGTAAGCAGAGCAGGAACAAGACCTAGACTATAAAATCTGAGAGGGAAGGCAAGCATTAAACAAATAATCATACATATATATATATATATCTATATATATATTCATAACTCATGTGAAATGATAAAACAGGACATCTAGAGGAACTGGAAAAGTGTGAATACAAGAACCTAATTCAAATGGGAGGTAATCAGGGAAGACCACTCTGAGAAAGTGAAGCAAACAGACATCAAGAGGCAAAGAGTAAGGGGAGTAACCCCCAAGTAGTGGGAGAGCCCTGTGTTAGGAAGAATGAACACAGAGCTACTCATGTTTTAGGCATGGGATGAGGACTGGTTATTCTACCCTAAGTACAATGGCAAGTCACCAAAGAGTGCATGATCTCACTTATATTTTTAAAATATCAATAGAACTAATTGAATTATTCTGCCTCCATTTATTTGATCGCAGGCATTCATTCATTTACTGGATAAATACGTATCCCGCATCCACTCTGAGAATGCCAGGCTCTGCTCTAGGTGCTAAGGTACAACTGTTAATGAAGCACACAAAACCTCTTGCCCTTCTAGAGTTTACATTCTTGCATAGGAAGCAGAAAATCTAAAAAATAAAATAATTTTAAAATATAGTGTCAAATGAGGAAGAAAAGCAAGTGCTGGTGTCAGACAATAAGGGAAATGAAGGACATGGGGGTTATGAGGTAAGTTGGAATTGCAATTTTTAGTAGGTGAGAGAAGGCCTGAGGAGGGTGACAATATCAGAGGAAAGACCTGAAGGAGAAAGGAGAGAGGCAGGAATGTCTGGGGGAAGAGAGTTTCGGGCAGGGGAAACAGCAAATGCAAAGGAACTTAGGAACAGCAAGGCATAATGTCAACAAGTGGGAGACTACGAGATGAAGTCAGAGATCTGTATTCTTCCCTTTTTAATTATGTATAGGGTAGAATGTCATCAGAAGGTTTTAGCAAGTAAGGGACATGATCTGACTCATATTTTAAAAGAATCGCTCTTTCTGTTATCTGGGGACAAAAGCAGAAGCAGGAAGGCCAAGGAGGAGTCATGTGGAGATGTGAACAACAGTGACCAGAATCAGGCAGCCAGTCTTCAGAGGGAGCCCGGAAACGCAGAATAGCAAGGCCTCCCAGAGACAAAGAAGCCAGAGAAAGCCTGGCCTTGCAGAGACTGGAGCAGGATTCACAGATCCCTGTCCTAATGCTCCACCACTAATAGTTACAACTGCTTAACTGTCCCTCAGTATTGCTGACTTAAATTCCCAGCTAATTACCATTGTCACTGTTGAGTGGTCCTCATCAGGAGTTGCCAGCCTGGATTAGCTGCCCACCTCTGTGCTAATCTCAACTGGAGCCAGCGAGGCAGGGTCAGAATAAGGCCACCCAGGTAGATGAAACAAGCCAACATGTTTCCCAGGCACTTTTGTGTGCTCAGTTACACAGGCAAATGTGTGGCAATTTCTCCCTTTCTCTACAGCAAATATCCCTCATCAACCAAGGCATCTTCTTCATGAGCCTCAAACTACCTGCCTCAACATAGCACTCCAGACCAATACTCAAACTTCAATGTTCAAATCCAGATTCTCATTCAGTGGCTGTGCAACCCAGGGTTCTGCTTTTCTAGCAAGCTGCTAGGTGATTCCAATGCTGCTGGTCCACAGACCACATTTAGAGCATCAAGATTCCAGACAACCATTTCCATTCACGACATTTCAAGTCAAAGTTAGACGCTAAACCTCCCCAATTCTCTTTCCTTTATGATAAGGAACAAAAGTAAATGAGTCATTCAACTTTGTAATCCTAATTCTTATTACGTTTTACACACAGTAGGTTATTAAGAAATGTTTGTTGAATCGGTTAAATGTATTTGTTTCTTGCAGAGTTCTAGCTCCAAGTTTCCCTTTCTTGGTTACTTTCTCTGCCTCCTCCCACCCCACCATGTTGTTTCTAATGACACAGGGAGGGTTTCCCATTTGGAGTAATGATCATTATCATCTACATGAAGTCGGCCCCAATCCACACTGTACATCTAATAGCCCACAGCTTCTGTGCTGACTCCATTGTGAGAGAAGGAAGAGTGGGCTAAATGGTGTAGTTAGTTCCAGGACCATTTCTTCCTAATTGCAAAATTGTCCTCTCAATGAAAGGCTTCAATTCCAATCATGTAACCATAAGCAAGACACTGCCATGGCTCCACATCCATTACTGCGGTTAACTAGATAGTTTGGCTTTCTTTCCAAAAATGTCCCCCTACTTATCCTTTTGCCTCCTGGGACATCTTGTGCTTAAAATAATTTATTGAAGCATGTGAGGCATGTGGCTGAATTGATGGGAAATGAGAGAGCTTTCCCCAGCCTGATCTGTGTCCCTTCTTGCTCTCGGTTCTCCCTTATTTAGCAGTCTTTATGCCGTTTGATTTGTACCAGGCTTCTGGCTATTCCCCTGTTTTTCCATGTGCACTGGCAAATTTTACAGGGTACTAGCTACATAATTGCCCGCTGCTTTTATGAGCTCAGACATAGCATTGTTGGGGCCAGGTGCTTTTCCCAAGTAACTTTTTTTTTTGCTGTGGGTTTCAGATGTGGTTTCAATTTCTTCCCTAAGGCTTCAGAAGCAGGTTTTTCTTCAGTGTCTTTAACTGCCTCATTATTGATCATTTTCTCTGGAATATTTAATATCCTTTTCTAATGTCTATGAGCTTGAAGTATTCTTTCAGGTTTTTTTTTCTTTTTTATATATAAACATCCCTTTGCCTTCAGACAGAATTAAAATTTATAGCGTCTGAAACTCTGCATGTCTTAGAAAAGATGACTATCCACCCCTAGATGCTCTTTCTCTGAATTCCATCTGTAATTTGAGAAGCACATTGAATGAGGATATTGGAACAAACCTAGAAATGTCTTTTTATTGCACCTCAGTGGTTATATTTTTTTATAATTGGTATATATGAGTATAGACCTTCCACATGGACTGTGACTTGAAAAGAGGGAAAGAAGTTTTGCTTTGAATAATTACTTCTTTTGAAGATCAAATATTACAACCCCTTGACCTCTTTCAAGCCAACCATTTAAAAAATCTCCCTTGTTGGACCTTAAAGGACAAGAAAATGCTTCTAGGGATGTCAGAATTAAGAACTATTGATGGGCTAAATATGAAATTGTAGGAACACAGACACACATAGTATTTGCTCAAATATATGTTGACTTGATTTTATAAAAGTAAAACACAAAATGAAGTCAAACATGGTAATACCATAGAAATAAAATTTACTTTATAACTTAATGAGAAGTAGCATATTTAAAACAAAAAAACTTAAGAAATTATAGATTTTCACATCTCACCAAATGGCTATGTTTATAGTGTATATTAGGCTCAAAACCTCGTATTTTAGAATACATATGACATTTCTTTTTTTTCAACCAAATAATTGTCGGTATTTTATTCCTTTAAAGAAAAATATATATTTTATGTGATCACATTAGCCTTTCCTAGGTTTTTGGCTGAGCTTCTCACCACCATTTTCCCTTCCCCAGATTCTTGAAGACATTAAATTCTCCTTGGTAGGATTTTTTTCATAAGTAGCAGCTAAGATCTGATTCTTCACTCTTTATATTAGCATTATCTCCTAAACAAGTTTTTTCTTTGTTTTTCTTTTTCTTCTCTTTATAACTTTTTATTTCAATTGTTTTTGGGGTGCAGTGGTTTTTGGTTACATGGGTAAGTTCTTGAGTAGTGATTTCTGGGATTTTAGTGCACCCGTCACCCAAGCAGTGTACACTGAACCCAACATGTAGTCTTTTATCCCTCACTCTCCTCCCAACCCTCCCCACAGAGTCCCCAAAATCTATTATAGCATTTGTGCCTTTGCATCCTCATAGATTAGCTCCCACTTATAAGCAAGAACATATGATATTTGGTTTTTCATTCCTGAATTACTTTGCTTAGAATAATGGCCTCCAGCTCTATGTTGCTGCAAAAGACATTATGTTTTTTTTTTCCTTTTCATGGCTGAGTAGTATTTCATGGTATGACACTTTTTTACTGGACTCACTTAGTGGAAGTTGAGTATCCCTAATTCTAAAATCCAAAATCTGAAGTGTTCCAAAATCCAAAGCTTTTTGAGCACTGATGTGAAACTCAAAAGAGGTGCTCGCTGGAGCATTTCAGATTTCAGATTTTCGGATTAGGAATGCTGAACCAGTAAGGATAATTCAAATATTCCCAAAACCAAAAAAATCAAAAAGGATGCAAGCATTTCAGATAAGGGATAGTCAACTTGTATTTTCTAATTTATCTAATTCATTTTTTCTCCAAAAAATCCATTATTAAAAGAGGATATGTTTATGCAGAAGATGGAGAGCCTGGAAATGTTTTATGTAAAATTTCATAAAGCTATTTACATAGTTCCACAGGAAAGCCTATTTTAAAGCAATTATATTTGGATCATGAAAAATTTTTATGAATAAAGATCTAGTTTCAAGACAACAAACAAAAGATAGGTAGAAAATAGCAATTCTCTAAATGGGAAATGTTAACAATCAGATCTGAAGACAGATTTGGGAGCTTTCTTATTTATCTTTTTTATAAGTGATTTTTGAAAGGCAAATTTACAGTAAGACCTATAAGATTGGAGAAAACACTAACATCTTCTAGATCAAAGCCATCTTGTTAATTTGCAGGTTCTGACTCATTGGGTCTGGGGTGGGACCCAGGATTCTGCATTTCTAACAAGCTCCTGGGTGATGCAGAGGCTTTATCCCGAGACCACACACTGAGAAGAAAGACACCAAGAGCAATTGTTCTCAACACTGACTGCACATTAGAATCATTTGAGAGACTTATAAAATTCCAGTACCCACATCATACTTCAAAAGAATTAGATCAGAATTTTGAGAGATGGAACACAGGCATAGTTTTTAAATATTCCAAAGTGATCCCAATATAAAATCAAGGCTGAGAATCACAGTTCTAGGTAGTGAAGGAGGAAAAGCACTCAAAATACCTACAAAGAGGTATAAATGACCTAAATAAGTTTCAGAGTGGAAAACTGCAAAGTAATACATTTGGGGAAATATATTCCCAATCACAATTACAAGACAACAAGCTCTAGACAAACAATTTTGACTTGGGAAAGAACATGTACTTCAAAGCAACAATACGCAATATACCATTTAAATATCAAAGATTATCCTATATTTATATAAAGCCATAGTATCAGAGTCTAGAATGTCATATTTACATTTTTGTACAGTTTTGGTAGTTACAAGGCAAACAAGCAAACTTTAGAAAGTGATGAAAAAGATGGCTAAAGGATTAATGAATGAAAAAGTTTTAATGCCAAGGTAAACTGAAAGAAAGTTTTCAAGAGGATGCAACTGACATTTATATTATAATAAGTATAATATGAATTTATTTACCAAATCCTAGACTACTAAAACAATCACTATACCATTTATTTAAAAAAATAGCAAAACAAATACTATGAAGAGAATAAATTCACTATGATACCTATTATCTAACATTTTGTAGATTTTAAAACTAATTTATGTTCCTAGCTAATGTAATAACACAAGAAAAGAAAAGAAAATGATACAGATTGAGAAGAAAAAAATAAAACTTTTTGTTCACAGAGAGCATGATTGTCAGGACATAGAAAGAGGGAGAGATCAATAGGAAACTCACAGAGGATTTGGGGGGCAATGAGAATACTCTGTATGATAATATAATTATGGATACATGTCATTATACATTTGTTCAAACCCAAAGAATGTACAATACCAAGAGTGAACTCTAATGTAAGCTATGGACTTAGAATGATAATGATGTCTCAATGTAGTCTAATCAGTTATAATATATGTACCACTCTTGTGGGGGATGTTGATAGTAGGGGGATTGTACATGTGTTAGGCCAACGGGTATATGGGAAATCTCCATACTCTGCTCAATTATGCTGTGAACCTAAAACTTTTCTGTAAAATAAAGAATATTAGTTTTTTTTAATTTTACGTGATTAGATATAAGAAGATGCAACTCTAAAAAGAGAAGTGCATATTTTCCTTCATTTTCTTCATATCAAATAAGAATTTATTTATAAAGTACTATGTGAAGCTTAAGGTAACTGTTCTCCCTTGGGTTAGGGGTGGGTGAGATGTGTATGGTTTCCCTTTGGGAAGACATTTCAAGATCACTCAGGGAGTAAGTTTCTCCTCAATATATGTCAGCTGTGGAGATTCAGACATTCCACACTTCCCTGGTCCAGCTACGAATCATTGTTTCTGTGAGCCACTATTACTCACTGGAGTATGCCATATCCATCAAGAGGGTTTAGGTGGAAAAAATGGATCATCACTGCCTTAAGGCATTAAAAAAAAAAAAGCCTACTTTGGTACCTATTTTTAAATGATCAGAGAGACATTAGCAAAATGAATTTAAATATTTTATAAGAATAGCAAAGCAATAATAGAATCGCTATGTTCTGAATTTGTATTTCATTTAAAGCTAAAATATATTTTTAAAACTCTTGCCCACCTAAACTATTTTCACAGCACAAAAGGCACAACAAAACTTGTTAACGATTAAGTGAAATGGAAAACTTCACAGAAAAAGACATAGCATAGTGTAGTATTTTTGAAACACACACACAACCATGGATTTGAGAGCTGTTACAGCTTGAATTGTGTCCCCAAAAAGATATGTTAAAGTCTTAACCCCAGTGCCTCAAAATGTGGCCTTATTTGAAAATAGGGTTGTTACAGATGTCATTAGTTAAGATGAGGTCATCCTGGAGTAGGGTGAGCCCTTTGTCCAATATGACTTGTATCCTTATAAGAAGAGAGATAGACACAGAGAAGACAGCTAAGTAATGAGGGAGGCAGTGATGGAGGGGATGCATCTACAGCCAAGAAACATCAAAGATTGCTGGAAAACACCAGAAGCTAGAAGAAACATGGAAGGATTCTCCCCTGCAGGCTTCAGAGGGAGCATGGCCCTGCCAGCACCCTGATTTTGTACTTCTAGCCTCCAGAACTCTGATACGTAAGATTCCATTGTTTTAACCCACCCAGTTTGTGGTAGTTTGTTACAGCAGCTCTAGGAGACTAACACAACCCTATCTATGACCCTTACTAGCTCTGTGATCCTGAGAAGCTCCTTTACCTCTTTATGCCTTAATCTCCTCAAATGTGAAATGGATGATAGTGGTGACACTTAACAGGATTGTGGTAATGATTAAAGGAGTGAATACAGTTGTCTCTTGGTGTCTGTGGGGGATTGGTCCCAGGCCTTACCCTGTATATCAAAATCTGTGGATATTCAAGTCCCTTCTATAAAAAGGTGTAGTATTTGCATGTAACCTACACATATGCTTCTGTATACTTTAAATCATCTCTACATTACTTGTAATGCCTAAGACAATATAAATGCTATGTAAATAGTTGTTATACTGTGTTTTTATTTTTATTTTTATTGTTATATTATTACTATTTTTCCTGAATATTTTTTCAGTTGGAATTGGTTGAATCAGCAGATGGAGAACCCACAGATATGGAGGGCCACCTATATATGTAAAGTGTGTTAGGTGCCTAGTAAAGATTAGATAAATGTTTATTATGCTTATTATAAATATGTAAAGGATTTACCATAGTACTTGATCCATAGATGGCATTCACTGAACAGTTGTTTTCTTTCTATGGTTGTAAATTACTAATCATTATTAACTTTAAGATATAGAAGCCCTTATAAAATAATAGCCAGTTCTTGACTAACTCAGATTAGTCCATCTTTGGAGGTACAATTTTTTGTCAATTTTGAATCCTGAACTTACCTATGAAAAATGGCTCCAAGCCCACATCTTACTACTCAAGACTTCAGTGTGGGCACATAGAAGATAAACTTACATGGCTATTAAACAAAGAAAGCATTAATTTCCTAGATTACTTTTCATTCCTACCCCTCCAAATCATAATCATTTCACAATTTAAATCCTCAGAAACCTGGGAATTTGTGTTTTGAATTTTTGAGTTCTTAATCCTTTGATGCAGACATTTGGAAGATATTAGAATTCCTAATCTTTATGAATGTTGACCTGCTTTAAACCACACATTAATATTTATTAAGAGCTATATGATCTTTTTAAAAAGTGAAGTGCCTTTCAATAAATGTTTGAAACTAATTTTATGTCACACATAATATCAGCTACTTTTACATTAGCTTTACTTATGGGCACCTACTGTTTCTTTCCCTAAAATTCATTCAACATATATTCACTCAGAAAATATCTATTGAATTATTTTTGTAGAGATAACTGTAAGAGAAAGAGAAAATAGAGAAATGTAAGAAACGTAATAATACGAAAAAGAACATGATAGGAGAAAAATATATGAGACATCAATTCCTCTTGGGTCATCAATAACATCTTTGTTGGGAATATAGCATTTGATCAAACTCTTGGAGGAAACAGATTTTAAAAACCCAAATTTTTCTTTTAACTTTTATGTTCTCATAAAAATTTCATTGGCTTGCAGAAACTATAATAAAAAACTAAAACATTAATAATCCAAAGGGGGTAAAAATGTATCCATGATAAATCTCAAACATTTGTCAGAATCCTATTGAAATTTTTTGACTTTAGAGTCGCAGTGCAAAATCTGTTTTAAACTCTTAAAAGATTGAAGTTCCTGAGAGTGAAAAATGGTGGAGGAGGGGGAAAGGAGAGGGATCCATGTCTGCAGGTGCCTGTGAAACTGAGGTGGCCACGAAGAGTCTTCTGACATCTTTTCACGTATCACCTGAAAAAATTATGAGACCCAAAAAAGTGGAGAAGCTTATGATTACTTTAATTCTATGTTTAAAGACTTAATGCAGAAGACACCATTTTAATACACTCTTCCTTTTGGAGTTTGGCAAAACAACCCATAAGAGAGATATTGGATTTGTTTTCTTTGGCAGAGAGGAGCAGTCTGGACTTCTTTCATCTGAAACTCTTTACCATCTTTGGAGAGAGAGCCGCTGAGATAATGGCCAATTTGTGCATTCTCCAAGGGACCCAAAAGGAAGCTGGAAGCATCTCTGAAAATATTGACATTCAACAGGAAGTTCCAAGAGTCATTACAAAAAAGAGAGAAAGGAAAAAACATATATATTTATATTATATATTATTATATATATTCTGATGTATTGTTTATTGATTTTTAAAAGCCATTAGATTGCAACGTTATTCATCTAAAAATGTCTGAAGTGTCATGGGGCCACAGAGAGCCAATATCAATTAGTTGCTTAAGTTATGAATTCACAGCTAACCACAACACCCGCTTAAGGAAAGCAGACAGTGCTTTTACAGTGCCTAAATATTACACAGGCAAATTGAATAATGAATTAAGACAATCGTACAGAAAAACAAAAACCTAGCTAAAGAGTTTTGTAATCTGAAAATCCCATTTTCTCTACCTAGATTTATCGAGATACATTGCTTGTTTTGATTTGATTTTTTTTTTTTTTTTTTTTTTTTTTTGAGACGGAGTCTGGGTCTGTCGCCCAGGCTGGAGTGCAGTGGCACGATCTCGGCTACACTGCAAGCTCCGCCTCCTGGGTTCACGCCATTCTCCTGCCTCAGCCTCCTGAGTAGCTGGGACTGCAGGCGCCCGCCACCAAGCCCAGCTAATTTTTTTTTTTGTATTTTCAGTAGGACGGGGTTTCACTGTGTTAGCAGGATGGTCTTGATCTCCTGGCCTCGTGATCCAACCGCCTCGGCCTCCCAAAGTGCTGGGATTACAGGCATGAGCCACCGCACCTGGCTCTTGATTGAATTTTAATTGCATTTTAAATTAGAGTCAGATAGAATATCTTACAGAAACCAGGTACTAGGTGGGCATTTCAGGGGGCTTCTTCGCCAAGTGCTAGAAGCCATATGGCCTGGAGATGAGAACATAAGAATGCAGGCTGTGGTATCAAAGCTAGGCTCTGCTGTTTCCCAACCAGGTGAGCCTGGTTCATTTACTTGACCTCTCTGAACCTCAGTTTTCATGTCTGTAAAATAGAGTAAACAACTAACTCTTAGAGTCCTGCTGAGGGGTAAAACACGTACCACAATATTTAATAAATGAGAGCCATTATTATCACTGCATGCTCAAGTAATTTCTTCAACTTCTTGATTTAAGCACTGCTCACTTCAAGTTGAAATTGATTTTTTTTTTTTTTAACTGACTTAAATACGAAACAAAAGAACATATTTCAGCAACTTTTCTAACAACCACCTAAAAACCTTGGAAAGGCCTCTCAATTTTAGGCTTGAGAACTGGCATGAAGAAAGACATTTTTTAAAATAATAGATATTACATGAAAAGCTATCCCCTTGCTGCAGTCTCGCAGGCTTTTGCAGACACTAATGATCCTGGGAACAAACACAAGCTAGCACCTGGACTTTTTGCATTTGGATCCAGGCACCCCCCCGCCTCCCATCACTAGACATCACAAAGCCTGGGAAGACATGTGTAAGGTGTGCCTCTTGGACACAGTATTTCCTTTGGGTGGGACATTAAACATTGGACTTTAGTACTGTATTCATTGGAGACATTGGAATGCTTTCACGGGTGAAGATTTTAAGTAAACTTCTATACAGATTTTTAATGAGAAAGCTAGGCATATCTCTTTTTGCACCGGTTTGAATAAAATCTCCCGAAAAAGAGAAAGACTGGTTACTACTGTAGGATGACTATGGTTAACAATTATATATGATGTAGTTTCAAATAGCTAGAAGGAGAATATTGGATTATCCAACACAAAGAAATGATAAATGTTTTAGATGATGGATATACCAATTACCTTGATGCAATCACTATACATTATACATATGTAAACATCACCATATACCCATGAATATGATCAATTATTATTTGTCAGTCTAAAAACGTAACATTTTTTTAAAAGAGTAGGATAATATTTGTTGTCCCTTCCAAACATATTATCTCATAAATGTTATTTTGTGATATGTTGCTTGGGTGTATTGTGTTGCCTTAGCCCCCTTCCAAATGTCCTCTTCCTGGATATTCACTGTGGATGGCTAAGTGTGCCTGACCATCCACCCCTCTATGGTGCCTCTTGGCATAAAATAATGGTGGGGAAAAAAAACCCAGCAGAGTAAACTAGAATAATGCCACAAACTTCAGAGACCATTGTAAATATTGACTTACGTTGTGCTCACACCAGTCTTGCAGTAAGTGTCAGTTGTCTTTAAGATTGCATGTAATCAACACATTGTGATGGGTTTTATGGTTATAATTATAAGCAGAAAACTAACCTGCAGACCCAGCTTATCCACTGAAAGAACAGTGAACCAAGCCTACATCCACAAGACTAGAACATACTTTTAAGTGTAATTAGCACAGTGCTTGGCTTTAATGGTGCAATTCTTCATGACTGTGATGAATCTAGGAGAAATGTGAAAAAATGACAGCCCTAGCTTACCCAACTCTATAAAAGTCAGACCAAATTACTCAGAGTATTTATATGGCAATGGAAAAATATTTTTAAAGCAGAAAAATTTCTGATCACCATGGATTCTGATCTACATAATCAGACAGCTCTATGTTTGGTCAAGAATAGCACAATTTTCCATTCCACTTTGAAAAATAGAAATTTTTGCTCAACATTTATCAAAAGTCTGCTTTGATCATTTTTTCTATTCTTACCTTAAAAATGTCTCAGTAAATGAAACAAATGAAAAGCAAAATTAGTGATTCCACTGGCTTTTTTCCCAGACTAAGTACACACAGCAAAATGAGATTTTTATATTTCTAAACATCTGCATTTCATTCACATCTTCTCCTAAGTAGAGAATTAGAGACAGAATGAAGGACCAGTTCTTCATCTACAGAACAAGGGTGCCCGGGATTGAATAGGCCAAATATCTTAGGAAGTCCATCCACTGAGAGAAAAACCCTAAACCACACCTCACAGTTGTGAATATTCTTATATGTTTCCTCCTACCCAGCAGATTGTCCTGGGTGACTGCTTACATTCTTTAGATTTGGTAATAAACAGTTGCCATTTTGACCATTTCCTTTTGTAGACTCACAAACTGCAGAATAACTAAATAACTCCTTTCCTTTGATGGCCTTGCCCAAGGGCTGTTTTAGCACCTCATAAATCCTGTAATTGTATGGGATCATTTGGCAGTGTGTGGATTTTTCTGTTAAATCACAGTAAGAAGAAGATCAGGAGGAAACCTGAAAAATAAAGCATTATAGTGGCATTAGAAGATTTATAGTGAGAGTGAATAGCACTGGCAAAACCCCAGCCAGGCCTTTGTTACTGGTAAGAAGACATGGCTAAGCATTAAATATCTCTTGTATTAGCTGAGGGTAGAACTTAGAGTTAGATCCAGTTCTTTTTTTCTCCTATGCATTTCTGGTGTCAGTGAGAATAGAGTAGAATTTTAAAGTAGGCACAACTGTCAAGGAGATTGATTGAGGCAGTGTTTATGCCCATTTGTATAGATGTCCTGTAAATGGACTTATTACATGGTCCTTGGAAAAAAATAGGCATAAGAAACAGAGAACACTTAACCTATTGTACATGTGTTGTTTTTGTTTTGTGTATGTGTATGCTTTCCTCAGAGGGTCTCTGTCAAATAAGCGTGCCTAAAAGCATTGCAGGATTTTGCAGCTTTTATAAACTGCATTTTCATGTCTCAAGAAGCAGATAGTATGAAGTTGGGAAGGTTGGGGTTTGCCAGACCATGCCATGTCGGCTGTTGGAGAGAGGCCAGCAGTGGATTGGAAATCCAAATTGTACCCCGTTTAATAAAATCTGTGCTATTCCTTGGATAAGAAATGTTAGCTGCCGTTTATAAAATGCTTCGAGAACAGAGAAGTATAAAAACATACAAAGCATTTCCCCTAATGGTATTAAATTTAAATGTTTTCTAGCAAGTTGAAACCAGTATAAAGCTTCAGTAATTAACAGATTAAGATCTATCGACAGACTCTTCACATCAGAAATTAAAAGGAAAATTACAGGTCTCTTAAGAAGTTAAGGCTTCTCATAAAGCAATGGCAAGGAATAACTGCACACCTTAACGGAAATTTTTTTTGGCAAAATAAGCAGCACTAAATTATATGGAATGCGTAATTCTTTTGAACTCTCTGAGACTGCGAATCCTATAAAATAGAAGTTTCAGGCTTTTTTAAGTGATTGTTAATATCAAAAGAAATGTATTGGAAATAACTAATAATAAATTTTGACTGTGTTGAAACTTATCTAAGCCTTGTTCAAGGGTGCCATCTCGCCTCTATACTCTCTCTCCAGGTGATCGCAAACACTCCCAGGCCTTCTAATATCATATATGTCAAACCCAGTGAATCCCAAATTCAATATCCCACCTCTGGTATCTTACTTGAGCTCAAAACCGTTGTGCTCAGTTACCAGGCTTACAACTCTAATTTCTAATTTATCACCTATCTCAAAGTTGACTTGTCCAAAACAGAACTTTTGATTATCAATTTCACCCCACACGTGTTTACATGCACACACACACACACCCACACAAACACACAAAATAAAAACAAAGCTGCTTGTCCTTTCCCATCCCATTAAATAGTATCACCTTTCTCCCAGTTGCCCAGGCCAAAACCTAGGAATTTCCCATAATTATTCTCTTTCTCTCACCTCCCATAGGTAATCCTTCAACAAGATCTGTTGGCTCTACCTTTAGAGTACATACCACATACTTCCACTTCTCTTCCTTTCCACTGCTGCTACACTATTCTAAAGCACCATTAATTCTCTTTGGCTCCTTAGAGGGTCTATTGCTTCTATTCTTGTACTCAGTCCAAGGAAAAGGACATAGACAGAATTCCACAAATTATAAGGAGGCAATTGAAGGTGCTTGAACAGGGATATAGAAATTAAGCAGTCAGCAAAGTGAATTAGCGCAATGAGAGGATCAAACTATGATAAAGGACAACTGAAAAAGTTCAAGGAGAAGATGGCCAATTGGTAATGTGATAATTGTTAAGAAGCACTTAAATTTCACCAAAAGAAAAGTCAACCAAACTAAGAATTACAGTCATTAAGACACCCCCCCAACTCTAATCTAAACTATCATACAGCTATTGACTAGTTAGTGAAAATGATCAATTAGTAGACATTACAAACCCCATGTGAGCACTGTATCAAAGGAACTGACATCTATGCATCTATTGGTTTAGTCCATTAAATTATCAATCAACAAACACTTGTTGAGAAGTATTCCACCCAGGTACCATGGTCTACCCTAGTAGTACTGAGATTAAATTGGTAAAGAACCCTCTAGGAGCTCACAACCTAGAGAAAGGAATGCAAGTAGAGGGGGTGGCTGGCAAGATGGCCAAATAGGAACAGCTCTGGTCTGCAGCTCCCAGCAAGATCAACACAGAAGGCAGGTGATTTCTGCATTTCCAACTGAGGTACTCAGCTCATCTCATCGGGATTGGTTAGACAGTGGATGCAGCCCACCGAGGATGAGCAGAAGCAGGGTGGGGCATTGCCTCACCCAGGAAGTGCAAGGAGTTGGGAAACTCCCTCCCCTAGCCAAGGGAAGCCATGAGGGACTGTGCGGTGAGGAATGGTGCATTCCAGCCCAGATACTACGCTTTTCCCATGGTCTTTGCAACCTACACACCAGGAGATTCCCTCGAGTGCCTACACTACCAGGGCCCTGGGTTTCAGGTAGAAAATGGGGCAGCCATTTGGGTAGACACTGAGCTAGCTGCAGGAGTTTTTTCATACCCTAGTGGTGCCTGGAACAGCAGCGAGACAGAACCATTCACTCCCCTGGAAAGGAGGCTGAAGCCAGTGAGTCAAATGGTCTAGCTCAGTGGATCCCATTTCCACGGAGCCCAGCAAGCTAAAATCCACTGGCTTGAAATTCTCACTGCCAGCACAGCAGTCTGAAGTTGACCTGGGACACTTAAGCTTGGTGGGGTGAGGGTCCACCATTACTGAGGTTTGAGTAAGTGGTTTTCCCACACAGTGTAAACAAAGCCATCGAGACGTTCAAACTGGGTAGAGCCCACTGCAGCTCGGTAAAGCCACTGTAGGCAGACTGCCTATCTAGATTCCTCCTCTCTGAGCAGGGCATCTCTGAAAGAAAGGCAGCGGCCCCAGTCAGGGGCTTATAGATAAAACTCCCTTCTTGCTGGGACAGAGCACAAGGGGCAAGGGGCAGCTGTGGGTGCAGCTTCAGCAGACTTAAACATTCCTGCCTGCCAAAACTGAAGAAAGCAGCGGATCTCCCAGCACAGCACTCCAGTTCTGCTAAGGGATAGACTGCCTCCTCAAGTGGGTCCCTGACCCCCATGCCTCCTAACCGGCAGACACATTCCAGCAGGGGTTGACAGACACCTCATACAGGAGAGCTCCAGCTGGCATCTGGTGGCTGCCCCTCTGGGATGAAGCTTCCAGAGGAAGGAACAGGCAGCAATATTTGCCATTCTGCAGCCTCCGCTGGTGATACCCAGGCCAACAAGGTCTGGAGTGGACCTCCAGCAAACTCCAGCAGACCTGCAGCAGAGAGGCCTGTTAGAAGGAAAACTAACAAAAAGGAATAGCATCAACATCAGCAAAAAAGATGTCCACACAAAAACCCCATCTGAAGGTCACTAACATCAAAGACCATAGATATATCCATGAAGGTGAAGAAAAACCAGCACAAAAAGGCTGAAAATTCCAAAAACCAGAATGCCTCTTCTCCTCCAAAAGATCACAACTCCTTGCCAGCAAAGGAACAAAACTGGATGAAGAATGAGTTTGACGAATTGACAGAAGTAGGCTTCAGAAGGTGGGTAAAAACAAACTCCTTCAAACTAAAGGAGTATGTTCTAACCCAATGCAAGGAAGCTAAGGACCTTGATAAAAAGGTTAGAGGAATTTCTAACTAGAATAACCGTTTAGAAAAGAACATAAATGACCTGATGGAGATGAAAAACAAACTACAAGAACTTCGTGAAGCATACACAAGTATCAATAGCTGAAACAATCAAGTGGAAGAAAGGATATCAGAGATTGAAGATCAACTTAATGAAATAAAGTGTGAAGACAACATTAGATAAAAAAGAATGAAAAGGAACGAACAAAGCCTCCAAGAAATATGGGACCGTGTGAAAAGATCAAACATACATTTGATTGGTGTACCCGAAAGTGATGGGGAGAATGGAACCAAGTTGGAAAACACTCTTCAGGATATTATCCAGGAAGACTTCCCCAACCTAGCAAGACAGGGCAACATTCAAATTCAGGAAATACAGAGAATGCCACAAAGATATTCCCCGAGAAGATCAACCCCGAGACACATAATCATCAGATTCACCAAGGTTGAAATGAAGGAAAAAATGTTAAGGGCAGCCAGAGAGAAAGGTCAGGTTACCCACAAAGGGAAGCCCATCAGACTAACAGCAGATCTCTTGGCAGAAATCATACAAGCCAGAAGAGTGGGGGCCAATATTCAACATTCTTAAAGAAAAGAATTTTCAACCCAGAATTTCATATCCAGCCAAACTATGCTTCATAAGTGAAGGAGAAATAAAATCTTTTATAGACAAGCAAATGCTTGTCACCACCAAGCCTGCCTTACAAGAGCTCCTGAAGGAAGCACTAAACATGGAAAGGAACAATGGGTTACCAACCCTGCAAAAACATACCAAATTGTAAAGACCATTGACACTATGAAGAAACTGCATCAACTAACATGCAAAATAACCAGCTAGCATCATAATGGCAGGATCAAATTCACACATAACAATATTAACTGTAAATGTAAACGGGCTAAATGCCCCAATTAAAAGACAGGGACTGGCAAATTGGATGAAGAGTCAAGAACCACCAGTGTGCTGTATTTAGGAGACCCATCTCATGAGCAAAGAAACACACAGGCTCAAAATAAAGGGATGGAGGAATATTTATCAAGCAAATGGAAAGCAAAAAAAGGCAGGGGTTGCAATCCTAGTCTCTGATAAAACAGATTTTAAACCAAAAAAGATAAAAAAAGACAAAGAAGGGCATTACATAATGGTAAAGGGATCAATGTAACAAGAAGAGCTAACTATCCTAAATATACATGCACCCAATATAGGAGCACCCAGATTCATTAAGCAAGTTCTTAGAGACCTACAAAGAGACGTAGACTCCCACACAATAATAGTGGGAGAATTTAACACCCCACTGTCAACATTAGACTGATCAATGAGACAGAAAATTAATAAGGATATTCAGGACTTGAACTCAGCTCTGGACCAAGCAGACCTAATAGACATCTACAGAACTCTCCACCCCAAATCAACAGAATATACATTCTTCTCAGCACCACATTGCACTTATTCTAAAATTGACCGCATAATTGAAAGCAAAACACTCCTAAGCAAATGCAAAAGAACAGAAATCATAACAAACTATCTCAGACCACAATACAATCAAATTAGAACTCAGGATTAAGAAACTCACTCAAAACCGCACAACTGCAGGAAAACTGAACAACCTGCTCCTGAATAACTACTGGGTAAATGACAAAATGAAGGCAGAAATAAATAAGTTTTTTGAAACCAATGAGAACAAAGACACAAAGTACCAGAATCTCTGGGACACAACTAAAGCAGTGTTTAGAGGGAAGTTTATAGCACTAAATGCCCACAGGAGAAAGCAACAGAAAAGATCTAAAATCGACACCCGAATATCACAATTAAAAGAACTAGAAAAGCAAGAGCAAACAAATTCAAAAGTTAGCAGAAGACAGGAATAACTAAGATCAGAGCAGAACGGAAGGAGACAGAGACACGAAAAACTCTTCAAAAAACAATGAATCCAGGAGCTGATTTTTTGAAAAGATTAACAAAACAGATAGAACACTAGCCAGACTAATAAAGAAGAAAAGTGAGAAGAATAAAATAGACACAAGAAAAAATGATAAAAGAGATATCACCACTGATCCCATAGAAATACAACCTATCATCAGAGAATACTATAAACACCTCTATGCAAATAAACTAGAAAATCTAGAAGAAATGAATAAATTCCTGGACACATGCACCCTCCCAAGACTAAACTAGGAAGAAGTTGAATCCCTGAATAGACCAATAACAAGTTCTGAAATTGAGGCAGTAATTAATAGCCTACCAACCAATAAAAGTCCAGGACCAGACGGATTCACAGCCGAATTCTACCAGAGGTACAAAGAGGAGCTGGTAACATTCCTTTTGAAACTATTCAAAACAATAGAAAAAGACGGACTCCTCCCTAACTCCTTTTATGATGCCAGCATCATCCTGATACCAAAACCTGGCAGAGACACAACAAAAACAAGAAAATTTCGGGCCAATATCCCTGATGAACATCAATGAGAAAATCCTCAATAAAATACTGGCAAACTGAATCCAGCAGCACATCAAAAAGCTTATCCACCACGATCAAGTCAGCCTCATATCTGGGATGCAAGGCTGGTTCAACATACACAAATCACTAAATGTAATCAATCACATAAACAGAACCAATGACAAAAACCACATGATTATCTCAATAGGTGCAGAAAAGGCCTTTGATAAAATTCAACACCCCTTCATGCTAAAAACTCTCAATAAACTAGGTATTGAGGGAATGTATCTCAAAATAATGAGAGCCATTTATGACAAACCCACAGCCAATATCATACTGAATGGGCAAAACATGGAAGCATTCCCCTTGAAAACTGGCACAAGACAAGGATGCCCTCTCTCACCACTCCCATTCAACGTAGTATTGGAAGTTCTGGCCAGGTCAATCAGGCAAGAGAAAGAAATAAAGTGTGTTGAAATAGGAAGAGAGGAAGTCAAATTGTCTCTCTTTGCAGATGACATAATTGTATATTTAGAAAACCCCATCATCTCAGCCCAAAATCTCCTTAAGCTGATAAGCAACTTCAGCAAAGTCTCAGGATACAAAATCAACGTGCAAAAATCACAAGCATTCCCACACACCAATAACAGACAAATGGAGAGCCAAATCATGAGTGAACTCCCATTCACAATTGCTACAAAGAGAATAAAATACCTGGGGATTCACCTTAAAAGGGATGTGAAGGACCTCTTCAAGGAGAACTACAAACCACTGCTCAAGGAAATAAAAGAGGACACAAACAAATGGAAAAACATTCCATGCTCACGGATAGGAAGAATCAATATCGTGAAAATGGCCATACTGCCCAAGGTAATTTATAGATTTAATACTATCCCCATCAAGCTACCATTGATTTTCTTCACAGAATTAGAAAAAACTACTTAAAATTTCACATGGAACCAAAAAAAGAGCTCGTATAGCCAAGATAATCCTAAGCAAAAAGAACAAACCTGGAGGTATCACGCTAACTACCTGACTTCAAACTATACTACAAGTCTACAGTAACCAAAACAGCATGGTACTGGTACCAAAACAGATATATAGACCAATGGAACAGAACAGAGGTCTCAGAAATAATGCTACACATCAACAACCATCTGATCTTTGACAAACCTGATGAAAACAAGGAATGGGAAAGGATTTTCTATTTCATAAATGATGTTGGGAAAACTGGCTAGCCATGTGCAGAAAACTAAAACTGGACCGCTTCCTTACACCTTATACAAAAACTAACTCAAGATGGATTAAAGACTTAAAAATAAGACCTAAAACCATAAAACCCCTAGAAGAAAACCTAAGCAATACCATTCAGGACATAGGAATGGGCAAAGACTTCATGAATAAAACACCAAAAGCAATGGCAACAAAAACCAAAATTGACAAATGGGATCTAATTAAACTAAAGAGCTTCTGCACAGCAAAAGAAACTATCATCAAAGTGAACAGGCAACCTACAGAATAGGAGAAAATTTTTACAATCTATCCATCTGACAAAGGGTGAATATCCAGAATCTACAAGGAACTTAAACAAATTTACAAGAAAAAAACAAACAATCCCATCAAAAAGTGGGCAAAGGATATGAACAGACACTTCTCAAAAGAATTCAGCCTACGAACATGAAAAAAAGCTCATCATCACTGGCCATTAGAGGAATGCAAATCAAAACCACAATGAGATACCATCTCAAGTTAGTTAGAATGACAATCATTAAAAAGTCGGGAAACAACAGATGCTAGAGAGGATGGGAAGAACTAGGAATGCTTTTACACTGTTGGTGGGACTGTAAATTAGTTCAACCATTGTGGAAGACAGTGTGGTGATTCCTCCAGGATCTAGAACCAGAAATACCATTTCCTCCAGGATCTAGAATCAGAAATACCATTTGACCCAGCAACCCCATTACTGGGTATATACCCAAAGGATTATAAATCATTCTACCATAAAGACACATGCACACGTATGTTTATTGCGACACTGTTCACAATAGCAAAGACTTGGAACCAACCCAAATGCCCATCAATGATAGACTGGATAAAGAAAATGTGGCACATATACACCATGAAATACTATGCAGCCACAAAAAAGGATGAGTGCATGTCCTTTGCAGGGACATGGGTGAAGCTGGAAACCATCATTCTCAGCAAAATAACACAGGAACAGAAAACAAAACACTGCATGTTTTCACTCATAAGTGGGGGTTGAACAATGAGAACACATGGACACAGGGAGGAGAACATCACACACTGGGGCCTGTCAGGGTTGGGGGGCTGGGCAGGGATAGCATTAGGAGAAATACCTAATGTAAATAACGGGTTGATGGGTGCAGCAAACCACCATGGCACGTGTATAGCTATGTAACAAACCTGCACGTTCTCCACATGTATCCCAAAACTTAAAGTATAATTTTAAAAATTTTAAAAAACAAAGAAATGCAAGTAAATAATTACAGTTTTATGTGACACATGTCATGATAGTGGTAGGAACAGGAGTCAATATTAGGAGCATCCAAAACATCTTCATTCTACATGGGATGCTGAGGTGGGAGAATTGTTTGAGCCCAGGAGTTGAAGAACAGCATGGGAAACATAATGACACCCTGTATCTAGAAATCTTTTTTTTAAATTTAATTTTTAAAAAATTTTTATGGTGGCACATGCCTGTAATCCTAGCTATTTGGGAGGCTGAGGCAACAGGATCCCTTGAGTCCAGGAATTCAAGGGTACAGTGAGATATGATTGTATCACTGCACTGGAGCCCAGGCTATAGAGCATGACCCTGTTTCCAATGAAAAAAGAGGAAGAAGACTTCCTTAAGAATTGCTGTTCAACTTGGGAAGTGAAGATTGAGTGGGGGTTTTCTAGGTCTACAAGGAGATGTCCACAAGGAGGAGGAGAGCATTGAAGAAGAGGGAACAATATGTGAATGGGTAAAATCAGTGTCTTGAAGGATTGATGATGGTGATGTGGTCAAAATAGGAAATTTTTAAAACTTTCTTTTTAGTGGTAGGGGACTTTCTGCCTTGGGTTTCAGAGAAAAACCAGTCTCTCATTTTTTAATGCTCTAAAACTTTTTATGTGTCTCTGCTCAGAAGCACTGCAATTCAGTTGCTCCATAGCCAATCACATACTGCATACTGACTACACCTACCAGATGTAAGGCACCATGGGGTCAAAGGATGCATGAGACAGCCTCTGTCCTCAATCAAGTCACAGTTTAGATAAACCATCCAGATTAGCAACACAAATTAGAAAGAAATCACTCTTTTCTATCATAGGTAAAAATATCACAAAGTTTTAGAAGAAACTAGTTAATTTCTTAGTTTAGAATGTACAACATGGTAAGTTCAAAAAACTGATAGACATTAACATCTTTTTCTCCCTAAAAAGAAAGATGAGCATTATGTTTTTATAGTAGAAAAGGAAATATGATGTCAATTGTGTAGTTACGACCTGTTGCTCGCTCTCTCTCACTGCCAGGGAAGACCCCACCTACTCAGATGGGGAGGACTGCAGGGAACACCTAGGAAAGTTGGGTGCAAGGTAATAGGGCCCTGGAGTCCACAAGCCACACTTTCCCCAAGTTTTGCATAACAGAAGCAGAGAAGCAGTCCCTTAAAAGTCCATGTAGCCTTATCAATAGTAATCAGCATGGACTCATAACACAAGCCGTATTGTGCATTGGGCTCTTACTATGTTGCAGTGTCATTCTAAGCACTGTATTGACTTATTTATCCTTATAACAACACTACCAGGTAAGCGCTAATATCACCATGCTCATTATAAACAGGAGGAAACTGACAGAGAACTGACTTGCCCATGGTCACTCCACTGTATTAGTTTTCTGTGGTTGCTGTAACAAATTACCACAAACTTGGAGGCTTAAAACAATAAAAATTTATTCTCTCACAGTTCTGGGGAACAGAAGTACCAAATCACCGTGTTGGCAGGGTCACACTCCCCCCAGAGGCACTATCGAAGAATCCTCCTCTGCCTCTCCCAGTTTTTGGTGGCTCCTGGGGTTCCTTGGCTTGTGACTGTGTCATTCCTATCTCTGCCTCCATTTTCTCATGGTCTCCTGCTCTGTCTGTGTCTTCTCTCCTTCTTCTAAGGACATTTATCATTCCATTTAGGGCCAGGATGATCGAGAGTCTTAACTTGCGTGACTTCTGCAAATACCTTTCCTTCCAAACAAAGTCACATTCACAGGGCTGGACTATTAGGACATGGACACATTTTGTGGGGGGTACCACCATTCAACTCACTACAGTAGCTATCGAGGAATGAAGCTAGAATTCACGACCAAGCAGCCTGACTCCAGGGTGCTTCCTCTCCAAGCCACCCCAATACACTGCTTTGCAAAGACCAAGATATGGGGAAAAGGGGCAAATCAGAGAGAGCATTCTTGGATGTTCTGCATTAGGTAAGATTGCTGAAACCTTCATTTGACCCTGTTCAGTGGGGAAGAGTATTCCAGAAACGACTGATATATCATTTCTAACCAGCCCATGTTTAAAGGTAAGATGGCATTTCTTTAACCCTGTATTGTGGAGTAAACTTTGCTCCTACAACTACAGAGAATTAAAGAATAACACTAGGTCATTTTTTCCCATTTGCTGGGAAATCAGGTAAATGTTTAAACATCAAAATTTATGATATGTTTTCCAGGCAGTTCAAGGAGTTAAATGATTTAGCCAATCTCAGAAAAGTAGCTTCTCTATGATAATGGAAAAAGAGAGACTTGCATATTGGGAAGGAGTCTCAGCTTCTAAGGAAACCAGATGCTTAAGTTAATTAAGCAAAGACCTCTGGTCTGGCAGTTGAGGACTTTAGTAATCCAGGTGTGCTTTACTCCAACAACCCTGGACAAATCCCATGGCATTTTAATGGCCTCAGTTTCCTCATCTGTAAAGTAAGATGGTTAGAATAAATAACTCCAGCAGTTTATGATTCGCTTTAAAAATTTTTGCTCAGAAAGGTTTTTTTGGCTTGACGACTTCACTACTATTCAAAAAGATCTTGAAGAAAACCCATTATATTTAAATATTTATTTTTCTATTGAGTTATATCATATTCCACTTAATTTTTAGCAAAACTTTTAGCAATAAACTTCCAAAAGAAATTTTCTTTAGAAGTTCTCCACAAACTTGAAACTAATTTTGCATACATCAACTTTTACTCTGCACTAAAAGTTCCCCAGAGAAGAATTTCCTCATAAATTAATGATTTTAATATCTGCTGGGAAACTTCAACCCTAATTATCTCCTAAAAAATAACAAAATAATTGGTAATGGTACAATTTATACCAATAAATCATTTTCAGGGGTAGAAGCTCCCACTTTTGGAAAGTCTAACTATATCATTGGTAATTCTGTTGTAAGTTGCTAAATTAGTTGCATGAGAAATTGCACAGGACTTTTGGAACTATTTTAATGCATTCAAATTGCCTCAGTTTTGCATCAAGTCACTTATAAATATCTTTTGAGGAAAGAATACACCTTGAATGGATCAGTAGGTATTAAGTGTCAACTTCTCATATTCAAAACTATCAATAATGATTTCACTGAAGCCAGGTGACTAGCTTTAGAAAATGGTTCTTTATTCCCTCCCCAAACTACTGGAAAGAGGTGTTTAATGGAACAATCATGTTTCACTCATGAACTCCACAGCCACCATCATATTGTAGGCATTCATAGCAATTCAACCAAGGTGGTTGTTAAAACAGAAAACACAAAACACGTTTAATCTGCAGGTAACATTGAAATTTAAACTTCCCATTTTCTTTGTGTATGTTCAGAACTTTAAAACTCAGCCTGAAATAAGAAAATATATGTCAGCAAGAGCATGAAATATCTTGGCAACCACTTCTGGGCAGTCACCCTCAACTTTAATGTAAGGGGCTTCACCAGCTCAGTCTGCCATCGCTCAAAGTACCCAGCAACAAACAAGGTTAGCCAAGAAAAATAACTTCTTTGAGACAGAGTCTCATTCTGTTGCCCAGGCTGGAGTACAGTGGCATTGTGTTGGCTCACTGCAACCTCCATCTCCTGGGTTCAAGCAATTCTCCTGCCTCAGCCTCCCAAGTAGCTGGGATTACAGGTGCCCACCACCATGCCTGGATAATTTTTTTATATTTTTAGTAGAGATAGGGTTTCACCATGTTGGCCAGGCTGGTCTCGAACTCCTGACCTCAGGTGATTCACCCGCCTCGGCCTCCCAAAGTGTTGGGATTACAGAAGTGAGCCACCGTGCCCGACCCTTGTTTCCCAGGAACCAATTTCCCCACTTGTCTCACAGTATTTATAATTTCACCACCCTCTTTTTTTTATTTTAATGTCTTATTTTGGTGTTTCACCTGGATCATCCTGCCAACTTTCCTCATGTTAAATTAAACTCCTGTAAACACTTTACCATCCCCAACCCTTCATTACCTTCCCCAGAGGAAAGAGGTGGAGTTTTCACTCTTTGTTCTCTTCCTTACCAGTTTTGCTGTCTCGCTGTATGATTCCTCCCTATTCCCGGAGGAAGATTTTTTTCAAGTTATCATAATCTACAAATTGGATTCATAATAACCACTATAGACTGATTCTTTTGTTCTTACAGAATATACAACCCTGGGGTGACATTTAGTTTTTTATATCTGAAACAACATCACAAAAATTGGGAGTCTGAAAGTATGTTGTAATGCATAGTCTTGTATAGCTATGCTTTGAGATGTAATTCCCTGCCTAAACTCTCACTGAAAGAGATAGTGATCACTTCTTGGCCTTTTGGCTAAGATCAAGTGGAGTGATAGCGTGCCTCTTTATAAAGTAGATGTGCAGCAGTGTGTGTGCTAATGGAAGTGAGACAGGGAGAGGGCAGTTGGCAAGGCTAGGGAAGTTGGCAAAGTTAGGGAAGGTTTGTGCACAGAGGAAGCCCAGAATGGCATCTGAAATAATAACTGAGACTACCCAGTTGGAGGATTTTTGTGGGAAGACCATGGGCTGTCTACCCTCTGCTACTTTCTTTGTGACTTCTGTCAAGTTAAAACTTTTTGAGTCTCTGTTTCTTCATCTATATAGTGGGGAGGGCAGATCAATGCCATCATTTAAAAATCCAGGTAATACTCTTCATTCCTAGTATTACTTGATCTTTTTGATGTTATTAGACATAGTTCTTTCTCCCTTGGTGTTTGAGATACCACTAATTTGTTTATTTCATCCTGGTTTTAAGATAGTTTTCTTTGCCTTAAAGATTGGGGGTCTGGCCTGGGGTGGTGGCTCATGCTTATAATCCCAGCAGTCTGGGAGGCTGAAGCAGGGGTATTGCTTGAGCCTGGGAGTTCCAGCCTGGGCAACATAGGGAGATCTCACGCTACAAAACATTTTTAAATTAGCTAGATGTGATGGCACACCTGTGATCCCAGCTACTTGAGAGGCTAAGGTGGGAGGATGACTTGAGCCCAGGAGGTTGAGGCTTCACTGAGCCGTGATAGTGCCACTACACTCCAGCCTGGGTGACAGAGTGAGACCCTGCTGCAAAAAAAAAAAAAAAAAAAAAAAAGAGAGAGAAAAACAAAAAGAAAAAAGATTGAGGCTCCCCATGATTCTCTCTTTAACTCTCTTCTCTTCTTATTCTCAGGGTAATCTCATCTGTACACACAAATTTGAATAACATCTCCATAGTTATGGTTCCCAGATTCATGGCTCTGGCTTAGTCCTTTCTCTTCCATTCCATGTTATAAATACTTCTTACCAGACATCTCCACTTGATGTTCCCCAAGCACCTCAACCCATTATGTTCAAAGTTGAGCTCATCTTTTCCTCCAAATCTGATTCTCTTCACATATTCCCTAGCTCCATGAATGGCACCACCATTCACCCAATTGATTACTTGTACTTGGGGGCCTCTGAAACCATTCTCAGATTCAGTAATTCTCTAGAGAGGCTTGCAGAACACATAAAATCTCTAATACCCACTGTTACAGTTTATTGTAATGAGAGGATACAGGTTAAAATAGGCAAGGGTAAAAGGCACATGGGGCAGAGAATAGATGAGACCAGGCACAAGCTTCCAATTCTCCTCTCCCTGTGGGTTCTTACAGATATCGCTTAATCCTCCCAGTAACAATGTGTGTCAACACACACCAAGTACAACCGAACAGAGAGGCTCCCCAAGCCTTGATGTTCAAGATTTTCACTGGGGTTTGGTCACATAGTTGTGGCTCACTGCCCACACGGCTAGCATTTGTTATTTAGCGTCCACTCCTTCCAAAGGTCAAGTTGATACTGCATGACCTAAGGCCCCCGCCATAAATTGCGTTGTTTGCATAGATGACCTGGCACAACCCAAAGCCTTAGGTAAATAAAGACACTCTTAGAAAACAGGGTATTCCAAAGGCTCAGGGATTATCTTTCAGGAGATGGGCAGGGCCCAGTTGGGTTTTTTTTTTTTTTTTTTTTGGAATTTGCAGGGTTTGAACAATTCAGATCTGCTAAGCTAATCGTTTACTGCACATGATTGAAGCCCAAAATGTACTATTTATAACAAACTCTATTTTGTAGCTTAGCACCCATATCCAACTGGTCTATAAGTCTTGTTTCTTCCATCCTCATATCTCCATATATCCACACATCCATTCTTATCCATAGCTCTTCCTTCCCCAGCCCCAAACAAATCTGTTACCAAGATTTATTTATTTTCTTCATAATGGTCACCCAATCTAACCCTTTTTCACCTTTCCCAACTACTCCTGCCTTGGCTTTGACCCCCATCATGTCTAACATTGCCTCCTTCTGCCTCCTACCAGTCATCCTCCATACTGCTTTCAGAATGATTCCTATAAAACAGAAATTTGGCCACATCATTCTGCTTCATAAAGTCTAGGAAGCAAGTATGAGTACCTCTGTTTTGTTCATGCTCCTTGGCATATCCTTGAATAATATGGCTGCCAACTACCTCCCCAGCCTCCTCGCTCATCATGCTCCAGACTATCCAAAATGCTTATCTCCATGTCTTTGCATATGTTGTTTCTTCTACCTGAATGTCCTTTCCCTCCTACAGTCTACCCATCTAGCCAACAATTTCCTGGGCTAACTTCCACTTACTGCATGAGTCAACTCAGACAATAGTTCCCTTAGAATGTCTTACCTGCCTTCAAAGTTGTGTCATGTGTCCCTTCTCTGTACTTTGGAAACATTCTACTCATGTTCATCATTTTACATCTCACCTTATTCCACTCACCCTATATATTTCTTCATCTCCCTCACTGGACTAAGGGGCCCCCCAATGACAATGATTGCATGTTTCAAGTTGCCATCCCTGAAACCCAGTGGAACCCATGAAAGGGATGTACTTCTGAAGACTTGACATAACTCAAAACTGGCACAATTGCAAATCCAATCTTAAGAAAGAATAGCAGGTATTAGTATTTCTGGTTAAAATGGGGCAACAATATGGCAATGGCATAAACACATTTTACCAATTCCTCATGCCTGCCATCTTTGTAAATATTCAGTATTTTGATGAATTTTTAACTTGGGGAGGTTTGCATAGTTTCAATGTTTTGCATAGAGTGAAACTGTAATATGCAATTCATATTATTTCAAATTCATATAATTTAAATTAACAACAAATGTAATGACCATGTCCAGTACCTTATTTATAGTAAGTCCTTAATGTCAGTTTCATTTCCAACCAGTCATCCCCATGCCTATTCCTATATCTTGTTTACTTTCTTCATCATTTTCATTTTCATTACCATAGTCATCATCAGAATTATTTCCTAAAATCTTAGAGAAATGAAAGCCATATCTTTTCTGTCCTCTCTTACAAGTCATTACAATTTTTTCCAAAAATTATGAGTGCAGAAGTGTAAGCAAATACACTCTATATTTCTCATTTTTAAGAAACAGACTTCTTGTCTCTCATTTATTCTCTGTAGCAAGAGTTTGGAGTAATCATCAGAGACCATGCTTTTAAATAGACAATGATCCTGGCATATCTGATACCAGATGCAATATGAAATATTATCTCAGTTAGTGAGGTCGCATTTTTAAGTAATCTAATGCAGATAAAGCCATATCTAAAAAGTGGATTTAAAAAGTTTTCAAATTCTTAACTACTACTTGCATTTTTTTTAATGGTTGTTGGGCCTAGAGTTGTTGCAATGTGTGGTAATAATATTAGTAATTTTAAAAATAATAATAAACTTTTATTATCCTGAAACTAAAAATGCATAGATTTCTTCAGCCTAGGCACAAAATTTTTTTCTGTGCATTATAGGCTTTTTAAAAAAACAAACAATTCTGTTTTAGCTTTATTGGCTGTCTGGCAGAGAAGCAGTATAAAAATTGGAACAAAGAAAACAGGTTTTTTTTATTTTTTAGCATATAGATTAGTATTAATTACCATGTAATGAGCTGAAAATTCCTGCCAAGAAGCTGAAGTTTGCGGATCCTTTAATGAGTATTTTCTTCCCACCGGGTAAAATAAAATTTTAAAAGTGTTAGGGATTTGCACTTGGAAAACATCTCTAAGCTATTTATACAAGCAAGTCAATAGGAAAAGCACATTTTCCATTTATAGCCTTTGTAGTGCATTTATGGACCTGACGTTCCTGGCAGTGTATTGCTGCCAGTGGTAGCTCTGGGTTGTGGCATTGGGCAGACTTCGGTGCAGCAGGAGGGAGACCAACATCCTCCACATCCAGACAGGCTTCTCAGGCCAGCCTTGGGCTGGCAGTCACCTAATCTATGTTAAGAGTTCTCAGTCCCCATTTAACTTTCCAAACTGGAAGAAACCACAAAAGTGTGCTTTCTTACTCTCACCTTCAAAATGGATTCAGCCCATGACAGACACTCCGACCATTGAGGGACACCAGTAACAAGAGGCCACCAGTGTCATCGTTTTTGGCCTTGTCCCAGTTGAAATGTTTTTGGCCAGTTTGCCACCGCTGCCATCTCTAAGAATATTTTTGAGGAGGAAAAGTCTAAGCACAAACGGATACAAACAAAACCGGGCTGCTCTGGAGGCCATGCAAATGCACCATGAAAATGTACCACCCCCAGCTCTCTTGCTGCAAGAAATGTGACTAACGAATGGCCCTAATTTCTGTGCTCTGAATCCACCACCATGATCACTGCTCTCAGCCAAAGACCAAGACACATGGCAAGCCCGTGTGTGCCACAGCTACTAGGCAAGACCCAGGTCTGAGAGTTGCAGGTCTCCTCAGATGGGCAGCTTTGGAGTGAGGACCTCCATCAACCTGGCCAAAACCTTTGTAGAACTGCATTACAGACCAAGACTCTCCCTGTCACTCTCCTTCCTTCCACTCTCCTTTGCAGGACTCTCCTCACTACCTCTGGCTACCTCCTCTTTTCTCGCCACAGATTTTTTCTCCAATACGTCTTTTACATGTCAAGTCCTGTCCTCATGTCTGTTCCTATGACAATTCAGGCTAAACCAACTATTGTATCTGTTAGGATTATGTTACCTTACATATATTAGAAAATTCAAAATAACACTGTCTCAGTGATCATTGAATTCCATTTTTCTCTCAAGTCCAGGAGCATAAAGTTCAGTGCTGGTGTAACTGAAGAGGTTTGTTTTGTTTTGTTTTCTCTGCCATCCTAATACTGGTTTTCATCCTCAAGGTCACCTCATGGTACAAAATAGCTGCTAAACTCCAACAATTCCATCTGCTTCAGGCAGTAAGAGAAAGTAATGGCAGGGGACCAAGTGGTGTTCCTCCTAATCAAGCTGTCTTTAAAGAGCCTTCTTGGAAGTTTCACACAACTGCCCCTGTAGTTAGATAGAACATAACTATATTGGCATATCTAACTGGAATGGAGGCTACAAAAGTAGCATATTAGCGGAGAACACTGACATCCAGAATAGCACTGGTGTTCTATTACTAAAGAAAACTGAAAGTATAGATATTGGGTGGCAACTTTCAATCCACTCCCGTCCTGCCCACCCCACCACCACCACCACCACCACCACCCTCATTCCCTGCTTTCTTTGTCCATTTCTTGTAGATATTGAGAAACAGGATGAAGTCTGGCTCCTGAGAGAAGGAGTCCTGCTCATGAACCCATTCGTCTTTGTCCAGTGAGGCATGAGCATGACCCTGTGATTTCTTATTTAGCTTTCCAGAGGTCCAGTCTCAAGATTTCAGGGTGTAAGTGAAAGTCTTTAATTATCCTGACTAGACAGACACAAGTATAAATTCTACATGTCTTCAAAATTACAGTGTAGTTGTTAAAAATGAATGGGCTTAGATGTCAAAAAGAATTAGACCCAACTCCCAGTTCTTTTTTTCACTAATGATGTGAACTAATGACCAAGAAATCAAGCCCTTCTGCCACATAGTAAATGCTCAATAAATGTTAGTTAGCTAGTGGTTTAATATTTTTATGTGCGGTGAAAAGTGAACCCTTAAAAAATGTAGTGAGCACAAAAAACAATCCTAAAAGCTCTTTGGCTTTTAACTTAGCTCATCCTAAATGCTGTACTCCAAAACACCAAACCTGCCCTTTTTTATGATGTTTTCAGGTATCTTTGTAATAGCACTGTTTTGAATACTTCCTATCTTCTTTCTTTTCTCAAGCCCTGTGCTAGCACCCTTTCCCAGTATTTCTGGTTCTGCCTTTTACTCTTTTTCCTTTTCTAGGCTTCCTGGCCTTCTAGGATGTTCACCAGGTCCCCTTTCTAACCTCCAGTAATACAGCCATGTCTTTTTAGGTTTCTCCCAGCACTGCACACCTGGCATCCTCATGTGGCAGTGCAGACTCACCTGAACTCTGGGCTTCCTGCTATCTACAGGTTGAGGATCACCAGTAAATGGTATTTAGTAAGCATCTTCTCCCTGCATATTTTTAATCATTTCAGTATTCTGAGACCAGAATACATATTTCCAGCCAATTCATTCAGATTACATAAACATATAGCAGTGCTTAGCTAACTTGAACTTAATTCTAGATCAGCTAATGAAGAGACTAGAAGAATCTCCTTATCTAAAGGCTTCTTGTAAAATCACACAGGAAAATCTTAATAATCTCTAAGCTTGCAGATGGAATGTTAACTACATTGCATACTATAACAAAATATAATCACTCAAAATACTGTGTTTATTTGGATATCATGGCTAAATTTTTTTTAATTTCTTGTTTATAAGTACATATTAATATTTCATCTTTCTGTACTACTAAACTCTGCTAATAATCACTTGCCCATATGCCACAGTTTATCAATTTGAAGAAGTTTTTATTTTTTTAGTCTTTTTAGATTCTTCATAAAAAAGTTATATTGAGGCCAGGTGCGGTGGCTCACACCTGTAATCCCAGCACTTTGGGAGGCCAAGGCGGGCAGATCACTTGAGGTCAGGAGTTCAAGACCAGCCTGGCCAACATGGAGAAACCCTGTCTCTACTGAAAAATACAAAAATTAGCCAGGTGTGGGAGCAGGTGCCTGTAATTTCAGCTACTTGAGAGGCTGAGGCAGGGAGAATTGCTTGAACCCGGGAGGCGGAGGTTGCAGTGAGCCGAGATCACACCACTACACTCTAGCCTGGGCAACAGAGTGAGGAAAAAAAGAGAAGAGGAGAGGAGAGGAGGGGAGGGGAGAGGAGAGGAGAGGGAAAGGGAAAGGGAAACGGAAAGGGAAAGGGAAAGGGAAAAGGGAAGGGGAAGGGAAAGGGGAAGAGGAAGGGGAAGGGGAAAAGAAGAAAGAATATTGAATATAAACAATAGCCTATTATAGCTTTTCCTGCCTACAAAGTTGAATAATTTTTCAACCAGAGATATCTCCCTAGGATCCTATACTTCTTATGTCCGTGGCCTATGAAAACTTGCTTGCCTTTCCAGGACTCAGTTGTCTCAGTTATCAATTATCAAGAGGAGTTCATAGTAGCTACCTGGTGGGATTGTGGTAAAGGTCAGAGACAGAGGCAAAGAAGCACTAAGCCCAGTGCCTCCTATTTGATAGGCACTCAATAAAAGAGGGCCATGGTGGTGGTGATGATGATTATGATGAAAATGGTGATGACGATTATAGGAGGATGTGAAACTGGAGGAGAAGAAGGGAATGGAGAAGGAGGGTGCATTTGTTTTCTATTGCTACAGTAAAAATTTGCCACAAACTTAGAAGTCAGAAGTTCATGGGCTCAGTGGGTTTCTGTACTTTGAGTCTTACGAGGCCTAAAGCCAGGTGTCAGCAGGGTTGTGTTCCTTCTGGGGACTCTAGGAGAGATGTTTCCTGGGCATTTCCAGCTTCTAGAAGCTGCCTGCATCTCTTGGCTCGTGGATTCCTTCCTCCCTCTTAAAAGCCAGCAATGGTGTGTCAAGCCTCTGGGGCTTTGAAAGAGAATGTCTTTCATCTTATCTTTCTGACTTGCTGCTCTGCCCTTCTCTTCCACTTTTAAAGGCCCACACATTCACATTGAGCCCACTCAATAATCTCCATATATTAATGTCAATAATTTTAACACCACCTCTAAAGTTCCTTTTGCCATGTAAGACAACATATCCACAAGTTCCAGAGACTAGGGTGTGGCCATCTTTGGTGACCATTCTTCTACCTACACAGAGGGAAAGGAAAATGTCAGTCATCATAGGAATAATTTATAAATTTAGATATTGTATTCTAAAGGATTCAGGCTTCCTCAATGTTCAAAGGGAAACACAAGCTTACATGATAAAGTCAACTTGGTGCAGTGGAAAGAACACTGACCTCAGTTCCATCTCTATAGCCCCAGGTCAGACATTAAGCATTATTATCTTGTTGCTCATCTATAAAACATGAATGTTAGTTTCATGATATAAAAAGTTGTTTCCAGTTACAAAATTCTATTATTTAGTTAGAATACACGCAATAGCCAAGAAAGAGCCTCCTGAATCCTACCACGAATTAGAATAACATTATTTCACCAAAACTAAAGACAAATTTAAGATTATGCTATGGTCCATGACCCATGTAAAGAACTATAATGAGGATGAAGCCCTGGTTTATTTTTTAATTGATTAGTCACATTAAAAGATAAGCACATGTTGTCAGTTTCTCAGCATGGAAATTCTCCTGCTGCAAGCGGTCTCCTCTGTGAAAGAACAGAAAAGCCAAGCAAAGCACGATACAGAGCTCAGCCTGAGCAGACAAGAGCCATTATGTGCACATATCTATTACTTCTAGGTACAGAAATGCATTAACATCTGTAAAAATATGATTGCTGTTCCTCTCAAGCAGTTTCTAAGTATAAAAGTGTCCCAGGTGGAGGACAGATTTTTAGATTTTGTCCACTCTTCTATAATTTTCCATTCTCTTAGGTATTTCCCATAGCTAGATCTTTGGATGGGGGTTTCCATTAGTAAATGCAGCAGAAAGATGTTGGCTTATCTGTAACAGTGCAACCTGTTTCTCAATCAACTAGGCTTCTTAATGGTGTTTTAAAAATAATATTCATCATCAACTAATTCAGAGTGATTTCTTCTCATCTCTGTACCTCTTGCAGTCATGAGAATTAACCCATCTTTAAAACTTCCATGTAATAGAAAATAGTTTTATTCAGCATCTTTAACTAAACACACCCTTACTTATGATTTCATTAACATTTACAGATCATCTTATCTATACTCTGCATAAGTCTAGACATTGAAATACAAAGATGACTGTATGTAGATTTTCATTTCAAGAATCTCAAAGTCTATTAGGAAGAAAGACACATTAAATTAAATAAGTAAAATAATAATAATTGTTATTATAATGCAAGAGGTAGCTGCCATTATAATAATATCTACACAGCGCGGAGATGCCACAATGAATATTGCCAGAGAAGTGTAAAGATGTCAGAGAAGCTTCAAAGGAGTCGTCAAATACAAGCTGGCTTTTTATTTTTCCAGGTGCACCAAGTAGGAAAGGGAATTTTATGCAAAATTAACAAAATATACACAAAGGAAGAGAGAGCATGCATTTGTTTAAAAACTCTTTTTCTGTCAAATACCAGTGTACATTAACTTATTCCCTTACATTTTTTGACATGGACAAGAAGATCTGCATATGTAATTTGCTAAAATTGAACATTACTTCCACTGGTAAGAATTCCAAAGAGACCAAGTTTTGAAAAGTGAAAAATGTAATAGAGGAGTAGAAATTTTACATGATCTTAGGATATATAAAAGAAAATCTTAAAACACATTGGTACTTAATTCCAGTAACTTATGAGTCAAGGAGACAGCTGTGTAAAGCAAACTGACAGAGGCAAAACCCAAGGAGGTTGGAAGTAAAATAGGAATGAAGGATGGGAGAGATGTATGAACAACTCCAGAATCGAAACATCTGAAAACTCTTCAATATCTAGAGACAGGACTAGGCTCAGGGGAAAATGTCTTAATATGTGTATTATTTGCAAAAGAAAAGTTTCTAATCATCTCATTAAAGGTGTTAAGAAACATTTTAAAGAGTTTCAAGTCAGGAAAGGATGGCATATGGAATAGTTGCCATCATTAATAATTTGTTATATCATTGATACTATTTTTATTTAGCCTTTTGTCTTTAGTAGTTAATATTATTGGAGTTAATAATATGTGGAAGGTTTATGTACTATTTTTGTTTATTAATAATTGAGGAGTTTACATACTACTTTTGTTTAATAATAATTTTATTGTTTTAGAGGAAGCTGCCAGCTTCTTTTTGCTTAAGTGGATAGAAAAACTTTCCTTGGAGAAGATTTTCTTTGTCTCTTCCCTAACACTTGAATGTCTCTTCCTGGCTATGACGATTAGAATAAAGTAAAATAGGATTATCTGTGGCCTAATAGAGACTACTTCTTCCAATAACTTTAGATTTACAGGCCTGATAATGGCAGGGGTTGGGGAAAGGAAAGAGCAAATCTTAATAAAATCTAAGGTAAATTCTGGAAAAAAAAGATTAATACCTGAAACACCTATTCTTTGGTGATCTCATATAACTAAACTCTCTTTAATTGGTTCTCATCATCTTAACTAAGGTTTTCTGGCAAGAAAGGAAACCAACAGCCCCAAAGTAAAATTCACCATAAGGTTGGATCAACACATGTGACTGAAGTTTGGAGCAGAAGAGCTAGTTTTGCACAGCCTGTATTGATTAACTAGAGCCCTTCTAATAGAACAGCCACACTGTGGCAGCAGTGACTGTACACAAGTGTACTCGTGTACACTTTCTGAGGCAGAGTCTCCCCCTGTCGCCCAGGCTGGAGTGCAGTGGCGCAATCTTGGCTCACTGCAACCTCCGCCTCCTGGGTTCAAGTGATTCTCCTGCCTCAGCCTCCCAAGTAGCTGGGACTACAGGCGCACGCCACCATGCCCAGCTAATTTTTGTATTTTTAGTAGAAACGGGGTTTCACCATGTTGGCCAGGATGGTCTTGATCTCTTGACCTCGTGATCCATCTGCCTCAGCCTCCCAAAGTGCTAGGATTACGGGTATGAGCCCCCGTGCCCAGCTGAGTGTGCATTGTTTAAAGAGCTGTAATGTTAGGAGCTCACAGGTTAAGGCCCACTCTGAGGGTGGCTAGGCCTGTAAGGGCAGCCCTGGTGAATAAGAATGCATCAGACTGTGTTAGACCGAGTTCTCATCAGCAATATCACAAAGGAATCAGACTCTGGAACACAGATTGGGGTATAAGTGGTTTGTTGAGATCACCATCTATGGAGGGAGGGAGGGAAGTTAGGATAAGCCAGAGTGAGGAATTTAAATGTGAGACACTCTCAATAAAGCCCTCCACCAAATCCACAAGGAGCTTTGGAGCTAAGACGGCTTTTCAGAGTTGTCCCAGGGAAGCAAGGAGGCTGGACTTACCTTTATTGGCTATGGGCTGCTCAGCAGGAGGGTATATAGTGGGGAGGTTAGTGTGAGTTCTTGGGTGAGGTGAATTTCATTGGCCTCAGTCAATCCTCGCAGAGGGACTTAGATGAGAACCTCCAATGCTCTCTGCAGCCAGAGTAATGAGGGCCTGGGTCCCAGTGGGGTGATCTGGCAGTGCTTCCACAATGGCCAGCACAAATAGCTACCAAAGACCTGGGCTTAGTGAGAAGATCCTCCAGCTCTCAATTATGTGGAATATGTTAGGAGATAAAAATCAGTAAATTATGCAATCAGAAAGAACACTTTTTAACATTTTATTTCTGGCAAATGCATGGGAGTGTAGATAAATAAAAAGTTGTGCTCTACGAGATGGCCCACTGATTTGCTTTCTATAGTTCCACGAAAGCCTACATTTAAAGAATTTTTTTATAATTTTAAATGATACCTCTCCAGATCATGAAATACTGACTATGAACCATGACTTTTTTAAAGTTCTGTTTTTGTGATTTTTTTAATCCACTACCCCTATGCTTTCACTCCACTGCCCACCTCCTTTTTAATTCCAACTGAGATGGCTGCCCCTCCTCCCTTCTCTATGTCAGCCCTGTTATAAAATTAGGGCTAAAAATGCTCGCAATGAAATTTTGTCAATGAACTGCAAAAGCAGAGTGGTGAGCAGTGTAATCATCAAACCACCACTCCTTGCACCTGACACTCCTTATCCAAGTTCTCTCCAGTGTCCTGTCCTCTGTTTTAGAAAAGCTAGCTGGTATGGGCCCTGCACACTGGTCATCTCAAGCCTCAGGTGTTGATTTGCACTAAGCCATATCATAACACCATGCAACAGACAGAGCAGGCAAAGAGGTGGAAATGCTTCCAGTGAGTCGAACAGAGCCACGTGGAGAGCTCTGATTAGAGGTCATTGCCATGTAGCCCATGGCTAAGTCCTTCCCCATACCCTCAGTCACTAGCTCAAGTAATTTACAGCAATAATGGCTGAAATAATAGACAGAAGATTCAGGAAATAGGCATTGGAAAGAATGTATTAAATACAGCTAAATAACTCCTTGCTTTCTCTTGCTTTGGAAACCATGGAATAAATGAGTGTTCTCTTGCATTCCTTAGCATCTGTACTTCTTCACAGAACAATAGCTTTCTGCTCAACTAAGAAAACAAATCCTCAATTCGAAGCTAAGAAAACACTCACTTCAAATTCATTTTTTTGAATAAAGCATAGTTTTGGCCAAGCTTATTTTTATAAACAAAAATATGCATAAAAAGTATTCTGAACTACATGAATTCATAATTGTAAATCCTACAATATATTAAACATATTTAATCAACTCAGTTGTGTTCATTCTCAGAGGAAAAGTTATAGTACCTGGCTTTGAGAGTCAACATATGTTCAAACATTTTTATGATACTATTTTCATAAAGCCCAAGTATGAATTACTAATCTAGTTGCCTTGGAGGGAAATGGATGAATAGCTGAGTATGTTATAAGGATTGACAAGGCTCTGGACTAAGCAAACTTCTCATACAAAGAACAAGATGGGAATAATTCTACATTGGAAGATCTGCTTTGTGTTGAGTAGTTACATGAATTCCTTCTCTGCTGTATAAATCAGTTTCTTAATTACCATGCTTAACTCCTGGCAACTCGAGCTATTTTGTCTTCTTTGGATTATCTAGAATGGGAGTTAAATGGTGAACTTTTCATTTTTTAATGTTCTACATTAGTGTAATTTAATGAAGTTAATCTAACTAGCCCTATTTTTCCTAGAATATTTCATCTTCTTATTGATATCTTCCTTTTTACTAATCAAGAACCTTTTCAAGTTTGAAAATCATGTTTCTAAAAGTTAAGCAATTAATGCTATTTTAGTAACACACACATACACACACACACACACACACACATGACTTCCCTAGATATTTTTATTCAGAAACATTTCATTTTCCTAATTGGATCAACACTCAGTAACATAAAATCTGCTCTAGTAACCATGAAAAAAAGGAAACAGGTTAAGAACATTATATCAATTTAGACTAAGAAAACGGATATTTATTTCACATTATGGTGGCCAACACATAACTATATAACTTTATTTAATTACAGGATAAATGTCAAATGGATAAAATGTATAGACACTTTATACATTGTATAAATTGTCTATAAATGTATAGATTCTTTTTTCTGAAAAGAAAAAAAAAATCATCTCTCTAAAATTATTGTAACCATTTCAAAAATAACAATCTGATGAAATCAGTGCTGCCTTAAGGCCTTTGTGAAAAGTTCAAGGGTATTTTCAGGGGCTCTGCATATCACAAGCCCATGCACATAATAAATATATTCAAGTGTATGTGGATATCTTGGTCAATTCAGAATTCAACATGCAGTGCAACCCACAACCATTGGTGTTCTGATGTTTAAGAACCTGCTCAACTGGTTGAGGGGACCCAATTTATAATGTGTGCAGATTCCCAAGGTGTAAATACTCTCCCTATGGCCAATTTCAAGCTCCCAATGTGACATTACAACCTCAGAGTCAGAAAAGATGCTCTCAGTGGATTCTTCAAAGCCCACGTGAGTCAGCTCCAATGTACCAGTGCCTGTGACTCTAACCATCTCCTTATGTGACTAACAGCCAGGTCGTCTCCACATCTTTTGCCATGTGTCTATGTATTAGTTTGTTCTCAAGCTGCTAATAAAGACATACCCTAGACTGGGTAATTTATAGAGAAAAGAGGTTTAATGGACTCACAGTTCCACATGGCTGGGGAGGTCTCACAATCATAGTGGAAGGCAAAGGAGAAGCAAAGGCTTGTCTTACATGGCAGCAGTCAAGACAGCTTGTACAGGGCAACTCCCATTTATGAAACCATGTGATCTCACGAGACTTATTCACTACCATGAGAACAGTATGGGGGAACCACCCCCATCTTTCAATTATCTCCACCTGGCCCCACCCTCGACACATGGGATTATTACAATTCACAGTAAGATTTAGGTGGGGACACAGCCAAACCCTATCAGTCTACTAAACTAAAGGTGACTACCAAATCTTATGAAATTTTCAGTGTTGAATTTCTGACAGTGTCAGCGACAGATTATGCTTTGGAGTGTGTGGAAGATTTGACAGGTGGAAATTTTTAGGTAAGAAAAAAGATAAATTAATTTGTCAAATCTTTTTTTCTGACCACTTGAATGCAATAGCTTCTTGCATAAGAACATTTAATAATTTGAGCAAAAATAACATAAATTAGTGATTCTGCTCAAAATAATAAGTTTTGTAGAATAGATTCATAACTTATAAATTATGTATGTTTTATTCGATTACTCATCCAGATATCATTAGCCCATCAACAGAACATTCAGGCAAGCACAAGAATAACTTCAGCCATCTTTGATGTTTTGACAAATTTCAGTCATATTAATAGTGTAATTTTGCACATTTATTTTGTCATATTAAGTACATTTGTCAAGATAGAAAGCTAAAATATATTTTATTTAACAGGTTAATTGATTTGTAACCTTAAATATTTGAACATTACTAATTAATTGGCTATGTTATTTATAAAATTGCTTTTCAGTATTATATTTATTATGCAAAGGGACCACCAGTTATTCTTTTCAAATTTTTTAAAAATTGTCAAGTATAGTAAAAATATGTAATTAGAAATTTAAATTTGAATTTTTGAAGCAAGTTGTATTTTTCTCTCAAAATTGAATAAAGCCTGGTTATTGGTTATACATGTTGTCATTTAAGTATTTATATTGGAAACCAGATTAATGACTGGAACCAGATTAAGGACTTTGAAGACAGGAAGCAATACTTTTACTTTCTTCAAGACTTTCTGAATTCCCAACTCGTCTCTCTTAAAAATCTTTACTTAAAGACTATGTATTTTCTTAATTGAGCCTAAGTTTAAATCGTGGTTCTACAACATACCTCAAATCAAATAAATAAACTTCCCTGAGTCTTAAATATCGTATCTGAAAATGGGAAATAAGGATAGTACATATGCATGTATCTGCACTGTGGCTTGGTGTTTCAAGAGATAATATGTTGCAGCATCTAGCATGAGCTGGACCTGCACTAAATGTTTGCTGCCTTCTCATCTCTGGAATATGGTTTCTACAGGAATCACTTAGCAGGTGTTCATAGTCCAATGTTACTGTTTAATTAGATTTTGATCCATGGAAGACAGGGACTATGCCTCATTCAGTTCTAACTCTCTTGCCCTAAAGCCTGGTGTCTGGTATGTTTTCCAATGTTGGACAATGTCTACACCTTAAGCATAAATCTGTTATGCCATATGTTTGCGTTGTGGAAACCCAAAAAATCAATCTATGTGTAGGCAATGTAAGTGCTTACTAGGTGATGTGATTCGAAGTCGTCCAGGAAGTACTGTTTAAAAAAAAAATCCAATTCCACATCTCACATTTTGTTATTGGAATTTAATTGCTTTCAGATTTTCTTGCTTTGGTCTTCTTTTAATATGTAAATAATCTTAAGAAGTTAAACAAATTATTCTTTTAGAGGATACAAGGACAATAGAACCAGAGGCTGGTAGAGAATTAAACCCAGGGCAAAGAAGAGATTTTTGCAACATTTTGCCAAAACGAACTCTAGGTGCTTGCATTTGATGACTGTAAATGACTTATCATACAGACCTTTCACAGTTTGTAACACCGAGATTTTAAAAAATAGATATTACACTTTGGAAGTCATAGTATTTTTTAGCATTTCAAACAAAAACGAGTCGTTTGTACGCTGTATTTTTGTTCCCACACTGCAACCATTATATGCTGCTCCATCCTTCCAGAGCCATAAAAAGAAGTTAAAAGAAATAACTTTTCATCCTCACTCATCACTCTCACTTTCATCCTATATAGAAATGCAAATCAAGCAAGAAGATGAAAAATTTAAGACATAGACTATCTGCCAAGATCTGGACAATCACAAAAGTTAAGTGGGAAATGATAGAATAAATGAAGTGAATGCAAAAGTTCTTTGTCTTGGTGAGGAAGAGATGGGTAGAGAGAAAAGCTGGGGAGTGATGGGGTGGGAGAGGGGCCATATGTAACACATATGTTACAGAAAAAGTCAAACATGTTTAAAATCAGTTCATTTAAACCCACATATTAAACTGTATTTGATCTCACTTTATTAAAGTTGTTGATGTCGTTTCTTGAGTTATTTAAGGCAAAGTCATTAGAGACCATCCTTGGTATACTCTACACAATGGGCAACCAAGTTTTGGCAAGGAATGGACCCATTAATGTCACTGGGAGTGGAAGTATCTTACAGCAGGACCATGCTGATTCCTCAAGGATGGAGTGGTCCTCTGGTGTAGAAACACGGTCAGCCATCTAGAATGTGCTGTTTTGTACACATAGCCTATTTGTCAGTTTAGTGTCTACATAGAAAACTATTATCTTTGTTTTGCTTCCCTGATATAATCTAGTCTTAAGAGATTGTTTCAAGCCCGTAAGCATAAAAAAAAAATTCTAAAAAGTTCCTGTGTGGGGTTGCTATGATTTGAAGTTGTCCCCCATAAAAGTTCATACGTTAGAAACTTGATCCCCAAGCAGCACCGATGATGGGTAGAACATAAGAAGAGGTGACTGGGCCATAAGGGTGGAGCCCTTGTGAATGAATCAATGTTGTTATTGCCAGAATGGGGTAATTATCATGACAGTTGGTCAGTTGGTTGTCATAAAGTGAGCCTGACCCCTGGTCTCTCTCTCTCTCTCTCTCGTGCTTACTTCTGGCTTCTGCCTTTCTGCCATGGGATGACCCTCACCAGATGTGGGCCCCTTATCCTTGGACTTTCCAGCCTCCAGGACTGTAAGAAATACATTTTTCTTTGTAAAACACCCTCAGTCTGCGGTATTCTGTCATAGCAACACAAAGCAAAGACAGGGGATAACCAAGAACAGGAATGTAGAACTTGGTCTGGTACTTAACTCTCAATTTCTTTGCTTATTTCATCAAAGTAGATAATCTGGAAGAGTGGCTAGAGAATCTAAAGGTGGTATATGTTTTCTATTGTAAAATTCTACGTAAAATAACAACTACTGATATAGCCTCTTTATGATTTTCAATGCACTTCCACAGACATTGCCTCATTCAGTCCTCACAACAACCCTGCATGGTATCAAGAAATGTTTTCTTTTGCAGATAAGAAAATGAAGATTAAAAAAAATGATTTGGCCATAGCCATATGATAAACAGGAGTCAAGGAATGAAGTAGTCAAGCCCAGTTTGTTTCTTTTCTTTTCTTTCCTTTTTTTTTTTTTTTTTTTGACACTGTCTTGTTCTATCTCCCAGGCTGGAGTGCAGTGGCACAATCTTGGCTCACTGCAACGTCTGCCTGCCTTGGCCTCACAAGTAGCTGGGACCATAGGCACACACCACCAGGAGGAAGAGCAAATTCGCTCTTTTCTTGGCCTGGGACATCCATCTTCTCCTGCCTTCAGACATTGGGAATCTTGGTTTTGGGAATTACACCATTGGTTTTTCTGGTTCTCTAGCTTGCAGATGACATATGTGGACTTCTCACCCCACATAATGATATCTGCCAATTCCCATAATAAATTTTCGCTTAGATAGATATATAGAGAGAGGTAGATTTTTTTTCACTTTATGTATATATTTTTATGGCCTGAGGGGGCCAGGAGAATAAAAATCATCTCACTTTCCCACACAGGCCTGCATGGTCAGGCATGTACAAAGGGCATGTAGCCATGCTTTCCAGTTTGCAAAGGGCAGCTCTGGTTCTAAACACTTAGGAATAGTGTACCTTTCACTCTCAAACTGTCCTGAATTGAACAATAAATTGTTCCCTTAGGACCAATCAAGGCAAATCTACCTCTGCATATGCTGAGGATAAGCGAAGGCATTTTCCTCCCTTTGCAAATCCATCAAAGGACCTTCCTTTACAAGGTTCTATCAGCCTCCCATCATAAAGATGTTTGCTCATTATTCAGAAGCTGGTGCACTGATAAACTGGAATATGTTTTTTTTTTTTAAGAGAGTATCTCCCTCAGTCGCCCAGGCTGGAGTGCAGTGGTGTGATCATGGTTCACTGCAGTCTTGACATTTTGGGCTCAAGCAATCCTCCCACATCAGACTCTTAAGTAACTGGAACCACAGGTGTGCACCACCATGCCTGGCTAATTTTTTATTTGTTGTAGAGACAGGGTTTTGCTCTGTTGCCCAGGCTGGAATTGTGTATGTTTATAGCAATTTGATTAACTGTGATCATGAAGGCAAAGGGGTGCCTATAATCTAAAATGGCATGCTTTTCAAAAGTCATTCATATTTGACTTTGAAATTCATCTTTTTATCCTGTTGCAGTGCAGCTATTTTCACATTACGTTCTGCTTTGGCGAGAGTATCCCAGATGCCAATCCACAAGAGTTCAGAGTCCCATGACATAGTAATAGCTGTTCTTTGAAAGCTGTTTGTTTATTATGTTTGAGAAAACCCATGGCAAATAAGATTCTAAAATAAATAAGTATAAAAGCATTTAATATTCTTATGTGGCCCGTGCATCTTTGGGAATGAAGAGATAGGTGATATGAAATGTTTACCAAATTGACTTGACCATGGTACAGAGCTGGAAAACAGTGGCTTAGGCTCACGTTTATGCTATTATAAAATAATTTTAATACTGTTTTATATATTAGTTAGCAAACTTTTTAATTGATTTTAATTTCCCAAATACACACTAGCTTAGTGTTGATGTTGTTAACAACAAATCATTAGGTTGGGTGACAAGAGTGTTTTGAACTAAAGTGGAAAACCTGTCCTGTGAAATTCACCTAGGAAATTCTGGGAAATCTTAGCAGGAAGAGATGTAATCTGTAATCTGCCATCTGTAATCCGTAGTCACCGCATGAAGAATTAATTGTTTAGCTTTCTACTTAAAAGATGTCCCTTACAAATTATTCTGCTAACATTAAGTGCTACATGGAGGACAGCAATTGACTGAAAGGATTGAGAGGCAAATTACTACTGTCTTACCTTCAAATTTGAAAATGAAGTCAGGTTCAGAACGAATATAATTTATTTGTACTAATGTGCATGCCTGCATGCACTTGTGTGTGTGTGTGTGTGTGGCAGGGTAGCACCTTGTACAAGCCTCAGTTTTGTAGTATGTACCGCACTGTGATAATTGCTGTTGTTTTTGTTGTTGTTGCTCCCAACAAGTTAACAATAGATTGTCTTTTTTTCATCTCTGTAATCCCTAAAACCTATGCCAGTGTTTTCTACAAAAGCACATAGATTATGTGAATATGCCAAGAATCTCAAAAGCATTTTTAGGACAAATAAGATCACTAATCCTTTTTATTTATTATTTATTTATTTGCTTGTTTTCTTGTTAGTAATTTCTGATCACAAAGATGACATGAATTTTCAATATATGTACAACCAAGTCCTCCTTCCTGTTAGGTTAGTTTTTATTCATTTGGTAAAGAAAACTTGTCTTCTACAAATATTTATTATATTGATATCTCACTTATTTGAGGGTCTTTGCTGGTATATACCTTGTAACGGGGTATTTTAGTTTTCAATAACTGACTTTCCTTGGGGCCCAGGAAAACTGTCTTGTTCTAAATTAATCTTCCCAGCTGCAAAGCTAAGAAAACTCTGTTAAGATAGACACCTCTTTAGTTTTTGTTAAGTTTTATTTTTCCATTGAGCAATTTAATATATGTCATCCCAAGTGAATTAGAACTTTTTATATTTATATTTATATTTTCCTATCCAATCCCTTTTGGTGTAGTATATTATTTCTATTTTCGTCAGTTATTAAGTTTAACTGACCACACTTGAATCTTCTAAGTACCACCTCATGTTATTTTTAGAATGAGGCTAGACATAAATAGATGGACAAAATAAACAGAACAGGTAAAAATTCTTAAATATTTTTCTTATTAAAACATTTTCCAATGAATTGTGCAATTACCCTTGCTCTCTCTTTCTCAGATATATGATAGCATCTTTTGAGACTTTCTCTAGAAATCATATTTGTATAATGACAAACATAATACGAAATCTAAATGTGAAACATTTACTCATTTGTGGCCAATTCAGACATTTGCTTATGTTCAGTTTAGCTTGAAGAGATTATTTTGAACTTTGAGTTTCTGGGTTTTATAATTTTTTGATTTAATTTTCTGCTTACTTAAGATAATAACAATAATAATCAGGGGAGTGGTATTAGAGTTGTAGTACTTTGTGATGATTGCATTACATGTATTCTTTCATTTAATTCTCAAAACAATTCTATGAGATAGATGCTATTATTGTTTTATTTTATAGATACAAAAGATGAAGCTATGAGAATTTAAGTAGCTTTGTCAAAGTTATCCAGTTGGAAAGTTATGGAGCCAGTGATTAAATCTCTGACCCCAAGCATATACTATAAACCTTAACAAATATTATTTTTATATTGATTCAAGTACCAATGGTGAGACTTTTAAAATGATGTTTTAAAGAATAATTCATTAAGCTTACTTTACTTTTTACTGTCTCAAAGATAGCATTCTTGGCTCCTAAAAAATATTAAACCATTTGATGTTTATAAATTGTGAGGGAAACGTTTTAATTAGCAAGATCCTTTTACTAAACAGAGGAATTGAAGTCAAATTTTTCTTCCCCAATAAAAAAGGAATTAAATTGAAAAATTGTTCTTCTATAAAAAATTCAGAACAAAATGGCTCATAAGAACTTATTATATTATATATAATATTATATTATAATAATATATTGCTAAATTGGTTGCTTACAAGATTTTTTTTTAAATTCAGCTGAGAACAGTTTAATTTTTCCATCAAACACTAACGCTAGCTGGGTTTGGAGTTTTCCTTTGGCAAGGAAATTGGATTAATGTTTTAGAGCCCTAGGGTTTGGCAGTAGGTGGATTCACTATCATGTTTACATACTAGGTCCTTGAATTTTTTTTTTTTTGAAAAAGGAATAAAATCTAATGCACTATAATCTGGAAACTCCTGTAGATAGATATAGCCCAGGAAAGTCAAATATATTCCGATGAAAACAAAATTCTCTGTAACCAAAAGATAACATTTTAAACCCTCAAAGTTTCTATTGTATCAAGTGCCTTCCCCTACATCTCCAAGTGAGCAGTACCCCGAATGTAGAAAATACGGTTTCCCTATTTTTGTTGCCCTTGGAATATTATGCCTGCCAGTCTGTGACTTACGCATTTTAGGCTTAGGAAGTAAAAGAAATAAAATGTGTCAGACTCTAATATTTAACAATTCTTTCAATTCTGATGAAGTATCCAACATTATTTACTATGCAGTTACTTTTACTGATATGCTTATCACGTTTTTTGTGTGTGGTACTAGAATGTTCAAGTAGTGTGGCAAAGGCAGGGCTGGAGGGATAATACAGGTAGAGTGTCACTGTATTTGACCATTTCATTCTTGAAATTCTCCCACACTTTCTAATTAGGAACATCAACTCTTCCTACACTAAAGGAACTTAGAGCTCATAGTGTCCAACTCCTTAGACTTATGAGAAAACTTACCACTGGTAGTTCTCTTCAAGTGCCCAAAGTCAAACAGGAAATGGAAAAACCAGAATTAACTCCAAATCCCATCTTCTTTCCACTACACTGTTTCTATGATTAATCTGCCTCTTTTTCCATTACTGGCTTCTCTTCATCTTCATGCTGCCTAACTGAGGCTAGCCTGAAAAATCTGACTTTCAAGTCTTTTCTACAAAGATGATTACATACTCTGAGTCTTCCAATTATCAAATGTGTGTGTTCACTCCAAATCTATACTTCTTATGCCTTTTGACACCTAAACCATACTTCAGCTGAATGATCTATACCATCTTAGTTCATCTTGTGCTGCTATAATAGAATGCCACAGACGGGTAATTTACAAGGAAAAAAATTTATTTCTCAAAGTTCAGGAGTCTGGGAAGACCAAAATTGAGTTGCCAGCACCTGACAAGGGCCTTTGTGCTATGTCATCCCACTGTGTAAGGTGGAAGGAAAAAGAGAGGGTGAGAGAGGGAGCAAGAGAAGGCCAAACATATCCTCTCATCATGAACCCACTCCTGCAATAATGGCATTAATCCATTTATGAAGGTGGTGTACCCATGACCCAAACACTTCCTGTTTAGACCCCACCTCCCGACATTGCCATACTGGGGATCAAGTTTCCAACACATGAACTGGGGAGCACATTCAAAGTGTAACAATACCAGCTGGGCACAATGGCTCACGCCTGTAATCCCAGCACTTTGGGAGGTTGAGGTGCCTGGATCACTTGAGGCCAGGAGTTTGAGACCAGCCGGGCCAACATGGCAAAACCCAATCTGTACTAAAAATACAAAAATTAGCCTGGTGTGGTCATGGGCACCTGTGATCCTAGCTACTCAGGAGGCTGAAGCATGAGAATCCCTTGAACGCAGGAGGCACAGGCTGCAGTGAGCTAAGATCACACCACCGCACTCCAGCCTGGGCAACAGAGCAAGACCCTGTCTCAAAAATAAAAATAAAAAAAATAACAATACCAATTCATGGAACTTAGCATGTGGAAAACTGAGAGCATTATTTTACTCCTCAAATCAGCATTCCTTCCTACCACATTTTACTGCTAATTTTATCAATACTTCCCTAGTCCCTTAAATTGACAACTTGGAGAACTTAAAAAATGATGCTATTTGGGGAACTATAGCATGAGTTAAGTTGGCAAATACAAAAGTCCCCCTGTAAGCGAAGGTTTTGCTTCCTGAGCTTTCAGTTATCTGAAGCCAACCAAGATCTGAAAATATGAAATGAAAAGTTTCAGATATAAATGATTCATAAGTTTTAAATTGTGCACCATTCTGAGTAGCATGATGAAATCTCACAGAATACCACTTCATCCCTCCCATTACTGTACAGCAAAAAAAAAAAAAAAAAAAAAGTATAGTGTACACAGGATCTGGTACTCTCTGTGGTTTCAGGCATCTCCTGGGAGTCTTGAAATGTATCCCCACAGTTAAGATATGTGTAATCTTCAAAATGTTATGTTATAAATAATAATGTACCAAAAAATTGAAAATGGTTTCCCACATACCACAAAATAAATCCATAAGTTCTTTCCAAAAAGTTTTCCATAATGCCTTTCAGATTCAACCCTTTCTTTCCATTCTGACAATTACTGCCCTTTCTTTTTCAGACGTTTATGTCTAATTTATGGGAAAAGTTATTTGGTCTCTTTTCCTTTAGACCAATACCTAACTCGTGAGATGATTATCCTTAAAGTCTCTTATTATATTACCCCTTCATTCAAGAACTTCCTCTGGCTACCTTTTGACCATGAGACCAATCTAATTTTTTCTTTCTTTGTTTTGTTTTTTTTTTTTTTTTCAGATGGAGTTTCACTCTTGTTGCCCAGGCTGGAGTGCAATGGCGCGATCTCGGCTCACTGCAACCTCCACCTCCCAAGTTCAAGGGATTCTCCTGTCTCAGCCTCCCAAGTAGCTTGGGTTACAGGCATGTGCCACTACTCCCAGCTAATTTTTTTGTATTTAGTAGAAACAGGGGTTCACCATGTTAGTCAGGCTGGTGGCAAACTCTTGACCTCAGGTGATCCACCTGCCGCGGCCTCTAAAAGTGCTGGGTTTACAGGCCTGCGCCACCGCGCCCAGCCCAAATCTAAATTTTTGACCCTCCAACCTAACAACTGTTCTTTCCTTGCTTATCTAACCACTTCCTTATTTATCTGTAACATGATTCCTCTTGGGTTGAAATAATTAGAAAAGGAAGGCTATAGGTGGGAGTGAGCAAAGAGAGATGAAATTAATAGCAGAGTGAAGACAATGTGGCAGACTAAAAAAGAGCATTAAGGTTTGAAGCTAGACAAGCCTGGATCTTCATATATCTGTGTGTGTGTGTGTGTGTGTGTGTGTGTGTGTGTGTGTGTGTGTGTGTACCTTCTATAAAATCAGGATATTAACTGCACTGGGTTGCTCTGAGCATTAGAATAAATGCCAGGCACACAGTAGGCATTCCATGATAATAACTACGGTTGTATTTATACAAATACTGAAAACATTCACTTTGCATCAGGTACTATGCTAAGGAATTTAAGTATATTAGCTCAATTAATCCTCAAAAAACAACCTTCCAAGTTGTCATAGAATATACTGCTCATTGTTCCCCAATAGTCATTTTCCCTTCATTCATCTAGTAAGAACTCCCCTACCCCAAGTTTTGTCTAGAGATGTGGATGCCCGCCACATTTCCCAGGCTCCCTTGCTGCTAGATATGGGCATCTAAACTCCAACCGAGGGAACACAAGTGGAGGTGACATAGGCAACTTCCTGGACATATCCTTCATGAAGAAATTATTTGCCCTCTACTTCCACTTCCCCCATCTCCAATGAGCTGTGGTATGACATGGCCACAGTTGGTGGAATAAGGACAACATTCATGTTGGTGGTAAAATAATGAGAGAGGAGAAACCTGGTTCTGAGATGACCTTGCAGAGCAGAGCTGTCTACCTATCCTGGACAACCTCCTCCCTCTCACTTGCTCAATGAGAAAGAAGTAAGCATTACCGTGTTGGAGCTGATTGATATATTTGAGGGAGTCTCTTTGTGATAGCAGCTTAGCCTATGGCCTCATTAATAAAGGTAGGTACTGCTATTATCTAGATTTTACAAATAAGAAATCTGCTATCAATGCAAGAAACTTTGGGAAAGAAAAAGATAAAGCAAAGTACATTTATGTCTCAGAAGAGCATTTCTGAATCTGTGAGGAGGGAGAATACTGGGGCTTGCCCAAACAGGAAGATAGAGTCGAGCCAGGCAGCTCAGATACTTGTGAAGCTGTGACATGAAGTCAGCACAAGGGTAGCTTAACAGGGAAGGAGACATAAGAACCATCTTTGTGTGCCAGTCTCCCTCACTGAATTGCCCCCTGAGCAGAACAACAAGCTTTTAGTCGTGTTCGTACTCAGCTCCTCAGTTAATTTGAGTACCTGCAGCTGCGATGATGAGATTCAGTTAGAGAATTTAACATTACTCCATATCTGGTAGCCAAATTCTGTCCTCATCTATACTCACCTTTTCCAGCAAGCTGGATTTGCTTGCATTCAGTCTCACTGCCAGGAGATTTTGTTCTTTGGTGGAGACATCAACAAAGGGGATTATGAGAGAATCTTAGAAGATTGTCATGTAAATGTGCCTCCCAGAAAATAGATCCCATTATGCCTAAGAGGTCTTCCAGACCACTCATCACGTGCTCAGCAAACCTTTATTGACTGGCAACATCAAGTCATGATTAAGAACAGGGACTCTGGAGTAATACTGCACCCTTAGCTGTGTCTCTGGGACAGTAATTTACCTTTCTGGGACTCACTTTCCTCCCTTGTACAGAGGAGTGTACGCATACTCATAAGGTGTTTGTGAAGATTGAATTAATTAAGTAAAAGCACTTAAAACAGGGCACAGCACATATGAAGCCCTCCATAAGTGTTAGCTGCTATCATTTATTTATTGAGCATCTGAGTGCCAAATGCTAAAGAAATATGATCATAATCTTCAGGAAAAATATAGTCTGGCCAGAAGAAACAGACACATCCACAAATGTATGCAATCTTGTGTTGTAGGTGTGGATTCCATAAAGATCCCATGGACATTACCGATGGCAGAGCCAGCTTTCTCATGTCAAGGTCATAAAAGGCCTCCTGGAGGACAAACATTCTTTTCTTTGAAGTAGACGTCACTGTGCTCATGGGTTTCTTTTCCCCCAGGATATATTTATGCAAGTATATTTATAAGGGTAGTGGTTTTTTAGATAGAACACTGAAGTCAGGGTTTATAAATGTTAGTTTCCAGTCCCAATTATGAAGTGTACTAACTGACTTGGGAAAGTAGCTTTTGAGCCTCAACTTCCACCAGCAAAATGGAGTTAGTAATAACTGTTCTATTTCATTGTTTTTGTGAAGTTCAAATAACATAGCTATGAAAACACTTTATAAGATATAAAGCACTGTGTGAATAAAATATATTAATTATTATCTTATAAAGTCCATAATACTTTCTCCTCAGAAGAGTGCCAGTTCCAATTATTTGGCAGTGATTGCCTACAATGCTGGGTGCAGATATGAAGCTACATCTGTTCCCTATTGAGAAGAATACCCTGATCAATAAGCAATGACTCCCTTTGGTACATGCTAAGGACAAGGGACATGGGTTAGTTCATATTTACAGAATTTGTTTCATACAATATCAGAACCAAAGCAGATAAATGCTTCTGCATGAATGTAACCTAGAAAAGGAACCTAGTATTATTGCAGCATTAAACAACAAAAAAATTATATGTGTGTGGAAAATAACTGTTTTCTAATGGTTTCAAATTGTTACTTGTTAGAAGCCAGTAAAAATTTCTGGCTTTGTTTTAAAAGGCCTGCGCTTTTCACAGTTCTTCATACAGGTGACCGAAACACTGATTATTCTAGTGCTATGAACTGAATTTTGTTCTTCCACAAGTCCTATATTGAAGTCTTAACCCCCAGTGTGACTGTATTGGAGATAGATTTGTTGGCAGGTAACTGAGGTAAAATGAGGTTGTAATTATGTGCTACCAATCCAATAGGAGTTGTGTTCTTATAAAAGGCAACACCAGAGAGCTCGCTTTGTCTCTTCCCATGAGTGCTCAGAGCATGAACCATGTGAGTAAAAAGCAGCCACCTGCAAGCCAGGAAGAGGGACCTCACCAGAAACTGAATTTCCTGGAACCTTGATGTTGGACTTTCCAGCCTCTATAACTGTGAGAAAATTCATTTCTGTTGTTTATGCTGCCCAGTATCTGGCATTCTGTTATAGCAGCTCTGGCAGATTAATACACCTTGTAATATTCATAATTACCGTGAGATATTCTTGTTACCAGGAGAATGTGAGAGAGACATTCTGGAGCTGTGACATTGTCATTCAAGTATATGGTCGCCTCCAGAGTAGCAATCAGGAACATAAGACCCAGGTAGCATCAAGGCTGTGGAACCCAGGACAAATCAAGTTATCCAGGAGATAAAGGCAAGAGACAAAGTTACCGCTAGTGGTCAGGAAACAGAGTGAGTAGTCACCAGGCTTAGGCAGTAAGAATCAGGCTGGATGCTGGGAATTCGGGAAGCCTGAGTGAAGGATCCAAGGCCCCGCAGCAGTGATGTGAACCTGGTGCTAAAGTAAGGGCTGTTTCATTGGATAGTCTTCTAGACTTGCTGCCTGGGCAGGACCTGGCATGAGAGAAAAATGTAACTCTGAATTCAGGGTGAAGCTGGGAAAAAGTCACCACTTTCAAGTGTTTGAGATGAGTACCTGTTGGTAGATCCAGATATTAATTTCTCAGGAGGAGAGGAACCTAAGACTCGGGGTAGATAGTTCCAATGGGTAATTTGCAGTTTTAAAAGTGCAATGTGCCACTATATACACAACATATTGCTTGTTTGTGAAAAATTGCAGGTGACTTATTTTACCTCTTTTTTTCCCCAGTAACCATAACTAATAGCATGCCTGTACTACTTTAATTAAGCATGGCCTCTTACATAATAGAAATTCCCTTGGGTGCAAGTAATGGTACCTAGAGCAATTTGAAACATGCTTACTCACACACACTGGAGAAGAAAGGGCACATGAGGATAGAATCCATTCAGTTACCAAGAGGAGGTACATGACCTTTTTCTGTGGAGCGTTTCAAATACAGAGTTACAGCTGCTCCACGGGGCAGGTGTGATTCTGTGGGGATGGGCCTTCCAGTTTCCCCTGTTGCTCCTAAAATTACATACGTAAAATATGTTCTCTGGAAACGATCTGCATAACATCTGTTCTCTTCATTTCTTCCTATTCTGTAGAAGACTATCTAATTAGAAAGATAAAATAAGGGATTAAAGCAATAGCATTTAATGTGTACCATTCACAGGAAGTAACTTTTTTTGGTCAATTTTCAAGAGATGCCAGGTGAAAATTGAAACCTGTAGATAACTACCTCAACTTAATACTTCCACTTGCACATCTTATCACAGTATACAAAATCCAAAATTCAAAAAGAAATGCTTCCATAAAAATCATGTTTTCTTACAAAAAGATAGCATCGGTTTTTGTAAAACAATTATATTTCTATGAAAAGCAAGTAAAAACCAAATGGTAGTTTACACTGTGAAAAGTTAAGCATTGAGTCTGGGAATGTTTCCCAATGAAAGTTAGCATTATCTAATCTAGGTTATATTCATTTCCTGTTGCTGTAGTAACAAGGAACCATGAACTTAGTGGCTTGAGACAATAAACATATTATTTAACAGTTCTGTAGGTTACAAGTCAAACACAGCTAAAAATCAAGGTGTTGGCATGGCTGCCTTCCTCCCTGAAGGCTCTGCAGGAGAATCCATGTCCTTGCCTTCAACCCTTTTGCTTGTGGCCCCTTTTTGTCATATTCAAAGCAACTTCAGGTCGAGTTCTTCTCACATTGCATCACTCCAACCTTCTGTAGTCACACCTGTCTCTCACACCGTCCCCTTTTCCTTCTCCCTCTTCTACTTTGAAGGACCCTTATGATTACATTGGGCCTACCCAGATAATCCAGGATAATCTTTCTATTTTATGGTCAGCCAAAAACAACCTCAGTTTTCTTTTACTGTTTAACCTAAAATATCCATAGCCTCCAGGATTAGGATATGGACATCTTTGGGATATGGGTGGTGAACATTATTCTGCCTACTATTTCTAAAATAACGACTAAAAACACCATCTCCTCTGAGTATCTCTCTACATTAAAGAACACGGACTCACCAATTTGTGAATAAAAGAAATGTAAGATCAAAGCCACCTCCTAACCACAGATCTGGCAGTGGAAGAATAGATTCTCCAGCCCAGGGGAGAGTAAAGGGTTACAGGTCCCATTCATTTAGAAAGACGGTGGGTGAGGGAGGCAGCCTAAATCCTAAAATATTCCTGGGTCCATTCGTTGTTCAAGGGATTGGTAGAAATATGCCCTGTGAGTACAAGCAAAGGTAACACAACTGCACGGGCGAGAGGTCCTGCCTTGTTATCTTATGGGCTGGATGTCTATGGGAGGAGCTTCGGAGCTACTTGAGAGAGGCCAGAAGAATGATGGGCTGCCCATTCACAGGTAACTACCAAACCTTCAAAATTACACACCTGAAAGTCAGTCCATCCCTTGCATATCAAAAATACTTGAGCCCGAGTTGAAACTTCCCATAACCCACCCTGCTTAAAGCCTAATGGGTTCAAATACATTAGGAAATAGTTTGATCACAAATGAAGAAAATTCTGTCATAAAAAAAATCTATTTGGAGGTCATAATTCCAAAAGGAAATTATTCTTTGGGCCTTTCAAAATACTTATGAAATAAAAGTTTATAATCTGAATAAAAGGAAATAATCACGTCATTTAGTTTGACATGTATCTTTAATAATCAAAATGTAACTGGAAACTTTTAAAATTTATTCTAAGTCAACTTTCACATAGGTAATTTGACCCATTTTTGCTCATTGCAATAACTAATATGTTTAGCTACAAAAGTGTCAGATTCATTTATGCTTCTTGATTTTGATTCTCACTTATCCTTGCCTTTATTTCCTGTAGTTTGCTATGTTGACTATGTTTTAATTTTATTAAATTTTGGCTAATTAACTAACATGTAGTAGTTTTCCATTTTGCTAGACATTTACATTTTGATTTTAGGATCCTTATATTAACAATATTTCTTTATTCAATTCTATACTCAAATTGTAAATTCAACACCACATTGAAGGTATAAGAGAGAGCAAAAGAAGGTTCTACCCAAAGGAACTTACTCTCTAGGAAGGAATGTACATGTACTAAACAAGTGAAAAAGTAATCAAAGTGCTTATTGTGCTAAGTACTATGGGAACTAAGCAAAGCAATGAGTTGGAGAATAAGTAGGGGAAACATCCAAATAAGCTCAATTAGAAATGAAGTGGGAGATATTACAACAGATACCACAGGCATACAAAGACATACAAAAAAATCATTCAATGCTACTATGAACACCTGTATGTGCATAAAAAAAGACATAACAACAACAAAATCTACAGACAAATATCCCTGATGAACATAGATGCAAAAATCCTCAACAAAATACTAGCTAACCAAATCCAACAGCATATCAAAAAGATAATCCACCATGATCAAGTGGGTTTCATACCAGGGATGCAGAGATGGTTTAACATACACAAGTCAATAGATACGATACACCACGTAAACAGAATTAAAAACAAAAATCACATAATCATCTTAATGGATGCAGGAAAAGCATTTAACAAAATCCAGCATCCCTTTATGATTAAAACCCTCAGCAAAATAAGCCTAGAAGCAACATACCTTAAGGTAATAAAAGCCATCTATGACAAACCCACAACCAATCATTATACTGAATGGGGAAAAGCTGAAAGCTTTCCCCCTGAGAGCTGGAACAAGACAAGGATGTCTACTTTCACCACTTCTATGTAACAAAGTACTGGAAGCCCTAGACAGAGCAATCAGACAAGAGAAAGAAATAAAGGGCATCCAAATTGGTAAAGAGGAAGTCAAACTGTCGCTCTTCGCTGATGATATGATTGTACACCTAGAAAACCCTAAAGACTCATCCAAAACGCCCCTGAATCTGATAAATGAATTCAATAAAGCTTCAAGATACAAAATTAGTGTAGAAAAATCAGTAGCACGGCTATACACAAACAGCGACCAAGCTGAGAATCAAATCAAGAACTCAATCCCTTTTATAACAGGTGCAAAAGAAATAAAATAAAATTTTAAGGAGAGGAGTAACATTTGGGATTAATGTGTATTCTGGGAATCTCAACAAAGTAAGTGCATAGTTTGAGTTTTCATAAGACTTCTGCACAGGCAGAGAGAAATAAGATCATGTCTATAGCTGTGTGATGATCATATTAAAAATATTACTAAGTTTTTAAATATCATTTCAAATGGTTCATTTGTATCTCACATTGGACATAAGTAGATCGTAAGGTTAATGGAAAGTAGAAAAGTTAACTGACTTGCATGACCATAAAAGAGACATCGATCTGAAAAAGAAACATTTATTCATTTACTTCAGCTGCAGTTTTCTTGACTGCTGAATTTCATGAAAAGGGATTGTTCAGGGAGGGTTATGGAGCTGAAGGTCCGGACAGGAGCTGGTGCTACCGCTGTTCAAATCTGAAGGTAGTGGAGATGGAGCCTTGGGGAGGAGATGGTGCTGCATTTTAAGTCTGAAAATCATTGAGCTGGAGGTTCACGGAGGAGCCGGTGCTGCCACTGATGTCTTAGGTTGTAGAGCTGAAGACCAATTAAGGAGCTGGTGTTGCTGTTCTTCTGTGAGGGTCGTGGAGCTGGAGATCCAGTGGGGAGAGGTGTTCTAATTTGAGGGTCATGCAGCTGGAGACCTGGGAGAAACTGATGTTTTTTTAATTGGAGGGTCATGGAGCTGGAGACTTGGGGAGGAGCTGGTGTTTTTCTAGTTTCAGAGTTGTGGAGCTGGAGACCCAGGGAGCAGCTGGTGTTTTTCTAATTTCAGGGTCTTGCAGCTGGAGACCTAGAGAAAAGCTGGTGTTTGTTACTTTGAGGGTCGTGCAGCTGCAGACTCTGGGAGGAGCAGGTGTTTCTTTAGTTTGAGGGTCGTGCAGCTGTAGAACCTGGAAGGAGCTGGTGTTTTTCTAGTTTGAGGGTCTTGCAGCTGAAGACCTGGGGAGGAACTGGTGTTTTCTTGTATGAGTGTCCTACAGCTGGAGACCCAGAAAGGAGCTGGTGTTCTAGTTTGAGGTTCATGCAGCTGGAGACCTGGGAAGGAGCGGGTGTTTTTTAGTTTGAGGGTCGTGCAGCTGTAGAACCTGGGAGGAGCTGGCATTTTTCTAGTAGGAGTGTCGTGCAGCTGGAGACCCGGAGAGGAGCTGCTGTTCTAGTTTGAGGTTCGTGCAGCTGCAGACCCAGAGAGGAGCTGGTGTTTCTTTAGTTTGAGGGTTGTGCAGCTGTAGAACCTGGGAGGAGCTGGCATTATTCTTGTATGAGTGTCCTGCAGCTGGAGACCCAGAGAGGAGCTGATGTTGCTCTAGTTTGAGAGTCTTGGTGCTGGAGACCCAGAGAGGAGCTGATGTTCTAGTTTGAGGTTTGTGCAGCTGGAGACCTGGGGAGGAGTGGGTGTTTTTTAGTTTGAAGGTCGTGCAGCTGTAGAACCTTGGAGGAGCTGGCATTTTTCTAGTATGAGTGTCCTGCATCTGGCGAGCCAGAGAGGAGCTGATGTTTTAGTTTGAAGATCGCACAGCTGAAGACTCGAGGAGGAGCTGATGTTGCTCTAATTTGAGGTTCATGCAGCTGGAGACCTGGGGAAGAGAGAGTGTTTTTTAATATGAGGGTCGTCCAGCTGTAGAATTCGGAAAGGGCTGGCATTTTTCTAGTATGAGTTTCCTGCAACTGGAGACTCGGAGAGGAGCTGATGTTCTAGTTTGAGGGTCGTGCATCTGAAGACTCGGGGAGAAGCTGATGTTTTTGTTTGAGGGCCCTGCAGCTGGAGACCCAAAGAGGAGCTGGTGTTGTTCTAGTTTGTGGTTCATGCAGCTGGAGACCTGGGGAGGAGCAGGTGTTTTTTAGTTCTACAGTCCTGTAGCTCTAGAACCCGGGAGGAGCTGGCATTTTTCTAGTATGAGTGTCGTGCAGCTGGAGACCTGGAGAGGAGCTGATGTTCTAGTTTGAGGGTCGTGCTGCTGAAGGCGCAGGGAGGAGCTGATGTTCTAGTTTGAGGGTCGTGCTGCTGAAGATGCAGGGAGGAGCTGATGTTCTAGATTGAGGGTTGTGCTGCTGAAGATGCAGGGAGGAGCTGATGTTCTAGTTTGAGGGTCGTGCAGCTGGAGACCTGGGGAGGAGCTGATGTTGTTCTAGTTTGAGGCTTCTGCGTCTGGAGACTCAGGTGGGAGTTGATGTTTTACTGATCAGAGGGTCATGGAGCTGGAGACACAGGGAGTAGTTGATGTTTTCCTTGTTAGAGGGTCATGGAGCTGCAGACCCGTGGAGGAGCTGGTGCTGCTCTTGTTTAAGTCTGAGGGTCGTGGAGCTGGAGATCCAAGGAGGAGCTGATGTTGCTCTTGTTTAAGTCTGAGGGTCGTGGAGCTGGAGTTCCAAGGAGGAGCTGATGTTGTTTTAGTTTGAGGGTCATGGAGCTGGAAACCTGAGGAGGAGCTGACGCTGTTCTAGTTTGAGGGTCACGGAGCTGGAGGCCAGGGGAGAAGCTGATGTTGCTCTAGTTTGAGGTTTGTGGAGCTGGAGACCCAGGGGGCAGCTGGTGTTTCTCTAGTTTGAGGGTCATGCAGCTGACCCTCAATCGACCTCAAACTAGAAAAACACTCCTCCCCCCAGATCTCCAGCTACACAAACCCTCAAACTAGAACAACGTCAGCTCCTCCTCGGGTCTCCAGCTGTAAGACCCTCAAACTAGAGGAAAACCAGCGCCTCCCTGGGTGTCCAGCTCCATGACCCTGAAACTGGAAAAACACCAGCTCCTCCCTGAGTGTCCAGCTCATGACGCTCAAACTAGATTAAAATCAGCTCCTTCCCAGGTGTCCAGGTGCATGACCCTCAAACTAGAAAAATCCAGGGAGTTTTTTTAGTTTGCTGCTGTTTTTCCAGTTTGAGGGTCGTGCAGCTGGAGACCGAGGAGGAGCTGACGTTGTTCTAGTTTGAGGGTCGTGGAGCTTGGAGACCCAGAGAGGAGCTGGTGTTTTTCTAGTTTCAGGGTCATGTAGCTGGAGACCCGGGGAGAAGCTGATGCTGTTCTAATTTGAGAGACGTGGAGCTGGAGACCCGGAGAGGAGCTGATGGTGTTCTAGTTTGATGGTTGTAGAGCTGGAGACCCAGGGAGGAGCTAATGTTCTAGTTTGAGGGTCGTGTAGCTGGAGACCTGGGGAGGAGCTGAAGATCTGGTTTGAGGTTCGTGCAGCTGGAGACCCTGGGAGGAGCTGATGTTCTAGTTTGAGGGTCTTGCAGCTGGAGACCCTGGGAGGAGCTGATGTTCTAGTTTGAGGGTTGTGCAGCTGCAGACCTGGGGAGGAGCTGGTGTTGTTCTAGTTTGAGTGACTGGGTCCTCAAATCTGAGGGTCCTGGAGCTGGAATCTATGGGAGGAGCCAATGCTGCCACTGATGTCTTAGGTTGTGGAGCTGAAGACCCGTGGAGAAGCCAGTGTTGGTGTTTTAGTTTGTGGGTCATGGTGCTGGAGACCCAGGGAGGAGCTGATGGTATCCTAGTTGAGGGTCATGTAGCTGGCAACCCAGGGAGGAGCTGATCCTTCTGTTGTTTAAGTCTGAAGGTCGTCAAGCTGGAGATCCGGGGAAGAGTTGGTGCTGCGGTTCAAGTCTGAGGGTCCTGGAGCTTGAGCCCCCAGGAGGAGATGGTGCTGCCACTAATGTCTTAGGTTGTAAAGCTGGACACCCATGGAGGAGCCAGTGTTGCTGTTCTAGTGTGAGGTTTGTGGAGCTGGAGATCCAGGGGTGAGTGGCGTTGTTCTAGTTTGAGGATCGTGGAGTTGGAGACCCAGGGAGGAGCTGATGTTGTTCTAGTTTGAGGCTCGAGTAGATGGAGACCCTGGGAGGAGTTCATGTTCTAGTTTGAGGGTCATGCAGCTGGAGACCCTGGGAGGAGCTGATGCTCTAGTTTCAGTATTGTGCAGCTGGAGACCGGGGAGGAGCTGATGTTGTTCTAGTTTGAGGTTCATGCAGCTGGAAACCCTGGGAGGAGCTGATATTCTAATTTGAGGGTCGTGCAGCTGGAGACCCGCGGAGGAGCTGATGTTGTTCTAGTTTAAGTGTCGTGCAGCTGGAGTTCCAGGGAGCAGGTGGTTTTGCAGTTCAATCTGAGGGTCCTAGAGCTGGAATCTATGGGAGGAGCCAATGCTGCCACTGATGTCTTAGGTTGTGGAGCTGAAGAGCTGTAGAGGAGCCGGTATTGGTGTTCTAGTGTGAGGTTTGTGGAGATGGAGATCCAGGGGTGAGCACTGTTGTTCTAGTTTGAGGGTCATGGAGTTGGAGACCCTGGGAGGAGCTGATGTTGTTCTAGTTTGAGGGTTGTGGAGCTGGAGACCTGGGGAGGAGCTGGTGTAGTTCTAATTTGAGGGTCGTGGAGCTGGAGACCCACGGATGAGCTGGTGCTGCTGTTGTTTAAGTCTGAGGGTCATGGAGCTGGAGATCCAGGGAAGAGTTGGTGCTGTGGTTCAAGTCTGAGGGTCCTGGAACTGGAGCCCCCGGGAGGAGTAAGTACTGCCACTGATGTCTTAGGTTTTGGAGCCGTACACATGTGGAGAAGGTGGGCTGGTGTTCTAGTTTGAGGTTCATGGAGCTGGAGTCCTGGTCAGGAGCCAGTGATGCTGTTCAAGTCTGAAGTTTGTGGAGCTAAACATGGAGCTACTGTTGGGGAAGTAGAGAGAGACAGAGTTACAGGATGCCACTTGAAACTGTAGATGTAGCTGAATCCCAAGCAAGTTAATCCTGGGAACTTCTCAGTCCTCGTGATCAACGCATTCTTTTTTCTCTTACACAGTTTGGATTTGGTTTCTGTCTCACAAGACAGAAAGACCCTGATTAATACCCTCAGAAATTGAAAAGCTTAAAAAAAAACTAAATGATATTGGTATAATAATAATAGAAATTAAACTATGATTATCCTGACAGAGACAAAATCACACACCACACACAATATATATTGTTTCAATCAGTAAAATGAAATATAAATTGAAAAATACATCAATGCAAACCTATAAAAAGTTATTTCATGGAGAAGCGATGGATAACAGAGATTAATCTGAGAGTTACTATTAATGGAGAAACGTAGAACTTACCATTTTTCCTGTGAGTTTTTGGTGCTGATACTGATATTCTGTGAGTTCTGGCAGCTGAGTTTGTTCACACAGCCTGGTGATGCGGCAGGTGTCACAGAAGGACCCTGTCCCAGCTGGTCCTGCTCCACTGCTATGATGAGTGCAGCCTCTGATCTCTGACTGCGTCTTGAGGGGAGACCAGGCCTTTGATCACAAGCATATCCATGGTGAGATTCCGTGGATGGAACCTCATGGATGTTCCTGATGTTCCTTCCTGATGTTCATCTGCTGTCTTGCTATTTAATGCATCTTGTTTATAACTGTCTTCTAAATATTGAATGGAAATAAAGCATTTGTACAATATGGTAAGGTATAAAGAATATCGACACATTGGACACAGAGGACCTCCACCAAGTTTAGGGAATAGAATCTGAAGAGACATAACTTTAGATGCTCCCTGGAGGCCCTGACTGAGTCCCAGCCCCTTCCCTTCTCCTACAGAGGGAATCATTTCCTGCTTTAGTCTTTATTATTGCCATACTTTTCTTCATAGTACATTTCTTTCACCACATATGTGTACATCCCTAAAAGATATGCCATTTAGTTTTTGAACTTTCTGTTGTCTTTTTGAGACAGGGTCTTTCTCTGTTGCCTTGGCTGTAGTTTTGAACTTTGATGTGAAGAAATTCTCCTGTGTGGCTGCTCCTACACTGCATGGCTCTGAGCATCTGCTCAGTGTCTATTTTTGTCCTCCATTCTCTTCCTGAGACCCACCCACATTGACATGATTCATGTTCATTGCTGCGTGATCTCCTGTCATATGAGGGGAGCATGGGAAATGTCTTCATTTCCCTATTCATGAGTGTTTGTCCAGGTTGGGGCCCTTAGGAGTGTGTTTTGCTAGGAACATTCTTGGGCATTTCTTTTGTACACAAGTGCAACTTTCTTCTGGTCAGTAGCTTTCAATTTTTAAAATTTCATCCCAGGTAAGAAACGTAATTTTCCCCATAACCCACAACACACACCCTTTCATATACAAGCATAACAAAAATAAATTTCACAACCATTCTTAGCAGTGCCTGGTGTTCCTGCTACTCTCCATTCTCCCCAACACTTGCATTGATTGGATTGTGGGATTTTTGCCAGTCTTGTGGGTGTCATGTGATATCTCCCCCTGTCAGCCTGAGACCCTCTTCATGTTTTTTATTAGCCATTCCTCCACATTTCCTTTTCTGTGGAGGGCTGGTTCAAATCTTTTGCCCAGTTTCTGTAAAGTGGTATGAATTTTTGCCTTTTTCTTTTATTATTACTATTACTATGTTTTTGTGGCAGAGTCTCACTCTGTCGCCCAGGCTGGAGTGCAGTGGCATGATCTCAGCTCACTGCAACCTCCACCTTCTGGGTTCAAGTGATTCTCCTGCCTCAGCCTCCCAAGTAGCTGGGATTACAGTCGCACACCACAACACCTGGCTAATTTTTGTATTTTTACTAGAGATGGGGTTTCACCATGTTGGCCAGGCTGGTCTCAAACTCCTGAACTCAGGTGATCCTCCTGCCTCAGCCTCCCAAAGTGCTGGGATTACAAGTGTGAGCCACCATGCCCAGCCTGCCTTTTTCTTTTACAAGAGGACTATTTATAGATTATGCCTATCCATTCCAGTGACTATCTGTATGGCAAAGATGGGTTTGAATCCACCAGTATGAATGTGCAGGATCTCCTCTCTGGTGGGAGAGGAGACAGAGAGGATAGAAGAACATGGAGAATTAGAGCCGAGAGGAGGTGGAGTCAGGGTGGGGTTGCAGGCTGCTGTGAGGACTTGGCGCCTTCTCTGAGTCAGGTGGGATTAGCAGGGGATTTAAACAAAGGAACCGTGGGATCTCCTTTATATATTTCTGCCATGGTTGGCTCAGCTGAATGCACCTCTTGAACAAGACTTGGTCTTGGACACCCAGAGGTCCACGGTTGAGGGTTTACCTCCTGGCGTGGCCACTGACACATCCACGTTTGGTGCCCACATGGCTGGGCAGCCCCGAGACCTGCTCTGCCTGGGCCTCTCATTGTTGGCATTTCTCAAGTTTGTCCCCTCTCAAGTCTGCCCCATCCAGAAAACCAAACACCTCTCTCTCCTACATGGAAACCCCCATCAGCATCTCCCCCTGACTCACAGGGCATCCCGTCAACATCACAGTCCTGACTTTCCCACACGGACAAGCCCACGGGACCCCTCGATGGACCAGGACAGCACCAGCACTAAGACATCCCCTGAAACTCACAGGAAGACCGGACCAAGAAGATGGGAACTGCATAGGATGTGGGGAGCTGCAAATGCCCATGATACTGTCAGAGACAAAAAATATTATGGCCATGGCTGACACAAAATGTTACTCAACATTTATCACAGGCCTAAATGGAAAACAGAATGCTATAAAACCTTTAGATAAAAACATGGGGGAAAATTTGTATCGCCTTGGGTTAGGCAAGAAGTTCTTAGACATGACACAAAAAGCATGATTCATAAAAGAAAAGATTGACAAATTAAATTTAGTCATAAATTTAAAATTAAAATTCTATAAAGCAATATAAAAAATCTAAAGAGAATGAAAACACAAACTATGGTCTAGAAAAAAGTATTTGTGAATCACACATCTCACAAAGTACTGGCACGCGGAATATACGAAGAACCATCAAAACTTAACCATAAGAAAGTAAAAACCCCAGTATTAAAGAGAAGGCAAATATTTGAATGGAGCCTCATCAAAGAATAGATAAGGAGGGCATATTGCCCGAGAAAGACACTCAGCATCACAGAGATGTTGGAGAAATGCTAATCAACAGTACCTCTGCAAATCTATTAAAATGGCTAAAAACAGACAAAAAACACTGGCCAGTCCAGGTTCCAGTGATGATGCAGAGGACCTGGGACCCTCATAAGCTGCGGTGGGAATGGGAGGGGTCCCGCCATGCTGGAAAGTGGTCTGGGAGTTTCTTATTAAATTAAGCACATCCTTACCACGTCATCCAGCAACCCCACTCCTGGAACTCCCCCCAAGAGAAAACTTAAACGTGCACACATAAACCCGCACACAAGTGTTTAGGCTGGGCTTATTCCTCGCTGCCAATAACTGGAAGAAAACAAAATGTCTATCGGCAGGAGAAGGTGTGAACCAACGCGGATGCTTCCACATGGGGGCACCAGCCAGCAGTGGAAAGATGCGCCCGTGATGCACCAGCTCTCCCAGGTCACACACCCGGTGAAGGAAGCTAGTTTCGGTGGGCATAGGCCAAAGGATGCCGCCACATGATATCTTGGAGAAGACGGTGCTACCGTGCTGGGGAGCAGGGCGGGGGTTTTGAGGAGCTACGGGTGGAGGGACGAATGGAGGAGCTCTCTGGGGTGATGGTGTGAGCACCTGCACCTCACTGTGGGTTGCTGCAGCTGAGAGGCTGTACAGCAAGCACTGGCTTTAGTACATGCAGACTGAAGGAGGAAGGCTCCCAAAAGTCAAAGACAAAGGATGTCACTTCCACGAAACAAAAGCACACACACACAAAAACCTCCTAAAACTAAGAAAAAAACACAAAAATATTTCATAAGAGCGTTGGACTTTGAGTTGATATAATCTACCTGGGAGCATGGAACTGAACATCAATTGAAGGGGCTCAGTACCTGGCTATCAGAAATTACAGATTTAAAAAGCGTCAGGGAGGAAATAATTTCTGCAAATGAGGTTGCTTTTCTCCAGATACCTGGCAGAGTAAGTTAAAGCAATATAGTAAAACAATGCACATCTTGATGGAATCTGAGGATCACAAAGTTGTGGTGAAGGAAATTTGAAGATGTCCAGAAAAGGAAGACAAATGAGATGAATCTTGCAGCTGCCCTTCAAGAGGGGCATGCACCAGGTGGCAGTGATTCTCCGTGATGTTACAGGAATTCTCCTGGCTGGGTCCTCAGGAGCCTTTTCTTCCCATCCACACTCACCTCCCAGGGTGACTGGTATGGGTCCCTGGTGGTCATGACTGCATTCAGGGCAGGGGGCCTGCTGAGGCTGCTCTCCCTGTTCCTGAAATGCACGGGTTTGGTCCAGATCCCGCTGCTCACCACACAAAAAGCCAATCACTGAGACAATGGTTACTGCCAATGAAGAAGGCATTCATCAGGAGTGGCAGCCCAGGAGATGGGAGATCAGCCTCAAATCCATCTTCCTGACTGACTACATAGTAGGGAAGAAATGTGACTATGTATAAGGAAAACAGGAATTAGAGAGAGTGAGGAAGAGAAGTTGGTCAGGAGGAGACAGGCGGCTGGTCAGGCACTCATGACGGGTGAGGGGTCTGGCGTCTCACTGTCCAGATGCCATGATCTGGTGAGTCTCTGTTCCTTCACACTACCTGGGAGGCCTGATGGTCAGTTTCCTGAGAAAGGAACCCAAATAAGACAAATGTCAATTTCTCAAGTTTCAAGACCACAAGGATCCATTTCTATGTTACTCAGAGAAACCATGAACATCAGTTCTACGGGAAAATTGGGCCAGTTCAACACCAGATCTGATCTGCCATGACGCCTGCTGCTCAGCCCTCAGATAAGGCCCAGAATCCAGTGTTTTTCCCCCACCCCAGCCTGACCCCACACCCACACCTCCCCACTTCACCCTGGGCCTCATTGCTCTCCTGCCGCAGAGGTGTCAGGGAGCTGCACATGGCCTGTGTGCACCTGGACACGTGGCATATTTCAGATGCACCTGGTGTCACGTTTGCACAAACCCAAGTGGGAAGAGATCCAAATGCATGTTCACCGCAGACAGCTGAGGACATCCCAGCAAGTCCCTCAGTGGAGTCAGCCAGCGCAAGGCGAGTGAGGGACCTCCGGAGATGTGAATGGGTCTCAGAGAGTGTGTGAGTGGAGCAGCAAAAACATATGCTGCTAATTAATTCAGTCCTGTTGAGCTTACAATAGTCCACGTCAAAAAGAATGTTTGGGGCTGCAGTAATTGAGTGGACAGTTGCAAACAAGGCAAGGGAAGGAGGACCAGAGAGGTGAAGAGGACACTCCCTTCGGGGGTGGAGAGAGTAAGACCTGGCATTGCACATGGGTGGGGGGGGCTTGTCGAGGCCCCTCTTTGCTTCTGAGAGTCTGTTTTCATGGACAGTCTTCTACAAAAGGTACATGGCAGTTTTTCAGGGCCAGGGTCACCAGGATTCATCTTTAAGCCTCCCCAGCCTGGGAGGCACCACCTCCACCAGCCCCGTCCGCACAGTCTTATCTCATCTCAGGTTCCCTGGAGCCCGACCTTCCATGCACAGCCTCCTGGTCTGGGCGTCTCACCTCCATCCACACAAGTGGTTCAGGGAGGGTGGAGTGTCTGGTGCTCTGCGCTGGAGGCTCAGCCCGCACTGGGCCAGGCCATCGCAGGCCTCACAGATGAATGAAGCATGAATAAATCCCGATCCTGTTATCACAGCTTCTCCCCATGCATCCCCAGCAGAACATTGTGTAAAAACTACACCAGGATTCGTACATGCCAGAGGACCGAACTTTCGTGTGTTGAAGATAATTTATCTTTCTGAATCACTACAGATCTACCAAGCGGTTAACCACAGAATAATCACAGGGGAGAGTCTGAGTGCTGACCTAAGAGAACCTTACACTGCTTCAGTTACCCTTTAAAATTAAAGGGTATTGACTTCATAATTTTGTTTTGTTTCTCTTCTAAATGAGACTGTCATGGAAAAAACAGCTATGTAGGCGATGGCTTTGTATACCTTTAGATGGAAATGTCAGCTCAATTATTTCAAGTGTAAAAGTGTTTCAGCTTTTTTGAGGTATAATTGATATACAAAGAGCTGCAGACATTCAATGTGTACACTTTGGTGAGGCTTGACATGAGCAAACACCCATGAAATCATCACCAAATCAAAGCAATTGAGGAATTCTACACCTCCTGGAGGCTTCCTTGTGCCTGTGCCCATGGTGAGAACACAGCATGAGATCTTCCTTCTCAGGCAATCGCAAATGGGCAACAAGAAAATAAGAGGAGGTCACCTTATGAACACACACCCTGTGACTTAATTGTTGATCTTTTTAACCTGGGCCTCACATTGTTCATTCAGAATATGTCAAAGACTTTAGAAGTCATCTAACATATCAGTAATTTAAAGTCCTCTAATACAAAAAGTATAGAATATTACCTTTTGTCACATAGCAATAGGGAAATGAAAAAAGAAAACTGACTTATGTTCTTTAATGGCTAGGAAAATATTCTTAAAAAGATATCTCGGCTCACGCCTGTAATCCCAGCACTTTGGGAGGCCGAGGCGGGCAGATCAAGAGGTCAGGAGATTGAGACCATCCTGGCTAACACGGTGAAACCCCATCTCTACTACAAATATTAAAAAAAAAATTAGCCGGACATGATGGCGGGCGCCGGTAGTCCCAGCTACTCAGGAGGCTGAGGCAGGAGAATGGCATGAACCGGGGAGGCGGAGGTTGCAGTGAGCTGAGATGGTGCCACTGCACTCCAGCCTGGGTGACAGAGCAAGACTCCGTCTCAAAAAAAAAAAAGAAAAAAAAAGCAGAGCGAGACTCCGTCTCAAAAAATACTAATAATAATAAATAAAGGTATCTCATCCACAGGTGAATCTAACAAATGACAAATTTATTTCTTTACATAGATAAATATAAGGTTAGATCCATGTAAGTAAATGAAGCCATTAAGGGTAGAGTCCCACAGATCACAGAACTGACCCAGCAACCAGCTCTGCTAACGATTTCGGGGAGTAATTTCCAGGCAGAGGTCGAGCTGGAGAAGCTGGGGACCATCGTAGTCCCCCTGTCCTTCCTGCCTCATAGGGTCTCTGAGGGGTGCCTGGAACATTTCCTCTTGGGCTTTGAAGATCATTTCACTTATACGCGACATTTTCCAGGTGCCACAGACCTAAGCCCAGAAACTTCACAGTACCAAGACCACCCGAGAGCCGGGGTCACCTGAGAGAGGGCAGGGGGTAGACAGTGGCTCCCCAGGAGTGAGTACCAGGTATTGTCAGGGTTTCTCTCCCCAGCACATTTACAAGGGGACTTGATGGGTTCTTCTTCCTTCGGGAGCAATCCCAGTGGGCAGAAGGAGGGGAAGGGAGGCCTGGCAGACTCTCCTCCCCAGCTCCGTTCCAAGATCGACGGGGCTCTGGCAGGCCCACGTCACCTGCAGGTGAGAGATTAGGGTTCCTCCCTGGCCTCGCTGCTCTCAGGCCCTCATGGGCACCTCTCCCCACCCTCTCAGCTGGACAGCGACACACACCCACTCTCTCATGTCAATTTGCACACAGAGCCATGCTCACTGCACACACACACTCACACACATGGGCTCTTGCACAAGTCACACCTTATTCACACTCATGCACACTCACATGATAGTTGCAAAATCCTTGTGTTCCAGCAGGGAATATGAGGACACAAGGGTGAGCGTGCGGCTGCCCGTCCCACCGTGCGTGTGCAGGTGTGTCTGTTCCTGCCTCCGCGCCAGGTCCTGGGGTGAGCACACATGGCTGCCCGTCCCGCCGTGTCTCTCCTCCGCACTGGGTCCCGGGGTGCGTGTGCAGGTGTGTCTGTCCCTCCTCCGCGCCACGTCCTCACTCTGCTGCTCCCCCATAGGGAAATTGTGATATCTGTGATTTTTCTCATCAGTCACAACTGGAATCTGCACGTCTCTGTCTCACACCCGTTCACTCAGCTGTGAGGACATCGACGTGCAGCCTCGACTTCCTGCAGTGCATTCGTCAGGCTCCCGTGGCCGCTGGGCCATTGTCGGGGCCTCGTTACCTGCCTGGCTGAAGCCTCCGCCTCATCACACCCCTCACTGGAGCAGCCCCGACTCACAGGCTGTTAATTGTCACCATCAAGCACGCCAGAAATTTTAAAATGATTTCTCTAAGCCAGGTACAGAAAGACAAACATTCTCTCTCTCACTTATTTGTCAGATTTAAAAATTGAAACAACTGAACTCATGGACATGGGCATGGAAGGACGGTTGCCAGAGGATGGGAAGGGTAGCAGGGTGCGGGAGAGGCAGGGACCGTTAATGGGTGCAAACATAGAGGAATGAATAAGATCTGGTGTTTGATAGCACAACAGGGGAACTAAAGTCAATAAGAACTTGACTGTGCATTTTGAAATAACTTAAGGAGTGTAGTTGGGTTGTTTGTAACCCAGTGGATAAGTGCTTGAGGGGACGGACGCGCCCGTTCTCCGTGATGTGCTTATTTCACACTGCATGCCTACATCCAAACATCTCACGTACCCCATAAATATATACACCTATATGCCCACAAAATTTTAAAAAATCATTTATCTAAGGATAAAAGTGAAGGTCCCTTCGTTTCATGCAGCTTCTGTTTTGTCAAAGCTTTTGTTTTTTGAGATGAACCTTCCTCACTGGTATCGTGGGCACCAGGGAGTTTGTCCAGGACAAGCTCCCACCATTTCTAACTACTCCCAACTTCAAGGGAGGATCTGTAAACACACGTGTTTTGTGGTATTTGACTGACATTCTGATATTTTTTCAGAGGACTTGGAACTACTGTAAGAAATCAATGCATGACATACAAATTCACACAATTTTGGGGAGGGAGAGACAACAGATTATGTAGTAGCGGGCGCCTGTGTTCCAGCTACTCAGGAGGCTGGGGCAGGAAAATGGCGTGAACCCGGGAGGCGGAGCTTGCAGTGAGCCGAGATCGTGCCACTGCACTCCAGCCTGGGAGACACAGGGAGGCTCCATCTCAAAAAAAAAAAAAAAAAAAAATCATGATTTTAGATTGTTTTTTCTTTTTAGAAGATTTTTTTCTACTTGAGATATTTGACTCAAGCATTGTTAAAAATGCAACAAAATCATAAAAGTTTGGTGGTTCAAAAAATAATGTTGACACAAAATTCTAGTGGCTCTACACTTGGATAGTTTTAATTTTTTAATTTGGTAACTCTGGTTACAGAAGCCAAGTGACTTTTCAGACACACAGGTTTTCAGCCCTTGGCAGGAATTAGAAATGAACATTTCTAGTATTTTCCACCGTGCAGACCTTCAGGGCATATGTGCCTGTGTCTATATATGTATGTATACACATATGAGCAGACGTGTTTGTGTGTCTGTGTATGAATATGTATCATGTGTGTACATGTGTGTGTTATTCACAGATTGCCTTTGCTAAGTATCAGATAATGTAGTGATTCCAAAGGAGTTTCAAGCTCATCTTTATTCTTTCCTATTTTGCTGAGTGAAAAGTACAGCTGTACTCCTTTACTCACTGTGTGAGACAGACGTCATACGGATGACTATAAACGTGCCATGCATGATGTAATATATAGAAAGAAAACCAGATGAAAATAAAAGTGAATAAAATTGGCATAAATGACCCCAAATCACACCTGAAACACACTCTGTGGCCCCACTGAGGTCTTCAGGCGCTCTGCGTTCGGGAGGCCTGGAAAGTCCCAGCTGTGAACCTCCCGGCAGTCCTGTGACTCAGTTCACCACATTGCTCAGACATCCACGCCTCCTGTTAATTTACCTTAAGCCTTGACTTATTTTTAACCTTTTAAAGTTAAGACCCGTGATCAGTGAGTGCCACTCTGTGGGGAGTCACGTTTGGGATGGTAATTTCCAAAGGCAGCTGAGAGAAGAGGAAGGAATGGGTGTTCCTCCAAATGCTAGTGTCAGATGCCTCGGTGAAGGCGAAAGGATTGATCCTGAGAGGAGAAGAATAAGCTCATCTGCAGAAGAAACGATATTTGACCACAATACAGGCCTTCAGGAGCAGTGCTGAGTCCAGGGAGCATTTATTAAATGCCATTTATGTGACAAGCGCAAAGCTAAGGACTGTCCAGTCTGTGGAGAGTAAATCTCCTTTCCACCTTGCAGGCTGACAAAGTCAAATCATTAGTGACCGCTCATGTGAGGAAGGTGGAGCTGCCTCTCCAGATGCACATAAATCCCGTGGCTTTTCCCAGGTAGCCTGGGAGGTGGGTCCCGGTGGGTAAACAGCGATAGATGCGGGTGATTCCCAGGGGTCCTGTGAGAGGCTGTGGCCCGAGGCCTGGAAGGAGGCAGGAGAGGGTGCTGGTTCACTCGCAGCTCCAGGGTGGGCTGGAGGTGTCCAGGTGGGACTGTGCCTGGGAATGTAGGTGCTACCCATGGGGAGCTGCTGTTCTAGAGATGGCCATGGGGGCCTCTGGGAACCCAGGAGACCCAGTGACCCACAGTTCTTACCACCTGGCTTCACAGATGGGATCTGGGACTTGGGAGTTAAACTGCTTGGTGAGGCTCCATGACTGCCAGGTGGGAGGGCTGGATTCGAAGCCCAGAGGGAGGTCGCCTCCACCTTCCGCCATCGTAGCCCTGACTCGCTGCCTCTCCACCCTGGAGACAGGGAGAGGGAAGAATTTCGGAGACCAGGGTGGGTGGGTGTGGCCCTTCACACTGGTATTAAGGCCTCCCTCCTCTCCTGTGACATGTAACCCCCAGGGCCTGCAGGTGCCCAGACAGCCTGAGCTCATGGCGCCCTACGGGGAAGGCTTTGCTTAGATGTGGAAATCAGGTAGAGGACACTGGGATTCCCTCAGTCAATGTCCGAAATCAACCTTTAACCTCCAGAAGTGCTTTAAGGCCCGCTTGAAAAGGGAAGGAAAAGGTAAACGTTCATGGTGGGGATGGGGAGCCCTGTTGGCCACAGCCTGGCCACTGTCACCACCTCAGATGGTCACTGTGGCTCTGGGACCCAGGCTCCTTGAAGGACAGACACATTGGCTGGAGCTTTGGAGATGGACAACTTTGACCCTTGCCAGGCGTCTTAATTACAGCCTGGAGGCAACAGGGCAGTGCACTCCCAGCTCTGTTTTTCTTCTTTTTTTTTTTTTTTTTTTTTTTGAGACAGAGTCTCACTCTATTGCCCAGGCTGGAATGCAGTGACACAATCTCGGCTCACTGCAACCTCCGCCTCCCAGGTTCAAGCGATTCTCCTGCCTCAGCCTCCCGAGTAGCTGGGACTACAGGTGCACGCCACCATGCCAGGCTAATTTTTGTATTTTTGTATTTTGTTTTCACCACGTTGGCCTGGATGGTCTCAACCTCTTGACCTCGTGATCCACCTGCCTCGGCCCCCCAAAGTGCTGAGATTACCAGCGTGAGCCACCACACCCGGCCACATGCTCAGCTCTTACTCCTCTTTCTCTCTGGAGTTTTGTTCTCCTCAGTTGTTGACTCAGCGAAGATGAATCCCACCTTTTAGAGAATAAAAGTCAATGGGGTTTGTTCCACCAGCTGACTGAAACAGAGAAGGTGTGAACGAGGAACATGCCATGCAGAATAGTGAGGCCCACAGAGGACGGAGGGGCTGCAGACGCCCAGGGATACTGAGTCTGCAGAAAGTGAATCCAGCCTGCAGAGCTGAGGCTGCTCTGATGCAGCAAAACTTGAAACACCACTGTTGAGTTTTCTTCCTGGGGAGGATGGACCCAAGAGGCCCTTCCCCACTTGGACCACAGCCAGCAGTTTGCACCCTAGACAATGGCCCTCGCTGAAGGGACATCTGTGTCTATGCAACCCACGTACAGTTAGACACACCACACGTGTGACCCAATGCGAGGAGGAGAGAGGCACAGAGCCCACAGGAGGGAGAGCTCAGTGGGAATCGATGGAGAGGAGGACTCAGCTGTCCGTGACCCAGAACCGGCTGACCATGTGCTGGCCACTCTCTGCCAGTCCTGGTGGACACATGCAGGTGGTGTCCACCCCATGCCTGCCCAGTGGGGTCTTACTACCAAGTGTGCCCCAGGCTTACCTGCCCACTCTCAGGTGCTGCAGCAGTGACCTGTCCACCCACTGTGAGCTGCTGGAGCCCCGGTGTGGGTCCCTCAGCCTCTGGACTGAAGCTTCCTCAAGTCATGTCAGCAGCAGGCTGGGTGCACTGTCATCAGGATGAAGAACATTGCCCTGCGTGCACCTGGGCAGAGTAGAGGTGTTGGTTTCTGCCGGTCACACTCCTGTGGAGGGCCCGGCCACCCTGCAGACCCGCCTGTGTATGTGTGGAGCATCGTGAGGGTCACTGGGGCGGGGCCCACTCCTAGACACAGCCACTGAGTCTCCACTGCTCAGTGAGGACAACACGGATGAAGGACTCAAATAGTGGCCTCTGGGGTTTGGCCTCCCGGCCCAGCCAGGCATGTGGAGGAAAGTGAGGGCTTCAGCCGGCTGTCAGGGCCCTGGGTGGTGACACAGGAACCCTGGACCCTGCCAGTGGGCCCAGAGCAGCAATGCTGGAGCACTATGATCAGGACACCTCTGCACCAGCAGCTGGGCTGCCGGCCACACTTGGGCCGAGCCGGCGTTCACTCCCCCAGGCTTGTTCACTCCAGACAGATTTCTTCCTAACTTGGGCCTCCACCTCCCCTGTCCAGAGCACTGATTTTGGAAAACGTAAAATTGTAAACTCTCTCTGCCCCTTCAAGGTGTAAATCTTCTTCCAGCTACTTGCCAGTTCCACAGCTCAGGAAATGTCCTTCTCCAGGCCTGGGAGCTGCCTTGGAAAATGAGGCATCGAGAAAGAAAGGGCCCAGCCCCTCAGGCACTGTGGGAGGGCAGGAGCCTGACTCCATTGAGGAGGATTAGGGGGCCAGCCCCCTGCTGAGGCCTCCAGGGCTCTCCCACCTGCTCAGCAGCCCCTCAGGCCTCTCAGCCTTCCTGCCGTGTGCTGCAGAGGACCTGGGTGCTCTCCCCTACTGCAAAGATCTTGAATAAAGCCTTTCTTGCTGGTTTAAAACCATCTGATGAGAACAATTACTTGTTCTCATAAGAGACCCTGCATCAGAGTGGTCGTACCCACCCTATGGGTGGAGATGGGGTCTTGAAGCCCACCTGCATTTGTCACCAGGGTGTGCACAGAGAGAGTTTCAGTGCCACCCTAGAAGCATCCACTCAACACTCAGGAATAAAGCAACACCTACAAAATTTAAAAATAATGGTAAATGGAATGGCACCTAAAAGAAGAGTATGACTAATATAAACGAGAATAACAGATGTGCACACTTGCACTTGTCCACGCCCCAGATAGAGATGCCCATAAATCACATCCGAACATTTTCTAGGGCCAGAGAGGTGAGAGTGAGGGACATGGAAAATGGGGATGAAGGGAATGGGTAAAGAAATCCACCTGGGACAGCAGGTCACCTTGGTGGGGGCAGCATCATGCTGGGTAGGGCAGCCAGGGCAGTGACCCCTCCAGGCATCTAGGCAGAAAGTCACACAAGGGGCTGAGAACCCACAATATGAGAGGGTGGATTCTAGGATGAGCTCCAGAAGTGATTTACGGATTAAGAGAATGGCCACATCAGGATCCCCACCCCTGAGGTCCCACAGCCCCCACCATGTTGCATTCCAGGGTCTTTCCAGCCCCTGTTACCACCCCTGCTGCTGCAGAAACTCGGGTCCCATTTAAACCCTGATATGGTTTGGCTGTGTCCCCACCCAAATCTCATCTTGAATTGTAGCTCCCACAATTCCCATGCGTCGTGGGAGGGAGCCGGTGGGAGGTGATTGAATCATGGGGGTAGGTCTTTCCTGTGCTGTTCTTGTGATGGTGAATAAGTCTCATGAGATCTGATGGTTTTAAAAAGGGGAGTTTCCCTGCACAAGCTCTCTTCTCTTGCCTGCCACCATGTGAGATGTGCCTTTCACCTTCTGCCATGATTGTGAGGCCTCCCCAGCCACGTGAAACTGTTAAGTCCAATAAGCCTCTTTCTTTTGCCAATTGCCCAGTCTCGGGTGTGTCTTTATCAGCAGCATGAAAATGACTAATACAAACTCCCTCTGGTGAGGGCCAGTTGTGGCTGCTCAGCCACCGGGGAAACCTGGGTTCACTGTCACAGACTCACTGGGGTTTCCAATTCCAATTCTGGCCTGGAAGATGACTGATGGGCTTTTGATCATAGAGCTGGACATACACACATTTGTGACTCTAAGAAATAAGGCAAGAAGCTATCACTGTGTGCCCTATTAAAAGTAAAAGCTAATTTTTTGTGAGAGAACTGAAATCTCAGGTGTGGTATTTGGAACACGGAGCCACTTGACAGGAAGGCCCCAAAATGGAAGTTCAAACATCCTGGCAGAGCAACAGAAACATAAAATGAGAAAAAGAACAGAAAACTAAATGAGGAGCCATGGAGAAAGAACACTAGGATGGAGCAGGTGCGGCTGTTACCCATGAACTAAGTGCAGCTCCGCGTCAGAGAAGAGAACACAGTGAATACAGCAGTCCTTGAACTGACATGCTTCACATTTAGAAACATACCCTCCATCATCACAATTTCATTTGCCAAATTAGACACACTTTACTGACACTTGTGGAGGTTTTATTGCTTTGCTTTGGATGAAGGCAATCTATTATAGCTTCTCCCATGGAGCTTCTCTGGACACTGTTTAATCAGACTTCCTTAAAGCTCCCCTAAAAGAGGTCTCCTCCCTCCCCAATACCAATATCTGAGAAACCCCAGCTGCTCACACAAATTCAAGTTATTCATCACCTTTCCCAAATTTACGGCTCTGGCTCCTTTTATACTCTGACATGGGGCATTTTTGTCGGCAATGCCCTCACAACCCCAGTGCCTCCTCTAATCAAATTCCACCGATTCCTTGGCTTTCCTTTCCCATAAATGTCATCGAAACACTCAGCTTACCTCCTGATGGAGTGATTTTATGCAAATTTCCTTACTCATAATTAATTTTAAAGACCAACATTCATCAAGGAAGGAAAACTGTTTCCAAAAGGCACACACATCTTATATGAAACATTGCTTAATACAAGAAGATCTGATTTTGTGGGAAGCATTGCTTTGAAGTAGTTTCTATGTCCAGCGATTTGATGCCATTCTATGAGACTTTAAGACAATGAGAGCCTCTGTTAGCAGAGCTAGGGCGGGCCCGCGGGGAACTGGAGCGGGCACGTGGGGAAGTGGGGCGGGGACGGGAGGAACTGGGGCCGGCACGCAGGGAACTGGGGCGGGCATGCGGGAAGCTGAGGCAGGCACGTGGGGAACTGGGGCGGGCACGCAGGCTCAGAGATGCACACGTTTGTTCTCAGCCTGCACATCCCAGAATGCATTTTTGCCTCACGCTGTAACAATTAGAGAGATCCTTCACAAGGCAAGGGCTGATGAACGTGCAGTTCTGGGGAATGCGAAACAAACAGCTGAAAAGGAGAAGGCAGCCAGGCCGAATGAATGTGCTCATCAGACAAACTCACCAAGGTCTCCCTCATTTGGCCACCTTGTTCCTCCTGGAGGCAGGGGCCCCCCAGAGCTGCCGGGTGTGGGGCAGGGGCCTCCATAGACATCTGGCTGGGGCTTCACTTTGAGCCTCCTCCACCATCAGGGCAGGGGAGTGAGGATGCAAGGAGCCTGGACCTCCCCTCAGGAAGGTCCTGTGGAGGGGTGTGGGGTCGCCTGTGGGCCCCCCAGCCCAGACATGGAAAGCTGAGCTCATCCTTCGCAGGAGCTGAGCTTCCTTCGGGGATCTTCTTTCCTGACACACACTCCGTGTCAGGGGGTCACTAACCCAGGACTGGCTTAGCGTCAGAAATAGCTGCAACCTTTTTTGTGGCCCGTGAATATGCAAAATCAGGTAGATGGTCATCTGAACTCTCCACACCCAGCGTCACCTCCACACAGGCCCCACAGGCGCCCTGGATCCAGCGCACCATTGCCCAGCCTTGTGGACCAGGCCCCAGGCTGTTATAGTGTCGGAGGCAAAACTACAACAAATCTAGTTTAAAGATTGAATTGGCTTCTATTTGTGATTCTAGACTTGGAAACACTTGGCCCTGGGAGCAGGATGGGCGCGGTGAACTGAGCGGGGAGTGTCCCGTGAACTGAGCTGGGGTGTCTCAAACATCTGGGCTCAAGCAGTCCTCCTGCCTCAGCCTCCTAAGTAGCTGGGATTAGAGGCACAAGCCACCACACCTGACTCTGAAAAGTATAATTTAATAGTCCCAACACAGATGAGAAATATTAGACCCTTTCCTCAGCCTGTCACTTCAATTAACTTCCAAATCTTTATTAATATATTAACTATTTATATTAACTATTATTAATATTAACCTAATATTGCACCACTTCACATTATATTTTCATTTATTTTTAAGGGAACCTTTTTCTATTTTCATTTACTTTTATTGTGTAGACCCAACCCAACATTAAAATCATCTCAGTTATCACCAATTTTGTATAGACACTGAAGGAAGAAATTTACATTCATTATATCATTTAACACTTAAAATCAACAAAGAAATAAATGCATATGTATTTTGTTCTTAGCAGAACAGTGGAAACACTGCACAAAATGAACTCAGCTGTTTTTATTTTGCTTCTTGATTCACACCCATTCTACCAGCACTCTCTATCTTCAGCTTACCAATGAGTAAGGAAGGACTGAGAGGAAAAGAATCTGTGCATTGCCGTATCTTTCCCTTTCCTCTGTCATAATTTTCGGCATAAGTTATTGGCTAATATAGGGAAGTAACATATTAAGTGTATTGGTTTGCTAAGGCTGCCAAAACAGAGTACCACAGACTGGGTGGCTTACGCAACAGAAATCTATCTTTCTCATACTTCTGGAGGCTGGAAGTTCAAGATGAAGGTAGGTGTCGACAAGAGTTCATTTCTTTTGAGGCCTCTCTCCTTGCCTTGCAAATATCTCCCTTCTCCCTGAGCATTCAATGGTTTTCCCTTTGTGGGTATCTGTGTCCAAATTTTCTCTTCTTACAAGGATAACAACCGTTGGATTAAGGCCCAACTCAATAACCTCATTTAACTTAATTACCTCTTTAAAGACACTCTGTACCAATACTGTCATATTCTGAAGTACTGGGGGATTAGGACTTCAATATGTGAGTTTGCAAGGAAGACACAGTTCAGTCTATAATATTGAGAAAGGATATGATCGTCTTCCAGGGTTGTTCATGTTTCTTAGAGTGGCATTGCCTCTTCCTGCATTCAAGGCAAGTTCTGGTCTTCTGGGCTGTCATCTTCTCCAGTTGCTCAGCTGAAAACACAACACACTCATTTGTACACTCTTTGAGGCCCACCGAACTCTCACACAATGTGGGTCTCCTGGAGCTCTGTGTTCGTGGGGATTCAAAGGCTGTGTGAGAATGGTGTGGTAGCCAGCAACAGGCACCCCGCATGCATCTCCTGTGCTCATGCACATGCTCCATTGTCCATCAGACTTCACATACAGAACACAAGACTAAAGACCAAATTATTAAGAATTTGGAGATGGTGACAGTAGAACATTAAGCCAAGTGAGAGTCCTTCTAGGAGCAAGGCCCCAAGAGTAAGGTGAGCATGTCATAGAATCCACTTAGTGGGAATCACAAATGCTATATGTGAATGAGGCAGCAAGAGGCCATGGACACGCATATTGCCTGGATCTCCTCTATTCATATATGTGCCCCATTGTCCTATCAGACTTAACTTATAAAACAGAAGTTCAAATGCAAAATTATTAAGAATTTCAAGATGGCAACAGCAAGGCACCAAACCAAGCGCTTCTAAGCATGAGGCTCCATGGAACTGCACAGTTGTATGCCCATGAAGCTGGTCTTGAAAATAGATGTGGCCACCCACAGAAAGTGTTGGCCTTGTGGCCAGGTAAGCCTTCTCTGCTTAGCCAGCCTCACCTCTGAATTTGCCCATAGATGTGACGTGGTTGGAAATCATTTATCATCTTTCTTAGGATTGCCATGTGTTTTTAGCAAAAATATCAGATCCACCTGATAAAAATGTATAGACCAAAAATACACAATCTACAATGTATGTTAATAGTAACCCCTATTATAGCTTCTACATTAAGTACTGCAGATTACATATTATAAGTACATCTTATAGACATAAATATTTGATAAAATAACACACTATATTGCATGGCACTGAAAGTAAATCATGCTATGACATAATGAAATGGTCATGATTTTTTCAATGACCATCTTTGTATCTCATATTTATTTCAACAGCAGAAAGCTCATATAGAAAATCAGCTTCCAAGCTGGAGACATGGGCCCCCTAGCCTTTTTTTTTTGTTTGGCTCTGCTGTTCTGTTTCATCAATTTCAAAGTATGTGTCAGCCACTAATGGCTTGTCAATCCAGTTCCATCTGTGTTGTGGTTCCTGAAATTCTTCCCAAGGTCTGGCAATGCATTATTTGATATTTCTAGTTTTCAATGTTGTTGGATCTCTGCAGCAATTTTTATGCTTCCAAGAGTTTTCAATGGGAGGGTCAGGAAGGGTAAATCAGCCAGCTGCCATCAGAGCCAATAAATCCACCTGCTTTATTGTCATTTAACAGCAACGAAAGAGCCATGGATTTTCTGGGGTGAAATAAAGCAAGTGCTGTGTACCACCTTACACTATTGGAGCACACATGTGCATGCACCCACACACATTAGATGTTATTCATGTGGGAGACACTCACTAAAGGATATAACCAGGATTATCATCAATTCACGGACCCCATCTCCAATATATTGGACTCTTCTCTTTCTCATGTGACAAGATACACAATAAACATATAAATATATAACATGTCAGGAGACAGAAGTGTTATAAAAAGCTAAACAGAGTTGGGAATAAGAGAATTCAGTGGGAGGGGCGTGGGAGTTGGTGTGCTATTTTAAGTAGGGTCACCATGGACATCCTTTCTGATGGGGTGACATTTGAGAGGAGACTGGAACTGAGAAAGCACCCAGATACCTGAAAGAAGTGGGTTCAGAGAGAAAAAGAGCAAAGGCAGGAGCTTCATGTGTTTGAGGAAGAGGACAAAGCCAGTCTCCCTAGAAGACAGCAGGAGGAGATGATATTTGAAATTTGTTTTAATTTTAAGATAAGTATCTGTTGGCACGTTTGTAGTGAGGGGTGGTGTGATCTGTCCACCCCAGCTGCTGTGTGCTGGCAAGATCCAGAAGACCAAGTGCTGAGGCAGGTAAACCACTTACGAGAAGGTATTGCAACGATCCAGGAGAAAGATGGTGGTGGCAGCCCCCAAAATGAAAGTGGTAGAGATGGAGAGGTGTGGTCAGATTTGGGATATAATAAAAGAGCACTGTCAAGGATGACTCCAAGTTTTTAGCCCACGCAGCTGGAAGAATAAAATTGCCAGCTGTAATTCTACACTTTTCTTCCTTTATTAAGAAAGTACATTGTAATGCAAGTAAGCATTTGCTGTAGGGACAAAGGGCAACCTGCAATTTGTTCTAATTTATAAAATAAAGTAACATTTTAAAACATTGGTTTTCTTGACCATTGAATAGAAAAATAGGCCAGGTGTGGTGGCTTATGCCTGTAATCCCAGCACTTGGGAGGCTGAGGTGGGAGGATCGCTTGATCCCAGTTCAAAACCAGCTGGGCAAAAAAGTGAGACCCTGTCTCTACAAAAAAAAAAAAAAAATTTAAATTAGCCAGGTATCATGGCGTGTGCCTGTAGTCCCAGCTACTCAGGAGGCTGAGGCAGGAGGAGCCCTTGAACTCAGGAGTTCAAGGCTGCAGTGAGCTATGATCACACCATTGCCCTCCAGCCTGGATGACAGAGTGAGACCTTGTCTCAAAATAGTAATCCTTATAATAATAAAATACATGTAACATACTTCAGAATAGTTGTGACTCCAGTACATAACACCACATTTAGAGTTTCTGCAAGTTCTTTATTTGGAGTCTTCAATAATAAATCAGAGCCAGGTGTACTTGTGCAACCTGCAGTCCCAACTACTTGGGAGGCTGAGACAGGAGAATCACTTGAATTCCAGAGTTGAAGGCCAGGCTGGGCAAGATAGTGATACCCATCTCTAAAAGAAAAAAATTAAATATTTAAACAAAATTTTAAAAGTAATAAATGAGATTCCCGTGTTCCTCAAATGAAAGCTTACCTTAGGCTATTGCTTTAACTGGAAACTACTTTGGAGAACACTGACTATAACCCCCATTTTGTAAAGATGTATATTCAGACATGAGCTATGAATGGGGTGACCATATAATTCATCATCCACACTAAGGTATTTTTGGGTGTGAAAGGGGTGTTATAATTATTGTTGTTGTAATAATGGGCATATACAGGACTGTCCTAGGCTTTCTAGTTGTGGAGCGACTTGGCAACAGACAGAGCCACCAGCTCTGTGTAAGTCAGCATGATCTGCTGCAGAAGCCTGAGGGATGTGACAAAAGCAGACCTGATTCGAGCTGGGTTTATAGCACAAGATGGTCTAATTTAATGGCAGGACATGATGGTAACAGTTTCTAGGCAGAGGCAATGAAGATGGTATGGTCCTAGGAGAACCATACAGTCTGTGTTGGCATAGTACAGGGTAGAGTATGAAGAATGGAAACTGAGATTATCAGAGTCTGGTCAAGAAAGCCAACATTTGGGATAAGGCTGTCATCCAAGTAACAGTTACTAGAGTGGAAGTCTAGTCCCAGCCACCATCCCTCAGTCCCATGAAGAGCCCTCATATGACGTAAGACAGCTAGCCTATCCCAAACCTTACCATGTTGTTGGGGGTGGTAAGATTCTTAGTATTCTCCTTGCCTTGCCTAAATGAGCTTTGAGAAGGCTGCAGCCTCAATAAGGAATAATGTCTGAAGGGGTTGTGCAATCTACATCATTTTATACAAGTAGAGGCAAGACCCGGGATAAGTTCGATAAAATTTTTTTTTTATTATACTTTAAGTTTTAGGGTACATGTGCATAATGTGCAGGTTAGTTACATAGGTATACATGTGCCATACTGGTGTGCTGCACCCATTAACTCATCATTTAGCATTAGGTATATCTCCTAAAGCTATCCCTCCCCCCTCCCCACACGCCACAACAGTCCCCAGAGTGTGATATTCCCCTTCCTGTGTCCATGTGTTCTCATTGTTCAATTCCCATCTATGAGTGAGAATATGCTGTGTTTGTTTTTTTGTTCTTGAGATAGTTTACTGAGAATGATGATTTCTAATTTCATCCATGTCCCTAAAAAGGACATGAACTCATCATTTTTTATGGCTGCATAGTATTCCATGGTGTATATGTGCCACATTTTCTTAATCCAGTCTATCGTTGTTGGACATTTGGGTTGGTTCCAAGTCTTTGCTATTGTGAATAATGCCGCAATAAACATACGTGTGCATGTGTCTTTATAGCAGCATGATTTATAATCCTTTGGGTATATACCCAGTAATGGGATGGCTGGGTCAAATTTTTAAATATTTCAAAGGTTACCATCACAAGGCAGTTAAAATTTGTATTATGAAATATTTTCAAACACATATAAAAGAGAGAAAATAAACACCAGTGTACTTGCCAATCAGCTTTGCCAAACCCAAATATTTTGCAATATTTGTTTCAAATATTGTTTTTAAGAAGTAAAATATTATAGAATGCAGCTAAATTTCCTCCTCCAACCCGTCTCATTTATCTTCCTCCCGCCCAAGATGTAACCACTATCCTGAATTCAACATTTCTCATTAACATGCACACTTTTTGTTTTTGCTAAATATGTGTGTATATATTGTGTTCTAAAACTCAGTTTAAATAGTGTCATAATACTTACAGTACTCTACCATTTTTCTTACCACATTAGATTTATAGATTTATTTTTCAGATATATCTATTTTGATGCATGTAGCCAGTTTATTATCTCAACAGTTTTAATGTCATTATATTGAACATATCACTATATATAATACACACACAGATAAATAGGTAATATAGACAGAAAAAAAGATAGGTGAATAGAGAGAAGATAGATAGATAGATAGATGATAGATAGATAGATAGATACATACATACATACATACATACATACATAAATATGTAGATAACTATTCCTCCGTTAATGGATATTTAGGTTGTTTCCAATTATTTGCTATTACATATCTCACCAACAGTGGTTGAGAATTTTAATTGTTCCACGTGCTTGCCAACTACTGGATTTTCACTTTTTTTAAGTACTGCCTATCTAATACGTATGGCATAAAACTTGATTGTTGTTTCCATTTCCCTGATACTAGCAGGATTGAAAATAAATTTCATATGTTTGTGGGCCTCTCAGGGTTCTTCTGTGAATTTCTGCTTCACATTATTCACCCACTTTTCTCTAGTTGTTTTTATATATTCCAGACCTAACCATTTTTTGTTATATGCTTTACTAATGTCCACCACTCCCTGGAATGTCTGTTCACTTTGATTCTGATGCCTTTTATTCTATGAAAGTTTTTCATTTTAATGAAAACCGATTCATCAAAATGTTCCTTTTTTGCTTACGTTTTTTGTGTCTTATTTTTTAAGCTCTGTCCTGCTTCAAGTTTAAATTTCTACCAAAAGTATTGATGTTTTACTTTTTACATGTATGTGTTCCATAAAAAATCCACTGAGCAGATCCACTGCTCAAGTTCTATAAAAAAACTACAGAAATGTTGATTGGAATTGCATGGAATTTGTGGATTAATTTGGAGAAAAGTGGTATCTTTACAATAGCAAGGCTTTCCATCTATGCATTTGTATCTCTTTTAATCAAGTCTTAATTTGTGTTGTGGCAGATTCCGCTACTTGCCTTCTCAACAAACTGCTTTCTTCCTTGATAAGAAAATACAAATATGTTTTAGAGATGGCAATGTGTTCAGCTTCAGGTGACGAATACACAGTAGGCATTCAATAAATAGCACCTACTTAATTATCATCATCCCCCTGGTCTACCATTTGGTAACCAAAGCGAAATAAAGTTCTAAGCAGGGGTCAGCAAACTACAGCCCACAGTTAGTCTGACCCACTTACAATTTTTATGAAGAAGTTTTTCTGGAACACAGCCAGGCCCATTTGTTTACATGTTGTCTATGTCTGCATTCGCACTAGAGCAGCAAAGTTGAATGATTGCAACAGAGACTATATATAGCCACCAGAGCCTATCTGGCCCTTTCACAGACAAAGTTGGCCAATCCCTGCCTTAGACGGTATTCTTTGCGAGATATTGGTTTGGAAGGTTCTATTCCTCTATGCCAGATGCTTATTGTTCCATACTTTGTTGCAACTAAAAGTGTCCATGGGGCCCAATGTTGGCTGAATGTTTCTGGAAAGACTTTTAAACTCCTGATAAACGTAATGACCATAAAAGAAAAGCTTGCTATCACCAACTCTTCCATCTATTTCCTGCCTCAAACACAGATTTGATGCCTGGAACTTTGAGAGCTACTTTGCAATTATGGGGTAACTCTTATGGGGGGAAGAGCTAGAGGGCAAGCAATAAGCTTAAGGTGGCAGGCAGAGCTGGCTATATAATTTGCAAATCCCAATAAAAAATTAAAATGCAGGGCCTCACCCAAAAAGCAGAAAAAAGTGTCATTAAAGGTACTAAAATATAAAGCATTTTCCTTTCTTCCATGGACTCTTTCTCAACTTGCCATAGCATTTTTTTAATCTTTTCAAGACAAGGTCTGGCTCTATAGCCCAAGCTGGAGTGCAGTGGCAGTGTTTCGCCTCACTGCAACATTTGCCTCCCAGGCTCAAACCATTCTCCAACTTCAGCCTCCCAAGTAGCTGGGACTACAGATGCATGCCACCACGATGGGTGAATTTTTGTATTTTTTATAGAGATCTGGTTTTGCCATGTTGCCCAGGCTGGTCTCGAACTCGTGAGCTCAAGTGATCCGCCCCCCTCGGCCTTCCAAAGTGCTAAGATTATAGGCATGAGCCACTGTGTCTGGCTCCATAGTGTTTTTTATTTACTACTTGATGATGTTATCAGTAAAGAATAAAATTTAATTTATTAGCATGAATTTTATCATTGCAGTTTATATTGTTTAATGCCAGTGTTAAATGCAAGAGCATTTGATTTATATACAGAATCACCAACATTATGCTACTTGCATTTCTTACCTTGTATACGCATGCATGTGTATTTCTTTCTTACCAAACACTGAGGACACTGCACAAGACAAACTCAATTGTCTTTATTTCATGTTTTGATTCACACACATAGTCCCAAAATTCTCTACTTTCCACTTACTGATGAGTAAGGAAGGGACTGAAAGGAAAAGGTACAATGCATTGCCCTATTTTTCCCTTTCCTTTGATGCCATCATTTTTGGTATAAATGAAATGGCTAATATAGGGACGTGACATGAAAGTGAAAGGATATAAGACTCCTTGCTTATTTATAGTCCTTAGAATGGCACTGCCTTCTTTTTATATTTGAAGCAAGTTTTCGTTTAAATGAAAAGTGTAGCCGCTCTGGAATATCATCTCCCCTACTTAGTCATAGATGTAACATGTTTAACTTGTGCTCACTTTGAGTCTCAATGAACTCCCATGATTCCTGGGTCCACTGGAATTCAATCCTTATGGGACATCACAAAGACTATATGCAAATGGAGGGGCAAGGAATGACAGACACTCATATTGTATGTATTTCCTCTCATTACACACATGTTCCACTGTCCCATCAGAGTTCATTTACTCAACACAAGTGCAAAGATAAAATTTTCAAGGCATTCAAACAGCAACAGCAAGCTTTAAACCAAGCAAGAGACCCTTCTGAGTTTGAACCCTATATGACTTTACAGGTCACACGCCCCTGAAGCCACTCTTGATGGCACAGCAAAAATGGGCAAAGCCTAGAACAATGCCGACATTGTTGAGTTGCCACAACAAACTACCTTCAGATATATATTTTTTTAATTTATTATTATTTTACTTTAAGTTTTAGGGTACATGTGCACAATGTGCAGGTTAGTTACATATGTATACATGTGCCATGCTGGTGTGCTGCACCCACTAACTTGTCATCTAGCATTACGTATATCTCCCAATGGTATCCCTCCCCACTCCCCCACCCCACAGCAGTCCCCACAGTGTGATGTTCCCCTTCCTGTGTCCATGTGTTCTCATTGTTCAATTCCCATCTATGAGTGAGAATATGCGGTGTTTGGTTTTTTGCTCTTGTGATAGTTTTCTGAGAATGATGATTTCCAATTTCATCCATGTCCCTACAAAGGACATGAACTCATCCTTTTTTATGGCTGCATAGTATTCCATGGTGTATATGTTCCACATTTTCTTAATCCAGTCTATCATTGTTGGACATTTGGATTGGTTCCAAGTCTTTGCTATTGTGAATAGTGCCGCAATAAACATACGTGTGCATGTGTCTTTATAGCAGCATGATTTATAGTCCTTTGGGTATATACCCAGTAATGGGATGGCTAGGTCAAATGGTATTTCTTGTTCTAGATCCCTGAGGAATCGCCACACTGACTTCCACAATGGTTGAACTAGTTGACAGTCCCACCAACAGTGTAAAAGTGTTCCTATTTCTCCACATCCTCTCCAGCACCTGTTGTTTCCTGACTTTTTAATGATTGCCATTCTAACTGGTGTGAGATGGTATCTCATTGTGGTTTTGATTTGCATTTCTCTGACGGCCAGTGATGGTGAGCATTTTTTCATGTGTTTTTTGGCTGCATAAATGTCTTCTTTTGAGAAGTGTCTGTTCATGTCCTTTGCCCACTTTTTGATGGGGTTGTTTGTTTTTTTCTTGTAAATTTATTTGAGTTCATTGTAGATTCTGGATGTTAGCCCTTTGTCAGATGAGTAGGTTGTGAAAATTTTCTCCCATTTTGTAGGTTGCCTGTTCACTCTGATGGTAGTTTCTTTTGCTGTGCAGAAGCTCTTTAGTTTAATTAGATCCCATTAGTCAATTTTGGCTTTTGTTGCCATTGCTTTTGGTGTTTTAGACATGAAGTCCTTGCCCATGCCTATGTCCTGAATGGTAATGCCTAGGTTTTCTTCTAGGGTTTTTATCGTTTTAGGTCTAACATTTAAGTCTTTAATCCATCTTGAATTGATTTTTGTATAAGGTGTAAGGAAGGGATCCAGTTTCAGCTTTCTACATATGCCTAGCCAGTTTTCCCAGCACCATTTATTAAATAGGGAATTCTTTCTCCATTGCTTTTTTTTCTCAGGTTTGTCAAAGATCAGATAGTTGTAGATATGCGGCGTTATTTCTGAGGGCTCTGTTCTGTTTCATTGATCTATATCTCTGTTTTGGTACCAGTACCATGCTGTTTTGGTTACTGTAGCCTTGTAGTATAGTTTGAAGTCAGGTAGTGTGATGCCTCCAGCTTTGTTCTTTTGGCTTAGGATTGACTTGGCGATGCGAGCTCTTTTTTGGTTCCATATGAACATTAAAGTAGTTTTTTCCAATTCTGTGAAGAAAGTCATTGGTAGCTTGATGGGGATGGCATTGAATCTGTAAATTACTTTGGGCAGTATGGCCATTTTCACGATATTGATTCTTCCTACCCATGAGCATGGAATATTCTTCCATTTGTTTGTATCCTCTTTTATTTCCTTGAGCAGTGGTTTGTAGTTCTCCTTGAAGAGGTCCTTCACATCCCTTGTAAGTTGGATTCCTAGGTATTTCATTCTCTTTGAAGCAAATATTCTCTTTGAATGGGAGTTCACTCATGATTTGGCTCTCTGTTTGTCTGTTGTTGGTGTATAAGAATGCTTGTGATTTTTGTACATTGATTTTCTATCCTGAGACTTTGCTGAAGTTGCTTATCGGCTTAAGGAGATTTTGGGCTGAGACAATGGGGTTTTCTAGATATACAATCATGTCATCTGCAAACAGGGACAATTTGACTTCCTCTTTTCCTAATTGAATACCCTTTATTTCCTTCTCCTGCCTAATTGCCCTGGCCAGAACTTCCAACACTATGTTGAATAGGAGTGGTGAGAGAGGGCATCCCTGTCTTGTGCCAGTTTTCAAAGGGAATGCTTCCAGTTTTTGCACATTCAGTATGATATTGGCTGTGGGTTTGTCATAGATTGCTCTTATTATTTTGAAATATGTCCCATTAATACCTAATTTATTGAGAGTTTTTAGCATGAAGCGTTGTTGAATTTTGTCAAAGGCCTTTTCTGCATCTATTGAGATAATCATGTGGTTTTTGTCTTTGGTTCTGTTTATATGCTGGATTACATTTATTGATTTGCGTATATTGAACCAGCCTTGCATCCCAGGGATGAAGCCCACTTGATCATGGTGGATAAGCTTTTTGATGTGCTGCTGGATTCCGTTTGCCAGTATTTTATTGAGGATTTTTGCATCAATGTTCATCAAGGATATTGGTCTAAAATTCTCTTTTTTGGTTGTGTCTCTGCCCGGCTTTGGTATCAGGATGACGCTGGCCTCATAAAATGAGTTAGGGAGGATTCCTTCTTTTTCTATTGATTGGAATAGTTTCAGAAGGAATGGTACAAGTTCCTCCTTGTACCTCTGGTAGAATTCGGCTGTGAATCCCTCTGGTCCTGGACTCTTTTTGGTTGGTAAGCTATTGATTATTGCCACAATTTCAGAGCCTGTTATTGGTCTATTCAGAGATTCAACTTCTTCCTGGTTTAGTCTTGGGAGAGTGTATGTGTCGAGGAATTTATCCATTTCTTCTAGATTTTCTAGTTTATTTGCATAGAGGTGTTTGTAGTATTCTCTGATGGTAGTTTGTATTTCTGTGGGATCGGTGGTGATATCCCATTTTCATTTTTTATTGTGTCTATTTGATTCTTCTCTCTTTTTTTCTTTATTAGTCTTGCTAGCGGTCTATCAATTTTGTTGATCCTTTCAAAAAACCAACTCCTGGATTCATTAATTTTTTGAAGGGTTTTTTGTGTCTCTGTTTCCTTCAGTTCTGCTCTGATTTTAGTTATTTGTTGCCTTCTGCTAGCTTTTGAATGTGTTTGCTCTTGCTTTTCTAGTTCTTTTAACTGTGATGTTAGGGTGTCAATTTTAGATCTTTCCTGCTTTCTCTTGTGGGTATTTAGTGCAATAAATTTCCCTCTACACACTGCTTTGAATGTGTCCCAGAGATTCTGGTATGTTGTGTCTTTGTTCTCGTTGGTTTCAAAGAACATCTTTATTTCTGTCTTCATTTCGTTATGTACCCAGTGGTCATTCAGGAGCAGGTTGTTCAGTTTCCATGTAGTTGAGCGGTTTTGAGTGAGATTCTTAATCCTGAGTTCTAGTTTGATTGCACTGTGGTCTGAGAGATAGTTTGTTATAATTTCTGTTCTCTTACATTTGCTGAGGAGAGCTTTACTTCCAACTATGTGGTCAATTTTGGATTAGGTGTGGTATGGTGCTGAAAAAAATGTATATTCTGTTGATTTGGTGTGGAGAGTTCTGTAGATGTCTATCAGGTCCACTTGGTGCAGAGCTGAGTTCAATTCCTGGGTATCCTTGTTGACTTTCTGTCTCATTGATCTGTCTAATGTTGACAGTGGGGTGTTAAAGTCTCCCATTATTAATGTGTGGGAGTCTAAGTCTCTTTGTAGGTCACTCAGGACTTGCCTTATGAATCTGGGTGCTCCTGTATTGGGTGCATATATATTTAGGATAGTTAGCTCTTCTTGTTGAATTGATCCCTTTACCACTATTTAATGGCCTTCTTTGTCTCTTTTGATCTTTGTTGGTTTAAAGTCTGTTTTATCAGAGACTAGGATTGCAACCCCTGCCTTTTCTTGTTTTCCATTTGCTTGGCAGATCTTCCTCCATCCTTTTATTTTGAGCCTATGTGTGTCTCTGCACGTGAGATGGGTTTCCTGAATACAGCACACTGATGGGTCTTGACTCTTTATCCAATTTGCCAGTCTGTGTCTTTTAATTGGAGCATTTAGTCCATTTACATTTAAAGTTAATATTGTTATGTGTGAATTTGATCCTGTCATTATGATGTTAGCTGGTTATTTTACTCATTAGTTGATGCAGTTTCTTCCTAGTCTCGATGGTCTTTACAATTTGGCATGATTTTGCAGCAGCTGGTACCGGTTGTTCCTTTCCATGTTTAGCGCTTCCTTCAGGAGCTCTTTTAAGGCAGGCCTGGTGGTGACAAAATCTCTCAGCATTTGCTTCTCTGTAAAGTATTTTATTTCTCCTTCACTTATGAAGCTTAGTTTGGCTGGATATGAAATTCTGGGTTGAAAATTCTTTTCTTTAAGAATGTTGAATATTGGCCCCCACTCTCTTCTGGCTTGTAGAGTTTCTGCCAAAAGATCTGCTGTTAGTCTGATGGGCTTCCCTTTGAGGGTAACCCGACCTTTCTCTCTGGCTGCCCTTAACATTTTTTCCTTCATTTCAACTTTGGTGAATCTGACAATTATGTGTCTTGGAGTTGCTCTTCTCAAGGAGTATCTTTGTGGCGTTCTCTGTATTTCCTGAATCTGAATGTTGGCCTGCCTTGCTAGATTGGGGAAGTTCTCCTGGATTATATCCTGCAGAGTGCTTTCCAACTTGGTTCCATTCTCCCTGTCACTTGCAGGTACACCAATCAGATGTAGATTTGGTCTTTTCACATAGTCCCATATTTCTTGGAGGCTTTGCTCATTTCTTTTTATTCTTTTTTCTCTAAACTTCCCTTCTCACTTCATTTCATTCGTTTCATCTTCCATCACTGATACCCTTTCTTCCAGTTGATCGCATCGGCTCCTGAGGCTTCTGCCTTCTTCATGTAGTTCTCGAGCCTTGCTTTTCAGCTCCATCAGCTCCTTTAAGCACTTCTCTGTATTGGTTATTCTAGTTATACATTCTTCTAAATTTTTTTCAAAGTTTTCAACTTCTTTGCCTTTGGTTTGAATGTCCTCCCATAGCTCGGAGTAGTTTGATCGTCTGAAGCCTTCTTCTCTCAGCTCGTCAAAGTCACTCTCCGTTCAGCTTTGTTCCGTTGCTGGTGAGGAACTGCGTTCCTTTGGAGGAGGAGAGGCGCTCTGCTTTTTAGAGTTTCCAGTTTTTCTGCTCTGTTTTTTCCCCATCTTTGTGGTTTTGTCTACTTTTGGTCTTTGATGATGGTGATGTACAGATGGGTTTTTGGTGTGCATGTCCTTTCTGTTCGTTAGTTTTCCTTCTAACAGACAGGACCCTTAGCTGCAGGTCTGTTGGAGTACTGGGCCGTGTGAGGTGTCAGTGTGCCCCTGCTGGGGGGTGCCTCCCAGTTAGGCTGCTCGGGGGTCAGGGGTCAGGGACCCACTTGAGGAGGCAGTCTGCCCGTTCTCAGATCTCCAGCTGTGTGCTGGGAGAACCACTGCTCTCTTCAAAGCTGTCAGACAGGGACATTTAAGTCTGCAGAAGTTACTGCTGTCTTTTTGTATGTCTGTGCCCTGCCCCCAGAGGTGGAGCCTACAGAGGCAGGCAGGCCTCCTGGAGCTGTGGTGGGCTCCACCCAGTTCGAGCTTCCCGGCTGCTTTGTTTACCTAAGCAAGCCTGGGCAATGGCGGGCGCCCCTCCCCCAGCCTCGCTGCCGCCTTGCAGTTTGATCTCAGACTGCTGTGCTAGCAATCAGCGAGACTCCGTGGGCGTAGGACCCTCCGAGCCAGGTGCAGGATGTAATCTCCTGGTGCGCGGTTTTTTTAAGCCCGTCGGAAAAGCGCAGTATTCGGGTGGGAGTGACCCGATTTTCCAGGTGCCCTCTGTCACCCCTTTGACTAGGAAAGGGAACTCCCTGACCCCTTGTGCTTCCCGAGTGAGGCAATGCCTCGCCCTGCCTCGGCTCACGCACAGTGCGTGCACCCACTGACCTGCACCCACCCACTGACCTGCACCCACTGTCTGGCAGTCCCTAGTGAGATGAACCCGGTACCTCAGATGGAAATGCAGAAATCACCCATCTTCTGCGTTACTCACGCTGGGAGCTGTAGACCGGAGCTGTTCCTATTCGGCCATCTTGGCTCCTCCTCCCAGGTATTTTCTTAACTAAAGAATAAATGCCCTCATTATTTAAGCCCACTTTTCTTTTTCAAACAGCTGAAACTGCTGTTTTTACTAGATTTCTCAACATATTAGAATTTGTATTGCTATTGTAAAATATAACCTTTCAAATTAGTTGTTTTCATAGTATGTTAATTTATTGGATTTTTGTATACAGATATTCAGATTCTGCTGAATTCTGTTATTAATTCTAATGAGATCCCCTTGGGTTTTAATCACAAATATGTAAATATTATATATACATATTGACAGCATTTTTGCTGTTTTTCCAATCTTTATGCCTTTTTTCTGGTCGTGCTATAACTAGTTTGTATCTCCAATACAATAATTAGTGAGCTTCCTGCTGTTGTTCCTGACTTCAAAGGGAATTATTCTGTTTATCATTAAGGATGCTATTTGCCATAGCATTTTCATAAATTCTTTTTATCAAGTAAAATTAATTCACTGCTATTGCTACATTGCTGAGAGTTTTTATAGTGAAAGAATATGAAGTTTTATCAGATAATTTTTCTGCATCTATTGAGATAAATTTTTTGTGTTATTTAATATTTAATATAGAGAATTACATCAATAGAGTCTATAATTTTAAACCTCTTTATATTCCTGAGCTATGCTCAATTTGACCATAATGTGTTACAATATTGTACACAAATACTGACATGCACACCCATACAAAAATATACAAACATATACATACATGTGAATATAATATGAATGTCTATTTCATAATTGTTACTAAACCATAATTTTTCTTTCTTGTGCTGTTCTTGTCTGATTTTGTTATCAAGGTTATACTACCTTCATAAAATGAGGTGGAAAGTATTCCCTCTTTGCTCATTCTCCTTATTCAGTATTCAGTAATTAATATATTTAACAAATATTTATTTAGAACACGCTGTAAAATATACGGATTATTTGTTCCTTAAATGTTGAGGAGAATGTGCCTATGAATGATCTAGGCCTTGTGTGGGTTTTTTCTTTAGCTGTTTTTTTGTTATGGTTGTTGTTATATTTTTAACTGCTGCTACAATATCTTATAATATCTTTACCGGTTTATTTTTTCTTGTTATATTTATATTTTAGAAACAAGTTCTTGATGTGTTGCCCAAGGTGGACTCAAACTCCTCTGCTCAAGAGATCCTCCCACCTCAGACTCCTGAGTAGCAAGGACTCCAGGCATGTGCCGGTAAATGTTAGTAAGTTACATTTTCCTAGCAATTTTCCATTTCACTTGTTTTTAAAATTAATACATATTTTATACAATTTATTTTTTAACTTCATTGCAGCAAAGTCATTAATGTTATTTATTTTTTATTGACAAAAATTATTTATATTTATGTCGTACAACATGATGTTTTTGATATATATATATATACACTTTAGTTTTTAAATGTGTGAATAAGGTTCTTCATAACTCCATCATAACAATGTTTGTATTTCTTACAATTATAATGTTTAAATTCATATTCCTACGGGATTATAAACTTCTTTAGGCCAGGCACTAGATAAATTCTGTATATGCCTTAGAACTTAGCACATGGTAGTCACTCATGTACAAATTATTGAGTGTGCAAATGTATGAATGAATGAATGAATGTCCACTTAAAGAAAACAATATGAAGCTCTTTTTTTAATCTTCAGCTCATAAGTTGTTTTGGTACACTTTTGTCCTTCTCTTATTTACTACTTCTTATTACAATGCAGAAGTTAAAGCATGTAATTTAGGAGAACTTTGCTGCATTTAAAGGATAATTCAAACTCATTTTAGAAAATCATTTTATTACATTATGTAATATTTTATATTTTTAATAACTTGATATCCGAAAACCAAATTTCGCTGCAACATGTTCAGAAAGTTTTCTTCCTTTTTGGAAATTGAACCTTTCTAACCAAGTAACAGTTGCTAAGGGATTTGGAATAGAGATTAGCATAGATTTGGGTGGCACAAGTGATCCTTTGTGCACGGTTAACAGTCTATTTTTCATTTATAAAATTAATATCCGTGTCTGTGATTCCCACTAATACTAGTTTGAAAATAAGCTAAAGATAATCCTCTTCTCTTTAATTTCCATGGGGCCAGCACCACTTGATCTGATTATGTAATGTCAAAAAACTCAAGTTTTACTGGCAGAGTGCATATCGTGCCTCTGTTCTAGTGCTAACAAGAGCCTTCAGCAATTAATTAAACTTCTATCTCTTCAAGGAGATTCACAACATACACTCAGGGACAGGCAGTCCAAGAAATCTGAATGTAGAAACATTTTAATTTTGTTGCCTCTGAAGTTTGGAAATTATTCAGATTTATTTCTTTCACAAAAAAAGTCCATCATTTTGTCTTACTGGTCCATGTGCTTCCCACCAATCTTCCTCACTTTAGATCCTTATCCTCTTTTCCAAGGGTAGCATTTCCACTACCCCCATTTTCACTGGCTACGTACCTATTGAACCAAGGCTCAGGCTCAGATCTAGCAGTAGGGAGAGTTACCCAGCTGTGGCCACTCCAGGTCTCACAGACAAGGAAGCCAGGTGTGGGCAAAGTCATGTGGACAGCCATCAGTCCTCTGCAGGACCTCATTCCTAGGACTCAGTGAGTACCTCCAAGTGTTTTGGGGATTTCCAGGCTCATCATGAATCTCCAAATAACTCCATTTAACCAACAAGATTTTTATCTCTAGATATGCTCCTCAAAGGCAGTTTTATCATAGCCACAAAAGACAATAATGTGAGCCATGGAACTTCCTCAGGTCCACCAAGAGATGACAGAGCTGTTCCAAGATGCAGAGTGAGAACTAAGAACCAGCAAAACAAACATACCAAAAACACTACTCAAAAATGAATCGTTAGTTAGACGGTTGCTAATATTTCACTTGAATACATAACTGTGTGAGAGAAACAACCTTAAATATTAAAATACTAGATCTTTGCAAACTTTGTGATTAATTAATTCAGCAATATTTATGGAACATCTGCTATACAGTTGGCATCCTACTAGTTCTTGGGAAGAGTACAAAAATCATGTCTCTGTGGAGTTTATAATCCACTGAGAATGGTACAATATATCCTATAATTATATTTAAAAACATAATCCTAATTACTTTGAATTCTACCACTTATCCTCGTGTCAAAAGAGCAATTGTGCACATATGCTTCTATATTCTTCACAGCTCCTCGATTTCTAACTGTCTTCCAGGGGGAAAAACATGTTAATTTCTCTTAAAAGAAACCATAAGCCACTGGAGTACAATGACACACAGTAATACAGGAGATCAACTTGAAGGAGAACCGCTTAAGTTGTGTAGGGTAAGGAGTAAGCCAGCGATTCTCGAACTTGGCTGAGGGCTGGCTACCTAATTTGTGGGGCCAGTGCAAAATAAAATGTAGGGCCCCTTGTTCAAACACAGGGAAAAAAAAGTGTAATTAAAGTGTGAAATTTTCTTTTCTTTCTTCCACATTCTCTCTCTTGACTAGTAATGGTGTTTTTTATTTTCTATTGTCATGTGGCACCTTGGCATTCTGAGTACTTTGATCTGAAGGACATTGGAAAGGCCTCACAGCCAAGGTCTCTTTGAGCTTTGCCTACCCTCCTGTCTCCTGACCCTCTTTCCCCTCTAAAGGGAGCCATAGAAACCGGAATTCCTCTTCCCCAGGGTGATCCATGGAAACTGGAATTCCTCTCACCCAAAGCATGCCATAAAACCTAAAAAGGTCACCTCCTCCCTTCTCCCTTGAATACCCTCATTCCAGAGCGATCTTGTCCTATACCCAGGTAGAAGGTGTAGAAGCAGAACAGTAGTGATCTCCTTCCTCCCTATCATAAAGGTCATGGCCCAACCTTCTATAACAAAGATTAATGAGGAAAACATAACAAATTTATTTGATCATTGTTTTATGAAACACAGGAGCCTTCAAAGTGAAGACCCAAAGATACAGGGAAAACTATCCATTTTTATGCTTAGGTTCAACAAAGAATGGACAGCCATGTAGAAATGTGACTGGACAAAAAGGTTATGATCTGTATGCCAGTAGACTGCGTGGGGAAACCACTGAGGCCTGTCCTTATTCCTGTTGACTTTGGGCAGCATTTCTTCCTCCCGGTTATAGGGTAGGATACCTCTGGAATGAGGGTCTTAATTTCTTTATGACCAGTTGTTACACAGAAAAGCATGGGTAGGGAAGGGGTAGAGTAACATTTTTCAACTTTATGGCTGGCTTTGGAAAAAAAGGGTTCCATTTTCTATGGCCTGCCTTAGGGGAAAATGGAGCCAAGAGACAGGAGGGCAAGAGAAGGTAAGAGAAAAACTTCTGCTTCTGAGGCTGCTTCCTAGAACTTGACTTTGGAGTATTGTTTTCTGAGTCCAAACAGAGGAATGCTACATAGACAGGACAAAAAGAATCTGAGCAGACAGGCCTTGCTGGACTTCCCTGTCGGTCTATTACCATGAGATCAGACCCTTTTGTCCAATCTCTTTCTACATGGCTGTCCATTCTTCACCAAACCTAAACATAAAATTAGATGGTTTTTCCTAAGTCTTTGGGTCTTCCTTTCTGAAACTTCTCACGGCATGTAAAATTTTCATTCAATAAATTTGTTATGCTTTCCTTTTTTTTTAACCTCTCTTTTGTTAACTAGGGATGAGTGAGGAAAGATATCACACCTTTTTGCCCCTACACTATTTGATCATGGTTTAAGAAAAGATAAAATCTCTAATTATTAGCATTAATTATCTTTTTCTTTTATATTATACAATGCCAGTTTTAAAAGCAAATATAAGAGCATGTAACTCATGTGCAAAACACCAAATTACCCAATTTGCTTTTCATACCTCATGCATGAATACACTGTGTATTTTGTTCTCACAAAATGAGTGGACATACCACACAAAACTAACTCAATTCACTTTTCAATTCCCACACATTCTACCAACACTCTCTACCTGTGGTTTACAGATGATTAAGGAAGGTCCAAGAGGAAAAGGTACTATAGGTTGCTCTCTCTTTCCCTTTCTTTCTATAAGAGAAAGCCTCAGTGTAAATGAAATGGCTGAGATGACGAGTGACATAGTACAAAAGGATTCAGTGGGGCTCCTTGGTCATTTGTAGTTCTTAACACATCATTGCACTTTCTGGTTTGAATGGAAAGCATAGCCTCTCTGGGCTGTCATCTCTCCACTTACTAAGCTGTAGATGTAGCCTGCTTAACTTGTGCACACTGTGAGTGTCACCGAACTCCTCCTACATATCTTGGGCCCAGCAGAATTCAGTGCTCATGGGGCCATAGGTGAAGGCAATATGTGAGTGGTGTAAGATGGTGAAACCCTGTCTCTACTAAAAATACAAAAAAAATTAGCCAGGCATGGTGGCATGTACCTGTAATCCCAGCCATTTGGGAGGCTGAGGCAGAGAATTGCCTGAACCTGGGAGGCAGAGGTTGCGGTGAGCTGAGATCGCGCCACTGTACTCCAGGCTGGGCGACAGAGCGAGACTCGTCTCAAAAAAAAAAAAAAAGAAAGAAAAAGAAAAAAAAAAGAAACAGCACACACAAACATAATGTGCATCCCCTCTGCTCACAGGCATGCTTCATTGTTCCATCAAACTTCACATGTGGCCAGGCGTGGTGGCTCACACCTGTAATCCCAGCAATTTGGGAGGCTGAGGTGGGTGGATCATCTGAGATCATGAGTTCGAGACCAGCCTGGCCAACATGGTAAAACCCCGTCTCTACTAAAAATACAAAATTTAGCTGGGCATGGTGGTGGGCATCTGTAATCCCAGCTACTCAGGAGGCTGAGGCAGGAGAATCGCTTGAACCCAGGAGGCGGAGGTTGCAGTGGGCCAAGATCACACCACTGCACTCCAGTCTGGGTGACAGAGCAAGACTCTGTATCAAAAAACAAATAAACAAACAAACAAAAACTTCACATGTAAAAAAACTCAGTTTCAAAAATAAAATAATTATTAACTTCAAGACAGTGACAGCAGAGCCTTAAACTAAGCATGGGTTCCCTCTGAGAACCAGTCCCTGAAGCCAACCATGCACATTGGATTCATCTGAGGAATTGAGGCCTGAGACTCATCTGTATAAGTTGTGATTTAATTGTAGCCTAGGTCTGATCATCAGAAATTTTACAAACTCTCAAAAGATTCTATGTGCAAGCAAGGTTGGGAAACACTGGGGTTAGAAGAGTCTAACATTATTTTTCAAAGTGAATTAAAGAACTCAGTAATAATCAAAGAAGTACGTATTAGGACATGAGTTACCACTTTATACCACACCATTAGAAAGAAGTTGTCTCTTTTTTTGTTAAAACCATCCAGGGCTCGTCAGCGTGTTGAGAATGAGCCTTCTCAAGTTTTGCTGAAATAAAAACTGGTCCTTGTTTAGAGGACATATTAATAGTACTTACCAAACTTCTAATTACAGTTCATTACAGCAGCATTGTTTGAGAAGGAGAAGGAAGAGGAGCAGGGAGGGGGAAGAAGGAGAGGGAGAGGGAGAGGAAGAAGTAGCAGGAGAGGGAGAGGAAGAAGTAGCAGAAAAGGGACAAGAGGAGGAGAAGGAAGGGGAGGGGAGGAGGCAGAGGCGAGAAAGGAGGGAGGGGAGAGGAGAGGAGAGGAGACAACTTAAATGTCCAAAATAAGAAAATTATCAAGTAAATTATTGTATGTTTATGTAATGATTACTATGCAGTCAGTTTTTAAGATGCAGAACTAGATGTGCTGACCTAGAAAAAAGTCCATGAGATATTGTCAAGAAAAAAGTTTCAGAACCATGTAACTTATAGAATCTCATTCTTATAAAATACATGTAAATAAATCATCCTTATAACTACTGGTGTGTGTGTGTGTGAGAGAGAGAGAGAATGTGAGTGTGTGTGGGTGTGTGTGGGTGTAGGCTAAGAAAAAAAAAATCTGGAAGGATAGCAACTAAAAAGATGACTGTTGTCAGCTATGGGTAGTGGAATTTGTATACCTTTCACTTTTTCTTTGTACATTTCTGTTTCATTCAATTATGTATTACAATTATGTATTAGCAAAGAATAAGACAGAAGATATGAATGGGAATACAGCAGGAAAAGTCAGTAGATTTGTATTCCAAAAACATTATTTGTATTCACACCTTCATTTTCCACAAATTATGAAAAACAAATGCTTTAGTTTATCATAAAAATAGGAATGATGGTTACAAATCTCTTCTCAGATATGAGTAAAAGTATTATGTATCGCTTATAGGTCAAATATGAATTCTGGCTATTATTATATTTAGTATACATCTTCACTTTAAAATATTATAATCACATATAAAATATTACAAAACAAATCTAAAACTAATATGGGTTTCCTGATTTTGTTCTCCAACAAAATCAAAGTCATGCCTCTTAGGCAAAGGCCACCATCAAAGAACTCAGGGTTTACAATGCAAAAAGCAGCAGATTTGTATTTTAGGATATTTAACAGGGTCTAGTCTCACTCAAGTCCTTGCTATTGTTCCCAAAGATGTCCTTATTCCTTCAGAAAAAGATAAATGGTTGCAATTGTCCCTATTAGGATGGAGAATAATCAAAAGGAAAGCACTTCCTCACTAATTCCCATCTCCATAGAAACCGCTCAGCTCCCAAGCCCCTTGTCCACATCCATCAGTCAACAGGGTTTTCTGATATTAGGCAGTCAGAGCCAGAATCCTGCATTCCTTCACATTGTGATACCTTGAAGGGTGAGTTGAAAGAACAGAAAGACTTGTGCCAAATTTTTAAAGACCTCACTGCATCAAATTTAAATCCTTCCTGGTCTTTTTCATGTTTCTAAGAAAGTGTTCTTAACATAAGTTTAAAAGGCCCATGTGAAACGGGCCTCTTATCAGAGTGCCCTTAATCCTGAATATCCTAAATGTCCCTTTCTGTTATTTACACTCGAACGGTGCATTGATAAGAATTTCCTCTCTTCCCTAACTTTTTTTTAATATGAATATCCTCAGAAGAGTGAGAGCAGGCTGTGGGAATATTCACCTGCTGTGTGAATACGTCAGTTTAATGTGGAAGTGATAGATGAGTATTATTCACTCCCCATGTCCCTTTGCTCCTATTCGGATTACAGGTTGGGGGATGCTATGTTAAATAGCTGGAGTCTGACTGAAAATAATTTAACTCAGTGGCTAATTGGATTTAATAATTACACCACAGCATTAAGTGCATCAGGTTCATTGACCTGAAAAAGAATTGTCAAACTACAATTCTGGGTTTAGTTGGATCGATTGAATTTTAGAGCTAGAATTGGAGAGATTATTTAAGTCAGGATTCTAATCCTCATTTATTGGTGGAATAAGCTGGATAATTTTTTAAAAAAAGCTCATTCTATATCTGATGAAGCAGAATCAGCATTAATAGAACCCAAGGATTTATATATTTTATATGCAATTTTTTATAATCAACTAAATTTGGAAACTACTTCCTTAGAATTGCCTATCACCCTCCCCACTGCCCATTTTATAGATAATAAAATTGGTTACATGGATATGTAGCTCCAAGAGTGTAAGCTTAGTGCTTTAAGAGACAGATGGTAAATGAGGGGCTGGGCCAGGATAAGACAATAGGGAGCGGTGAGGATAATGGCCAAGACAGCAAAAGCTCCAGAGCCAAGGGATGGCCACATTCAGCTCTGATCAAACGTGGTTGGAAAACATGCAGGCCCAGTATCAACCGATTGTCCCACTTGTTTCAAGAGGAACTGGAAATCCATATTTTTAGGTGTAATTTTCCAATTTCCTAAATACTATAAGAAAAATATAATGTATTTTTGGAGTGAATCTTGGCCTTTGCCTGCCAGTTTTCCACCTCTTTGTATAAAAGACTTATCTAAGATCATGCAAAGAGCAAGGAGCAACATTGAAGGAATAATTGAGATTTTTTTTTGGATCTCAAGGCAATTATTTCCTCTACCCTAGGCTCCCATTTCTTCTACCCCAGGCTCCCATTTCTTCAAGTGATAGCAACTTGTAGAAGACCGAGGGAGCATGATTTTTAAATTTCTCCCAATTCTGGATTCTGTAATTTTATGCTAGTCAACATCTAGAGTTTTTATAGTGATTTTGCATCCTTCTAAAAGGAGACTCATTTGGCGTTTAAAATGGCATAGTTCATTCTCTGGTTAAAGTCAAAGCTAATGGCTTAATGAACACATGAAACCATTTCCCTAATTATGTCTCCGCTCCAGACCAACAATCAGAAGCCAACTGCTCTGTGTCTCTGTTTTATTATACCTGTCTTTGAAAAACAGTGAACTTTTAAAGTATATATTACTAATCTTAATACTGGGCTTCAGGAAATGTTGTTCGTGACTGTAGGCAAAAAGCTTAGGTGCACTCACTGAGCAAGTTAAAACACTCTTGTACATTACCATTTCCTATTACTTGCAATGACCATTTACCACCAGCTCTTGCCCCACCAGCCCTAGCAGCAACATTTCCTCCCATTTTTCCACTTTCCTGAGCCACAGGAAACCCAGTGGCAACAATCTATGGCTGATAAGTGCCTGAGTAACAAGGTACTGAAAAGGCTTCCAGGGCTAAAAGCATCTTTCTCAAGAGGCATGAAATTCCACACTTGACTTTCTCACACCCCTTGAAATTCTATCCCTTAGAAATGCATTTTGGTTAACTTGCTGACCTCTTTTCAAACTTAAAACCCCCTGGTACAGCTGCACCCTAGGGTGGCTTTGCTTAACAGTTTGCTTTACTTGAGATCCATGGTTTTTCAGAAGAAAATGCAGAGGAAAAGGAACTTAGGGACCTGGGTCACTTCAGAGGGTCACAGATCAGTTGAGGCCTGGGGAGAGTAGGGGGTACCAAGCAGTAAAAATATTTTGTACTGCTGGATGTGAAAGAGAAGACAAGAAAGGAAACTGGAAATAGACCCAAGTCAAACTTATCTTACCCCAGTATTTTACATGGCGATGGATGTCTTGTGGAGGAGTCAGAAAGTCGGGCCTGGACACTATTGCCCGCCATACAGGGGAAAGCTTCAAGGCTCTAAAATTGTGTTCCTTTCTTGTCATACCTACTTTCCTCCCTTCCCACCACGTGTTTTTTTCATCTTGAGTTAGTAATTACTTTTTACATTGAAATTTTATGACAGCTGACCATGGTTTGTTTTCAAGTCATTATAAAGATCAGTTAAGGCATTTTCATTAAGACCTAAACCAAGAAAAATCCTTGTATTGATCACACACACACACACTTAATTCATTTTTTAATTAGTTAATGATTTTTCCTTAGAAACATCTCTGTATTAATGATATGTACTAGAAGAAAGAAAAGGTTCACCACTTTGTTGTTTTAGTATCAATAACTGTTGAAATTTCAACTGTTACAAGTAGTTGACTTTAGAGAGTGTTTTCTTGTCTAAAGTACCAGATCAGCTGAGAATGAATCTATGGAGCAATGTGTTCCAAGGGCCTGTGGCCTTTTCTTTTCTTTTTTTTTTTTTTGAGATGGAGTCTCGCTCTGTCGCCCAGGCTGGAGTGCAGTGGTGCGATCTCGGCTGACCATAAGCTCTGCCTCCTGGGTTCACGCCATTCTCCTGCCTCAGCTCCCCCAGTAGCTGGGACTACAAGCGCCCGCCACCATGCCAGGCTAATTTTTTGTATTTTTAGTAGAGATGGGGTTTCACCGTGTTAGCCAGGATGGTCTCGACCTCCTGACTTCGTGATCCACCTGCCTCAGCCTCCCAAAGTGCTGGGATTACAGGCGTGAGCCACCGAGCCTGGCCGGCCTTTTCTTTTTTTAACTTAAAAAATGGTAAGTTTGTTTGTTACGTAAAAATGAATTCAACAATAATAATAATTTGCATGCTTTCTGTCTTTCCTTCTTTCTTTTGCTCAAAAATAATGTACTGAATGCCAACGGTATGCTAGGCTTTTTTTAGCATCTTGGGATGCAAAGCTGAATATAACACAATCAATATATATATTGATCAAAATCCAGAGGTCATTTGTTTATTCTGGAATAAAGGCATCAATAAAGGTCTGGAATAAAGGTCTGTCCTATCAGACCTTTTTTTTCCAATCATATTTCTGTACGGCTGTCCATACTTTATTGAACCTGACCATAAAAATGAACCATTCCCTCTGTATCTTTAGGTTTTCATTCTGAAGGCTCCCATGAGTACATGTTAAATAAATTTACATACCTTTTCTCCTGTTAATATGCCTTTAGTGAGTTATTTTTCAGTAAACTTCAGCAGGTAAAGGGGAAGTTCTCCCTTGGCCCCTACATTAGGGACACAAAACCAGGTCTATCTGATTCCAAAGACCGGCTCTTAGCTACTATGCTATAGTTCTTTCCAACATTGAGGAGGAAAACCGGCAACGCACCATCAGTCTGCCACCTGAGAGTCATTCACGAATGTTGGATAAATGCTGAATGAATGTTCAAGTCACGTAGCAAATTAGCGGCAGAGCTGAACGTAGAAAGAAACCAGGTGTCCCACCAGTGTTCTTCCCATGACCACACTTGGCAGCAATCTACCTTGGACCCAATTTAGACAGACGAAGTTGTCAAACTCGCACGAGAAAAGTTACAGAAGGTCTGGCCTTATGTTGAACTCTCCAGCCTCTGAGTTAAATCTTTCAAAACCTCATCTCCTTGCAGGTTACTGCCAGCCCAGCGGGGTGGCTCAGGCAGGAGCTGACCCTTTAAATGGCCTAATAATCAGACCTTGAAAAGTCCAACAGTAGCCTCAGAAAGCCAGATGAGATGAGGATCGGGGCCTGTAGTATGACAATAAAGAGCCCTAACCAAGTTTTAATTTTTCACATAAAATGAGCTCGGCAAAACAAAAAACCAAAGCACTTGGAAAAGAGAGCTCTCATTCCATACCATACTTTGAACATTACCTAAAACACAATTTCTCATTGAAAAAAAACTTAGAAAAAGTTTGACTTCACCACAAAGAAAATGAAGGTATATACCAAGGAGACATTTATCTTCCAGGAATTTAACTATGAAATAATTAAATTCAACAGAGTATGTAATTACACAAAAATGAAACCTGATCTCCCTAGAAATTTCCCCTCTGCTATCTCAGGGGAATGAGCCAGACCCTGCATTTCTTCTTGTTTGCATTTTCTGCATTAATCTCGCTGCAATTTGTAACAAGAGGTCCCAGTATTAACCTTCAGATTGGTTTCACATCTTCTGGAGCTCCCAAGTAGGGGAAGAGTCAGTTTTGCCATTGCTGGAGGGAGCTTTTGGGTAGAGGCGGCTGGGGGTGCAGCAGCCCTGTTGCTGTGGCCCTGTCGCTGGGGCCATCGCTGAGCCTGACATTAGGATTCCCTGAAGAACAAAGGCCTTGCTCACTCTGGGTGTTTTTGTTTTGTTTTGTTTTGTTTTGTTTTGTTTTGTTTTTAATGAGTATTTTTTTTTCTAACTACAAAACTCAGATAAACCTCTTGAAAATGCTCATGGGCTAAATGCTTAAACTGGCAGAATATATTTTTCAAAAAGTGTGTTTTGTGATAACTTTGTTTTATTAACATTTAGTGGTTTATTAAAACTATAATGAGATAAGATAGGAATGCATTTTTCAGATTCCAGTGAGATTTTTTTACCCTTCTATAAACTGTGTGAGCCACATAAAGTTGTAAAAAAAAAAAAAAAAAAAAAAAAACTAGATATTCTTTTCTCTTCATATTATCGTCAGTACTTTGGGAAAGAGATTTAGCATATAATATCAATTAGTTTTCCGAATGTAATTGCTTTGTGGTGCTTTATTACTTAGGAATGAACAATATTTTAGGTTACTATTTGCCATGTTTTCAGGCATCTTATGAGGAAGTGTGTAGCATTTGATAGACAAGCATTTCACTCTAAGGTATTTTTAGTTGTGTGGTTGTAGCAGGTGTAAAAAAAGAGACAGACTCACATTTGCTCTTCTACCTGCCAGGCTCTTTGCCTGCCCAACTCCCCACCCTTTTAGGTGTTTCTGAGTGGCAAAAACTATATGAATTACAACCCTGGCTGCAATCAGTGGAAAAGCTCAGATACTATTTTTCCTAGCTTGCATACATATTTTATGTCTTTTGCCAGATGAAAAGATTGGCAATACAGTAAAAGAAGCACCACAGTGGTTCACTATTTCTATTTTCCTGGTTTTCCTGATGAACCACCTTCTGGCAATTTCAGGACTCTCAAGGCTGCTGCTCTCAAAGGCGGATTTGCCATGGGGGTGGGTCCCCCTCCTCCAGCGCTTTCCTCTTGCCTTCACTACATGAGCTGCTACTCAGGGCCCTCACTTGGCCACAACAGCCTGAATTGGAGGTTATAAATTCAAAAAAGCAAGAAAAACTTTCCACTTTCTCTGCATCTTTAGGATAAAAACACCATAACAGAGCAATGCTGTGGTCCCCAGCCTAGCTGCTCCAGGGTCTAGTTGGTTCCTAAAGAAACTGATTTTAAGTTTTTCTTTGATATATACTTTAAGGCAATAATTAGGAGCTCTCTGGGGTTGAATTTTCTCGTGTTTTAAACCCAATAGAAACACAGACTGACCTGTAGCATTTGTGAATATGCTAGTATAATTAATTCCCCAAATCGAGTCTCTGCCTTTCTCCAGGAGTCCTGTGAGGTTTACAGATTAATTCAGTTGCAGACTTAGGATCCTTACTGTGATCCTCTTCAGGGAAATAAAAAAGGCAGGAGCCTTTTGGCTTAGACTGCCAGAGTAAGAACAATAGGCCTTAACGAAGTTCTTTTTCTTTGCCCCCTTTTTGAATGATGACTTTTTACTTCAATGCAGGAAGGTTTCATGAAGGATAAGGAAAAAGATCCCCTGTTCTGTTTGTGTACAAGTGCGTATTTAATGACTGTGGGTCAAAATATATCACAAAAGCATGGTCTTTGACAAAAGGGCTGGATTTTAATCTAAAGAGGATGGTTAAGAGATTTAGAGAGAGGTGATCTAACTGTATTGTTCCCCTCAGTTATAGGGTTGTTTTTTTTTTTTAATCCACTGCCTCTTCTCAAGAGGTTGCACCCACTGTCTTCCAAGGCTGACGGTGGGAACTATTCCCCGTGCTTTTGGCATGGGAAAAGGGTGGTTTGTTTTCCTTCCTCCCCACCCCATTTCTTTTCTTTTTTGATAAAAGAGTGCAAATAATGAGTGAAGTTACAATTATACGGAGGTTGCTGAACTGACATTAACTGACGTTTTTCTGATTGCAGGATGTCTGTGGGTTCCCAGCAATTTCAATTTCAGTGACTCACTGATATTCCCTGCATTACAATACCTACATCTACCAGACCCAAACAGAGAACTCCTTATGCTGGTTTATGGTTTTCATACTTGTAAATGTATTAATTGTTTTTCATTCATGAGCATCTCTAGCTAGAAACAAATGTTTCACATAGACTTTGAAGAAGTTAAACATTAAATTTAAATGCTCTAACACTAACTGACCAAAATCAGTAATAGACTTAATTTTAGACTATTTCATTCCTGGACAGTCTTCTAAACATAGTTATTTTGTTCCCCAATGTTTTTTGGTTCGTAAGCAACTACATTTTATTTTCTTATTTACAACTACATTTGCAAATGCTAAAATTTATGGTCAGAAAATGAGTGTCTGATTCTTTTCAACTTGACATAAATCATTTGTAGATATTCAATAGAAAGCATTCACATAAAAAATAAAATCTCTATTGTTTTTCTTTTTACTTGTATGACTTAAACCGTGAAGTGGCTAAACTGGAATTTCATAAGTCTAACTTAAGCCTCTTATGTTTGGTACAACTTTCAAATTTTTGTTGATTAAACTGAAGGGGGGAAAAGGAAGATACTGATTTTAGAAACTAGCAATGTGCCACATGGGAAAAGACGTTCAGTTGCCAACAGGACAAAGGCCCAGCCGCCTTCCAGCATGAGCTCCCCACCCTCCTCTACAGAGCCTCTGGGATGTGCCTATCTGCCCCACTCCCTTTCCCCAAGACACATTCTGCCTTTCCCCCCTGCATGCTTTTGCTTCTTTCAAAGAACAGAAACATAATATTTTGCCAAGACTTTGCGTGCACCTTATCTATATGAGTTACATTGTAAATAGCATTCTATTCAACTTTCAAACCATCCCCATGAGGTAGAAATCTCTATTTTACAAATTAAAAAAAAAAAAAAACAGGCACAGAAAGATTTGTCTACTTGCCCAAAGTCACAGAGCAAATAAGTGACAGAATAACTTTTTTAAAGCAATAAAGCATTGTCATTTTTGTATATATACTATATGGTAAGAGTGCGAAGAGGGTGGTCCATTCTACCTGGTGGGAAAGAAAGGGAGAGAGGTGTCAGTAAAGCCTTCATGAAAAAGGTAATAGGAGTTGAGCCCTGTAAGATGAGGAGGAACCCAGTTTTCTGATTCTAAAGCCAAAGTTGTTTGTACTACTCACTTTCCTCATCTCTTCATTCTCTTGGCCTATACAAATTCTACCTGTACTTCAGCACCAAGCTCAGATTCCACTTCCTTCATGAAAACTTGCTGACCACCTCTGTCCTTTGAACTTCCAGAGCAATTATTTATTAGGCAATTTAATTGATGAATAATGTCACTTTGTGAGATCCCTTTATCAATGAAACATGTTATAAATTCTTACGTGTTCATCTGTATTTGTGATTGATCACATCAAGTACACAGCAAGCGTTCTTTTTTTTATACGTTTTATTGTATTTCTCATAGTGCTTTGGAGAACATCTCAAAATTATTAGGGGCTTAACAGATCTTTCGTATTATTTTAGCTCTATTTTGTTGATTAAAACTGACAGTTACAAAAATCCTAACTGCATATCCCCCACTACTATACAAGTATCATAAAGACATTAAACATTCAGAACAATGAAGGGATAAGAGGCAGTCAATCTAATTATAGAAACATCTAAATTAAAAATACCTTAAATAAGTGAAATCTTTTCCAAGTAATCCAAACAAAGCAAATGTAAACAATTGTCCACCTGATATTTTTTCTTGACTCATCTCCTCATCATTCCCCTTTTGTCTCTACCAGAACTGCCCTCGATAGCCCTTGATGGGTAACACTTTCTTGCATACACATATCTGTCTCCATGGCAGGCTTCTTCCATTAGACACCACTGCACTGGGACCAAAGACTGTGACCTGTTTATTCTCATGTCTCCAGCACCAGCACAGGACCTGACTAGTACATAGTACATGCTTCATGTTGAGTGAATCGATGAAGGAATGGGGACATACATTTAATTATAATCCCAGATAGGAGCTATCCAGAGAAACCTTCACAGGGAGCCATGTGGGCACATGGTGGGGGTCAATGCTTACTTGGTCAACAAAAGATCAGTGAGTATGTAAGGAGGGAACACATTCTAAGTAGAAGATCCATGTGTGAGGGCAAAGACTGTGAGTCAGAGATGTTCAAAGAATGGCTGACAGAATGGCCACAGAAGCCCTGTAGGAAAAAAATCACCCCAGCCCCACTGGGATCCCAGCACCCCAGACACCACCAGGCATAAGTCCTCCTTCCCAAGCGAACAGATAGGATTTCAACAGATAGTGTCTTCTATCTCTAAGCAAGTTATTTCATAATCTGTTTCCTTTCTCAGAGATAACCTGCTTATCTATTAAAAAGAGAAACATATGCTGTCTATAGTTGCTCTGCATAAAAGTCCTTCTTAATTTACAAATTATGCTCTTTCTCATGTTTTTTAAAAATAGAAATAACCAAAACAGTTTTGAAAAAAATGTTGGAGAGCTTATAATACTTGATTTCAGGACTTACTATAAAGATACAATAATCAAGATAGTGTGGTATTAGCAAAACAAACTAGCAAGCAAAGATATATAGATCAATGGAACAGAATGGAGTATAGACACACACATGTATGGTCAATTGATTTTTTGACAAAGGTGCCAAGGTAATTCAATGGAAAGAAGATAGTCGTTTCAACAAATGGTGCTGGACTAATTAGCTACACACAATTTTTTTTAACTTATCTAACGTCATATACAAAATTAATTCAAAATAGATCATAGGCCTAACAGACAAACTTAAACTATAAAATTTGTAGAAAAAAAAAGAAGAAAATAGTTATGACCTGGGGTTAGGCAAGATTTCTTAGATAGGACACAAAAAGTATAACTCAAAAATCATGAAAGAAAAAAATGGACAAATTGGACTTAATTGAAATTTAAAACACCTGCTCATCAAAATAAACTGTTAAGAAAATGAAAAGATAATTCACAGACTGGGAAAAAAAATATTGCAATTCACAAACATAACAAAGACCTTATGTCCAGACTGTACAAAGAACTCTCAAAACCTATAAGACAAACAACCCAATTACATAAATAAATAAATGCAAAGTGTTTAAATGTATGAGATCACATTTCTGCTCTGTATTTCTGCTCAAGTTTGCTATGAAACTAAAACTGCCCTAAGAAATAATGTTTATTGGCTGGGTGCGGTGGCTCACGCCTGTAATCCCAGCGCTTCAGGAGACCGAGGCGAGCGAATCATGAGGTCAGGAGATTGAGACCATCCTGGCTAACATGGTGAAACCTCGTCTCTACTAAAAATACAAAAAAATTAGCTGGGCAGGGTAGCAGGCTCCTGTAGTCCCAGATACTCGGGAGTCTGAGGCAGGAGATTTGCTTGAACCCGGGAGGCAGAGGTTGCAATGAGCCAAGATTGCGCCATTGCACTCAAACCTGGGCAACAGAGTGAGACTCTGTCTCAAAAATAATTAATTAAAAATAATTTTTATTAAATATGTTTTTAGGCTGGGACAATGGTGCACGCCTATAATCCCAGCACTTTGGGAGACCAAGGCCAGCGGATCACTTGAGCCCCAGGAGCTGAAGAACAGCCTGGGCAACATGGTGAAACTCCCTCTCTACAAAAGAGTATTAAAATTAGCCGGGTGTGGTGGCGCATACCTATAGTCCCAGCTACTTGGGAGGCTGAGCTGGGAGGACCTGAGCCTGTGAAGGTCGAGACTGCAGTGAGCTGTGATCATACCACTGCACTCCAGACTGGGCAACAGAGTGAGACCCTATCTTGAAAAAGTAAATAAATAAATAAATATGTATGTTTTTAAATTTTATGTAATTAAATATGAGGAAGCAATTCTAAAAAGAACAGTATTTTCTTCCTTTTTTCCATATGAAATAAGAATTTTATACTACTGCACCAAGCTTAAGGCAATAATTCAAATTGAAGTTCCAGTAAATGATGTTTTCAAAACTCTGTAAGTAGTTTAGACCTTTATAAGCCTTTATAAGCAGTTTTTTTAAGCACTTCCTGGGCAAGCCTGGGCTTTTCACCTTGGTGGTTATTCTGAAGGCAAGTTCATAGCTTTGGTTCACTCAAACTGGTGAGCTTCGCACAAAGTAAAACAATGTTCCAGTACCTTGGCAGCATGCCAGTCGTGGATACCTCTCTTACAGAAGGGATTTTTTAAATCACAAAGTGGACTGATCCAGTGTGGATGGCTTACTATAAACTCATTACCATTTTGAATAAAACAACTGAAAATGGTCTTCCTGCACTGGGCCAGAGGAATACTTTATTTATGTTAAACAATGGTACATCACTGAGGATTTGTAAATTGAAGATTACAGAAGTCAGACTACTAATTCCTCACTGAATAGGGTAGCTAACCCTCTAAGACTCCACCACTTGGTTGTGACCCTGTAACTCTGCCTGGACAAATCCAAGTTTGTGTTATTAAACCACCATAATTATTTCAGCAAAACATCTCTTTCATTAGGGGATTGTAGAAGGCCAGTTAATAGCCCTCCATTGCAGCAGCTATCTCTAAATTTATTTTGGAAAGCACAATACCTGAATGGGCCTCATTCTGTGAGCCGTGGTTCCTGCCCTTCCATCTCACTGGGCAGCATGGCTGCTGTCATTTTATTAATAGTTGATATGGTTTGGATCTGTGTCCCCATTCAAAGCTCATATTGAATTGTAATCCCCAGTATTGGAGGTGGGGCTGGTGGGAGGTGATTGGATCATGGGGTGGATTTCTCATGAATGGGTCACCACCATCCTCTTCATGCTGTCTCACAAGAGCTGGCTGTTTAAAAGTGTGTGACACCTCTCCCCGCCTCCCTGTTGTTCCTGCTTTGCCCATGTGACAAGTCTGCTCCCCCTTTGCTTTCCTCCATGAGTGTAAGTTTCCTGAGGCCTCCTCAGAAACCAAGAAGATGTCAACACCATGCTTCCTATACAGCTCACAGAACTGTGAGCCAATTAAACCTTTTTTCTTTACACATTACCTAGTCTCAGGTATTCCTTCATAGCAATGTGAGAATGGCCTAACACAGGAGTGTTAATCAAACTCTGATTTGTGATTTGGTTCTGCCAACCAGATTGTCCTTACTCACGGAAAGAAGGAATAAATACGCTCAACACTGCCATGTGCGTCTCAGGCCCTCATTCCTTGCTGTGGTCTTCTCGCCTATAATCTACTTGTTTCGCCCTTAGTCCCATCTCAATTAGCTACAATTTAATTCCACCCAAAGCAATTTAAAACATCCCGTATTTCTTCCTGAGAAAGAGGACATAGAACACTCAGATTGTATCACTTGTTGTGTGCAGACACAGGGACATAGACTGAAAGAAATCACTCGTAGAGAGGAAAGGAAGCCCAGCAGCACACTTTTTCCAAGGCATGCTAGAGAAAAGCAAAAGCCTTAGCAATGTTATTGATAAAAACTGCCCTGCAAGAACAAGCATAGAAGAGGCTTAGGACTATCTGAAAATGGCACTAAAAGCCTGCAAGAAAGATACAGGAAAAACCAATGTGTTTTCCTACTGTCTCTCACCATTCAGTACAATACTTCTGACACCAGAGGTGCGGGGGTGGTTTTCCCTACACACCAACCAAGTAATCAATTCTGCAGTAGATCAGCTAGGTGTCCTGTAATTCAATTTAATTATGACACTATCTATCAGCATCAGATCCCACAGATTGAGATCTCAGTCCCACAACACTGCCCCCCTCCACTTCAGATGCTAGTCAAAATCCCCAGGTTGTGACCTGTGCTTCTAACTGACCAGCTATAAATTGGGGTTCCCACTACCCTTCCTTGGGTTAGCTTTATGTACTAGATCTATTCACAAAACTCAAGGAAACACTTAACTTGTGTTTACCAGCTTATTGTAAAGGATATTACAAAGGATACAGATAAACAGCCAGATGAATGGATGGATAGGGCGAGGTATGAGGGAAGGGGTATGGAGTTTCCATGCCCTTATCAGGCACACTGCCCTCCAGGAACCTCCATGTGTTCAGCTCTCCAGAAGCTTCCAGAACCCAGTCTTTTGGGGTTTATATGGAGGCTTCATTACATAGGCATGATTGATTACATCACTGGCCATTGGTGATCAACCCAACCTTCAGCTCTCACACCTCCTTGCAATTTGGGAGGTGGGACTGAAAGTTCCAATCCTCTAATCATGCCTTAATCTTTCTGGTGACTAGACTCCATCCTGAAGCTACCTGGAGGTCCCAGCCACCAGTCATCTCATTAGCATACAAAAGACATTCTTATCACTCCAGAGATTCCAGGGGTTTTAGGAGCTGTATGTCAGGAAATGGGGATGAAAACCAAATATATATTTTACAAAATTGCATGGCCCAAGGCAGATTTCCATATCTGCATTTAATCCATCAGGAACAAGACAATTTGCAACAATTTGCAAAGAACGATCTGCAGGCTTTGACTGTATAGGAAAAGAAGTGTAGACTAGACCAGAAAAGACACAATTCCCAGGGGGTCCTGTAGCTCCCTGGGGTCACATGGCTATGATTTTCTCTTTACTGAGGGTAGGCAAGGTGTCCTCTTTTTTTGTTTTCCAAGAACTAAGGCATAATAGGTGGTTAATAGATGTTTTGAGGAATGGAGTAATGAATACATGAATCCATCTTCTCTCAGCTGTTCAGTTTGTGAGGAATTTTCAAATCCTTAATTAAGAATAGATACATCTATATAGAAGCAAGCTAGAAGTGTAAAACAAGCCTTCAATATCTATTATTTAGAGTTGATTGTATGTACTTATGTGTTTAGGCTAACTCAGTACTAAAGCATTTTTAGTTTTTACGTTGGAGTTCAGTCATTTTTGGAAAATACTTATGTCAAATTTCTTAAGTTTTACATTCTAGACATTACCAAAATTCTGAATCACAGAGTGGGTTAAACTAAGTAAGTGGCATATTGCAACTTCTATTGTTTTACAAGATCCGATTCTGTCTCAATATGTGGCATTTCATCATAGCACCTGGCCTCAGTGGAACTTTTCAACCCTAAATGCTAATCTGATTTAATTCTTCAGGGTAAAAAAATTCAGATTAGTCTCTATCTAAACCTGAGTCAGAAATACTGAAACTGGTGGGGCTTAGGGGAGGAGAATGGGTCCCTCAGTGGTGGACCCATAGAGGGTCCTTCTGGCTTCTCCTCTACCCTTAGCCAACGTAGGCACTGGGGCAGCAAGACCTCAAACGTCCCAGCAGCATGTATCCCACTGGCCTGCTCCTCCCGCTTCTGCTCCTCCTTCTATTCCTTGTCTCTTCATCTTCCTTCCTTTTCCTTCTTTCCTCTTTTCTCCATTCACAGTCCTTACTCCCTCCTTCTTCCACTGAAGGTCTGTGTTGGTAGGCATGGCAGCATGGCAGGTTCTTTTTTTGGAAGGTCCATGGTAACTGGGGCTGGCAGGGCTCATCTATCTACTAGCAGGGTGGCTGAGAAGGGCCACTCACTCATCACAACTGTTAAAAAAAAATAAGCAAATACCTAACACTTTTTTTGTTTTTGTTTTTTGAGACAGAGTCTCACTGTCACCCAGGCTGGAGTGCAGTGGTGCTATCTCGGCTCACTGCAACTTCTGCCTCCAGGATTCAAGTGATTCTCCTGCCTCAGCCACCTGAGTAGCTGGGATTAGAGGTGCCCACCATCATGCCTGGCTAATTTTTGTATTTTTAGTAGAGGCAGGGTTTCACCACGTTGCCCAGGCTGGTCTTAAACTCCTGATCTCATGTGATCTGCCTGCCTCAGCCTCCCAAAGTGCTGGGATTACAGGAGTGGGCCACCATGTCTGGCCTGTTTTGTTTTTTAAACCCCATTTTAGGAATGCTGGGCAAATACTTTCCCAAGTCCCTATGTTGTCCCAACCATAACTAGAGTTCCCAGCATTTGTGGTAGAGGAATATCGAATTGAAAAATTGGTCAACACTGGAGTTGACATAAATATTAATAATCACTGCAAAGATAGTAACATTTTCTGCTCCCAGAATGGAAGGAACAGCAGTCAGTAGGTACTGTTGACAAAGCATTTGAGATCTCTCTTTCAGCTCCCTGGTTTCACTCACATTGACCTCAGCAGATAGATCAGCTCCTTGGGGATTTGGAAAATGCTGATGTCTGGGCCCTACCCTGAGGAAACCTGACGCAATTGGTCTGCAGTGTGGCTTGGCATTAGGATTTTCTAAAGTTCCCCAGTGAATTCAATGTACAAGCAAGGCTGAAACCCACTGACTTCAGAGTGAAAACCAAAGCATTGAAGGAAAGCAGGGGGAGGAACCAGGATGGTCGATTAGAAGCAGCTGAGGTCCGGGGCACTCACAGAGAGGAATGAAAGGGGCAAGTGAGCACAGCACCTTCAACTGAAATATCCAGGTTCTTGCATTAGGACTGATTACGAAAACAACTCGACCCACAAAGAATGAAGAAAGGCAGGGTGGGGCAACAGTCCACCTGGGAGTGATACAGAGCCAAGATGTAGCAGGACGAGCCGCAGACAAAACTCCTCAGACACCAAGTTAAATAAGGAAGGGGTTTATTCGGCCGGGAGCATCAGCAAGACTCCTGTCTCAAGAGCCAAGCTCCCCAAGTGAGCAATTCCTGTCCCTTTTTAGGGCTCACAACTCTAAGGGGGTCTGCATGAGAGGGTCATGATTGATTGAGCAAGCAGGGGGTACGTGACTGGGGGCTGCATGCACCAGTAATCAGAACAAAACAGAACAGGACAGGGATTTTTACAATGCCTTTCCATATAATGTCTGGAATCTATAGATAATATAACCGGTTAGGTCAGGGGTCGATCTTTAACTACCAGGCTTAGGTCAGGCAGGCCCAGGCCTGGTTTCGGGTCTGGTTCCTTGGTTTTGGGTCTGGTTCCTAGGCGCCAGGCTAACTGCTTTTAGTTTTGCTTCTCTTTCCTTTTCTGAATATAAAACAATATGAGAGGGTCTGTCTCTCTTCTCTCAAAGGGAACCCCCAACCCCAGCCAAGGGAAGCAGTGAGTGAGTGTGTGACCCTGGGAAACTATGTTTCTTCCATGGGTCTTTGCAACCAATGGATCAAGAGATCCCCTCGTGAGCCCGTCCCACCTGGGCCTTGGGTCTGACACACAGAGCTGTGTGGAGTCTCAGCAGAGCAGCTGCTCAGGCATGCAGAGAGACCCAGGAGCTTTGCATACGCCAGCCCTGAGTTCCCCAACAAACGTCTGCAACTCAAGCAAGGCGGGAGGTCCATACATACCCTTAGGAAGGTGACAGAATCCAGCGAGCCAAGCAGCCTCATTCTGCAAGCCCCACTTCCACGACACCTCCAAAGATAAGACCCACTGGCTTGGAATTCCAGCCAACCCCCAGCAACAGGATGGAGCCTGCCTGAGATAGGGCGGAGCCTGGTGCAGTGGGGCAGGGAAAGGGTGGTCGCCACCTCTGCTGTTAGGTCGGGACTCAGCCATTACAGCCTGCGGGCTTTGGAGAGTCCAAATGGTCTGGAAGAGAAAGGGTCCACCCAGCAGCGCAACACAGCCTCTTTGCCAGATCATGGGCAGACTGCTTCTTTAAGTGAGGCCCCAATCCATTCCTCCTCACTGGGCAGGACCTCCTGGCCAGACCCCCCTAGCAACACCCACCAGCACGTGTTAATAACAGAGCTCTCTGATCGCTCCCTGGGGCTCAGTGCCCAAGGGAGGGGAGGGCCGCCACGTGGGTTGGTTGGACAACTCAGCTGTTCCAGCCTGCGGGCTTTGGAGAGTCCAAGCTGACAGGGGCAGAGGCAGGTCCCTACCGTATCACAGCTGTTTTGTTGAGGCATGGCCAGACTGTTTGTTTAAGTGAGATCCACTCCTCCTCACAGGATGGGTCCTGCCAGTGGGGTCCTCCAAGCTGGGGCCTCCGGCCACCCCTGCTTGTGTTCTCCCTGGGATGGAATGCCTGAGGGGAGAGGCAGGCTGACACCTTCGCCTTGGGGCTTCTCAGCCAGTCCAGCCTGTGGGCCCATGGAGAGCCCAAACCAATTGGGAGCTGAAGAAATCAACACAGAACAGCTGCTCTACCAGAAAGCAGCCAGACTGCTTCTTTAAGCAGGTCACTGACCCCATTCCTCCTGATTAGGTGACACCTCCAAACCAGGGTCTCCAGCCACCTCCTGCAGGTACATTTGGGATGACAGTAGGTCAGTATCGCCCCCGCCTGGAGAGGAAGAGCTGGCTGCCATCTTTGATGATTCACAGCCTTCACTGGTGATACCTTCTGGTATGGGAAAAACTGAGGCAACTAGGGTCTTGAGTGGACCCCCAACAAACCAAGCAGCCCTACAGAAGAGTGGCCAGACTGTTAAAAGAAAAACAAACAAACAACAACACAAACATAAAAACTCCATCCAGAGGTCAGCAACCTCAAAGATCAAAGAAAGAGAAGCCCACAAAGATGAGAATGAATCAATGTAAAAATCCTGAAAACTCAAAAAGCCAGAGTGCCCCTTTTCCTCCAAATGCCAACACCTCTCCAGCATGGGTACAGAACTGGGCTGAGGCTGAGATGGCTGAAATGACAGAAGTAGGCTTCATAAGGTGGGTAATAACAAACTTGGCTAAGCTAAAGGAGCATGTTGTAACCCAATGCAAAGAAGCTAAGAATTATGATAAAGCAACACAGGAGCTGACAACCAAAATAGCCATTTCAGAGGGAACACAACTCACGTGTTAGAGCTGAAAAACACACTACAAGAACTTCACAATGCAATCAAAAGTATTAATAGCAGAATAGACTAAGTGGAGGAAAGAATCTCAGAGCTTGAAGACTATCTTTCTGAAATAAGATAGGCAGACAAGAATAGAAAAAAAAAGAATGAAAAGGGATGAAGAAAATCTCCAAGAAATATGGGATCATGTAAAGAGACCAAATTTAAGACTGATTGGGGTACCTGAAAAAGAAGGGGAGAATGGAACCAAACTGGAAAACATACTTCTGGATATCATCCAAAAGAACTTCCCCAACCTAGCAAGACAGGCACATTCAAATTCGGGAAATGCAGAGAACCCCAATAAGATACTCCATGAGAAGATCATCCCCAAGACACATAATCTTCAGATTCTCCAAGGTCAAAATGAAAGAAAAAAATGTCAAAGGCAGCCAGAGAGAAAGGCCAGGTCACCTACAAAGGGAAGCCCATCAGAGTAACAGTGGACCTCTCAGCAGAAACCCTACAAGCTAGAATAGATAGGGAGCCAATATTCAATATTCTTAAAGAAAAACACTTTCAAACCAGAATTTCATATCAGACCAATCTAAGCTTCATAAGCAAAGGAGAAATACGATCATTTTCAGACAAGCAAATGCTGAGGGAATTTGTTACTATCAAGTCTACTTTGCAAGCGGTCCTGAAGAAAGCACTAAATATGGAAAGGAAAAACCATTAGCAGCCACTACACACACATCGAAGTACATAGACCAGTGAAACAACCACATAAACAAGTCTGTAAAATAACCAGCTAGTATCATGATGACAGGATCAAATCCACACATAACAATACTAATCTTAAATATAAATGGGGCAAGATCCATTGGTATGCTGTCTTCAAAAGACCCATCTCACATGCAAAGACACATGTAGGCTCAAAATAAAGGGATGGAGAAAAATTCAAGAAAATGGAATACAGAAAAAAGCAGGGGTTGCAATCCGAGTCTCTGACAAAACAGACTTTAAACCAACAACGATAAAAAAACAGACAAAGAAGGGCATTACATAATAGTAAAGCGTTCAATTCAACGAGAAGAGGTAACTATCCTAAAAATATATACGCCCAATACAGGAGCACTCAGATTTATAAAGCAAGTTCTTAAAGACCTACAAAGATACTTAACTCCCACACTAATAATGTTGAGACTTTAACACCCAACTGACAATATTAGCTCATTAAGACAGAAAATTAACAAAGATATTCAAGACCTGAACCGAGCTTTGGATCAAGTGGACCTGATAGGTATCTACAGAACTCTCCACCCCAAAACAACAGAATATACGTTCTTCTCATCGCCACATGGCACCTATTCTAAAATTGATCACAGAATCAGAAGTAAAACACTCCTCAGCAAGTGCAACAGAACTGAAATCACAACAAACAATATGTCAGACTACAGTGAAATCAAATTGAACTCAAGATTAAGAAGCTCACTCTAAAAACCACACAACTACATAGAAATTGACCAACCTGCCCCTGAATGACTCCTGGGTAAGTAATGAAATTAAGGCACAAATCAAGACATTCTTTGAAACTAATGAGAACAAAGAGAAAATATACCAGAATCTCTGGAATACAGCTAATGCAGTGTTAAGAGGGAAATTTACAGAACTGAATGCCCACATCAAAAAGCTAGAACGATCTCAAATTAACAACCTAACATCACCAGTAAAAGAACTAAGGAAACAAGAGCAAACAAACCCTAAATCTAGCAGAACACATGATATAACCAAGATCAGAGCAGAATTGAAGGAGATAAAGACACAAAAAACCCCTCAAAAAAATCAATGAATCCAGGAGCTGATTTTTTTAAAAAATTAGTAAAATAGATAGACTGCTAGCTAGACTAATAAAAAAGAAAAGAGAGAAAAAAATAAGGGGGATATTACCACTGACCTCATGGAAATACAAAAAACCATCAGAGAATAATATAAAAACCTCTATGCAAATATACTAGAAAATCTAGAAGAAATGGATAAATTCCTGGACACATACATCCTCCCAAGACTGAACCAGAAAAAAAATTAAATTCCTGAATAGATTAATAATGAGTTCTAAAATTGAGGCAGGAATAAATAGCCTACCAACCAAAAAAAAGCCCAGGACCAGATGGATATACTGATGAATTCTACCACAGGTACAAATTGAAAAAGAAGGACTCCTCCCTAGCTCATTCTATGAAGGCAGCATCATCCTGGTACTAAAACCTGACAGATACAACAACAACAAAAAAAGAACACTTCAGGCCAATATCCTTGCTGAAAATTGATGCAGAAATCCTCAACAAAATACAGGCAAACCAAATTCAGCAGCACATCAAAAAGCCTATCCACCACAATCAAGTAGACTTCATCCCCGGGATTCAAGGTTGGTTTGACATAAGAAAATCAATAAATGTGATTCATCACATAAACAGATCTAAAGACAAAAAACACATGATTATCTCAATAGATGCAGAAAAGGCCTTTGATAAAATCAACATCCCCTCATGTTAAAAGCTCTCAATAAACTAGGTACTGAAGGAATATACCCCAAAATAATAAGAACCGTGTATGAGAAACCCACAGCCAATATCACACTGAATGGGCAAAAGCTGAAAGCATTCCCCTTGAAAACCAGCTGATAGTATTTGGCTGTGTCCCAACCTAAATCTTGAATTGTAGCTCCCATAATTCTTATGTGTCATGGGAGGGACCCAGTGGGAGGTAAGTGAATCATGGAGGCAGGTCTTTCCCATGCTGTTCTCATGATAGTGAGTAAGTCTCATGAGATCTGATGGTTTTATAAAGGGGAGTTCCCCTACACATGCCCTCTCTTTTGCCTGCTGCCATATAAGACGTGACTTTGCTCCTGCTTTGCCTTCCACCATGATTGTGAAGCTTCCCCAGCCCCATGGAACTGTGAGTCCATTAAACCTCTTTTTCTTTATAAATTATCCAGTCTCGGGTATGTCTTTATTAGCAACATGAGAACACACTAATACACTGGTACAAGACAAGGATGCCCTCTCTTCCCACTCCTATTCAACATGGTGTTAGAAGTTCTGGCCAGGGCAATCAGGCAAGAGAGAGAAATAAAGTGTATTCAAACAGAAAGAGAGGAAGTCAAACTATTTTTGTTTGCAGATGACATAATCCTGTATCTAGAAAACCCCATCGTCTCAGCCCAAAAGCTTCTTAAGCTGATGAGCAACTTCAGAAAAGTCTCAGAATACACAATTAATGTGCAAAAATCGTTGGCATTTCTATACACCAACAACAGGCAAGCTGAGAGCCAAATCATGAACGAACTCCATACACGATTGCCACAAAAACAATAAAATACCTAGGAATACAGCTAACAGGAGAAGTGAAGGACCTCTTCCAGTAGAACTACAAACCACTACTCAAGGAAATCAGAAGTAACACAAACAAATGGAAAAACATTCAATGCTCATGGATAGGAAGACTAAATATTGTGAAAATGGCCATACTGCCCAAAGCAGTTTACAGATTCAGTGCTATTCCCGTTAACCTGCCATTGACATTCTTCACAGAATTAGAAAAAGACTATTTTAAAATTCATATGAAACCAAAACAGAGCCTGAATAGCCAAGAAAATCCTAAGCAGAAAGAACAAAACTAGAAGCCTCACTTCCTGACTTCAAACTATATTACAAGGCTACATTAATCAAAACAGCATGGTACTGGTACAAGAACAGACACATAGACCAATGGAACAGAGTAGAAATCCCAGAAATATGACTGCACACCTACAACCATCTGATCTTGGACAAACCTGACAAGAACAAGCAATGGGGAATGGATTCTCTATTCAATAAATGGTGCTGGGAGAACTGGCTAGCCATATGCAGAAGATTGAAAGTGGATCCCTTCCTTACACATATACAAAAATCAACTCAAGGTGGATTAGAGACTTAAATATAAAGCCCCAAACTATAAAAACCCTAGAAACCAACCTAGGCAATACCATTCAGGACATAGGCATGGGCAAAGATTTCATGAGGAAGACACCAAAGGTAATTGCAACAAAAGCTGACACATAAGCCTAATTAAACTAAGCAGCTTCTGCACAGCAAAAGAAATTATCAACAGGTAAAACGACAACCTACAGAATGGGAGAAAAAAATTGCAACCAATCCATCTGACAAAGGTCTAATATCCAGCATCTATAAGGAATTTAAACAAATTACAAGAAAAAAACAACCCCATTAAAGGTGGGCAAAGGACATGAACAGACAATTAGCAAAAGAAGGCATACACGCAGCCAAAAAACAGGAAAAAAAAGCTCAACATAACTGATCATTACAGAAATGCAAATCAAAACCACAATGATATATCATCTCACACTAATCATAATGGCCGTTATTAAGAAGTCAAAAAACAACACGTTTGCAAGGTTATGAAGAAAAAGGAAGGCTTTTACACATTGGTACCAGTGTAAATTAATTCAATCCATTGTGGAAGACAGTGTGGCAATTCCTCTAAGACATAGAGGCAGCAATACCATTTGACCTAGCAATCCCATTACTAGATATATACCCCCCAAAATATAAATCATTCTATTATAAAGATACAGGCATGCACTTGCAGCACTATTCACAACAGCAAAGACACAAAATCAACCTAAATGTCCATCAGTCATAGACTGGATAAAGAAAATGTGGTACATATACACTATGGAATACTATGTAGCCATAAAAAAGAAAGAGATCATGTCCTTTTCAGGGACATGGATAGAGCTGGATGCCATTATCCTCAGCAAACTAACACAGGAACATAAAACTGAATACTATATCTTCTCACTTATAAATGGGAGCTGAATGATGAGAACACATGCACATATGGGAGGGAACAATGCATTGGGCCTGTTGGAGGGTTGTGGTGGGTAGGGAGAGCAGCAGGAAGAATAGCTAATGGATGCTAGGCTTAATACATAGGTGATGGGATGATCTGTATAGCAAACCACCATTGGACATATTTACCTATGTAACAAACCTGCACATCCTGCACATGGACCCCTGAACTTAAAATATTTTTTATAAAAATTTTAAGGAAGCACAGAGAAACAGCTACTGCTGTTTACTGAGCACCTTCCTAGTGTTCATACGTGTGATCTCATTTCATCCTACAGTAATCCTATCCAGTGAAATATTCTTACTTCTTTGTGTCTTTATACCTCTTTTGTTTTGGTTTGGTGTTTATTGTGGTTTTATTTTTTTCTCTATCAAAGCTACACAAGAACATATTTAAAGATGTATTGTGAAAATGAGTAGCCCTCATTCCACCTAAGACACTGAGTCCAATTTTCTGGCTACACAAAGCATAGTTCAAGAGATACCAAGGGGGAACTTCCAGTGAAAGCACTTAAGGCTCTTCCTTCCAGAAACATCTCTACCAAATTTTGAAAAAAGCATACTTTCACAGGAATAGAGAAATGCAAGGGCAGTTGAGGGATTCCCAATTCTAGAAGCTAGAAAGCAGAAGAATGGCAATTAAATTAAATTAGTTGTTCTGAGAAAATTAAATCCTTAACCAGCAGGAGAAAGTCAAGATGTAAGCCAATTTTTACCACAAAAACAATCTCAGAAAGTCTTAAAAATAAAAACACCATGTTCTTCTAGAATTAGTGATTAACTGAGACTAAAAACAGCAAGATCTGCTGAAAGTTTGCTTTAAGCCTAAGTCTCTTATATCTCTTCCTTCTTTTGGAGAGTGAGTATTAGTCTTTTTCTCACCATAGCAGATTACTAGAGGTTTATTTTTTGGGAAAAGAGACTGGAAAACACTGAACACAATTGAGTGCAGGGATATCATACTGAAAAGAGGGGGTTACATGAATTTTTACATGCCAAAACTGAGGACCCTCAGCCTTTTCCCCCACTTTACATAAAAGTTCACATGATATCCTTTTGATGTTTTCATAATGTCTGTAATATCGATAATTTTGTCCCTCTTTTATTCTTAATATAGGCAATTTGTATTTTCTCATTTTCTTGATCAGTCTTTCTAGGGCTTATCAATTTGTAAAATCTTTTTTAAAAACCAATTCTTAGCTTTGTTGATTTTTTAAATTGTATTTCTACTATTTTATTAATCATTGTTCTTATTACTTTCTGCTTTCCACTTTCTTTGGGTTTAACTTGCTTCTTTTCTAATACATGCATTTGGAACTGTAAATTTTGTTCTCAGTATTGTTTTAGTTACATTCCATGAGTATGATATTGTCATCATCATTCAGTTCGAAAGATTTCTCTTTTCTATTGTGGTTTCTTCTGTGCTCTGTCCAATTTAGAGGTATATTGGTTAATTTCCAACATTTGGGGATTTTTATGTAACTGATGTAACTTAGTTCCACTGTGGTCAGAGAACACACTTTTCATGACTTAATTCACTGAGACTTGCATTATGGTGCTGTATGAAATCTCTTTAGGTAAATGTCTTATACGTACTTGAAAAGAATGTGCTCTCTGCAGCTGCAAGTCTAGTATTCTATATATGTTGATTATATCAAGTTGATTCATAATGTTGTTCATAACTTCTGTATTCTTGCAGATTTTCCCAGTTGCTGTATCAATTACTGTGAGAGGTATATGTCTTAGTCTACTTAGTGTTCATGTAATGGAATACCTGCGGCTCAGTAATTTATTTTAAAAGGAGATTTATTTGGCTCATAGTTCTGCAGGCTGCACAAGAAGCATGGTGCTAGCATCTGCATCCGGTGAGGGCCTCAGGCCTCTTCCACTCATTGTGGAAGGTGAAGAGGAGTCAGCATGTGCAGAGATCACATGGCAAGCAAGGAAGCAAAGGAGAGATGGGGCAATGCAGGCTCTTTTTTAACAACGAACTCTAGCAGAAACTAATATAACTCACTCATTACTGCAAGGATGGCACCAAGACATTCATGAGAGATTTGCTCCCATGACCCAAACACCTCCCTTTAGACCTGTCCTCCAACACTGAGGATCAAATGTCAACAAGAGGTTTGCGGGGACAAACATCCAAACTATAGAAATACGTAAAAATTTCCCACAATTATTTTAAAGTTCTTGTCTGGTAACTTCAAGATCTACATCATCTATTGATCTTCTATTTTTTTCATGATTATTAGGCAAATATTTCTATTTCTTTGCATGTCAAGTAATTCTATAGCAGACATTGTGTATAGAAGAACTGTAGAGACTTCAGATAGCTGATCAACTTAACTCATAATCAAGGATTGAACTAGGCTTGAAATGGGGCAGTCTTAGTAAGGTTTTTTGCCACACTTTTCTTTCCTTAAGTATGACCCACAGCCTGCTGTGTCCGTTTTCGTATCCCTGAAAGGAAGGAGATTCAGTCCTGCTCTTTAGTCCTGATTTTTGGTCTCAAAATCTGGCAGATTCATTAAGGAGAGACCTACTATGAGCCTGAGGCAGGCCCACTCCCTCTAGTTTGACTTTGTTTCTTAAGCACCACCAGATTATGGGAAATTTTACTTTAACTTTCAGAAAACTTTGCCTAGTTCCCCAGCCTCCCATGCGCGTTCCATGCATTTAGAACTCTCTACGTTTCCAATCTGTCACATAGCCCTACATGGCTGCCAAAAGCTGAAATGCCTTCTATTTCCCTTAGTAGCATTCTTTTGGATGGGCCAAGCCCCATGTTCAGTGTGAACCCAGAATTAGCAAATGTCCCCAGGAAAGAAAATGCCTAACCATTTTCAATTAATTGCAGAAGGACTCTAACTCTGAGGAATTCCAGTTCATCTGGTTACTTCTTCAGCTCTCTGCTGTCTTTAAACTTGTATTTATATTTGCTTGTTTCCTCTAGTTATTGTAGGAGAAACATTGGAATGCAGAAAATTAAAACATCCTATTCAAAAGCAGAAGTTTAGCATGATCTTTCAGATATACAAATCTGAACACATCATTCTCCTACTTCAATTATCTAATGACTCTCCATTGCCTTCAGATATAATCCAGAATCTTTAAAAGAAATCTTTTATGATAAGACTGTTGTCTGAATGTGCTGCATTCTCTCATACTTATGGAGCTTTGTGAGATTGACTGTTCTACTGGAATCTTCTTCCTTCATGGTCCCCTCTTCATCCAGCTAATTCTTACCTGCTCTTCAAGACCCAGTTAAGTCCCTCCTTCTTGAGGAAGGTCATTTAGAACACTCAAGGCTGATTTAGGAGCTCCTGCCTAAATTCCCTTGTCAAACTGCATTTAAGTTATCCATTTACTGCTCTGAATTATCTTCTAAACTGATCTCTGATGATTAAGAACATGTCATATTCATCCTCAGAGGAATATCTGAGGGTAGAGTTTAACAACATTGGCTCTGGACCCAAACTGACTAATTTCAAATGTTAGCTCTGCCACTTCTTAGTTGTCTCATATTGACTGAGGTTTTGAGTTCCAGATTTTTCATCTTAAATGGAGATAGCAAAAGCACTTATGTAGGGTTTGACAAAGACAGAGTGAGCTCTGAAAAATAGAGTGCCCTGCACAATAACAGTATCATAGAAAAATACTTATAACAAATAAATATAATGGGGGGGGAGCTGGAAAGAAAAGACAAAGTCATGAATTACTTACCTCTGGCCTCCTGCCACATTTAAATAAACACAAGTCAATGGAAAAGTCCATGAGGCAAGGGTAGGGGTTTCTTATAGTATTAAGCCAATTCCAACCAGGGTTCATCCTCACTATTCCACGAGGACTTGCCTCTGCATTGGTGAATCCAATGGCCAGTGCTCAATATTTACCTCACTTGGCCCATCAGCAAGATTTGGTTCAAACGAACACTCTTTTTTCTCTACTCGGCTTCAAGGATGCCATATATTCTTGACTTCCTTCGTAGGTCACTATGTTCACCTTCTTTGTCTCCTTTGTTGGGTTCTCCCCTTCTCCCTGACCTCTTAATTTTGTAGTACCCAGGACTCAGTTCTTGATCCCCTTTATGGTCTTTATACTCATTCCCATAAAGATCTCATTTGATTTCTTAGCTTTAAAGACTCTAGAAATTACTTCTCTAGCCCAGACCTCTCCCGAACACCAGGCTTCTATGTCAAATTTCCTACTTGCTGTTTCCATCCTGGATTTCAAATACACATCTCTAACTCACCACGTCCAAAACTGAACTCATGATGTTCCTCTAAACCTTCACCCACAGCCTTCCCCATTTCAGTTGATGACATATCTATCCCTCCAGTAGCTCTGACCAAACTCCCTGAAGTTTGTCTTGGTTCTTCTCTTTTTCTCACATCCTACAACAAATCTGTTAGCATGTCCTGTTGGCTCTACCTGCTCTACAGGTAGCTGGAAGAAAGTTATCTTTTTAAAATGACTTTCCAGAGGACATGCAAAATAACTTCCACTTACATCTCATTGAGTGGGACTTAGTCACATGTCCATGTCTAGCTCCAAGGGAGGCTGAGAAATGTGGGCCACATGGTTTCCTGAAAACAAGTAAGGTTTCCTTCACTTTGAAATAGAACAGATTATTGGAGTCAAGCCCATCACAGATTCTTAAGGACCATAAGCCACTGTAGATTGGTGTATAGGCTGATATTTTCTAGAAAACTAGCATTTAAATCAGTTTTCTGAAAACCAGATGTAAACCTGTCTTAATAGTATTGCATAGCCAAGACAATATAGGAAGTTTATTTCCCTAGCTTGGCCAGCAAAACTTCCCACATGTTTCAATCAGGGATCTGTTTCAGAGAACAGAATCTATTCTAGCTAGTTTATTAAACCTTGACTGAAAGATTAATCAATGGTTATCAAATGGCTTAGAGAACTATTGAAAAGGCCAAAGAGACATAGGTCCAGATAGACAGACATCCCTAGGAATCGTGCTGCAAAGAAAAAAGAGGCTGTCCTCTAAAATCAAGAAGCCACCCACAAGACTGGTAAACTCTAGAACCATACCACCACTGCCACAATCAGGAAGCTGTCAGTCAGTGCCACAACAGTGTTGCCTAAGAGAAAAGAGCAGAAACTATGGAAATTGAGGCTTTCCCTTGCTTTCAACTTTAAAAGAGCATCTGAGGATTGACAAACCTAAATGACATCCAGAGTTCTTGCAGAAGAGGGCCTGGAAGCAACTTGGAGTATATAAAATGAGAACTCCTGTGTAAATGATATGATTTGCAAATTTATAGCTATTACAAAAGCATCTTGTTTATTTGTGTTCAGAAGCTAGAAAAATGCAGCATGGATAACTGAAGTCTATAGGTAATGGAGGGGAATTATTTTCACCAGCATTTGCAATCTCCTCCACTCTCTGACCGTTTTAGTGGAAACGGTAATAAGTGACAAAATGTTTTGAGTTTAATTTTGGCTTCTGCATGACTCTTCCCACAGTGCACTAATAAGTAGTAAAAGCTGAAAGGAAGACAGCTGTCAGGAAGAAAAACAAAATGCTTAGATCACTAATTCATCGGATAATCAGCCACGGAAAAACTGAGCATTGGCTGAATGTTTCCACACTGATGTTTACACCAACGATAGAACATTTAAGAATACAGACAAAAAGATGTGCAAAAAATTAAAAATATTGAGGCTTTTGAGCAAAAGAGTTCAAAAGAGAATTTTAAATAGACATTTTAAAGCATACAGAAAAAAGTGGGGGCCAAAGGGCCATGAGGGGATATTTTAATCTGAATCACAGCATTTGATTTCAAACGTTTGCAGTGGAACTAATTTGAGTTCCAGCCAAAGAGCCTCAGCCAAGTGGGATCTAGCCTATCTTTGCTTTTTAGTGAGCTTTGGCTGGTCATTTTGACTAGACTGTAAATAAGGCAGGTGGTAGGCCTCCTGCTAGTCAAACCCCCAGGGCTCTTTCTTTATAAGAGGCTGGGACTCTCTTCCTGCTCCCATTGACCTCCTGGGATTCAGCCAGTTTCTTCCACCTTTCAATCTCCCCTCCCCCTAGACTGGCACATAGCTGACACTCAAATATTTGTTGAATTAATTAATTAAGGAGTGATCGAAGAGAACAATCTCTCCAGCCTCACATTTCTTTGCAGTCTCCAAAATTGAACACACTAAGTGATCAGTGCCTCTTGCCGTTATAACAAATATAAGAAAAGGACAAGGTTCTAGACTCTTAATAAGTTGGCTCCATCATTGACCCTATTCTCTAGTTTCTGAAACTTCATGTGTTAGCTGATACCCAGGAACCCTCTCAGCCAGAGGCTCCTGTCAATTGACTGTGGCTTTTAGGCTAAGCTGCTTAGACTCATGTCCAGCCCGAAGCATAGCAGGACTGGTGTCAATGTTAAGACTGTCAGTGAGAGCCTGGATGAAGAAGGCACTTTTATTCTTCGCTCCAAAGAGTCTTCCCTATGCTTCAGACCTTCCCCAACCAACTTTAGAGACTCCTATCTCACCCCCCACCCGCATCCCCCCAAAAACCCCCAGCTGGAGCTACTATCTTTGTGGCAGATTATTTTCTAATAATGGCTGCAACAATATTTCCCATCCTACATGCTCTTCTTTTGTTTTTATTTTTCTGTTTAGAGACAGGGTCTTGCTATGCTGCCCAGGCTGGAGTGCAGTGTCTATTCACAGGCAAGATCATAGGGCACTGCAGGCAGGAACTCCTGGGCTCTCAGCCTCTGGGGTAGCTGGGACTCCGAGCATGAGCCAGTGTGCCTGGCTTCTACTTACTCTTCTTACAAAGTGATTCTGACATGTTGCTCCAGTGTGGTCTGTTTCCTCCCCTTGAATCTGTGATGATGGTGAAAGTAATGCCATATGACTTCAGGAGCTAGCTCATAAAAGGTGATGCAACTTCTGCTTGGGTCTCTCAGGTTGCCTGCTCTGGGAAACCATGCTGTGAGGCAGCCCAAGGTAGAGACCACACGGAGAAGATGCCAGGTGGAATATTCCAGTGGACAGCCCCCAGTGAGGTGTCAGCCAACAGCCATTTCCAGGCATGTAGGTAAAACAACTTCAGATGATTCCAGGCTTTGACAAGCCAGCCCTACTATAGCCTGTTCAAATTCCCAATCTTCATAATCCACGAATGATAATAAAATGATTATTTTATGCCACTAAATTGGGGGTGGTGGTGGTTATAATGTAACAATAGTTACAACAACCATTCATCTTTAAAAAAAAATTACTAAATTCCAAATATTTGTTAGACAAGCTAGCTTTCTCAGCCCCTACCCAGGACTACTGGTCTTTCCTATTGAAATCTGAAATGTTCTCTTCCTGGTCTTCAGAGTACTTGCAGCTGCCTCTTCTACTCTTTCTATAACTCTACTTGGCTTCAGTACTCAGAAAGCCTTTCCCTTGGCCCAGTTCTCTCTGTACACTGTGTTGTTTGTCTGCAGCACAATAGCTATGTGGTTGCTAAGGCTGGGTCCACCCTTCAGTGATGCTGGGATTCTTCACCTATTATTCTCAGTTAATGTCTAGGCCAAGGCTTCCTAGCTGCCATTTGGTCCAGATGGTAAAACTCTCTTTCCAGGAGTTTATTTGTCCAGCATGTCGCCTCTTCTGCAGCTCCTGTCTCACTGCCCTTCTTTGGCCACTCTTGGGAGATAGTTACAATTACACTAGAGGGGTATTTTGGGGGCCCAATAGAACACATATCATCTATTGGCCAGCACAGTGTAAGTACTGAATCCATAAAAATTTTTCTTGATACATCCTCTCTATCAAAGAGTCTTTTTTTTTTTTTTTTTTTTTTTTTTTTTTTTTTTTTGAGATGGAGTCTTGCTCTGTCGCCAGGCTGGAGTGCAGTGGCACAATCCCGGCTCACTGCAACCTCTGCCTCCCGGGTTCAAGCAATTCTCCTGCCTCAGCCTCTCGAGTAGCTGGGATTACAGGCATGTGCCACTACGCCCAGCTAATTTTTTGTACTTTTAATAGAGACGGGGTTTCACCACGTTGGCCACAATGGTCTTGATCTCTTGACCTTGTGATCTGCCCGCCTCAGCCTCCCAAAGTGCTGGGATTACAGGCGTGAGCCACCTTAAGTTCCCACCAGATATTTTGGTAGATCCTTGTTTCCAGTCTGAGAAATATCCTATGTTCAGAGTCCGTTTTTGGAGCAAAATTAATGTCATGCTCTGTCACTAGTGTTCAACCTGGATTATTTTTTAACCTGGAGTGTCTTCAGACATATTTTTCAGGAGCCTACAAGTCTACCAATATTTTCAAATAGTGCATTTTCAGTACTATGATTTTATAAGTAAAACTCGTTTGTAGTATTAATGCAAATTCTTAGACATATTCATACATTTAGTTTTAATTTATTCAGATGGTATTTCTCCTATAAGGGTCAAGAATTTCACAGGCATCTCCCAAGGGTCTGACAAAATTGCTATGGTTGGATTTTTTTGAAATGGACCAAGCACTATTTACATTTAATTTTAAAACAGTATTTTCAACTCTGTGGGTCACTAACCCTTGAAGGGCCAAGTCAGGAATATTATTGAATATAAAGGTTCATCAGGCTTTTAGATTGAATAAATAGTATATTTCAAACTGCTTTTTTGTTATCGCTGAAATGTACATAGATACTATTGTAATTATCAATGTATTTAAAATCATACTGAATTCATTCATAGTCGTTTCAACAAGATTTATTCTCTCAATTACTATTGAAAGTAAGATGATTATGATATGAGAATACAGAAAATATTTTCAATGTTAAAAACATCTTTCTGCTTAAAAAAGTTCAAATGTCATTTTTTCATTAATTCCTGTCTTCGGGTTTGAAGATCATATATTTAGATGACCACCCTAAGGAACTAAGAGAGATTTCCAAATTACATCTAAGGCAAAGATTGCTTAACTACGCGTAAAATTTGTAATTTTCAACAGGGAAACAGGAGTTATTTTAGAACATGGAACCACATTATAATATAGCAATCAAACGTGTGTGTGTGTGTGTGTGTGTGTGTGTGTGTTTCATAGAGGGTGAAGTTTATGTTTTTGCACTGATCTCAGATGTAACAATATATAAATGATAGTGAAATTACTGGAACACCTTAATCAGTCTGTGACCACCACCCCAACCGTGGGTTAATCAAGATATTCTTCATAGAAAATACAAATTTCGAAAAAGAGAACAAAGTATAACTGTTAGAATAAATCTTAGTTTCAGATAGTTTCTGTTTTTCCACACAGGACAAATAATAATTTAGCTAATCTTTTTCTAAGGTATTTCTGGCTTATTTCTTAAACAGAAGGATTCCTGTTTCAAGAAAATCTGTAAATGTCCACTTTTTTTTTTCAAAAGCCTGAGTGACCTCTAATATGATTTCAATTTCATAGGGAGTGGAGGGAGGAGTGGGCGATGGGAATCACATAAAAGTTATTGGTTCACTGCCATCATAATGAAAAACATGTGTATGGGGAAATTTACAGCCATAAATCTCTCAGTGGACATACCTTCTAATTAAAACCTCATAACAATCTTTTCCAAATAATGAACATGATTTTGAGATGTAGTTTAATTTCATTATTTCAGAAGTGGCCATAAGGAATTTGTGTCTGGTAATGCATTGCTACAGTACTGTCACTGGATAGCAGAAGAGAATACCATAGCTACTATGACTCTCAAAAAATGCAGGGACAGGAGGTTGTTAACCTTAAAAAATAGTACTTACTGTACAGAATTAATATCCATAGGCCTCAGATATCCTATTTAGTTAGGAAGTTGCTCCAGGAAGTAAGCATGTATACCCTAGACAGAATCCATATCATGTTGAATTTAAAAATATCTGAGCTATACCTAGGAAATAGCTCATAGTATATGCTGTTTTGTCAGTCCAGGGAATGGAATGTGTGTGTTTATGAAACCACGATCCCATTCTTTGGATCCTAAAGTCTTACACAGCCCAGTTTGCCTCTTGGGCAACTCCTTTGGGCCAACCCAAATAGTGTTAACAAATTCCAGGAAGGAGGACAAGTGTTTTCCCAGATGAAGATAGATTGCATAGAAGGGCAGACAAAAAAGGGTCAATGATTCCAGCTTAAGCCAAAAGTTTAAAAACATTCTATGAAAAATGAAGAAAACATTTCCTTTCGGTTAGAATCATACAGAGAGAACAATAATTTGGCTCTTAAAATAGTATGTTAACTGCCTTCTTTACTAAGAATTGTTTCTTCTCTCGGCTGGACAATGTTGATAATGGTAATAAATATGTTTAATCTATTAGTTTAAATGAAGCACTTATTCTGCCCTAAGAAGCCCTCTTTGAACTCTTCTCCTTTCTTCTGAAACTTATGCCTAATCAAAAAGCACAAATCATTATTAAAATACAGTAAATTGAATGGGAGTATTACTTGCTTCTTAACAGAAAGTTAATTCACCAACTATGAATATACTCTAACGATAGTTGATAGAAATTACAAATGGTACTTTTATCGAAGCAAAATAACATTTAACCATAGGTAATACAAGCGATAAACTTCCAGCACCAGCTCAACTAGAAAACATACGCAACTGCCTCGGTGCCAACTCAAATAGAGTTTTATTGAATGCACCTGATTTTAAGCTCCTTTTTAGTGTTCCTTTTTAATAGTTTAATAAAAAAGCAGTTATAGCCTAGCCAGCTTATGTGTATGTGTTTAAAAGTCAGAAAACTACATCAGACAAACTTATTAGTTTATAGAAACTCACCAGAAGCAGCAAAACATGAATTTAATGTGAAACAACAATAACAACAACAACAAAACTATTTTCAAATTAACCTGGCCCTTTGTTGTAAATTACTTTCACAATCTGCTTAGAACATCTGAGGCCGGGACTATCAAAGGTTTCTCAAGACCCCTTAATTCAGGCCTGGCCTTTATGTTCAAGAGCTCAAGCTGCTGGCTGCAACAAGGACTCTGGGATTACGGCTGAAGGAGGGTACCTAGGAGGGATCATTCTTCGCAAACATCTGCAGCCATTGAGATGGCGACCTGCTTGGAGGGCCGGGAAGCTGGCCATTATGGCCTGGCCTCTGTGTCCTCTCTCAGCTGCAACTGCACTGAAGTGCCAGGTGCAGAAGCCTTGCTCAAGAGGAGGCTGGAGAGGAGGGTAATGGTCACGGCGATTACGAACTGATAATTATTCCCTCCCTGTTTCCTTCTTTCAACCAACTAGTTGCTCCACTGATTATTTTCCCTTTATTGCTGAAAATGGTATCCTATGGCTCGAGGCTGATTATTATCTTTCTTTCTACCAAGAACTTTATTTCAAAATTATGTAACATATACAGTAGTTTATTAGCTTGTACCTATTCACCACAAATCTGATGAAATCACCCTATTGAATATTTCACAGCAGAGTCAATGCAAAATACTATACTCTCAATACTCCTGTTTTCTTTTAACAATAATTCCATATGTGGTCCACCTGGTTTTTTTTTTTTTTTTTTTAGTCTTTTTGTATTGGTTGAACAAGTTCTCAATTTATCTTTGTAGAGCTTTCCTTATGTTCACTGACAGACTTAGGAAGTTATGTTTTATTTTCGTGCACCTACTAAAAGCTGGCCACTGTGCTTCCATTCACAAATGTGGCACAAATTTTATATGATACAATAAAATAAGTATTTTTATAGTAGTGCTCTATATGGCTAAATGCTAATTAAAAGCAGGATGGAGTTTTTATTTTCCCCGTCAGAGATACGAAGGCCAAAGTGTTTCAGTACAACAATGGTTTTCATTGCTCTGCAGCAGTTATTAAAGACTGAACACCAGAGTTTCAAATGAATATTATGCCAGTACCAGGGGCTTCTCAGAGAGGCTAGCCTAAGTAACAATTCACCAAAAATGAGTGACGTGGAAGAAATAAACTTGAAATTTGATGTTTTAAGAATTAAATAGTTAAAACAAGTATAAGATAGGCACAACACTTTCCTACAAGTGAGTCCAAATCCTTTCACACAGAATCTCAAAACTTACCCATGTGCCAGGTTTTCCTTAGTATAGGAAAATTCCAGGTCTTATAGAAGATTGCAACCAATATCGGTAACATCTTAAAAAGAGATTTAATATTTCTGGAAATTTTAAAGCCATGGGGGAAAAAAGATGTTTTCCATCTTTTTGTTCTTTTCCTCAAAGGATTAAAAAAAGAGAAAGTAAGAAACCTAGTGGAAATAATAAAATCATGCACATAGTCAAGCATGTTTTCTGAATCTAAGATAACTTCGCTACCTTTTGCATATTAACTATATTATGTAGAAATTGGTTTTCTCAAAAAATTATTATATTTACCTTAAATTTTAAAATAAACCTTATCAAGCTTGCAAAAGGTACCAGCTGAATTTTTTTGAATAAATAGAAATTCATGCTATTAAACGTTATGGAATCTAACCCCCTTTTTTTTTTCAACTTTTTCTAAAATATGAGAAGCCAGTCAAGACAGCAAAGGAGAAGAATCAATATTTTAAGATGTATTTATGGTGTCACATGGATTCAGAAAGCACTTTTTTCTTTTTAGAAATAGATTTGAGGGGAAAAATAAGGGAAAGACACAAAATTTATTGACTATTACTTTTGCTATATAAAATATTACCCTCCTTTGGAATTGTATATTCCATATAACATTATTTTGAAATATCTTTCTTTCTCTCTTGCAATGTGGAAATATTTCCCTATGTTAGCAGTTAGTCTCACTGTTTCACTGAGGGAAATAAATCAAAGAAACAGAATTTTGTGGCCACCTTGAAATGAACACAAACACTAAGTAACAAATATCAGGTACAGACTGAGCACTGGTGGCTCCTCAGAGTTAACTGCCCCCAGCTCTCCAATTCCTAGTCTGTCTCTCAGCTAAGACTGCTTTTGTGAATTTTCTGTATAACAGCAGATTGTTAGGGATTCTGCTAGGATTTATAGGTAAGTTGTAAAAAATCTATTATTGAATCAAATGCCTATATTGTGAGTATCTAATTCATATATTATATCAACTATGATTCAGACATTTAGGTGTTTTCACATACCTATAAATCTATGGTTGAGAGTGATTTTAAAATTTGCTGAAGGCACTTTTTTCCTTTTTCAAATTAAAAACATGGTAAGCTTGGCAAATACCACGTAAGTCACCAGGACAAAAAAGTAGCAAGTTTCCATTTCTTTTAATATTTGTTCTTCTTCTTCTGTCCTGGTCATTTTCAGCAAACAAGGCAATATGTTTTTTAAATTCTAATTTCTACAAAAATATATGCTTATCATATTTCTGGCTCTAGATGGAAGATCAACTGTTCTATAAGTACACCAACTTCTTGCAGCTTCCTTTTACAGCGCAATATGAGGGTCACCTGTAGACAGAAATGCATAGGCTCTGCTCACCTAAACCTCTGCTCAGTTGCTGGCATTCATTGCATATACTAGTTAATGATCTAAAATTATAGATTATTTCATGAAAGGAGCTTCCTAATGCATGCCTTTTAGACATCTTTCTTCTTTTTCTCTCTTTACTCCCTTATTCTCTCATTGTGAACCAAATTGGAGATAATAGCATTGAATCTATTAACTTTGTCAAGAATCACTTAAAACAGCACATTCACCTAAGTACACCCAAGTTCCTGCCATGCAATTCTGTAACTGGACAGCCTGCAATACAACATGCCAACTCAATCTTACACTCTTAACATCCTCTACTTAAACTGAACAAATTTGGCTTGCTTTGCTACCCACAACTCCACTTCTTCATAATTGGACAATCACCCTTAATATTTTTTTGAAAGTAGTATATGCCATCCATAACACTGTGAGGCATGCTTTTTTGCTTGTTGCTATCATCTGGGGAATGAGGGAGGTGGGGGAATGCTAAACTCTTTAAAGTATGAAAAAACTTCAGAGGGGAAATCTATTTTCACTTTGTTATGGATGTGTTCACTGGTTAAGAATGCTTATAATATGGAAAGAATTCAATTTTTGATAAAATTCCAGACATATAGTAGTTAAAGGTATTCAGTTGTAGGAGTCATGCACAGTTCAAAAACAAATACCATGTGGTTAAGTTAGATGGTCTTTAAAGATACAATGTTAAGTGGTAACTCCTCTGTGTAACCTCTCTTTACTTCTTCACTATATATGACTTGCAATTTTCTTAGTCATAATGATGTTACAATATATTTTCTCTCTAAATTTTTAAACCCAAATGTATAATTAAACTGTACTACCTTTTCTCTCCACCCTAGAAGCATTCATACAATATCTCACTTATAAAAAACTGATTATTGGCTGGGAATGGTGGCTCACGCCTGCAATCCCAGCACTTTGGGAGGCCGAGGCAGGTGGATCACCTGAGGTCAGGAGTTCGAGACCAGCCTAGCCAACATGGCAAAACCCCATCTCTACTAAAAATACAAAAATTAGCCAGGCGTGGTGGCGCATGCCTATGATCTCAGCTACTCGGGATGCTGAGGCAGAGGAATCACTTGAACCCAGGAGGCGGAGGTTGCAGTGAGCTGAGATTGCACCACTGCACTCCAGCTTGGGAGACAAGGTAAGACCTTGACTCAGAGGAAAAAAAAAAAAAACTGATTATTTTGCTTAGTTTTTATGGTAACTTGATGACTTTAGCTTTTACATTTTCTCTGGAAATTCAATTAGTTCTTCAGGTTCCTAAGATTTTAATTTTCCTCAAAGACATGCATTAATAATGCACTTGTTTTGTAAAATATTGAATTTTAATCTGTATTTTTTGGTGATCAAAATTAGAAACAACTTAAAACTTGTGACTCTGATATTGCCAACACTTGCCCCACTTCCTGGCCAGCACTTCACTTCAGGAGCCCTCCTTCTCCAACTCCAACTGGTGGGCCCAAGAGAGTGGCCATGATCGTATACATCTACCCAGACCCCTCAAAGACAAGATTACAGTTGATTGGTCCAGAAGTAGGTACCTGACCCAAAAAATGGCCAATCAGATTCCTTCCAAGATCTTTTGACCTGAATCCAAAGTAGAAAATTGGTCTGTCTCTAGTGGTAGAAGATACACAATAAGAAACTCCCTGATTTTTAAAGAGCACGTTCCCTGCCCAAAAAGGAACCTCATCAGTCGTTAGAGAGTATAAAATGACTACAAACCTAACATGGTGAGAAATAGAATGAAAGACACCCTCAGCATCCATGTCCCTAGTTCCAGTTGCTCTGAAGATGCAGTCAATATCTTTACCCTTCCTGTGGCTTAGCTCTTCAACCCTTCCTTCCAATACATTCTCCTTCTTCTCTAAGCTACTTCAAGATGGCTTTCTGTCACTTTCAACTAAAAGAAACATAATTAATGCTAATTCCTAAATAATATAGATTTTGAAAAACCTGAAAACTGCAATTAAAATGGAAACTGAAACTCCTTGACATTATGGTTCATTTTCATTTACTCTTCATCACAATAATATAGAAAAAAGCTCTGAGCAAATTCCAGAATTCCCAAGAATTTTAGCCCATTTTACCCTCGCCTACAAATTCCTGTATTACATGTAGTGAGGATCAATAAATCAGCAATTATGTAGTATTTTCTATTTTCCCAGCAATAGGAAGAATAAAAGGAGAATAAAATATATCGCATTTAATCATATGTTTACCTTGTATGACTTACTTAGTGAGGCGATACCACTTTAGTAATTTGGGTAAGGTTGCTTGAGTGGTAAAATTAAATTTAAATCAATATTTAAATATAGGATTTATTTCAAAGTCTAGTGTTATACCACCAACCATGCATTATCCCTTTCTATCAAGAATACTTTTATCTCATTCCCCTCTATCCAAATATTTAATTTTGACAAATTTCCAACCTAAAGAAAGTTAAACAAATAGGACAATAAAAATTCCAGATACCCTCCATCTAGATTTATAGATTTACCAATTGTTACCACTATCGTACATTTGTCCTCTCTCATGTTCAATAGATAGTAAAAGAAAGATGCTAAGCCATTTGAAAGTAAGTTTCAGATATCTTGTCACTTTACCTCTAAAAACTGAAGAATCTCTGAATCTGCCTCTGTTTTGCAATTCTTAGCAGTAACAATTTTAAAGTGTCCAGGAGAGTTGTCTTGTAAAATGTTCTATAGTCTAGATTTGTCTGGTCATTCCTTAGAATCAGATTAAGCATTTTGGGCAAGAATACAAGATTGGTGATACTGTGTGTATCTCTCTACATCACAGCAGGAGGCATATAAATCAACTTATCCCATAGTGGTGCTACTAAATTTGATCAATTGGTTAATGTCGTTTCTGTCAGCTCTATCCTTTAAAGGTATATTTATTTCTCTATAATTAATAAATGACTTCAGCATCAATATTGCTAGTACTTACTTCAATCAATTAATACATTGGTGGTTGCAAAACAGTAATTTTCTAATTCTAGTTCACATTTTGCCAGTTAGAATTTTTCTGAAGAGGTTTTTGTCCCTGACACCCTCATCTTTTAAATTTAAGTATCATAATAGATTCATGGATTAATTTTAATGGAATCTTATGATCCCTTACCACTATTATTCATTTTGATGCTTGAATTGTTCCATATTTGGTCAATGCAAGCACTCATTAAGCCAGTTCCTTTTTGGCACATTCCCATTAGTCTTTGAGCACTTTGTTTTTAGCACAAAATGTTCTAGGCTCACCTTACACTTTCCTATCCCAGACCTGAAATTAGCCATTTTTCCTTGGAGCCCTGGTTTCTTTTAATGGAGAATGGTATTAGAGACCAAGATAAAAGTGCTAGGTGTGTTCATTGCTTCTGGGGTGTCATTGCTTTAGGCTCACTCAATGAACCAAGCTGTGAAATGAATTTTTAAAAGTGAATTGGTACTTAAACCTCCTACAAGTCCTACACCACAGGATTTTTCTTCTTTCCATTGCACACTTATATAGCCTCCAGGAACCCTGGTTTCCAATTATTTCAATGCTATTTATTCATTTGCCCTATTCTAAATATGAAATCAGTTAATTTCAATGCCAACAACAAGCCTGCTAAGTAAAGTGCAAGATTCCTTTGCACTTCTTATTCTCTTAGAATATGTACCACTAATAGTAGTATGTCAGGGTACAGTGTATCCTGGGTGGTCATGTTATCATTTTGAGATACAGTTGAGTCCATGTGTTTATCACAGTCCCTTCACAACATGACTTCCTCCTTCTTGAATTCTGAGTTTTTGTCTATCTTTATTTTGGCCAAATTATGTTTCTAAGTAACTTTTTCAGGCTGATAGACATTTTTTTGAGACCTTGCCATATCTCTGAATTGTTTCTGCTGTCTTATACATGAATGAAAATTTGAATCTCTTGTTTATTTACTGTTTATTCCAAATATTTTCTAAATTTGATGCTATTGCTAAATGAAATGAAATTTCATTTTCTGCTTATATTAGATGTCAGTGTATTTATTCTGAAAAGGCACATTATTAAATCAATTTATGATTTAGTTTTTTAATTGACTTTTTAACTTTCCTGAAAGATAATTCTATCATCTGAAAATACAGAAGCTCCCCTTTAAGAATAATTCACTTTCAAAAAGTTGTTCACTATCTCAAATATTATTAGTCCAAACTGACAACACATAAGTAATTGCTCTCAGCATCCAATGGTAGTGAGAAGAGAGGATGTCCTTTTGCTCAGGTAATTAAAATAAGTTAACATTTATAATATTAGGTTTAAATGTGTGTCATGCCTGCAGAAACAAAGTCAAATGCAAATGCTAGCAATAAATCTTGAAAGGAATACAAGATATAATTAGATTAAGTTAATTATTTAGGAGCAAATGCCATTGTCTTAATAAATTAAACACATATTATTTTTAGTAAATTAAACACTGATAAACTACTAAGTTCAGGAAGAAGGATAAAAAAGTAACAGTAAGCTAAGTAACTTTCCAAAAATTTGGGTACATTCTTAACTTGGGTTATTAAAGAAATATAATTTTAAGATTCTTTATCTTCCATATCATTGCCAAATGCCAATGTAATGTATGTTTCCCATATTGTTTGGGAATGTTCAGCTCTGGTTTAGAAAGCTAGCAAAACAAATGGGAAAATAAATGTGTTAAGAATAGACAGTTATTGAGCAAACAGCTTATGAGACATGAGAGAAACTCATAAGATGTATTAATTGTAGATAATAAGTAAGCAAGCAGCTTGAGAGACAAAGACAGAATACCCAAGATTTACTAAATATATAGTAAGTTAGTAGCCACTAACACATGTTAAAGATAGATAAAATAAGTGGACTATATGATGGAGCAAACAAAAATGATACTTACAGAAAGAGATGGAAAGACCAAGTAATAAATTATAGATCATGTTGCCTGTAGCCTGATGGCTATGTCATCTCCAAACTGGCCACCCACTGGTAACACCTATCATGGTCTCATTCTGTCCCTACTTGTGCTTTGCTCAAGAAATTAAAAAACAAACAAACAAAAGCCAGGACTGATCAGCAGGCCAATTGGCAAGTCACCACAGGGGCTAGGCATATTTATCTGTGTCTCTTGAATACAGCAAGTCAGTGTGTTGACACCAGATAACTTCCACCTGTTGGACCTCTTCATAATCACACCATCAGCTGGGAGGACACGTGAGTCAAAAACAAAGGATCGCTGGGCACGGTGGCTCACGCCTGTAATCCTGACACTTTGTGAGGCTGAGGCGGGTGGATCATCTGAGGTCAGGAGTTCAAGACCAGCCTGGCCAACATGGTGAAACCCCATCTCTACTAAAAATACAAAAATTAGCCAGGTGTGGTGGTGCACTCCTGTAATCCCAGCTACTCAAGAGGCTGAGGCAGGAGAATTGCTTGATCCCAGGAGTTGGAGGTAGCAGTGGGCCAAGATCATGCCACTGCACTCCAGCCTGGGCAACAGAGCAAGACTCCATCTCAAAAAAAAAAAGAAAGGATCAGAAGTCAGGCAGTGTTGTCCTTTCACTCTGCCTACATCCTATCCTAAGTGAATTTACCTCTCTCATCTCTTCCCCTAGCCTCTCACTACGTATTTTCAAGTGATTTAATAAAACCATGTGATTTGAACATTTTAATTTGGTCTGTGAGTGATTCTGTTCCATGACTGCTGGGAGAGTTTGCATGGTTAATATATTTGGGAGTAGTGTTGCACAAAGGTAATTTCCCATGTGACAGTAAAATTAAGAAAAAATATATTAATCACTATATAAAAAGGCAAAGTCTCAATTATGTTCCATAAAAAATCTAATCATTCAATTTACAAGTTAAACAAATTACCATAGAAAATTAATAGTAAATGCTTGAGCAAAAATAAATCAAGCAAACATCAATCAAAGAAAGCATGTTTGTAATGTGGATTGATAAACTTAAGTACTAGCAAATTAACTTTAAGAGTTCAGCAATTCTTAAATAGAAAGCCCATAAATAAATCCACCCACATACAGTAAAGTGATTTTTGACAAAGATGTTAAGAGCACACAATGGAAAAAGGATCGTCTCTTCAATAAATGGTCTTGAGAAAACTGGATATCAATATGCAGAAGAATGAAATTGGACCCCTATGACATACGATATGCAAAAATAACTCAGAATGGATAAGGCTTAAAGATAAGACCTGAATTGTAAAATTGCTCGAAGAAAACATAAGGAAAAATCTGATATTTTCCCTTGACATTAGTCTGAGCAATGATTTTTTTGGATATGACCTCAAAAACAAAGACAACAAAAACAAAAATAAACAAGTGAGCGCATGTCAAACTGATCTTCTGTAGAGCAAAGGGAACAATCAACAGAGTGAAAAGACAACCTACGAAATAGGATAATATATTTGCAAACCATACATATAAAAAAGGGGTTAATATCCTAAACATCTAAGAAACTCAAACAACTCAATTGTAAGAAAACAACCTGATTAAAAAATAGGCAAAGGACTTTTATAGAACTGCTATTATAAAAAAAAAAAAAAAAGAAAAGAAAGGTAGCAAGCGTTGGCAAGGATGTGGAAAGGGGAACACTGGCAAACTGTTGGTGGGAATGTAAATTAGAACAGCCATTATGGAAGACATATGAAATTTCCTCAAAAAATTAAAAATAGAATTACAATTTAATCCAACAATCCCACTACTGGGTGTGTACCCAAAGGAACTGAAATTAGTATGTCAAAGAAATATCTGCACCTCCCTGTCAATTGCAGCATTATGGTTGCTCATAAAAACCAAGATACAGGCCGGGCGCGGTGGCTCACGCCTGTAATCCCAGCACTTTGGGAGGCCGAGGCGGGTGGATCATGAGGTCAGGAGATCGAGACCATCCTGGCTAACAAGGTGAAACCCTGTCTCTACTAAAAATACAAAAAATTAGCCGGGCGCGGTGGCGGGCGCCTGTAGTCCCAGCTACTCGGGAGGCTGAGGCAGGAGAATGGCGTGAACCCGGGAAGCGGAGCTTGCAGTGAGCCGAGATTGCGCCACTGCAGTCCGCAGTACGGCCTGGGCGACAGAGCGAGACTCCGTCTCAATAAAAAAAAAAAAAAAAAAAAAAAAAACACCAAGATACAGAATCAACCTAAGTGTCCATTGACAGATGAATGAACAAAAAATTATGATCCGTATATCCATATATTGGCAATGAAATACTATCATATATATGTAATATGTATAATAGCACATATATATTGCATATATACACACACACACATATATGCAATGGAATATTATTCAGCCTTTAAAAACAAAGAAATCGTGTTGTGGATGAATCTAGAGGACATTTTGCTAAGTGAAATAAGCCAGGCACAGCCACACAAATAGTGCATAACCTCACTTGTATGTAGAACCTAAATAAGTCAAACTCAGAAGCAGAGAGTGGAATGATGGTTGCCAGGAGATGGTGGGGGGGTGGGTGGGGGGAAGGGAAGGGAACAATAGAGGGTAGGGAGGATAGAGCAATATTGGTTAAGGGGTACGATGTTTCAGTTAGACAGGATAAGCAAATTCAGATTTATTGATTGTATAACATGATGACTGTAGTTAATAATTTATTGTATACTTGAAACTCGATAAGAGGGTAGATCTAAAATATTCTCAGCACAAATAAATGTTAAGTACGTGAGGTGATGGATATGTTAATTAGCTTCATTTAACCATTTCACAATGTATACATATATTAAAACATCACATTATACACCATAAATACATACAATTTTTGTCAACTATCTTAACAAAAAATAAAATTTTAAATAAATGCATTTTTTAAAAATAATTTTAAGAGTTCAGCAGTTCTTAAATCCACCATCATGTGTTCCAAATCTGTGAGCAAGAAAGGAATGGATTTGCATTGAATGTGTCAGGAATCACACACAATCTGCTATCCATCTTACTGACACAGTGGCCTGTGGTAAGCAACTCTTCCCAGTGAAAGTTATGCCTGCCTTCAAAATACCATGTCTGTCATGCTGGAAAAATACAAAAGTCAGATGCAACTGAATGTTGAGTCAGAGAAAGATAAGAAAGGATCACTGTCAGGAAACTTAACACTATAAATCATCTGGAAAAATAAATAGATAAATAAATCCATGTGAAAATTTTTACAGACAACAAAAAAAAAGAAAAAAATTTTAGAAACAACAAAAAAAGGTATCTTTTAAGCAACTAAACAACTAAAGTAACTAAACTAAAAAATAACAACTGAAATGAAAAGCTAGCATTAAAACTTCTGCAAAGTATGTTGAGTAGAACTTTTCTTTGTGCATCAGAATTGGTGGTGATCACAGTCTCAGTTGAAAATAAATGATATGAAGTACTCAAATTTTTATGATCTACCACAGTTGGATCCAGACAAGCTCACAACCATTCCCACCACCTGTATTAAGAAGTGGCAGACTCTATCCTACCTCTGTCAAATCTCACCACTCCTTCTTACCCTGCTCCCACCAGTCAGTCTAAGGAAAGAACTAGCAGAAAGAGAAGGGTCATTTAGGTGATCAGTCTCATGGAGTTACAGAATTTATGAAATGAGATCTTCCTTCCCAAGAGAGGTGGGGCACTGAGGGCAATCACTGGAACAGACTGAAGAACCTATGAGTTGGGAGACTGGCTTCTGTTCCCATCAGGAGGCTCACTAAGCCATAGAACATGATCTTTAGTCTGTTTCTCACCTGGACATTTCTAGAGACAAGAGGCTTGCTGGACAACTCACCAAAGAAGATAGTGCTGACTACTTGCTCTCTTGGCTCTCTGTGCCTCAGAAGATGGCTTCTGTGGCTCCATAGAGGTACAGATGATGAAGATGGAGCACATCAGCAGAAACCTGTAGCAGCAGATAGACCCTGACCAAGCTATAGTGAGGCCCGGGAGTCACTAGCTTGCCCACAGTGGATGCCCTATATTTCTTAAATAATAAGTGAATGACCAAACCATCAAATAATTTTTAAAATTTTCTGAATACAGCTTATAAATCTATCCATTTCTTATTTTTATTATACTAAGAACACTTAACATGAGATCTACCCTTTTAAAGTGTCCAGTACATTATTGTGGACTATAGGTTTAAGTGACTTTTTGATACACCTCCAATGAGTCTTATATTTCAAGATGCATTTCAATTTTGTATATATTTCATGTCTCCCTTCATATTTTATAATTTCCTTGAGAGTAAGGACCAGGTTCTTTTTTTTTTTTTCTTTTGAGACATAGTCTCGCTCTGTCGCCCCAGCTGGACTGCAGTAGTGCGATCTCAGCTCACTGCAAGCTCCGCCTTCCGGGTTCACCCCATTCTCCTGCCTCAGCCTCCCCAGTAGCTGGGACTACAGGCACCCGCCACCATGCCCGGATAATTTTTTGTAGTTTTAGTAGAGATGGGGTTTCACCGTGTTAGCCAGGATGATCTTGATCTCCTGACCTCGTAATCCGCCCGCCTTGGCCTCCCAAAGTGCTGGGATTACAGGTGTGAGCCACCGCGCCAGGCCAGGACCAGGTTCTTACTTAACCTATTACTATATCCTGGATACCATCTCAAGCTAGCGTTTTGAGCAGAGATACTGAAGAATGTTCCTAAATGAGTAAATAGATGAATAAATACCTAGTGTATCAAATGACCAATACACTTGCCTGAATCAACTTCTGCTACACACTGGTCACACATTCCAAGATTAATACAATTACTACTTTTGATCTTATCTGTAATTTTAGTAGAAAAGTTTAGGAAGAAAGGCCACTATTTCCTAGCAGCAATAATGCCCCTCTAAAACCACCCTTGGTCCCATATCTCCATTAAGAACCTGTCCCCTCTCCCACTACCCTTGTACTGGCAATTCTCCAAAGGGTTGTCTACACTTGGATAAGGTAGTTACATTTACTGTGATTGTGTGTGTGTGTGTGTGTGTGTGAGAGAGAGAGAGAGAGAAAGAGGAAGGAAGGAAGGAAGGAAGGAAGGAAGGAAGGAAGGAAGGAAGGAAGGAAGGAAAAACAGTTGAGGAGGAATTCGGGGAAGAGACCAGGTCATGCATTCATTGGGATATGTTGAATTTAAGATGCCTCTGAGACATCCAGGTGAAATTGCTGAGTGAGCAGGTATGTGGTCATGGGGTTGGCTTATTCTAGGATGTCCTAGAATCCTGCATCCACAAATGTGGGCCTATCACTGCTTCCACCCCAATTTCCACATAATACACATCAAATAAATGTTTGCTGAGTCAGATAAATTTAACATTTGTCATATTATCTTCATTTCTTATATCACAACGTTTTCTTCCTTTTATTTTTTACTTTCTCCTTGTTTCTTTCCTTCCTTCTTTTCTCTTGTTCTTTTCTTCCTTCTCCAACATATATTTATTTGAGTGCCTATTATCTGCCAGAGATCATACTGAACCTCAAGAATATAATGTTTAGCAATCTAGGCAATACAATGCAGGACATAGGCATGGACAAAAATTTCATGACAGAGATGCCAAAAGCAATTGCAATGAAATCAAAAATTGACAAATCAGATCTAATTAAACTAAAGAGCTTCTGTACTGCAAAAGAAACTATCAACAGAGCAAACAGCCTACAGAACAGGAGAAAAACGTTGCAAACTATGCATCTGACAAAGGTCTAGTATCCAAAATCTATAAGGAACTTAAACAAATATACAAGAAAAAAACAACTCTATTAAAAACTGGGCAAAGGATATAAACAGACACTTTTCAAAAAAAGACATGCATGCAGACAACAATTATATGAAAAAAATAGCTCAACATCACTGATCATTAGAGAAATGCAAATCAAAACCACAATGAGATTCCATCTCATGCCAGTCAGAATGGTGATTATTAAAAAGTCAAAAAATAACAGATGCTGGTGAGGTTGTGGAGAAAAAGAAACATTTATGCACTGTTGGTGGAAGTGTAAATTAGTTCAACCATTGTGGAAGACAATGTGGTGATTCCTTAAAGACCTAAAGACAAAAATGCCATTTGTCCCAGCAATCCCATTACTGGGTATATACCCAAAAGAATACAACTTATTCTATTATAACGACACATACAGGGTTATGTTCATTGCAGCATTATTCACAAGAGCTAAGAAATGGAATCAACCTAAATGCCCATCAATGATAGACTGGATAAAGAAAATGTGGTACATATACATTATGAAATACTATGCAGCCATAAAAAGAATGAGATCGTGTCCTTTTCAGGGACGTGGATGGAGCTGGAGGCCATTATCCTTAGCAAACAAACACAGGAACAGAAAACCAAATACCACCTGTTCTCACTTTTAAGTGGGAGCTAAATTATGAGAACACATGGACACATAGAGGAGAACAACTGACAAAGCAGCCTACTAGAGGATGGAGGGTAGGAGGAGGGAGAAGATCAGGAAAAATAACATATGGGTACAAGGCTTAATACCTGGGTCATAAAATAATCTGCACAACAAACCCCCATGATACAAGTTTACCTAAGTAACAAACCCACACAGGTACCCATGAACTTAAAAATGTTTTTAAAAAAAGAAAATAATGCTTAGCACAAACGAGTCATTTCCCTCTCCTCTGCAAACTTACAATACAGGGTAGAGAGTGATGTTATTTAAATAAATAAATAAATGAATAAAATTAATAAGAAACAATGCTGTTAAGTGCTGTGAAGCAAAAGCACATGATATGTTACATGGGAGTGGCTGATGTAGCCTCACCTGGGTAACGGATAAAGGGAAGCTTCTCTAATGAGGTGGGCTGAGAGCTGAAGGATGCATCAGTGTGAACTTGGAGTCAAGGTCAAGAGCAAGAATAAGGAGGGATCTGTGCAGAGGACCCGTGGTGGAAGGAGGACCACATGGCATTCAAGGCTCTGCAAGGTTCCTGTGGATGGTGATTAGAGGATCGTGGAGAAAGTACTATAAAATGAGGTTTGCTTGCCATCCATTTTTACTTAATTTTTTAGCTTTCTCTTTTCCTGTTCTTGTGTATCCTTTTGTCTTCATCATTATATTTTATCTTTATTTTTCAATAGCTTAAATATTGAATAACTAAAGTAACATCAGCACATTTCATCATCCTCCCAAGTCTTGGATGTAAACTCTGAATCATAATTTGGGAAACATGGAAAGTTGGAAAAGAGTTCAAGGAGATTCATATTCTTAAAGAGCGTGAAAATGACATTTTAAAAATTTAAATAATTCATACTTTGAGGAGGAACAACTTAAAAGTGTCCAGTACCTATTGAGTGGGAATACAGAGTGAATTATTAAAGGAGAATTAAAATACCTGTTCATACTTGTCTCTTGATTTGCCACCCGCTTGTACGCCATTAGCTACAGTCGTTTTTTATCATTCTGCAGATTTTAATTGTTTTGATTAACGGCACATATTCTTCAAATGCAGCACATTAAAAAAACTATAAAATGATGAAAAAAGAATTCTGCACAATCACCTCAATATATTATTTATCAGACCTGTAAATCAAATATTTTACACCAAGTTGTCTCCAGGTCATTCAGAGCTGGAATTTAAAAAAGCAAAGGTAGTGATAAATATATCTAAATTGACTTTACATTTATCATATATAAACATGATATATATGGACAATATAGAACTGGGCCATAATCCCAAAAGGCACAATCCCAAACATTGAAATCTCAAAAGATCAAAATCCTGAAAATACGGCCAGGCATGGTAGTTCATGTCCGTAATCCCAGCAGTTTGGGAGGCTGAGGTGGGCAGATTGCTTGAGCCCAGGAGTTCAAGTCCATCCTGAACAACATAATGAGACCTTGTGTCTACAAAAAAATCAAAAAAATTAGCTGGGCATGGTGGTGCATGACTTTAGTCCCAGCTACTCAGGAAGGTGAGGTAGCAGAACTAATTGAGCTCGGGAAGTTGAGGCTGCAATGAGCCGTGATCACACCACTGCACTCCAGCCTGGGTGACAGAATGAGACCCTGTCTCAAAAAAAAAAAAAAAAAAAAATCCTGAAAATATAATTCTAGAAAAAATAATTTTAAAACATTCTTTTAAAAACATGTATTTGGCTGGGTGCAGTGGCTCACGTCTGTGATCCCAGCACTTTGGGAGGCCAAGGCGGGTGGACCACCTGAGGTCAGGAGTTCAAGATCAACCTGGCCAACACGGCAAAACCTGTCTCTACCAAAAATACAAAAATTAGCCAGACATGGTGCAGACACCTGTAATCCCAGCTACTCGGGTGGCTGAGGCAAGAGAATCACTTGAACCCTGGAGGCAGATGTTGCAGTGAGCCGAGATTGCACCAATGCACTCTGGCCTGGGCGACAGAGACTCTGTCTCAAAAAAAAAAAAAATATATATATATATATGTGTGTGTGTGTGTGTGTGTGTATATATATATATGTATGTGTGTGTATATATATATATATTCACATTTTTAAATGGGAATTTATTTGAAAAATGTATGAAAGCATAACGGAACATTTCATAGGCCACTTTACACAATAAATTAGGCAATAATAACTTACATATTTTTGTAAGCATAAATACTCAGTATACTAACAACAGTCACACAGGTACAACAGTTATGAGCAGATGAACCAGATTCAGAAAGAAATCAGTCAAAAAGAGAAACGAATAATTGTGTGCACCCAGCTTTATATCTGCCATCATCTGAAATACTATGAAGGACAGCCTAAGTCTTTATGAGATCAGTCAAGTTTGGATGGATCACCATCACATGTGCAGTCACCCAAAAAGCCAAGATCTCGAGAAATTTTATTTTTCACAAATGAAGATGTTCAAAAAGAACATCATTCCATTTATTGAGGAAGTTTCAACATTTTTACATACACGTACAATGCTTACACACAAAGTCAACATTGTGATAATGCACTTTCGTGGGTCAAATTTGTAAAACCCTGCATAAAACAAATTAGAAGTCTTTAAAAGTCTTTACACAATTTATACCCTAGTACTGGAAATGATGTGAAGATGAAATACACAGCATAGTGAATTAATACTATGTGTGGATGGATGAAACTCATATACAATTGAGTAATTTGGCATGAGAGAATTCTTGTATTTTTCACCTGCATTTTCACTTTTTCTATGATCTTTAAAACACTCACTGCACTTGAATTTGGAGAGTGTCTACAAATTCTGGAAGTATATGCTGTCCACTTGAAAGTCTGTTTATTGGCTCATCTCTTGTAATTGAGCAATTTTCCGCTTCCAGGCACCAATAATTATTAGCTTTTAAGCCTTATATTTCACCATTAAGTAACCTCATGTGCTTGAATTATCATAGTCTTTTGGTGAGGAAATTTTACAGATCTCTTCCATCATGTAACAAGGAATACAGTTAAAAAAAAAATGCATCTGTGGTCCCAGCTACTTGGAAGGCTGAGGTGGGAGGATCCCTTGAGCCCAGGAGTTTGAGCCTGCAGTAAGCTATGATCGCACCACTACACTCCAGCCTGGGTGACATAGCGAGATCCCGTCTCAAAAAATAAATAAATAATAAACAATGATATTCATCATCCTCCAATACCAAATTTTTATTAGTCTCCAGAGAGACTGTTAGGGTTCTCCAGAGAGACAGAATCAATAGGATATCCATATAGATATATGAGAGGGTGTCGTGAGCAGTGCAAGGTCAAACATAATCACAACCTTGCACCTTTGTGTCTTTTTATAAGATTAGACTTTCATTGATGTTATTTTAATTATAAAAGCCACACACCATATGGAGTTTCCAAGGAGGCGATTTTCTTTAGTACTCTCCATTTACTTGGTAGCCAAAGTTGTGCGCATGTGGACTCAAGCCACCTTACTAGTTAGTTAATAACATAAACCATGCATAAAATTATACTTAATCAATATAAATGTTTTAGATTAAATATTTCACATCAAACAAAATAACATCAAGAGAAAAAGGGATAGAAAAAAATGGGTTAATGAACAAGTTCAGGGAAAGTGACGTAGACAAAGAGAATGTCCAGGCCTAGTCTGGATAGTCTGTTAATGTCTTGTAAGGAAGTGTCTTTGATATGGACAGAGCCTTTGGCAGCAGAGGATGGGTGTTTATTATAAGTGACAGTAAGATGGTGTCTGTTAAGACGGCCATTTCAAGCTGCTGGAGTTATGGCCACAGAGTCCTCTGGTGAGGACTGATAGTAAAGAGTATGTTTGGTTATGTCCTTATTTGGTTGGATGTAGCCTTTACTGATTAGGCAAAATATTTGATCCTCATTGACAGGACGTCTTTTAAAATGTAAGATGGAGTCTTTTTCTAAGATAGAATTACTTATGTCAAGCAGATTCTATAAAGAAGAGATTTATTAGGGAAATTGGCTCACGTAATTACAGACCATCTGTAAGCTGGAGACCCTGGAAGAACCAGGGAAGCAGACAATGGTGTAACCCTCAGTCTCAGGATGAAGCCTCAGGACCCGAGGCACCACTGGTGTAAGTCCTGGAGTCCAAAGGCTGGTGAGCCTGAAGTTCTGCTGTCCAAGAAAGTGGAAGAAAAGTCTGTCCCAGCTCCCAGAGACAGACCAGTTCACTTTTTGTATTTGTTCTTTCCAGACCCCTAACCAACTGGATGGTGACCACCACCACTGAGGGCAGATCCTCCCCACCTAGTCCACTCAGGCATGCGCACTGACCTCCTCTGGACACACCCAAAATAATGCTTTCCCAGATTTCTAGGTATTCTTTCATTCAGTCAAGCTGATATCTAGAATTAACTCCACAAATCTACCCTTTGTCAATATGGCACTCTTTAAACCTTAGTACATTTCCAAATAAAGACAATAATAAGGTCCTAGTTCCCCTAACAAGATGCAACTATCCCAAGTACAACCAAAAACACACTAATCCCTTCCCCAAAATTTGACTTCCAGGATTGCAACATTAGGGATTTTATCTTTAGGGATAGTGATTTACAGAATTTTAGACTTAATTTTGATCAAGTGATTTTGATCTTTTGGGATTTTCATCTTTTGATATTTTTAGCATTCAAGATTATGGCATTCAGGATTGTGTCTTTCAGGATTATGGTTGGCACCAGGACAATATAATTTGTGGATAGGTGCTTGCAAATACCATACTCAGGTATTCATCTTTTTAAAACATTTTAAATTTATAAAAAAAAAGATATAAATTTTAAAATTTCTTAACTTAAAACTTTTTAAATTTCTTAAAAATGTCATTAAATAATTTTAATATAAAAACAAATAAATTGTTCTTTTGAAATGTATAGCAGAAATTTCAAATATGTCATAACAGTTTTTGTCTTTTTTTGATGTTGAGTATGTCAATTAGATTTCAGTCTGATTTTTGTTGTTGTTACTGTTGTTGTTGTGGAGATAGAGTCTTACTCTGTCACCCAGAGTGATGCCATCACAGTTCACTGTAACCCAAAACTCCTGGGCACGAGCAATCCTCCCGTCTCAGGTTCCAGAGTAACTGGGACTACTGGCACACACCACCATGCCTGGCTATTTTACTTTTTTGCAGAGACAGGGGTCTCATTTCATTGCCCAGATGGTCTCAAACTCCTGGCTTGAAGCAATCTTCTCACCTTGGCTTCCCAATCTGCTGGGCTTACAGGCATGAGCTACTGTTCCCAGACCCAGTCTACTTTTTAATATATGTTAAGTCACTAAATTTTAAGTAATATCATATTATGTTTGTGGACAAATCATTTTTTCATATTTAAATTAAATTAAATTAAATAGCATCATGGGTCACTTGATAAATGGGGGAATTTTGAAATTTACTTCATCTTATGAATATTATCAAATGTTACATTAAATAAACTTTATAAATATAATTTTAACAATATGGTGATATTGTTTTATCTAAACTTATTTATAAATCACTTCACAAAAATAATGAAGTAATTATAAAAATTTTATAAAGGAGGTCTGTGAGATTATGTACTACTTCGAAAGGAATTCATTAATTAAAAATGTTGGGAAACTGTTCTAATCTACTTGAACTCTATCCCAAAGAGTTCCAGTGTACACAGTGGTTATAATATTAAAGGAACAGCACACCTGCTGGGCGTCTAACACTAACCTCTTGTTTTCTTACCACAATTCTTTTTTATCTTCTATAACATTTTACAACTAAGTGTTAATACACACATGCACATACACCCACACTCAGACAATTGAAGAAAATAATATTCACAGTCCTCCCCATTAAAATGTATGTGCACCCAAGTAAGTAAAAATAACCTCCTGGATTTTTTTAAGAAATAAGGCTTCCAGAAAATCTTTTAAAACTTAAAACCATAGCTATAGAAATGATTTGTGCTGCAAGTATTTAAGCACACAAGGTCAGCCTTGATTGGCAGTTAGAATTTTACATACCTCAAAATGTGTATGATTTCAATTAAGTTCTAAATCACTTTAGGTGAAAGTATGCAAAGAAAATTATTTTCCTCCTGGAGAATAACAGGGACTTAACTTGGCTCCCTGAGGTCTATACAAAGCACTTAATCTCTTTTCCTCAGTTTCTAGCTGGGAATTACATCTCTACAACATAGAGATGGGATGACCAAATAATCTAACATCTATACCAAGCTTTGAAGTTTAGTAAAACGGATGTGCTGGTTGGGTAGCAGTGCTATTGTTTTCATTGTGTTTCATTACTTTCATAACCCAGGGTTTCCATTGATGAAAGCCTACAACAAAGCATTCATGGTGTGTGTGTGTGTTTCAAACTGCCACATTAGTGACTGGCTGTGTATACACACAAAACATCTATGTATTCATTGGTAAATTAGTATGAAGTGTTTATTATTTAATAATTTAAATAAAAATTTTTTCAACCTTTCCATTCTTTTAACTTTTCTTCAGAGTCACCAGAATTATTTCACTAATACAGATCAGAAGTGCTCTTAAAGCACACACCCTCCATTAGATAGCAACATTTATTTCACAGACCTAATTTTGACCTAAAAAATAAAATTTTATAGCCTACAAAATGAATAAGTCATCGAGAAGAGCTGATACTTAAAATATGTACACATGATGAGATCAAAGATTGCCAAATCAATGTGACTTCTTAAAATCCTGGAAAAATGAGAGCAAGACATCTCATTGACATCTATTAGAAGTACCTTAGTAAATTAAAACATTTTTATCTTCCCCTTTCTTTGTCAATTTCTATTTGAGTAATATAAAGGCTTATGTTCTCAACTGGAGCCAAAGAAACACCTATTACCATTGAGGTTTAGATAATTTTTTTACAATTTTTCATAGGACCTACACAGAGTCCTTATCTGCAAAAAATAAGATGTGAATTTTATAAAATGCATTTGCCACACAAATAAGGATTCATTTTAAAACACTAATCTATTTAAAGTGACACTACTTTTTCTTTCCTACATTAAATTTATTCTGAAAGTGTTAAATTAATAATAATTAAAAGTGTTTTAGTTAGAAATAACAACCATTTATGAGAAATGACAATAAAATAATACGAAGGATGTTGAAAGTAGTCTACATATCCACAGAAATGCAGTCTCACTGATGTAATCTTATTAGGAAACTATACACATCTTCAAATGATATACTGTGACATAGTTTTGTAGCTATTGCTTTATGTGTATTCATTGTTCATTATATGCTAAATGCTGAAACATGAATGAATGAACAGATGAATGGATTGCCTCAGAGACCATGTGATATTTTTAACATCAAAAATGGTGATAAATATTTATTCTTCAAGAATAAGTTCAGAAATGACAAGACCATTAAAAGCAAACTCTGATGAATAATAAAGCTAATCAGGATTTGGTGAATGGTAGAGAAAAAAGTGTTCATTTGTTTAGCATCTACTATGTGCTTGCCACATAGTAAAACTGCTGGTTTCCAATCCTCTTTTTCTGCCTAAAACCCCAAATTTAGTTTTTTTCCCCTTTCCCCTGCTAACTAAAACAAAGCAAAGTCAACCCCATTCCCAGATCCCGGGCTAGATCCTCATAAATCTAAGCCAATCAGTACACATGGAATTACCCTAGGAGCTCTTATTGGGTGAGAAGTGGGCATGTCATTTTGGCCCAATTAGACTGACAAAAAAGATTTCTATTCCCTGATCAGGAGATTTTTCTCTTCCTCTCTCTGAACATGAAAAAAGAGGCCTGTTTTTGCCCGTTTCTAGCAGTCTTTGACAGGTTGGTTTTCCTGAAGTCATGAGGGAAATCAGCCTGAGGTTAAAGGAATAAACACAGCTAATGGCAGGGTCCAGAGAATATCAGAGAAGCAGAGCTGGAGTCCTCATATAACATGGCTGGTGCCCACCAAATCTCTGAACTTCTTGATGTGAAGAATAATACTTTTCCTATTTTTAAGCTAGTTTGAGTAGAGTTTTTCTTTCCCTTGAAAAAAGCATCTTAACTGAAAGAATAAGAACAATAACACTAATCATTTGAGAAATTACCATTTGCCAGATATTGCAGCAAAAATTAAAATTCCTAATTCTCAATATAGCTCTGCTCTAATTTTCATTTAATTGATGAGGAAAATGAGTTTAAAGAAACTAAGTGCTTTACCTCAAAAATATATGTATATATATTTTACCAATTTTAAAGTAATTTAAAAAATATATTAATACAGTTTTTTTTAAATGAGGTACCTTATTCACAATATCTTGTTATCAGTGAGTGAATTATGATTAGAATCTGGGATCCTCTAGCTTTAAAACTCGTGCAAAGTACTTTATGCATCTTCACATTTGATGTTCACCACAGCCCTACAATGTACTATCATCAACACCTTAGAAATAAAGCATCTTGTGCAAGTTAGTAATTAATTTGGCTGTTAATAATGGAAAACCAACTACAGTGGTTTAACCATACAAATGTTTATTCTTACATATAAAAGGAATTTTGTACTACACAATTCTGTGCTAGTAAGGTGGCTTCACAAAATTATAACTAACCAAGCTCCTTCTATCATACTATTCCATCATCCTAATCCAAGGGCTACTACACACAAAGTCTCCTCATGGTTCATAATTGCTGCTGAAGTTCCAGTCATCAAGACCATACTCCAGTCAGTAAAGCAAAAGATACTTCTTCTAGATGAATTCACTTTCTTAGTCACATTGCCTCACTTAACTACAAGGGAGGCTGGAAAATTTGTTATTTTATCTGATGTCTTGCTGTTTCAAATAAAATTATGATTCTGTAACTAAGAATGAAAAATAAAATGAATATTGGTAAGATAGAAATCTTTGCCTTAGCATAAGAACCTTAAGGAAGTAATAAGACTTGCATAAGGTTATACAACTAGGAAGGGTAGTGACTCAGTATGTGAACTATGGCTGTAGAATTCCAAAACTCAAGTTCCTAATTTTTATGCTGCATTTCCTCCCTAAGTAGATGCATGAGTTATACAGCATAAAGAAATGGCACCACATGATAAAACAAAAATTAAAAATGATGTTAGGTATTCATTTGTGAGTTAAAAATTAGACTCATTACTTTAGAGTTATACTTTTAGTATGTGTAAAATTTACTGACATAAAATAAATGGTATATAGCAAAGTTAATCTAATATAATTTAATGACAGCATTATCATTGATATGTTGGCTTCTGTAGATAAACAGGTATGCCCTTTAAGCACTACATTTACAAGCTTATCATCATATTTTAAATTGTCAATTAATTTAGCCCTCTGTAGAATTATGCTATTCACCCTATATTCCTAACTCATAGAGCAGCATGAATTAGATTCTTTATTCAAATGATGTATAAGCATTATTAAAATGTATTTCTGTTGTGCTGAAGGAAAGGAAAATGCATGTGAGGACAGAATTAAAAGAGCAGAATGCCTAGATTCCAGTCCCGACTTCACCCCCAGCTCACTCTGTGATCCTAAATGGAGGCAATTTGGGCCTCCATTTCTGCATTTTTTTTTTGAAAGACATCTGAGTTTCTTTTATTATAAAATTCCCAAATCCTCATGTTCAATGAAAGTAAGATCTATACCTTAGCTTTTGGATAGGAAGAAGTAGGCAAAGACCTAAAGAGGAAAAAAAAATAAAATTAAAAAATAAAATCCTAGGCTTTCTCTGCTCAAATTATGGTTTAACAGAACCTGTGGAAATAGACTGAAATAGACTATTTGGGCTCCCTGTGTGTTCTGGTATACATCATTAACCTGGCATTTCTCTGAATGCAGAAGAGAAAATGGCCCTCTTTGCAAAACTATGTTTCAGAGTTCTGAATTTGATAGTCTTATTGATTGTAAGTAGAATTTATACAAGTTCTATTTATTATCTCATCTATGCCTAAAATTGAAGGAACCAATTCCAACTGGTAATCAAATACTGGGAATTCATAAAAAACAAATTAGGTAGCTCTACATTACAACTAATATTGAAAGAAGTCCAATACATATTGTTAAATAAAATAAAATTAAGGTGCAGAACAGAGGGTATAGTCTAAAGGCATTGCCACAAAAAAGTATATTTTTAAAAGTATATGTTAACTATAGTATATATTAAAAGTAAGTATATATTAGCTGGGCATGGTGGCTCACGCCTGTAATCCCAGCACTTTGGGATGCTGAGGCAGGCGGATCACGAGGTCAGGAGATCGAGACCATCCTAGCCAACATGGTGAAACCCCGTGTCTACTAAAACTACAAAAATTAGCTGGGCGTGTTGGCACGTGCCTGTAATTCCGGCTACTCAGGAGGCTGAGGCAAGAGAATCGCTTGAACCAAGGAGTCTGAGGTTGCAGTGAGCCGAGATTGCACCACAGCACTCAAACCTGACCACAGAGCAAGACTCCGTCTCAAAAAGAAAAAAAAAAAAAGTTTATATTAAAAAATAAAAGTGTGTGGCCTGGCGTGGTGGCTCACACCTGTAATCCCAGCACTTTGGGAGGCCGAGGTGGGCCGATCATGAGGTCAGCAGATCGAGACCATCCTGGCTAACACGGTGAAACCCTATCTCTACTAAAAAAATACAAAAAATTAGCCGAGCGTGATGGCGGGCGCCTGTAGTCCCAGCTACTCGGGAAGCTGAGACTGGAGAATGGCATGAACCTGAGAGGCAGAGTTTGCAGTGAGCCGAGATCGCGCCACTGCACTCCAGCCTGGGAGACAGCAAGACTCTGCCTCAAAAAATAATAATAATAAAATAATTTTAAAAAGTGTGTTCATGTAAATACACACACACACTTTGCAATGTGTGCACATATTGTGTGTATCTATATATTTCTGTTTCATTTTCGGTTTCTAAATCTGCCAAATTTCCAATCTTGTTTAGTTTCTTGAACATAAACATAGATATTTTAAATTTAGTTTCTGGTATCTACATGATCTATATCCCCTCTACATGTGTGTATATATATATATACACACACTTATATATAAGCAGCATATGTACACATATGTGTGTATGTGTATATGTATGTGTATATATACACATACATACACACATACATTGTCATATAATTTGGGAAAGCTTAAAGCAATTATCTTTTCAAAAAGTGTTTCTCATCCTTCTAGAGTCAGACATTTTCAACACATTTCACTGTTGCTTCTGGCTCTTTTCTGTATTTTTCATTGTTTATAATGTAAATATTTAAATATTTTCTTCTGATCTATCTTCCAGTTCACTAATTCTCTATTCAGCTTTATGTAATCTCCTGTTAAATCTATTTATTTAGTTCTTTATTTCATTTATTGTATTTTTTTACTTCTAAAATTTCTGTTTCTTTTTCAGTTTCTAAATCTGCCAAATTTCCAATCTTGTTTAGTTTCTTCAACATAAACATAGATATTTTAAATTTAGTTTCTGGTATCTATATGATCTATATCCCCTCTAAATTTGTTTCTGTTATCTGTTCCTTTCCCCTGGCTTCTACTCACATGATCATATCTCCTTGTATGCCTCCCTTTTTTTTGAATGCTGAAAATTATTTATAAAAAATTATGGTGCTAATATTAGGCTCTAGAGATTGTAATCTTTGTCCTGAAATAATTACTTGCTTCAGACAGACAGGTATGCTAGAGTCACTAGCAACCACAAATAACCTCAATCCAATCAAGAATTAGGATAATTTAAAGCTGGGTCTTCTCCCTGGAAGTGCTGATTGATTCTAAATTTATTGTCATTCCTAGAATGTAATCATTCTGAATCCTACTCCAAAGCTTCAGAGAGTTACCATGTTTTCTTTTCCAACATGAAAAAGAAACACAAATAGATACATTGGTCCAGAGGAACACAAATTGGAGTGCAATTTGGACTACAATTTGTGTTCCTCTGGCCTATGTATCTACTGAAGCACACTTTCAGAATTGATGGCACCTCTAGGGATTGAAGTGTCTCCAAATGCCAAGTTCAATTCTATGGCATTTTTCTTCTCCAGGGTCTTGGCTGCACAATCTCTCACCATCTTGGTAGCTTTCCAATGCCTTAAGAGAATTTTCAAAATTTTTCCAGCTTCTGTAGTTGTTTGGAGTGGGAGGGTTTGTCCAAGCTACCTAGCTTGCAATTTCCAGAGACAGAAATCCTATATATGTTTTTTAAAATACATATAAATATCTGGGAGGATATATGAGAAAGTATATAAATGTGCTTACCTCTTAGGAGAGAGAGAGAAATTTGGGTAAGGAAACTTTTCACTTTTAGCATACAACCTTTCATATACAGTTAGAATTTCTTTTTCTTATAAGTATGCATTGCTTTTATTTTAAAAATCTAGTTTATAAAATTATTCAATAAAAGTTTAAAAATAAAAATAGTAATCAAATAACAATAACTTTGTGACAATTATTTAATATTCACTACATGGAAGGATTATCAGAAAGCCTACCTAAACTACAGGTTGGAAGATATGTCTGTCTATTAATCTGATTTGCAATCTACATCACATAGCTAAAAAATACACTTCTATAAAGGAAGAGAACACATGGAAAAAAATAAGTCAAAGAAGGCAAAAAGGAATCAGCAATATTTAGCCATTGTATTTGAGATCTTAAAGTTTATTATTTATGTGTCCTGTTATTTGCAATTAATAAACATAATTATCTTCAATTGTTAGACAATATATGTAATAATATATACAGCGGTTTCTAATCACTAAATTAACATTTTTAAACTAGAATATCTGTTTTCAGGGCAAAATATAAAGCATAGAGACTTTCCAAAATTAGTATGTGACTTAAAAGACATGCAAAAGTGCTCCCTATAAATATTAACTTGCTTATGCCACAAGTATGTACTCAACACTATTTGACAGTGCTAATAGACCCAAGCATTCAGTCATTTGGCAAAGCCAACAAAGACTATGGCTTAAATGGGTCTGAATGATTGGAAGAACCATTGTTCTGCAGTTTCCCTCAGTTGTGATATCCGACCCTTGTGCAATAAGTCCCACAGAAGGAAAATATTGACAAAAGAAAAAAATAGCAACATAAATTTTAAACTCAAGCTAATGGCATTTTCATTGTGAGCTACAGGTTACATCCTAATTCAGTGAAACTATAACTTTGCAAATATTCATTGTCTATTGACAAGTTTGAACTAGAAATTGATTTCAAAATGGAAAAACATAGGGGCATGTGGAAGATGTCTAGTTTACAGTGATACATAGAACATTTACAAAAGATATATGAACTACTCATATTTTGCTTCTGTGAACTGAACACTTCATTTATCCTTTTCAGCTCTATGAGTGAACAACTTGTTCCTTAGGAGAAAAAAAAAAGTAAAGCTGAATGTTTTTGAAAAATCTTTCAGATCTCTACTCATATCCAGTTTATTTAAGTTACATAATCCCATCTCAATACCCTGCAGGCCATAATCATCAAGTAAATCACATCACGGGCACCTCCTATAAAAGAGAAAGGAAAGGGATGTAAGGAAATGCACACATGTATGTGTCTATGTGTGTATATCTATGTATACCAAACCAAAGAAGAAAATGTAATAGTCATGATAACACAGTTGATACTCCACAATTTTATAAATCCCCTTCTCCACTTGCTCCATGTTCCTTTATTGTAAGCTATATTCCTTGTTCAGAATCAATGTTAATTGAGATTACCAGGACAGTGCATGATGTCAGAAGTTTGGCAAGCAGGGAAGGCAAGTGCATATCTTAAACAAGTGTTTTTTCCCATGAATATAAGTCCTTCAGACAGAAGGCATCTAATATTATTCACCTTCTGCCAGAGTGTGATGCCCTACTAAGGACCAGCTTTGATATTTGCTATTGATATGTTGTGCATTAATAAAAAGCAGTAGCTTGATCAACTATGGTGATGATAAAATTAGGTTTTAAGCCCCCATTCTTCCCACCATGGCCACGTTGTTCATGAGCACATTAAGCAAGCTTTGAGGTAGCTATTACCTAGGCTGACAAACACCTGCAGAGCAGGTCATTTTGTGCACCAGACTGTTGAGAACCTCTTCTGCAAGATTTTATGTTGATTATTAATTTGGAACACAAATATTTGCCCATTTTAAGAAGACTATCACACTCCTCTTCCCCAAACTTTCTTTTCATCTGTTCCGACTGTGTTATCTTCGAAGTCCCTAGCCATTTGACCAAACCACTGATCATTATCTAAGAATCAGTGGAGCTTCAATACAAAAGCGAAATCTCTTTCCAGGCAAATGGATAAGCAGATACAACTGTCCATGCCCTTTACGTGGAAGATTTTGCTTCCTCAATAAACTTCAGCAGCAGGAAGGGGTGTATAAGGCCACAGTTAGTCTATTTCCAATTAGTGTTGGCAGATCATGCATGACTACTCAACTGGCCTTAGGAAACATCCCATTAGGAATGAGTATAGATTGAAGAAGGCTGTGAAGGAGTAGACGCACTGGGCATTGTGAACCACCTGCTCTTTGAATAAATTTGTGCTTTCAGGGCCTGCTCTAGTCACGTGATGATGGAGTCCTGCCATCAAGCTCAGGTAACGGGGGGGTTCACAATGGCTTTTGCTTCTAAATCAAAAAATCTTTGCATTGGTGGAATCATGCACTCTTCTATATCTTTCAATAACACTGTTTATACAAATATCTAAAAATTATAAGTGGTTGAATTTTGCACAGCTCACATAGCTTTGTCTATCATACAGTCAGAACTTAGTATTCCACTAAAAATCGTAGTTCTTTACCCATTAGTCTATATCTTAGTGTATTAGTCTTATCTGCTTTTATTCAGCTGTAACATTCACTATCCAATATATTATTAGATTTTTAAAACAGTTCTCAGACGTAGGTTGATTTTATTTTCTCATTATTTATCTACACAGTTTATTTTCTATAGGTCATATACTTCACTGTTTATTATAAATTTATTTATTCTTATTCCAGTATTGCATTCTCCTCCTTATCATGTTTTTTGTTGTTGCTGTTCTGTGAGATACTTCTCAGCATATGCCAAGTGTTGGTTTGGTGTTAAATACCCACATTGATTTTGATTCTATTTTTAGCAATTTGGCTACTTAAATAACACTTCTAGATTGTGTAAAGCAACATTTTATCTTTCGCAACATACTTTGTGGATCTGACCTCGGTTCTTACTAACACTAAATCTAGGAGGTAAGGTGGGCAGAGAAGGTTTTTCTTTCTTACTTTCTTCCTTTCTTTCTTTCTTTCTTTCTTTCTCTTTCTTCTTTCTTTCTTTCTTCTTTCTTTCTCTTTATTTTTACATTTTTTATATTAATAGGCTACTTTTAAAAACAGTTTTAGGTTTATAGAAAAATTGAGCAGATAGTATAGAGTTCCCCTATTCCACTCTCCCTTACACAGTCTCCTATTATTAACACGTTGCATTAATGTGGTATGCTTGTTACAAACGATGAACCAATGTAGGTAGGTTATTCTGACCTAAAGTCCGTAATTTACTTTTTTTTTATTTTTTTATTTTTTTTACTATTTCTATTGTTTAAGTTCCATGGCTTTTGACAAATGTATAATGTCATGTATCCACCATACAGAATAATGCTGCCAACCTGAACCTCCCCTGGGCTTCACCTATTCATCCCTCTCCCTCCCCACTAACTCTGGCAGTCACTGATCTTTTTATTGGCTCTATAGTTTTTCCTTTTTCATAAGTCATATAGTTGGAATCATACAGTATGCAGTCTTTCCATAATGTCTTCTTTCACCTGAAATATGCATTTAAGATTTCACCGTGTCTTTTCATGGCTTGGTAGCCAACTGATTTTTATAGCTGAATAATATTCCCTTGTATAGGTGTACCACAGTTTATCTATACATTCATCTACTGAGAGACATTTTGGTTGCTTCCAGTTTGGGGCAACTATTAATAAACCTGCTATAAACATCTGTGTGCAGGTTTTTATGTGGATGTAAGTTTTCAACTCATTTGGGGAAATACCTAAAAGTGTGATTGGTAGATCATGTGGTAAGACAAAGTTAAACTTAGTAAAAAATAAATAAAAATAAAGGGGCCGGGAGCAGTGGCTCACACCTGTAATCCCAGCACTTTGGAAGGCTGAGGCGAGCGGATCATGAGGTCAAGAGACTGAGACCATCCTGGCCAACATGGTGAAACCCTGTCTCTACTAAATATACAAAAATTAGCTGGGCATAGTGGCCCACACCTGTAGTCCCAGCTACTCAGGAGGCTGAGGCAGGAGAATTGCTTGAACCCGAGAGATGGAGGTTGCAGTGAGCCGAGATCGTGCCACTGCACTCCAGCCTACTGACAGAGCTAGACTCTGTTTCACAAAAATAAATAAAATAAAATAAAATAAAATAAAATAAAATAAAACAAAATAAAATAAAATAAAATAATTTTAAAAACTGGCAAACTGTCTTCCAAAAGGTTGAACAAGTAATGAATGAGAGTTTCTGTTGTTCCATAGCCTCAACAGCCTTTGTTGTTGTCAATGCTTTGGATTTTAGCCATTCTAATAGGTATGTATAGTGGTATCTCATTCTTGTCTTAACTTGCATTTCCCTGATGATATGATCTTCAGCATCTTTTTTATGTTTAGTTGCCATATCCTCTTTTGTAAGGTGCCTGTTCAAATCTTATGCCAATTTCTTAATTGACTTTTTTATTTTCTTATTGATGAGTTTTAATAGTTCTTTGTGCATTTTGAATACAAGTTCTTTTTTTTTTTTTTTTTTTTTTTGAGACAGTCTTACTCTGTCACGCAGGCTGGAGTGCAGTGGCACAATCTTGGCTCACTGCAACCTCTGCCTCCCAGGTTCAAGCAATTCTCCTGCCTCAGCCTCCCAAGTAGCTGGGACTACAGAAACCCGCCACTGCACTGGCTAATTTTTTTTTTTTTTTTTTTTTTTTTGGTATAGACAGGGTTTCACTGTGTTGGCCAGGCTGGTCTCGAAATCCGGACTTCATGATCCTCCCGCCTCGGCCTCCCAAAGTGCTGAGATTACAGGTGTGAGCCACCACGCCTGCGTGAATACAAGTTCTTTATCAGATATGTGTTGCCAATATTTTCCCTCAATTTGTGACTGGTCTTTCCATTCTCTGAAATGTGCTTGATTTTTTTTTTTTTTTTTTAGATGAAGTTTTGCTCTTGTTGCCCAGGCTGAAGTGCAGTGGCACAATCTCGGCTCACTGCAACCTTCGCCTCCCAGGTTCAAGTGATTCTACTGCCTCAGCCTCCTGAGTAGCTGGGATTACAGGTGAACACCCAGCTAATTTTTTGTATTTTTAGTAGAGGCAAGGTTTCATCATATTGTCCAGTCTGGTCTCAAACTCCTGACCTCAGGTGATCCACCCTCCTTGGCTTCCCAAAGTGCTAGGATTACAGGCACGAGCCACTGCGCCTGGCCATGTCCATTTAATTTTGTTTCTGTCACTTGCAAATGAAAGAATTCTGGCTAATAGATCTTTGTAGACTTTCATTAATATATAAAATATATTTTAAAATTGTATCGGAACTTGACCATTGAAGATCATCTGTCAATCCAAGGATATGTATGTTGCTGTCATTAATTAGTGAGTCCTGTAGATAAGACCCACAAGGGATTAGCCTGAGTAAGCTATCCCTAACCTTCTGAACCTTTCATTCAGGCAGATTTAGCAATAAAAAAAAAGAAAAAAAAAACTTTATAGGAAATATATACTTTACAATACCTGAAGAAGCATCTCCATTTTCTTTTCACAGTTCTGTTTCATTTTGGCAACTTGTGACGAAGAACCTCTAAGCCTAAAAATTATAAAGAAAAAAATGGGATAATGAAAATAATTAATGATATAAATATTAATATTACTTATAGAATATTTTTAAACTCCAACAAATTAACGGCTCTCAATTTTCCATTTGCTTTTATGTTTATCAAAATGCAAAGGGACAAAGTTGTTGATATGCCATGTTGTATAATTGATTTATGTATAGAAGTAATTCATGATAGTCAAAATTAAAATATTATGCCTTGATATAGCAGTGCTCATTAGAGTAAAATCACGCTAGGTTATAGAAACGTCTTTTCAATTTACAGTGTAAGGTTATTCCAACAACATAAAAATAGAATTTAATTGAATTTGGGTAGAATTATTTCCAACATATGTATGAGATGAATTCAAGATTGGGAGCAGGGGGTGTAAAACAAATGTTTCTTCAAAGATGTTTTCCTTCCAGTCTAAATGGTAGCAACATTAAACCTGCCCTCTGCAAATTGTGCCATCTGGTCCTCACCAGAAGAGTCCGTGACTATGTGGCTTCCATCGGTCCAAGGCAGGGCTGGCCTTCTCCCCTTCACGCTGATTTTCTGGTTTGAGGACCCGTGCTCTGAGGCGTATAAACTGCTTTACTTCCCCTATTAAGACGTTGACATGAATCCAAAGCGGTATCCTTGCAGTAGTGAAGAAAGGCTTCAAAATTGAAATGAACCACCCTTGCAGTTTAATGCTCTTGTCATGTAGGGTTTCTTCCTTTCCTTCCTTTCTTCTGTCCTTTTTTCCTTTCTTAATTTTTTTTTTAAATAAAGACTACAAACAGCAGGGGATATACAGACCTTGCAATCGCTAGAAAATGAAATGTTTCCACAGCATTGAGATGCATTTAGTGCTAAGACGAAAATTTAGTTCCTTCTATTCTTTTGTAAGGAGAAAGTCTTCTTTGAAACAAAAATGAAATAGAAATAATTTCAGGGTGATGGGACATCCCCAGCCTTCAGGTCATGCTGCTCTCTCATCATTTTTTAGGTTGCTTGGTGATAAAAGAAAAGGAAAAAAAGAGAAAATTCCCTAATCAGAGTTTCATCAACTGAGTGATCAACAAGAGAAAATGGCCACTTTTATATTCATTAAAGTAACTTTTCAAAGAGGAGAGATTTCAGAATTAGTGACACTGAGTGCATATTGCTAAATTTATTGTTGACCGTTACTTGGAAATTTTTGTTTGATCTTTCTTTGCTTTCTTCTGTGGTGTAGCTTCATTATATATATATGGTTGCATCTTTCTTTTAAGTTCACTCTGACAATTTAGTTTCCTTATGTTTCGTTGTTCTGGGAATCACATTCAAAAGAAATTAAGGCTTTTTTTAATTCAAAAAAAGCAATAAATCTTTCAACAAATAACATAAATTTTTAATTAAAAAATAAAAACAGCTACATGCATTATATGTATATAAAACATTTCTTTATTTGATCTTTCTCCAATGATAACAGTATTATAAGATTGTTACAAACAATTAAAATAGTGTAATATAAAAAGGTAGAGGTGCAGAAATAATTTTGTGTATACTCCCCACTTCACCCCCCATCTACCACCATCTCACCCCGCTGAGTTAACCGATGTTGGCCATCTTTGATATATCCTTTTATGCTGCTATGTTTACATATTCTTTATACCATACATAGAGATTTGAAGGTAATACTTTAAGTGAAAAATAATCATATCATATGGGTTTTTTGCAAATTGTGTTATTTATTTTGAAAATATGTCATAGAAGATTTGTATGATGAATTTTTTTAACTTTTTATTACAGAAAATTTCAAATATATACAAAAGTAGGAAGACTTGTAAAATTAACCCCCATGTACCCATCAACCAGCTTAAACAATGATCAACTAAAAGACAATATCTTTTGCATCTTACCCTCCCTACTCAATTATTGTGACACAAATTTAGATATCATGCCACATCAATCATAAATATTTAAGGTGCACCTATTAATAGAAATGATGAATATTTTAGTACAACCATAATACTTTTTAACAATCTAAAAATTAATAGCCAGCCAGTATTCAAACGTCCAGTTTTCTCATAAATGAAGTCTTATGGTGCTACAGAATGTCTCACAATATGGATTTTTTTGGTCAGGAATAACTCACAGGTGGATTTGTATATATCTCCAGAATGCACATGTCTGCTAGTCTCTTTTTTTGTGATATTAGCAGCCATTGATAATCATTGCCTACTTCTATTAATTTATTAGTGGTTGCAAAATTGTAATAGTCTAATGATACAACTTTTTCTTGATTCATTGCCTGGAATATTTCTATAAAAAGAAAAGGCCTTTAATCAACAAGTTTCTTACTCTGAGGAGGAGTTCATATAGGAAAGAGAGAACAAATGCTTAAATATTTCCCTTTGCTTACCTCTTTTCAAAATAATGAATAAGATTTCTTATACCCTCCAAAAATATCCAATGATTTCTAAGTATAAATATAAATTTATGGATGTAAACATATTTGGTATGTCTCAATCCAGTGTGTTTATTACCTTTTATGTTGTTTAAATGGTCATATCTTTTGCCACAGACTTTTGAGCCCATTTTTATACCCTCTGGATGGCTATTTTACCTTCTTAAAACAAGTTATGCCAGCTTTAGCATTTGACAAAATGCAACATCCTTACATGATTAAGAAAAAAAAACTGAACAAATTAGGTATAAAAAGAATGCACTTCAAGATAATGAAGAACATATATGCTGAACCCATAGCTAATATTACACTCAATGGTGAAAAGCAGAAAGTTTTTTCTCTAAGAATAGGAACAAGACAAAGATTCCCACACTCACTGCTTCTATTGAATATAGTATTGGAAGTCCTAGCCAGAGCAATTAGGCAAAGAAAGAAGAAAGAGAGAGCATAACAATTAGAAAGAAGTAAAATTTTCTCTGCTTGCAGTTGATATGGTCTTATATCTAGAAAATCCTAAAGATTTCACCAAAAAAAAAACCTAAAACTGTCAAAACTAATAAACAAATTTAATAAAGTTGTAGGATGAGCTTTATTTGTATTGATCAACAAAATCAATACACAAATCAGTTACATTTCTATACACCAACAACAAACTATCTGAAAAAATAAATGAAGAAAACAAACAGAAAACCAAACGCCACATGTTCTCACTCATAAGTGGGAGCTGAACAATGAGAAGACAAGGACACAGGGAGGGGAACATCACACACCGGGGCCTGTCAGGTGGTGGGGGGCAAGGGGAGAGAGAGCATTAGGACAAATACCTAATGCATGCAGGGCTTAAAACCTAGATGATGGGTTGATAGGTGCAGCAAACCACCATGGCACATGTATATCCATGTAACAAACCTGTACGTTTAGCACATGTATCCCAGAACTTAAAAAAAAAAAAATGTTGATAGGGGTGAAACTCAGAGAAAAAAAGGAAGGGGAGAATCATGGGACCCATCCCAGCAGGGTGGGAATCATTAGATTATTATTAGGAAATGGAATGAGGTAAATGGAAATTTATTATGTAAAATAAAGGCCTTAATACAGTATCAAAGGTTGAGTGGACCAAAGAGAGCCCCTGCTGCTTCCCCAGTATTAGAGAGACCCAAGCCAATTTTCTATATTTACCCCAGATTGGAGAAATTTTTTTTAAAAAAATCAGAAAGCAAAGTTACAATAAGGAAAAAAAAAAAGGACAGGCCAGGCACGGTGGCTCACGCCAGTAATCCCAGAACTTTGGGAGGCCGAGGCGGGCGGATCATGTGGTCAGGAGTTAGAGACCAGCCTGGCCAACATAGTGAAACACCGTCTCTACTAAAAAAACAAAAATTAGCCGGGCATGGTGGTGCACGCCTATAGTCCCAGCTACTTGGGAGGCTGAGGCAGGAGAATCGCTTGAACCTGGGAGGCAAATGTTGTGGTGAGCAGAGATTGCACCACTGCACTCCAACCTGAAAAACAGAGTGAGACTTCAGCAAAAAGAAAGAAAAGAAAAGAAAATAAAAGAAAAGAAAAGAAAAGAAAAGAAAAGAAAAGAAAGAAAAGGAAAGGAAAGGAAAAGAAAAGAAAAAGGATAAAATACTTAGTAATAAATTAATCAAGGAAGTGAGGAGTCTGTTCACTGAAAACCACAAAATATCAAGAAAAGAAATTTTAAAAGACCCAGAAAAATGAAAAGATATGCCATGTTCATGAATTGAAAGAATCAGTATTGTTAAAATAGACATACTCCCTAAAGCGATCTACACATTCAATGCAATCTCTATCAGAATTCCAATGTTATTTTTTGGAGAAACAGAGAAAAAACTCCTAAAATTCATGTGGAACCACAAAAGACCCCAAATAGCCAAAGCAGTCTTGAACAAAATGAACAAAGCTGAAGACGTTATACTTAATGATTTCAAATTATAGTAGAAAGCTATAGTAATAAAAACACCATGGTACTGGCATAAAAACAGACACATAGACCAATGGTACAGAATTGAGAGCCTGAAAATAAACCCACACATATACAGTCAACTAATGTTTGACAAGGGTGCCCAGAATACAAAATGAAGAAAAGACAACCTCTTCAATAAATAGTATTGGGAAAACTAGATATCCACATGCAAAATAAAACCCGGCCATTGTGTTATGCCATACACAAAAAATCAACTCAAAATGGATTAAAGGCTTCAGTGTAAGGTGTGACAAAAATAAAACTTCTAGAAGAAGACAGGGGAAAAGTTCTTTGATTCATCTTAGCAATGGATTTTTAGATAAGACACTGAAAGCACAAGCTACAAATGCAGGAATAAACAAGTGGGATTATATCAAACCAGACAGCTCCTGAATAGCAAAGGAAACAACCAACAGAATGAAAAGACTCCAGCCTGGGCAACATGGCAAAACCCTGTCTCTACTAAAAATACACAAAATTAGCCAGGCGTGGTGCATGCCTGTAGTCAGGTGCATGCCTGTAGTCTCAGCTACTGGGGAGGCTGAGGTGGGATAATCACCTGAGTCTAGTGTGTTAGTCCATTTTCACACTGCTATAAAGTAATACCAAAGACTGGGTAATTTTTATAAAGTAAAGAGATTTAATTGACTCACAGTTCCATATGCTAGGAGGCCTCAGAAAACTTACAATCATGGCAGAAGGTGAAGGGAAATCAAGCACCTTCTTCACAAGGCAACAGGAGAGAGAGAAAGAGTGCATGAAAGGGGAAGACCCCCACACTTATCAAACAAACAGCTATCATGAGAATTCACTCACTATCATGCGTACAGCATAGGAGAAACCATCCCCATGATCTGATCACCTCCCACCAGTTTCCTCCCTTGACATGTTGGGATTATGGGGATTACAATTTGAGATGAGATTTGGGTAGGGACACAGAGCCAAACCTTATCATCTGGGAAGTCAAGAGTGCGGTGAGCTGTGATCACTCCACTCTACTCCAGCCTAGACAACAGGAGTGAGACCCTGTCTTTTAAAAAAAGAAAAAGAAAAAGAAAATACAACAGGATGGAAGAAAATATTTGCAAACTATACATCTGATAAGGGGTTCATATTCAAAATATATAAAGACCTCAAACAATTTCACTGTAAGAAAACAGACAACCTGATTAAAAAATGGGCAAAGGACCTAAAAAGACATTTCTCAAAAGGAGACATGTGAATGAGCAACAGATATATGAACAGGTACTCAGTATCACTAACCATCAGGAAAATGCAAACCAAACCATAAGGATATACCATCTCACACCTATTAGGATGACTAATATTAACAAAACAAAAGATAATAAGCTTTAATGAGGATATGAGAGAAAGGAAACCCTGATACACTGCTAGTGGGAATGTAAATTGGTACAGCCTTTAGGAAACAAAAACAGTAAGGAGGTTTCTCAAAATATTAAAAATAGAACTACCATATGATCCATCAACCCCACTTCTGGGTATTTATCCAGAGGAACTTAAATCAGGATCTTGAAGAGATACCTGCATGCCCGTGTGTTTTGCAGCATGGACAGGATATGCAAACAACCTAAATTTCCACTGGTGGACAAATGGATAAAGAAAATGTGGTATACACATAAAATGGAATATTATTCAGCCTTTAAAAAGAAGGAAATTGTCCAGGTGCAGTGGCTCACACCCGTAATCCTAGCACTTTGGGAGGCCGAGGTGGGTGGATCACCTGAGGTCAGGAGTTCAAGACCAGCCTGGCCAACATGGCGAAACCCTGTTTCTACTAAAAAATCCAAAAAAAAAAAAAAAAAATTAGCTAGGCATAGTGGTGCATGCCTGTAATCCCAGCTACTCGGGAGGCTGAGGCAGGATAATCGCTTGAACCTGGAAGGTGGAGGTTGCAGTGAGCCAAGATCACACCATTGCACTCCAGCCTGGACAGCAAGAGGGAAAGTCTATCTCAAGATAAAAGAAAAAAAAAGAGAGAGAGAGAGAAGGAAATCTTGCCATTTGCAACAGCATGGATGGACCTGGAGGACATTATGCTAACTGAAATAAGACAGGCACAGAAAGACAGATACTAAATGTGTGATCTCATTTATATGTGGAGTCCAAAATAGTCAAATTCATAGAAGCAGAGAGTAGAATGGTGGTTACCAGGGACTGAGATGAGGGAAAACTGGGGAGGTGATGGTCAAAGGGCACAAATTTTTATTTATGCAAGGTAAGTTCTTGCATATTGCTTATAGCTAACAATACTTAATTGTACACTTAAAATTTGCTGAGAGTATACCTTATGTTAAGTGTTCTCAACAAAGAAGAAAGCAATAACAATAATAACAAAGGTGGCAAGAGGAAACTTTGGGAGGCAATTAATATATTTATGGCTGAATGGGCACGGTGGCTCACGCCTGCGATCCTAGCACTTTGGGAGGCCGAGGAGAGTGGGTCACCTCAAGTCAGGTGCTCGAGACCAGCCTGGACAATGTGGTGAAACCCCATCTCTACTAAAAATATGAAAATTAGCTGGGCATGGTGGCGGGCGTCTGTAATCCCAGCTACTCAGGAGGCTGAGGCAGGAGAATCGCTTGAGCCCAGGAGGTGGAGGTTGCAGTGAGCTGAATCATACCACCTCACTCCAGCCTGGGCAAAACAGCAAAACTCCATCTCAAAAAACAAAAACAATATGTTAATAGCCTTGATGGTGATGATGGTTTCATGGGTGTATACTTATCCTCAAACTCATCGAGTTGTATACATTAAATGTGTACAGTTTTTCACATAATAAGCATTAAGTAAATGTAAACTAGTATTATTAATTTCAATGTGCTCTTTACACATTCCTACTATTGTGCTTTTTCTTTCAACATTAGAATTCTTAACTTTGCAAGTTTATATTTTTATTATATCCACCTCAATCCTTTCTCAGTCAAACTTAAATCTACATATATTTGTGCAAAGACTTTTGTCATAGAATTGTATTAAGTGCCTTATGAAATATACAATAATTATATCATGAAAAAGATGGTGGGTTGAACACCTGTATCTACTTTGATCCCTCCTGAAACTTCACTAAAATAAGAATAAAAAGATTTTCTTTAATGAACAAACCAACAAAACTGTAAAGAACAGGAAAGGAAGCAAGAAAAACAAGATTTCAGAAGCTGGAAAGCAGACAGACGAGTGAGTAGCAAATCAAAGGATTTATCAGAGAGAGATGTAATTTACACCAGAAAATACCCAGAGCTTCTGTCACCCCACCTTTCCATATGAAAAGGCAAGGAGGATCATCAGACATCTGAGGAAAAGCCGCTAACCTGACAGATAAAGACAAAACCAAACAAACAAGAGAACAACTCCATGGAAGCAGACACAATGTAGGGGAAGAAACGTTATTAAAAAGCAAAAACTATCAATGATATCCTCCAATAAATTAGAGAAAACATTGTAGCCATGTAAGGAGAATGGAATGCTCTTTAAAAAGTGATTCTGAAAACAAAAAGCATAGGTCTCAAGCTCTTGGAAATTGAAATTCTGTTTGCAGAAATTACATGTATTCTATAGAAGAGAAGGAAGATAGGCCTCACAGAAAGTAAAGCAAAAATGAAGGACATGGAAAATAAGAGTAAAAATATAAGAAAAAGAGAGAGGACTAGTCCAAGAGGCCCTAAAAGGGAGAGCCAACAAACAGGGAGAAGGATATCATCCACAAACATACTCAAGGGAATTTCAGAAAATTGAAGCATATGACTTCAAAGTACAGAATCCACTAAATGCCCCTCACAGTGGATAAAATAGATGCTACGAGAAAAAAGAAAATCCTCAGATTTCTGCTGATCACTGAGAGATAAGAGCTTTTTGAGAGAAAAACAGATCACATGAAATGAACCATAAACCTGAATGGCTTCAGGCTTCCTAACAGCTACACTTAAAGCAGGATTACAGTGAAGCAATTCCTTTAAACTTCTGAAGGGAACATGTTTCATACCTAGAATTCCACCCCCAGTCCAACTACAGATCAAGTCAGAAGGCCAGGATAGACATTTCCAGACAAATAACATCTCTGAAATTTTACCTTGCTTTCAACCTATCTATGAAAACTACTGGAGGATACATGCCACAAAAATTAAGGAGTAACACAGGAAAAATGAAGAATAAAATACAGAAAACAGGAGATGGCACATGAAGAGACGAGGGAGGAATAATGAAAAAGAGAGACCAAGGATGGCAGCTGTGATCTGGCACACAAGCCAAGCAGGCCAGATGGGCCCAGCCCCAAGGGCTGTGATAGATATTTTTTCAAGAAGATGCAAACGGGAGAAGATCTGATCCATCAGAAGGTCTTCAGACTGTGATTCATGCCTCTTGCTGTCCCTTGTGTCACTGACTCCTCTAGATGTTCACATTATTAATTTCCCCATACCATGAAATTTAGACTGGCCTTGAAGTTGAATTACTGATAAAAACAGAAAGAAGGCAATTATTTTCTTCAGAGAAAACAAAACATACAGATTGGGAAAAGGAAGACTTACTTAATACAATGGCTCAGCTTTGAATAGCATATACAATTGTCATGTTATGGTAATATAAACACTGAATTCTGATGTAATCAAAACTATAGGACAATGTTGCAAGGATGAAGACATGGAAAGAGTGCACGGTTATGGTGACAATAGGAGGAAATAGAATTCAGTCTCTCACATCTGCAGAGGCAGATGGAATACCTCAGCTCAAAGTCAGAAACAGCAAGAAAATCATGGAATTTAGAGATATGGAGGTAAATTCTAAAATCAGCTAAAGTAAATGAAAGTGTTTCCTGCCAAGAAGGGAAATCAGGGTGGGGCAGGGCAGAGAGGACTGGTATATTTCATAACATAACTTGTAGAACTATCTAGCTCTTTGAACTATATGTACATGTAATTGCAGTAAAAGTAAAGGAAAATTGAAATCACTTTTATGAAAATAGGATAACTAAACTGCATTTTACAATTCTCTTTCCCAAATGAGATAAAAGGTATTTCTTCAAAACTTATTTCCATAATTTATTTCTTTGTCAACTTCTTTTATCATTGATGGAGCCTATCCTGTCTTCATTAAAGCAAAATTAGCATTAGTACAGTTCATTCATTTATTTATTCAATCAATAAATAGATATCAAGGCATCCTTGCCTTAAAGGAGCTCACCATACCTCAGGGGGAACATTAAATTACAAATCCCCCAGCTGCCCGAGGAAAAGAATATCAAATGTGTCATTAGAGGACAGGACAGGGATAGATTTGCCTGAAAGTATCTCAGAAAGTTCCACAAAGGGATTTTAAAGACCTGAAAGAGGAGACTAGGTAGATTTTTATTTTACTTTGTACATTCTCAAGGTAATTCAGTGAAATGAATGTTAAAGAGTATATCTTTGTGCATGTCACTCTACTAAAGGCTATAGGAAACATGAAGATGAATGAAGATAAGGTCTTTACTGCTGGCCCAAAATATAAGAGAGTAAAATAAGCACTAACGTAAAAGTTCAGAGAGCTTCAGGGGAGTGGACACAGACAGTTGTTCCAGAGAAGGGATCTGGAGCTTTGGGAAAGTGCAGTTTGAGAGGTGGGACGTGATTAAGTGTCTATCTGTTCATTGACTTCCAGAAGCAGAATACTTGATTTATCTGTTCACTCATAATTCTTTCCTTCATTCAACTGCCATATATTAAGTGCCTACTCTGTACCAGATACTGGACTGGGTCTGAGTATACAAGGTGTACTTGAGCACAGGCAAAGGAAGACATCACAGAGCAAGTCCAAAGAAAGGAGACAAGCTGGCTGGGCTGGTGTACAGGAGGGAGTGGAAGGGAGGACAGGAAGGGAGGAGAGGAGAGAGGTGGCAAGGAAAGATGACTCATAAAAATCAAAGAAGGCAGGGATGACTACCCTTCATGTTTAATTTTTCCCAACTTCCTCTAACTCCTAAATTATTGCCTGCTTTTAGGAAATTTTAAAGCCCTTGGAAAAAAATTCGTAAAATAAACCTATGTAGAAGTTAGTTGGCTCCTCTGGGTTCCTTGGGTGGAATATAACCTGACAGCCTGAATGGTGCTGTCCCTTGGGGCCCTTCCCAGGTCCCAAGCCTGTGGACCCTTATGTGATATCCCACCACTACCCTGCCCATCCCTTCACTCTCTAAGAGCAGAAATGGAGCAGCTCAGTGTTTTGGCGGTTCATTTGTGTTGTAGCGTGTGTCGGTACTTCATTCTTTTAGTTTCTTTTTAAGCTGCTTTGTTGAAATATTAACTCATGTACCATATGATTCAACCATTTAAAGTGAAAAGCTTTTAAGTATACTCACAAAGTTGTACAACCATGACCACAATCAATTGTAGAACACTTTCATTGCCCCAAAAAGAAACCTCATACCCATTGGCAGTAGTAGTGTATTCTTTTTGTGGCCGAGTGCTATTCCCTTGCACAGATAGATCATATTTGGTCTATCCATCCATTTATTGATGAACATCTGGGTTGCTTCAACCTTTTGGCTATTGTGAATAGTGCTTCTATGGACATTTGTTTGCAAGTTTCCCTGGAGACAGGAAACAGATTGGCAGTTGCCAGGGACTTGAGAAATGGGCAGGGGGAGTGACTGACTTACTAAGTTCAGGGCTTCCTTTTGAGGTGATGACAAATTTTCTGAAATATAACTTTGGGATTGCACAGCATCGTGAACCTACTTAATGCCACTGAATTGTGTACTTTAAAATAGTTAAAATAGTAAATGTCATGTTTTGTGTATTTGCCATAATAATGCTCCCTTTTTCTTCTGTCAGAAGTCTCATTTCCTTTGCTCCCACTATCTCTCGCTTGCCCGGGCAGCTTCCTCTTCTCTGCCTTTAGTAAGGTCTTTAGTAAAGGCTGTACTCTCAGCAGCACTTGTGTGTCACTTAAAACTGTAGGGAGAAAGTGCCCAAAACAACTTGTTCTAACAGGAGAGTTTAACTGGGTGACATATTCTGCAGAAAATCCCCGTGGACAATTCAGCCATTCCCATCTCCATGTCTGAACTTCTTTCTTCATTTTGACTGCTGAAATCTTTCACAGCTTCTATTAAAATTGCCTCTTAAATATAAATAGCTGCAATCTCATTCCAATTCATTCCATGATTTCAGGCTCCTAACATGCGCGCGCGCGCACACACACACACACACACACACACATATACACACACACACATATACGGCGCTTAGAGCCCCGCCTGCTCTCCTTTCTCTTACTTGGAGAAGAGAATATTATCTACAGGGCTCTGTGTGCTACAAGGCCCACATATCTCTTCCTTGGGATGAACAAAGAGGCAGAGGCCCGATTGGCAAGATTCCTAAGGATGAGAGATTTCTCACATGTAGCCAGCAGAGGTTGAAGGAAGAGGTCCAAGTTACCTTGGTAATCAGGAGCTGACAGTGCCTCAGAGCTGGCACTGGGCTTGGGACTCCTCCCACCCCACCTCTATCTCCAGTTTTCTTGAGAAGAGTGACAGTAAAGGTAATCTGTTATCTCCCTATTTCTCAGTGTTTGCCTTTATCTGCTGACTGGGCAAGACTTCTTTAGTTTCTGAAGAAGTTTTGTGGTTGTTTTTCTTAGCCACAGCAGGCAAGGACTGTGCCTAATAATTAGAACAAGCTAGTGATAAGAATTGCAGAAGGGTCTTTAGGAACTTAACATTAATGAGTAGATAGATGATTCTTAACTGTCTGCTACACTCATATAGGCAAAATCATGTGAACTTTATTTTAATATCTATGGTAGGATTCCAAACAAAAATAAATTCTGGCCAGGCACGGTGGCTCAAGCCTGTAAGCTCAACACTTTGGGAGGCCAAGGTGGGAGGATTCCGTAAGTCCAGGAGTTTAAGACCAGCCTGGGCAACATAGAGAGACCCCATCTCTATGAAAAAAAATTTAAAAATTAGCCAGATGTGGTGGCACACGGCTGTAGTCCTAGCTACTCAGAAGGCTGAGGTGGGAGGATCACTCGAGCTTGGGAGGTCAAGGCTGCAGTGAGCCACGATTGTGCCACTGCACTCTAGCTTGGGTAACAAAGCAAAACCTTGTCTCAAAAAAAAATTGGCCGGGCAAGGTGGCTCACACCTGTAATCCCATCACTTTGGGAGGCCAAGGCAGGTGGATCAGGAGGTCAGGAGATCGAGATCATCCTGGCTAACACAGTGAAACCCCATCTCTATTAAAAATACAAAAAATTAGCTGGGCGTGGTGGCAGGTGCCTGTAGTCCCAGCTACTCGGGAGGCTGAGGCAGGAGAATGGCATGAACCCGGGTGGCGGAGCTTGCAGTGAGCCGAGATCGTGCCACTGCACTACAGCCTGGGCAACAGAGCGAGACTCCATCTCAAAAAAAAAAAAAATCTAAAACAGAAATCTGAGGTGCTAGCATTTGATGTTTGTGTGTCTGCAAGAGAGAGAAAAGGTGACTATTGCTTATAAATTTACAGATTACTTGGGTTGTTTTTATTAGTAGAAAATTTTATCTTTAGAAATAGACAATAAAGTATTTTGACATTTTAAATTTAGTGAGGGCCGGGAGCAGTGTTCATGCCTGTAATCCCGGCACTTTGGGAGGCCAAGGAGAGAGGATCACTTGAGGTCAGGAGTTTGAGACCAGCCTGGTCAACATGGTGAAACTCCATCTCTGTTAAAAATACAAAAATTAGCCAGACGTGGCGGCGCGTGCCTGTAATCCCAGCTACTCAGGAGGCTGAGGTGAGAGGATAGCTTGAGCCTGAGAGACGGAGGTTGCAGTGAGCCGAGATTATGCAACTGCAATCCAGCCTGGGTGGCAGAGCAAGATAACTAACTAACTAAATAAATACATACATACATACATACATACATTTAGTGAGGAGCAAATGTAAGCACTCAGAATCCTCAAAGCTGATTTATTTTTATTTATCTCTAGGGAAAACCTAAGAACACATGACATGAATTTGACTATTCACCTTAAGTTTTACAGTGAAAGTTTCGATTTGCCTCCTATCCTATTACAAAATTCAGATACTCTCTTTGTTTTGTCTTTATTTCCTAAGAAATGATTTCTTTTGTTCTTAATGGAAGATTCCAAAGATATATCTCCTGACTCAATGTTGGCTTACAGACCCTTTTAGACAAGCTTGTTTTGTATCACAGGAAGTTCTTCAGATTCTCAACTAGAAGCCAAATGAGTCACCATTTTGTCTTCTGCATCTTTCAAATAGAATTTGTTTTTGAAATAATAGCTTTATTGAGATATAATCCACATATTGTATAATTCATCTTTTTAAAATGTACAATTTAAAGGTATTTAGTATATTCACACAGTTGTGCAATTGTCATCACAATCAATTCTGGAATTTTGGAATATTTCATCACCTTCAAAAGAAACCTCATACCCATTAAGAGTAACTCCCCACCTCCCCCTCCCCCAGTTGCTGGCAACCACTAATCTCGTTTCTGTCTCCATGGATTTGTCTATTCTAGATAGTTTTCATAAATAGAATCACAATATTTGTTCTTTTGTGTCTGTCTTCTTTCACTTTTCACAATATTTTCAAGGTTCATCCATGTTGTAGCATATATCATCACTTCATTCCCTTCTATGGCCAGTGAATATGGCATTCCCTTCTATGGCCAGTGAATGGATATACCACATTTTATTTATCCATACATTAGTTGATGGACATTTGGGTCATTTCCATCATTTAGTTATTATGCAAAGTGCTACTATGAACATATGTGTATGAGTTCTTGTGTGGATGTATGTTTTCAGTTCTCTTGTGTTCACATAAACATTTTAACTTAATACAGACTAGACTTGAGCCTGAATGACTTGGGTGGGTGTGTCCATGCCTGGAAAGGAAGAGGAGAGGGAATCAAAGAAGAGCGATATCAGTAAGGAGACAGAACTTACTTCACTAATTTCCCAATTTGCAAATCCCTCTAAAATAACACCACCTGATATCATAACATTATAGAACCACAATTTTACATATGAACAACTGAGAACCCAGAAAAGGTAAATAACTTGTTCAACAATTTGTTGAAAACCAACTGGGCCAAGGGCCAATGGTTCCTATTTCTTAGTAAACTTCCTTTTGCACCACCTGCATTGCATTAGTACACACTGATATCCAGGTGGTGTCTAATTAGAAAAATTTAAGTTGCCAAGGATCCTATTTAAAAAAAAAAAGTTGAGAATTGGCTAGGATTTTCTTCAATTCACCAGGAACAGAAATATCTCTGTTAATCAAAGCTAACTCTTATGGAGGTCTTAGTATGCACTATGTACTAAGCAGTGTTTTGCTTAAGCTGCCATATTTAATTTTGAAAAGCACCCCATTTTACAAATGAAGGAACCAGATTTAAAAAAAAAAAAAAAGAAGTCACGCAGCTTTAATACATGATGAAGTAGCAAGTTGAAGCCAGAAGCATCAGACTCTATGAGATTTGGTTATGAAGTATTTTGCTGTGCTGACAGATACAGATAAACATACTCTGTCCTCTGTCTCCTTTCTTTTGTCCTCCCACTGCCACTGTTGTTTTCATAGGTTATGAGGGTTTTGTTTTTGTTTTTTCTTGAGAAGGAGTCTCACTCTGTCGCCCAGGCTGGAGTGCAGTGGCACAATCTCGGCTCACTGCAACCTCCGCTTCCTGGGTTCAAGTGATTCTCGTGCCTCAGCCTCCTGAGTAGCTGGGATTACAGATGCCCACCACTATGCCCAGCTAATTTTTTGTGTTTTTAGTAGAGATGGGATTTCACCATGTTGGCCAGGCTGGTCTCAAACTCCTGACCTCATGATTCACCCACCTTGGCCTCCCAAAGTGCTGGGATTATAGGCATGAGCCACCACGCCTAGCCCACAGGTTATGAGTTTTTTTTTTTTTTTTTTTTTTGAGACGGAGTCTCGCTCTGTCGCCCAGGCTGGAGTGCAGTGGCGGGATCTCGGCTCACTGCAAGCTCCGCCTCCCGGGTTCACGCCATTCTCCTGCCTCAGCCTCCCAAGTAGCTGGGACTACAGGCGCCCGCCACTACGCCCGGCTAATTTTTTGTATTTTTAGTAGAGACGGGGTTTCACCGTTTTAGCCGGGATGGTCTCGATCTCCTGACCTCGTGATCCGCCCGCCTCGGCCTCCCAAAGTGCTGGGATTACAGGCGTGAGCCACCGCGCCCGGCCAGGTTATGAGTTTTAAACAACCTACAAATCGGACATTTGTAAACTGGGAATGTTTATGAATTTATAATTGTGCTAAGCAAAAATATGAAATCATTCCATGTATAAATAAAATCACATATATCCTCCAAAATTGTCGACAAAAATGATATGTTCTTCATCTCAGGCCAGGATGACAAATGCTTTTTGAACTTAAATGCAAACTCCAGTCAATTGTTAGTGGCTCCTAGGGTACTGTGTTGAAAATGATTCTAAAGCCTGAATGTTTTTAAAAATTATCACATCAAGGCCACACATTGCCCCACTGTCTGGTCCCACTGACCCACAAGCCACCACCCCACAGATTGGCTCGGCTCTGGCCTGAGTCATATCTGGTTCCCCCAGCCTTGCTGCTATAAAGAAAGGGCTTCAACAGCTCTGGCTGAAGGCTGGGCTCAACTTCATCAAAGTATCCCAGGGATCTTCAAACTTGAAACAATTCTGTCTGCAGAATGTTCCACATGACTTCCTGCTGACTGGGGTATCTTCGAGTACAAAACTCTCCAGACTCCAGAACGTCTGTTCCCTTTTGTGGTCAAATGGACCTTTCAAAGGTTTCCCAAACCACTTCTCATGAACCAGTGAATATTCAAAAGAGAGCTAGAAATTTGAAGCCTGTACAAAAACTTATCCCTATAACATATGTGCCATAATATACAAACTTACACCTTTTCAGTCCTTCACATCTACCTCTCTGAATTTTCATGAATTTCTATTTCACAAGGGTAATTATTTTAGGTACACTGGCAGCAGCATACAAGCAAATATGTAGTATGAAAACAATTCTCACAATAAAGTGAGGGCAGCAGAATTTGGTTATGTGTATGTTCTTTTTTAATGACTTTTTTTTCGTAGATATGACCACTTGCTTTTTCACTTTAAAAAATAAGATTCTGAGACCAGGCGTGGTGTAGCTCACCCCTGTAATCCCAGCATTTTGGGAGACCGAGGTGGGGGTATCACTTGAGCTCGGGAGTTCGAGACCAGCCTGGGCAATGTAGCAAAACCCCATCTCTACTAAAACAAATAAAAATAAATAACTTTTTTTTGAAAGTTGAGTGTGGTGGTGCATGCCTATAGTCCCTGTAGTCCTGACTACTTGGGAGACTAAGGCAGGAGAATCCCTTGAGCCTGAGAGATTGGAGCTGCAGTGAGCTATGATCGTGCCACTGCACAATAATATTAAAAAATAAGATCCTGGGCTGGGCATAGCAACCTTTAACACCTGGAGTAGTAGCCACTCTGGAGGCTGAGGCAGGGAGATTGCTTGAGCCCAGCCTGGGCAACATAGTGAGACAGCATCTCTAAAAAAAAACAAATAATAATAATAAGATTTTATTGATGCCTCATTTGGGTCATATTATAGTTAAATAAGGAGAGGCAACAGAAAATCAAGGGTTGGAAATGCCCTCACTTTACTGTGAGAATTGTTATATTAGATAAGAATTACTTAAATAGTTGAGTAACTTCAATCTTGATAAGAGTGACTAATGTAGAGGAAAATTTTTTGGGCATAGCTTGGTAACCAAAGGAGTTCATGAGCTAGTATAGTAATTATATTTTCCAAATTCAAATTGGAACATACGACCTCATAATAATTTTTAAAATGTATAAATTTATTGGTAGAAAGGTACTTGGCAAAGATATTAAAATTAAATAGCATTCAAGGATGTTTTAAATAAATCACCTTTATAGATAAAATATAGAACTACAGTATATTTGCTGATAATTCTGGAAAATACAGTGTTGTTGATTTAAATAACAATAAAAAAGAATTTGGAGTTGCTGGTCTCTGATTTCTCCAAAGAAAAGCTTTTATAGCTTTCCAGACCCAACATCCTTCCTGAAATTCACTCACCTCCTTCTGCTTCTGTCTGAAATCCATATAGGAGAGGAAACACACATTTCTCTCCAGATTGAGGTAATGTTCTTAAGAGCAGACTGTCAGTCAGGTTCTGAGAGTTCAATTTCTAGAGGTACAAGGAAGCCACTTCCTATATTACCTGTAATTTTAGGGTCATTCACATGGAGATTCTGGGCTCTCACCCTTTTGCTTGCCTGAAATCTACCCTTCTAATCATTTGCTTACCCTCCAGGGGCTGCTTAGTTTCAGCTTGAGTATTCTCTGGTGAGTAGGCAATCTGCTATTTTCATGAGGGGTCTGGAAATTCTTCACTGGAGTATGAATTCCTCCAAATTCCAGGTTCATTGTCCTTGCTTACGACCTTTAGCCCCAGTTGAAGACATTTCCCGCAGTTTTCTGCATTTAGCTTCAGGACCCTCTGCCAAGCCCAGTGCTACAAAGTCTTTTTGACTTGGGCATCCCTAGTCAGCTCTATCCCTGGATTAGTGTTTTTCTCTTTTTCCTACAATAAACATAGAAATGGGAGCCAGTATATTAGCTCAGTGAAATCTCAAGGTAAACCTACTACGCTTCCTTTATTGCCCATCAATAATCCTTTCATTTTGTCATGTTTTCTTGCCTTTTCATACCCTGATAGTTATCTGTACTTAAAGGTTAAATCGAGCTTTTCCACTCCTCATTTTTTCCCCTTCTATTCTTTGATCCTACATTGAAATCATAATGCTGGACTTGTGACGTCACTCTCAATTGTTTCCAGATGGCTTATCAGACTGATCAAAAAGAAGGTGAAGCCAATATGTTAGTTAAAAAGTAGATCTTCAAACAGGGAGATGGTTCAGAAAAAAAAAATTGTGTAATAATAATGTTGAGAACACAAAACAACTATAGGTAAAGTAAATTGCCTTTTCTCTCTGTCCTAAAATAAAATCTTTGATCAATTGTTCCAGTGTATGAAAATTTGAACTCTAAAGAGACCAGGCAGCTTTCTAAACCCAAACATCAAAAGCTTTGCTTCCATTAGAAAAATTTAAACCCATGATACTTTGAATGGATTTGAAATTCTCTAAAATGAGCTCTAATAATAACCTTCCCAAACAGAAAGAAAAAGAACAGTAGGTTATATGGCTTCGTGCTACCATTTTCTCTGGAACATTAGTTTTCCAAAGATGCCATTTTGGCTCGTACCAAATAAAAGGGCAAAGGTTACCAAATGCAAGCCTAGGGAAGCCAGGAGACAGAACAGCTATTACAATGGAGGGGGAAATCCAAGCTGTCAGCTCTGAATGGATAGAAATTGCATGTGTGAAATTGACAACCAGCAACAGCATGGTACCGTCAGAGGGGCCAGGAAATGAGCTCGACCGGGATTTCTGTTTACTGTATTAGAGCTGCGGTTTTGTAGAGTTTTATTTAAGATTCACAGATACAAATCTTCAGGTTTTTGACAACTTTAGTAATGTTCAGTGGCTGTTTGGAAAATAATCTAAACAAATAAAATATCAGAATGAGAATGGTAGAACTGATACAGGAAAAAACATAAATAAAGGGAAAAAAATCAACCATCATCCAACCTCCCAAGAGTCTCTGTTAACAAACTGTTGCATTTGCTTCCTCATACACACATTGTTATACAACATTGAAACCAATTTGTATATATAACTTTGATTTCTGTTTATTTAGTATTATGTCACAAATATTTTTCCATGTCATGAAAATGTTTTCATAACCATTGTGTTTATAGAGCATTCTGTCACATGAATATACAGACTTTAATTTACTTAACCATAATCAATTCAACTACTAACTCTTTCCCCCAATTTTTTGTCCCATTCCAGTATTTTTCCCACTGAGCAACTAGAGTGATCTTTCAAAAACTTGATCTTGTCACTCTCCTTTTTAAAACCATTCAATAACTTTTCTTTCTCTTAGAAAATATTACTGTCCTTAGCAGGCCCTTTGGAGCTTTATGTCCTTGCTACTTCGATGTGGTTATGTCCTTCGTATCACCTGGGAATTTGTTAGAAATATAGAACCTCTACTCCCTCTCTGAACTACTGAATCAGAGTCTGAATTTTTACAAGATCACAGGTGATTTCTACCCAAGACAAGGACTGAGAAGGTCTGCTCTTCACTCTTCATGCTCCTGTGTTGCCCCCACCAGCCTCACCAGCCTTCTCAATGCTTTTTAGGATCCAGCAGAGACCTAGCTTCAGTGCCTCACTCAACCACGCCCCTTTCCTCCACAAAGCCTTGCCAAGTGTATGGACTAAATGTGTCTGTTCCTCCAAATTCACATGTTGAAACCCTATCCCTCAATGGAATGGTATTTGGAAATGGAGCATTTGGGAGCTAATTAGGCTTAGATTAGGTCAAGAGGCCAGGGTCCTCATGATGGAATTAGTGCCCTGTGAGAAGAGACACCAAAGGGTTCTCTCTCTCTCTTTCTCTTCCATGTGAGGACATAGAGATAAGGTAGCTGTCTACAAGCCAGGAGGAGAGTACTCTCACCAGAACCCGATTATGCTGGTCCCCTGATCTTCCAGCCTCTAGAACTGTTAGAAAATAAATTTCTGTTGTGTAAGCCACCTATGCTACCAGATTTTGTTATGGCAGCCCAAGATGACAAATACAGCAGGTACGTACTATGCTCTCTGCCTGGAAAGGTCTTCTCAGGACTAGTCACCAAGTTAACTTCCAATTATCCTTCACAGTCCAGTTCAAAAAGGGAAGCGAGACTTCTCCCACTTCAGGTCTTCGATAAATACATGTTCACCCAAAACCTTGTATGCAAATGTGTAGAGTGGGATGTCTCCCACTTCCCTTTTTGAGCTGGGCTCTGAAGGATAAGCCCAGTGGGAATATCCAGAATATATAAAGAACTTTTGCAATTCAGTAAGCGACCCAATTTAAAAATGGGCAAGGACATGAATAGACATGTCTCCAAAGATAAATAAATGTTCTGGAACTAGATAGTAAAGCACATGAAAAGATGCTCAATGCCATTAGCTATCAAGGAAATGCAAATCCAAGCCACAATGACATACCCTCTGGACCCTGCAAGATGCCTACAATTTAAAAATAATAACTTTGGGAGGCCAAGGCGGGCAGATCATGAGGTCAGGAGATCGAGACCATCCTGGCTAACATGGTGAAACCCTGTCTCTACTAAAAATACAAAAATTAGCTGGGCATGTTGGCGGGTGCCTGTAGTCCCAGCTACTCGGGAGGCTGAGGCAGGAGAATGGCGTGAACCCGGGAGGCGGAGCTTGCAGTGAGCTGAGATCGTGCCTTTGCACTCCAGCCTGGGCAACAGAGCGAGACTCCACCTCAAATAATAATAATAATAATAATAATAATAATAATAATAATAAGCATTCATGAGGATATGGAGAAACTGGAACCCTGATACATTGCTTGTGGGAATATAAAATGATACAGCCATGGTGGAAAACAGTCTGATGGTTCTTCAACAAGTCAAAGATAAAACTGTTATATGACCCAATAATTCTTCTCCTGGGTAAGTACCCAAGGGTAACATATGCCCCCACAAAACCTGTACACAAATGTGTAGAACAATATTATTTATTATAGTCAGAAGGTAGAAAAAAATCCAATGTCCATCAACAGACAGATGGATAAACAAACTGTGGCATATCCATAGGATGGAATATTATTCAGTCATAAACAGAAATGAAATACTAATACACACTACAGTGTGGATGAACCTTGAAACATTATCCTAAGTGAAGTAAGCCAGGCACAAATGACCACATATTCCATTCCATTTACATGAAATGTCCAGAACAGGTAAATTCATAGACACAGAAAGCAGATTAGTGCTTGCCAGGGGGTGTGGGGAGGGGAGAATGGGAAGTAAAATAGCTTTATAGGTTTGGGGTTACCTTTTGGGGTGATAAAAATGTTCTGGAACTAGATAGTGAAGATGGTTATACAACATAATGAATGTACTAAATGTCAATGAATTATACAATTTTAAATGGCTAAAATGATAAATTTTGTTATGCATATGTGTATACTACAATTAAAAAAAGAAGAGAAGGAGAAGCAGAAGTAAAAGGAAAGAGAAACACACAGAAACAAAGAGATAAAGACAAAGAAACCAAGATAAAAGGGGACTCTTGGGCGGGCACAGTGGCTCATGCCTGTAATCCCAGCACTTTGGGAGGCCAAGGCAGGTGGATCACTTGAGGTCAGGAGTTTGAGACCAGCCTGGCCAATATGATGAAACCCCATTTCTATCTGGGCATGGTGGCAGATGCCTGTAATCCCAGCTACTTGGGAGGCTGGGGCAGGAGAATCGCTGGAACCTGGGAGGCAGAGGTTGCAGTGAACTGAGATTGTGCCACTGCACTCCAGCCTGGGCAACAAGAGCAAAACTTCACCCAGGAAATAGAAGAGAAGAGAAGAGAAGAGAAGAGAAGAGAAGAGAAGAGAAGAGAAGAAGAGAAGAGAAGAGAAGAGAAGAGAAGAGAAGAGAAGAGAAGAGAAGAGAAGAGAAGAGAAGAGAAGAGAAGAGAAGAGAAGAGAAGAGAAGAGAAGCTTATTTATTGTGAGAACAAACTACCCAGATTTTTTTTTTTTTTTTGGACAACTCTTAATACTTGATTATACAGGCAATCAGGTCTTCTAAAACTTTCCCAGACTCTTCCATGCCAAAAAGAAGTGCTTCTTCCAAACTAGTCCCTGGGCACGGACCTACTGTTTATATTCTTCCTCCCCAAGAAGATTCCACTTTCCACATGCCGTCACCCAATTTGTATGTTTAGTTCACACTTCGCTGCTGAGCTTGGAGATGGGAATTCTAATTCTTCTTGGATAATTCTACTGGAATACCTCACCATCAATTCTTACTTAACATATTCACAATTCCTCCCCAAAAACAATCCCCATCTACCACTTTACTATTGTACCTGTTTCACCAGTTATCTTAATTTACAGAATCTGAAACCCAAGGAGTATGAGTGAGTTTTTAAAGCCACATAGCCAGCTTAGTGCAATCCCAACTCTGAAAGGTTGTAGTCATCTTTCACTCACTTCCTTCATCCAGGATCTCCCGTTAGTCACTAAATTGTGTTGATTTTTCCTTCAAATGGTCTTTGTATCCATCTGCACCCTTCCATCCCCACTGCCAACCCCCCTGTTCAGGTTTTCAACACCTCGCGCCTCAGTGCCTGTGACAGCTCCTGGCAGGCCTCTAAATCCATCCTGCACACAGGCCTCGGTAGCTTGCCTGAAACTACAGCATGTTTGCACAGAAAGGATTTGGGAGATCATCAAATCTGTTGCACTAAACAGAGAAAATGCCAGAGCCAACACAAACCTCTACATGATGCCTGGGTCCATGCTGATTCCCCAACTACTAAGATAGGGGAAAAGAAGGAATAAAGGATACATTTCAAGATAGTCATGACCCCTCACAGACTGTCAGCAGGGCCAGCCTCAAGCTTAAAGGACCAGCAAGGAGTACAGTTCTATAGAATCACACAACAGGGTGCCCAAAGACAACTCAAGAGTTGTGGTTTTAAGAGCTCTGCAAGTGGCTGGGTGCGGTGGCTCACACCTGTAATCCCAGCATTTTTAGAGGCCGAGATGGGAGGATTACCTGAGCCCAGGAGTTCAAGACCAGCCTGGGCAACATGATGAAACCCTGACTCTATCAAAAAAAAAAAAAAATATATACATATATATATACACACACACACATACAGGAATGCACTACAGGTGGTGCACTCCTGTAGTCCCAGCTACTTGGGAGCCTGAGGTGGGAGGATTGCTTGAGCCTGGAAGGTGGAGCTTGCAGTGAGCTAAGATCGTGCCACTGTACTCCAGCTTGGGTGACAGAACAAGACCCTGCCTCAAAAGAAAAAAAGGAAAAAGAGCTCTGCAATCTGGGTGCCATCTGCACTTCTCCCATCACATTGGGTCTGCAACATCAGAATGAAGTAAATATAGGAATTGCCTGAAAGTGAAGGCTCCCAGGATTACTTCTGGGGAATCTGGAAGCCACACTTCAATAGTATGTGGCTGCCTAGCGGAGGGTCCTTAAGTGTAGCAGAAGACATTAAACTGGACCTCGAAGTGTTCTAACATCTTCATTTTACAGATGGGAAAACCAAGGCCCAGATATATAAAGTAACTCACCCAGGCTCACTCAAACAACTGGTAGCAGCAAAGAACTAAGATTACCTGCTTCCCAAATTAGTGAGCATTTACCTTTCTATTGTGCTCTATATCAGTCTCTCATAATTAGGGCAGTAGTCCCAATAGAGTAACAATTGAAAAATATCAAAGCAGCTCTATTATCCACAATGTTCTGTCTTCCACAAACTCCACTCCTGCCAACCCCAGGGGTGAGATAACTGTCACAGGCTCCCTCCTTTTTGATTTTATGACCCTCAGAAAGCCCCTTTGCAGGTGGGTATTCATTGCCATACACACTGAGGAGCCCAAAAGTGTAAGAACTGCTCTGGCCCTCGAAGAGTTCACTGTCTTGAGGAGACAACAGTGTGCACAGATTCTGCCTCATTAAATACAATAATGGGGGTATGAATAAAATCAGCAGAGAAAAGAAAGGCACACTTGTCTCTGTCTATGAGGGTGGAGAATATTCTCAGAAGTGGTATGTGAGCAGGATTTTCCAGGATAAATAGGAGTTCTACAGATAGGCAAGAGGAAAGTGTGTATGTTCTGGAAACACGCCAGCATGTTAAACACTGGCCCTCATTCCCAGCTCCTGGAATCAGCCTATCTGGGGAACAGCGCTTGCTGCTCTCATCTTGAGCTCCTGCCCAGGAATGCCACTTCATTCAGTCTGTACTAAAATTCTGGTCCTCTTAGTCTTTACCCACCATTTCCAGGAAAGTGCTTAAAATCAAGGCAGCGAGAAGAAAGCTGCTGGCTTGACAGCCGTCATATACTAGTTAAGCAAATGCACACACCTCTTCCAGATTCTGCAATGGTTTTCTGTTCTCTTGGCATGAAGTTATTTTTTCTCTCCAGTCATCATGAACCCCCAAGTCCAATCCAAGCTTGTTACCAAGGCTCCATTTCCTCCCACCTAGCTGAGCTCTCTAGAGCATCATGACTCCTGGCCTCTTGCCAATCCACTTGAATTCTGAACTTTCTCTAATTAGTGGACCTCAAACTCTAATCTTTCTCTCCCCTCATCTCTTTCTCTGTCTCCCCTTTCCCTGCTTACCTCCCCATCTTGACACTTTTCATATGTCCTTTTCCTTAGCTGCGCATGGCCTTGTTCTGCAACAGGCCCAAACTTTACAACAACAAATAGACCCAAATTTAGCCATTTGTAGTATCTACAAATTCTATTACATTCACTGACCCAGAGGTACTCTGAAAGATTCAGAAAAAGATATTTGTTACTGAACTTAAACATGTGTCCTATTTCTAGCCCATGCTCCCTGTTGTGCACTAGAAATTATTATTTCTAATAAATCTTATAATCACAGTGTGAGTGGTACAATTATATTGCATTACATATTTGTTGGTTACAAGCATACATTTTCAAATGTAAACACATAATATATTCCACAAGGAAGTATTAGGTTATGGCAGTCTCCTTTTTTTTTTGAGTTTTGAGACAGTCTTGCTCTGTTGCCCAGACTGGATTACTGTGGCATAATTATAGCCCATTGCAGCCTTGAACTCCTGGACTCAAGTGATCCTCTCACCTCAGCCTCCTGAATAACCGGCGTCTTGATGACTTAGAAAGCTCAGCTAGGTGGGAGGAGATGTAGTCTTAGTTACAGGCTTGATTTGGACTTGGCAGTTCATGATGATTGGAGAGAAAAAATAATTTCATGCCGGGAGAACAGGAAACCATTGTGATTACAAGAGCAAGCCAGCATGACCTGCTAACTTTTTTAACTTTTTGCAAAGACTAGGTCTCACTATGTTGCCGAGGCTGGTCTCAAACCCCTGGCCTCAAGCAATCCTCCTGTCTCAGTTTCGCAAAACTCTAGGATTATAGGTGAGCCACGGTACCTGGCCCCATTTTTTTTTTAATGTGCCAGAAACTTTTCCCCAACCTATCTTCCTCCCTCATCACCAGCAGGGGTCTGCAAAACCTGGTCCCCAGACACTACCGCAGAGGTGAGAATCAAAGAAGAAAGCTAAGAGAGATGAGAAAGCACATTAATTTTCAGGTTATGTACGAAGAGTTTAGAAACCGCCTGAATATTTATAAATTGAAAGTGCATTAATTTTCAAGGGTATACAGCAAGACTTTGGGAACTGACTGAATGTTTATAAAGTATATTGCTAACATGAACTTTAGGCTAATTTATATTTTTAAATCTTGCATGAATAATATATAAGACACAGAGTGTCCTAGTCACTTTGGATTCCTGGTGTCTAGAAACTATGAAAACCCTTTCCCAATGGCAGGATGTTATAAATGTGGTTATCTCTGAGACAAGTGTCAGAAGCCTGATTGATATGTCCTGTAACTAAATTATGCAGTACTAAATATGTCACAAGAAGTCTCAGAGTTTGTTCCCTTGCTTAGTGATAAGGTCGATTCTAATTGGGGATAGCTAAAGATTTTATCTTCAGTCTTTCCACTCCCCTTCCTGCCTCGCCCACCGTCCCTACCCTCTACCCTCCTTTCAGTGCCTCTTCCATGCTAGCTCCAATACCCTCATCATGAGTCAGGAATTTCTTCTCTGAGGAATAACGGGCAAGTATTTCTCATTTTTAAAACTACACCTATTAAACCAGCTAAATCTTCATCAGAAAAATCTCAGATAATAGATAGAAGTCAACCATGCTAAGAGTTGGCTGTTAAGATCAGTTTTCTGTTAAGAACAGGCCTCCAAATTTCTACTTTATAACTCTCAGATCATATCGAATTCCAAGGTTGTTTTTTTTTGTTTGTTTTTTGAAATGGAGTCTCACTCTGCCATCCAGGCTGGAGTGCAGTGGTGCAATGTCAGCTCACTGCAACCTCTCCCTCCTGGGTTCAAGTGATTCTCATGCCTCAGCCTCCCAAGTAGCTGGGATTACAGGGATGCACCACCATGCTTGGCTAATTTTGTATTTTTAGTACAGATGGGGTTTCACTATGTTGGCCAGGCAGGTCTCGAACTCCTGACCTCAAATGATTCAGCCGCCTAGGCCTCCCAAAGTGCTGGGTTTACAGGCATGGGCCACTGTACCCAGCCAGAATTCCAAGGTTTTCACAGCGATTCTCAGGGCTTCAAATTCAGAGACTTAAGAGTGTGGATGAGAAGAAGCACCTGAACAATTTCAAACACCAAATGTCCCTTCGTTAAAGACTGTCTAAGCAGTCTTTTTCTCTCTCCCCTAGAAGGTTGGGCTTCTATTTTGAGTTTGATATTATATTGAATTCATTTTAATGAGATTCAAACAGCCTGCATTAATATAGAGCCCAATGTGTTTTTCCACTTAATTCTATATTTCTCTCCTGATTGATTTCCTGCCTTGCAGCCATGGCTATCTGTGACAAAGGGACTCTGACTCTTTGAGCTTAGTATCTGATAATTGTGATTACATAATACACTAAAGAGTAGCTAACCGTAGCATTTAAGCCAATAATAAAATACACTGTTGTCCTTCTAAAGATTTTGCTTTCCAAGATTGCAAAATATAAATACTTGATTAATGTTTCTGTTGTAAAAGATGATCAGAAAATAGGGATTTGGAAGCGTCTTCCTTTGTGAGCTCTCCACATGTGGGATATTTGGAACTTTATACCAGCAGATGCCCTGAGAGGGCTTTTCTCTAAAAATAAACGTCTCTTGAATTCAAGTCTACTGATTTATTTGATTTTAACTTACTTTCTCCAAAAAAAAGACCCTACATTTATTCACATGGCTCTTTCTAGAAAATATTTCATTCAGCTGGCACAGTGGCTCACACCTGCAATCCTAGCACTTTGGGAGACTGAGGTGGGCGGATCACTTGAGGTCAGAAGTTAGAGACCAGCCTGGCCAACACGGCAAAACCCCTTCTCTACTAAAAATACAAAATTTAGGCTGGCGTCGTGGCGCATGCCTGTAGTCCCAGCTACTTGGGAGGTTGAGGCAGGAGAATCGCTTGAACCCTGGAGGCGGAGGTTGCAGTGAGCCCATAGCACCACTGCACTCCAGCCTGGGCTTGAGCAACTTTGTCTCTAAACAAACAACAAAAATTATGATTGACTTCATGCTTAAATGCTAAAGTATACTTTCCTAAGTCCATTGAGATACTTTATAAATTGTGTCTCAGATATATTTTATTTTGGAAAAGCATTTTTTTTAAAATTTTGTCAATAAAGGAGACTATGAAAAATGAAGTATTTCCCCTAGGAAAATAAGCAACTTAAATTCATATCCTACGTGATATTGGCAGGGCAATAAAAGTGGTAGGTAGAGTACCATATCAAAATTTTTTAACTTATTTCGGCAAATCATTTACTTAAGGGGTCTCCTCTGTCGCCCAGGCTGGAGTGCAGTGGCGCCATCTAGGCGCACTTGCAACCTCCACCTCCCGGGTGCAAGTGATTCTCCTGCCTCAGCCTCCCTAGAGCTGGGATTACAGGCACGCCCAACTAAATTTTTTTTGTATTTTTAGTAGAGACGGGGTTTCACCGTGTTGGCCAGCGTGGTCCCCATCTTCTGACCTTGTGATCCACCCATCTCGGCCTCCCTAAGTGCTAGGATTACAGGCGTGAGCCACCGCGCCCAGCAACAAATCATTTAAAAAATATTTCTGAGAAAAAAAATTAAAGCTGTAGATAGTGTTTTTTAAAAATGCTGTAACCATTTATATTTACCCTTTGGCTACTGTTTTTTTGTTTGTTTGTTTTGTTTTGTTTTTTGAGACGGAGTCTCGATCTGTCGCCCAGAGCCTCCCGGGTTCACACCATTCTCCTGCCTCAGCCTCCCGAGTAGCTGGGACTACAGGTGCCCGCCACCACGCCCGGCTAATTTTTTGTATTTTTAGTAGAGAAGGGGTTTCACCGTGTTAGCCAGGATGGTCTCCATCTCCTGACCTCGTGATCCGCCCGCCGGGGCCTCCGAAAGTGCTGGGATTACAGGCGTGAGCCACCAAGCCCGTCCCCTTTTGGCTACTTTTAAATCTAATTTCTAATCCCATAATTGAGTTCACAGTGGTTTAAACAGATATCAAACATATTTTAGGTATTAGAACTCATGATATTGTCCTGAGAAAGTAATGGAGGCCAACTTAAATTCCCTTGGGATTAATTAAAGGAGTCAGAAATGATTAAGACTGCCATGGGGATATTTGCCGTATTTTTAAAAATCAAATACATGTAGCTAGTAGGCCCTGCAAAACATGTAGAGGCTTAGAGAAATGAAAGGCAACCAAGGCCCCAATGTAGGGATCTCAAGGGTAAGTAGGTGGACTTTCCTGTCTCGATGCTATGTAATATCACCTAAGCACCTGCTGGGTCCAAGCATTCCAGTTTCACTGGGCTGGTGTGGTGCAGAAAGGAGACCCCGCCCATTGAATGCAAGACACAGATAGTTATAGGAAAATTCTTCTTTAGCGTTCACTTGTGTCTCTCATTTCAGAGCAAAAACGGGGAGTTATTTCTACAATTTGCAGAAATCTCTCCCTTTTACTGTATAATCATGCAAATAACATGAGGACAGTTAGGCTGTAGTAAAGTAATAGAGACTTTTGATGATGGTTTTACCCCCTTAAAATTTTTATAAACAGGAATTAGAGGGTTTAATAAAGGACACATTCATTAGTGAGATAAACTCTGAAGGTAGGAGTTCAATTTCAGGCTCGGCTTCTTGCCAGATGTTTGACCTTAAGTAACGCATTTAATATTTCTAAACCTCAGTTCTCTTGTCTGTAAAATACAGATCCTATTAAGACCTTCCTTATTGGAGTATTGTGAATGTTAATGAAATTAGCTGGGGTAAATACATTAAAAAGTCTCATTCACAGTGACAGTTCCAAAATTATTAGCTATTATTATTTTTATTATGGTAAAAATTTGGAAGAAGAAACAGTTATTTTGGGGGGATATGCCTGGGAATAAAGAGTCAAGAACAACAAACAATATCTTTATAATCCATTAAGAGCTATGCCAATGTTTGCAAGGTTTCCTTCAGCAGGAGAACATTAATACACTTAAAAAATAAAATCCAAAAAGTTCTTTTAGAGAATAGATGTTTTAGATTAATTCTGTTTGTTTTCAAAATAAATAAGAACCATGGTAATGAACCTCAAAGGTGTATTGTCTTAGAGTTTCTGGCTTTAATATTGTAACTGATGACATTAAAGGCAATTAATCCATTAATTAAAAATCTGCATTTATGCAAAGGAGAGGGGAAATAAACTACTTCAACTAGCTTCTGACATATTTACACTTGAAATCAAAGCTTTTGTTAAGTTAAACTAGAAAGAGCCGTTTAACATAAGAAAGAGTTAACACTCGCTTAGGGGTGCCCTTTTTTTTAAGTTTGTTGGAAAATACTTGACAAATCTGTCTGTAAAAGCAACTGCAAAAATATTGTCACTGCCCTTTTGACAGTCTGAAAAAATCATGGTTGTCAAAATAATAAGCAAACTACATTTTATAACTATCAAGAGAAAAATATCAGTTTTCTACTTTATAAAGTTGTTTTTTAGCATATCCTAGTGTGTGATGACTGACTACCATACAGATAGGTTGATAATGTCAATACGTAGGATATCTTCCTAAAAGAATCTAACACAATCCCACCTTCCATTTAGCTTGCAGAAATACATCGGCCTACTGAGTAAGCAACCAGGCATTGCGGCTGACTTAAAGAACATCTTTATGTCCATGGAAATGAACATTTTTTAAACATCTGTAAGCCCTGGTTTCTTGGTAAAGACAGTAATAGTAGTAAGTTTGAGTGGCCAGCTGTTTTCCATATGTTACTCAGAAACTTTTACACAAGTACTTACTTCCTGGTAGTGTTGAGTGAGTGCTAGACCTACATTACCTTCCTTAAAATGAGAAAGGAAAGTATGTCAAGGGACTGCATTCTGCTTCTGAAGAGCTATGTACTTAGCAAGTAGTTTACTCAGAAGTAAGAGCCTACAGCAAACTGATTTCAAAAGTCACTTAATCTTTTTAGACAGGCTGAACATGTCGTTCCAGAAGCAGCACGTGTAAATTCTCCCAAGACAAGCAACCCACTGACACTGGAAACTTGTGTTGAAGACCTATCATTTAAATGCGTTATGCTAAATTCTAGAGAGAAAGGAAGCAAAGATGATAAGATACGGTTTCTGCCCCCAAAGAGTTTTAAGGTTTTAAAGTAAATTGCCTTTGAGGCCTAAAAGAAACTTTCCCCTCTCCTCCTTTTCTTGCACTGACAGTTTTTCGTTTGTGTTTTTTAACAGTATTTCTTTTGCCCTTTGTATCCATCTTTCTATTATTTTCTGCCGTGTTGGTTCAATGATTATGATTTTGCTGCTAAAGTTTTTATTTCTTCAACTCGTCTGAGACTTAGCTTTACATTAAAACATTTCAAATAAATGTCAGAAAAGCAGTGTTAACTTTTTAAGACTTGATCCCGGTTGAGGGGCAACGTGCCCTTGTTAATTTCCCAAACATTAGGTAAATAAGTGAGGCGTGTTCCTGCCCTGTATTCTAATTGTCTGGCAAGAAAAATTTTCAGTTCAGGATGAGATGTTTGTCTCTTCCAAAATCTATATAGCATTAATCTCATTGAGATACCCCAAAATCCCAAATCTGAAGTATTGAAAAAAATACATAAAAGTAAGAAAGGGAAGTGATGTATCCCCTGGGATCTACTCTACTTTTTACAATAAAATGTGGCTATAAGAAAAAAAAAATCACATTATCTAATAATTATTAAGTAAAGCTCTGTTGTGTTTATTATTACATCGGCCTAACAATTCTCATGCCTTTTAAGCACTCTGATGGCTTAAAGAAGAAATACTACATAAAGACATAAAAAAGAAGAAATACTGCGTGTCTATAGGTATTTTGTGCATCTAAATTCACACTGACTTCTCAAATTATATAGCGCCAAGAAAACAGAACTACTCCAGTTTAAGAGAGTCTTTGCCGTTCTGAATATTGTTTCTAATAAAAGTACATGCTATTATTGAGAGAAAGCTATAAGAGCTAATGGATTAAATGTTGGGGTATATTCCCAATTCCACCAATGACTGAGATGTTACCCTTATGCCTTCCTGGGCCTCACTTTGCTCCTCTCTAAAATAAAGAAATTTAATTTTGTCTATTATTCCTTCCAAAAGCAAAATTCTACTGCATTTCTGAGACATGTGTGATACTTACGGCTGCGTTCAGTTTTCCACTTTCATTCATACTACTCACCTTAATCAGGGAATGTATTAATTACAAATTAAAGATAATTATTTGACTCATTAGGTTTAGGGTATATACATGTCAAATACCCTCAACCCTCCCTCCAGGTATATCAAACAAAACCTCGAGCTCCTACTGCTGAAATTCACATTTTCCTCTTACTTGATATCAACATGTTCTATTTTTATGTCTCATAAATTTAATTATCTGCTAAAATGAAGACTGAAGCCCAATGCCCCAAACACTAATTTCCACAAATACGGATTCAGAATAGGTTTCTAAAAATTTCAGTATCCTATTTGTCACAATTGTATTGAATCTATTATCTTTCATTAAATTATTCCGTGTGTGGGTCACTGTTTTGCCCTAAGTGATTTACCACCCAACCTTGCCCTCCTAAAATTATTTACAGTGCAGCTACACAACCGTTTTCAGCATGCTTTAGGCTTGTACTTCCTGGAGGGAACTTCACTTCAGTGACAAAACTATTCATCTGCGATGAACACTACCACTAGCTCCAGTGCCACCTCCCATGTAGCTATGCAGTCACTGCAAACATGAGCAAGCCTAATGCTTGCTGCATCGCACGTGATTTCATTTAACAAGCAGTAATTTCCCTTTTCTCTCTGAGAATGACTTGGTTCAATGTAAATAAAGGCCGTAAAGTTTAGTTGGAAGAGAATAAGAGAATATTGGAAGTTGTGTAGCCTGGAGTAATTGAGATATGCAGGATGTTCCAAGTTACAAGATTTATTGTGTATCTACAGACACTTTATGATACAAATGGCAATGAGCTAATAGTTATACGTGCTTCTGGTGTCATAGAACTTTAGATGTCATTTGTCATTTATTTAAAGGACAAAACTGAAGGAAGTTAGGTTAGGTTTAGGAATCATCAAAAGAAAAGAAAGTGTCAGCATAAGGAGCATCACAGGTTCCTATATCCTATAAGTTATAATATACATTGGAGATCAGAACTTTTTCTTTTCTATTTCTAATATTTAGATTACAGATGAGCTCAGAAGCTAACCTCAGAAACTATTTTAAGAATAAAACATTCCATCATTGCAATTGCGGGAATCTTATTGGCAATCATTATTTGCATGTTGGAAAAATGGTGGTAGCGGAGGTGATACAAAAAGGAGAAATCTAATGCTACCATTTTGACTTACTTTTACCAAGATTAAACATGGCCATCACAAAAGATTGGCTTCCTAAACTGTGGACATCTTCCCAGTTCTTATAAGTAAGGGATGGTTTACCTCAAAATAACACTGAATTAAAAGTGACTTGTGTCCAAAGAGCTAAAGTCAGCACAAATTATAACAGCCCATGGCTTGCTGAGTTCTCACAATTTCAAGCATTTGCCTAAGGCCTTCCTCACTCACTTCTTCTGTACTCACACTAGCTGACTTCGGGGGAATCCAGCAGTATTGCCGGCCCCCAGTGGCACAGTGGCACAGAGCAGCCTGCGACCACGAAGATGCCGGCAGATCCCCGTCACCTCCCTCCCCACCAAGTGTGTGGAGGGGCCAGCTCTCTCCGCCTCCCTGATCATTTGTTTACTGTGCTCAAGTTGGGATTCTTGGCCAATAGGCAGCTCAAGGGGGAAAGAAACACGGTGTCTTAAGTGCATTAAATCTTCATATTAGCCCCCTGGCTTGGTAAACCTTTATGTTGGCTTTGTTCTCTTTTTTTCAAGCATGACAAACAAGTGGTTTTTCTTTTTCACTTTAATGATTCTTTAAACAAAAAGGGGTAGTTTAGGGCTTTCTCCGAGGCTGATAGGTGTTTCTGTTTAATGAGGTTTTTATTATACTGTATTGGCTTCCCTGAAAAGAAATTACGAGCAGCAAACAGCTGATAATAGAAAAAGGCTGGAAGAAACAATAACCAAGAGGGGGAAAAAATTAGTGTGGCAGCAGATGCACGCGTTGTAGCTGCGGGATTAAATGCCACTTCCATTCTCCCTTGGCCACCATTGTGCAAGTAATAAAGTGAATGTGGACACTTATGTGCCAGTTATGTGTGTGCAAAAGATATAGATATAGATATAGACTCAGCTAAACTGCCATCTGTGGAGGAAGAAGGCTGGTGAGCTCAGTCTAGACAAAGATGAGTGAAGCTCAGAGTGCGGGGTTTACAAGGGCTGGTCGGTTACCATGGAAACTAATTGGAGCTAATAAGTAAAGGGACATTTTAACTGTGGGAACAGAATAGGAGGGGCTATTTTTCAATATCACCGTTACCTACAATTAATCTTTCATTTTAGGAGTGTCTTTACTTAATTCTTATTATGAAGCGCTTCACTCTGTGCACAACCTCACCCTGCTCAATGTACTTGAAAATTCGGCATATCATCTTTTAGAATGTGCTGTATTTTAGGTTTAGATCTTTCAAGACAGAATCAATTTCACTTTTTTTTTTTTCTTAAAAAATAAACTGTTTGCAGATGGCAAAGAGAAAGGAAGGGAGGTAATGGAAAATTCTTAACTTCTAAACTGACACTCCGCTGAGCACTAAAGCAGACTACAGAGAGAAGGGGAGCTGGGACCTTATCCTGCAGCACCAACTTCAGGTTTTTGTTTGAGTTGATTTTCCCTAACAAAAGCATTTCAGAACAACAACGAAAAATGTGCCTTTGTGGACTTACTCTTACAATACTTTCCAAAGGTAGCATTTACAGCTACTGCAGAAGCAAGTATTAAGATCATAGCAAACAACCACATCTATTGCATCCTTGTATTTTTTATTTTAAAGCAAGTATTAAATCGTGTAAATAGCTGAAGTTATCAATAAAAGAGAAGCAGTGACTGAGTTTTAATGAAAAGATCTACAATTAATAATAGAATAAAATGTCCGTGTTAAAAAGCACTTTAAACAATAATGTAGGTCAGAACCAGGCCCATTTGGGAATGCCTCATAGACAGTGTGTTACAAGCACAGGGTTGATAAAGCTTCTTGATTCCGCATCTGTACAGTTTCTTAGGTTTTACTTTTGTAACTCAATTTACAGTTTAAGAGAATGCGAACTACCTTAATAATGTCTCTGGGGTCTTCAAAATCTATGCAGTTGAGGTAATCCAGATTTCCAGACATGGGTCTGGTTGGATTAACCCCCCTCCCGCCAAAACAGGAAAAAAAAATACCTTACAATAATTGGCACTATTAAAAATTTTATGATGCCCAAGGGAAGTTAGAGCCCCGTTGTGCCACTTGCCATTGTTGAAAATGTTTGTGTTGATTATGTATCTGGACTTAGCTGATTAGGAGTAGTTTAGTGAATACACAATATATTGTGAAACAGACACCTCATAATCACTTCTGAGAAGCAATTGAGCAAATGAATCAGGACTTTAACTTCTGATTCTTTTTCTTCCCTCCTTCTTCTTTATAACTCAATTATAAGAAAAAAATGCACTGCAGAAAAATTAGTTTTCTAATTTTGTACATCAGAAAATTGCACCCAGAATAATTTTTAAGTATCTTAATATAATACCACACACAAAAATTCTGGAAAAACACAAGCTAGTCAAATCAATGTTGCTAGAAACTGAAATAATTCTCCTTGTGATACTAGCATGCCCATATTAGATAACTATTTATAGTCTAAATTTTAAGGCATTAGGCAAGTTTAAGAGTTTTTTTGTTTTTTTTTTAAAACAATCCCCCTCCCAGTTCAAAGAAATACAAAAGGTGCAATACTTAAAATGTTGGCTTCCCACAGACACTGTCAGGAAGTTGGTAGTGTTTAAAATTCCTATTTTCTCTTTCAGTTTATCAAAATTCCTTAGATATCTGATGGAATTTTTGAAATTGTGAGATTTGTGGCAATTAATTGATTTCCAGATATCTTCTTAAAGTACTGTAACAAGTATAGCCATTTTCTGGTTCAGACTGCTGTCAAAGTACTTACTTTCATTAAACAGTTCAGAAAACCAAAAAAAAAAAAAAAATGCCCCTAAGAAGAAGGTATTGAAATGACCAAAAATTGAAAACATTTCAAAGCAAAATTGTTAATGAGCTGTTTGAGCTATATGGACATTATAAGTGCAATTAACTAGAAGCCAATAAAAATAATCAATGACAGAGTGCAGCCCTCTGGTACCAAAGTGCTTTTACAAAGAGATGTCTGTGAAAGCAGCAAGTGATTAAAAAAGCCACCTTTATCTATGGGAGCGCGTGCTATTTTACATGAGTAGAAACGAAAATGATTTTCATTGACTATTTCTGAAGTTCAGCCTGTGGCAAACAGTGAAGAGCTGTGTGTGGGAATAGAGAAGTTTCTGCTCTTAGCTGCGCCCCCACCCCCTCCTTGCCAAGAATGTTGGAGGCAGCCACGATCTAATCAAAGAAAGGTAGGAGTTTAGATTTCAAAATGTAGATGTCACATTTCAGTGCCAACTACTCCTACATTAACCCTTTATCAGCAAGTCAAGATGAACCTTTTATCTCCTATGGAAGGGAAAACGTCTTGCTGAGATGGCCCTTCCATAGACGGGCAGTAAAAATGTTTAGGGTTTCTGTGCATCCCACTGAGGGTCCCCATCATCTCAGGGGGAGCACGAGGAGTTGTGAAAAGTAACGCACAACTGGTCATCAGAATAATTCATTCCCTCCACCTTCTCTGTAGCACCTCCCACTTCTCCTCTTTTTATAGCAGTCCTTTCTCTCTGAAAATCTCAGGTTACTTGACTGGGAGTTCTCAGACCTCCAGTTTCAGCCCTGCCCTCAGCCTCCAATCCGTAAGAGACACCCAGCCCCAGCAATTGGATTGGGCAGCCCGTCTTGACACACCACTGTGCTGAGTGCTTGAGGACGTGTTTCAACAGATGGTTGGGGTTAGTGTGTGTCATCACATTCGAGTGGGGATTAAGAGAAGGAAGGCTGCCTTGCTGGAGCTGTGTGGTCTTCTCCAAGTGAGAGTCGCAGGCAATAGAACTACTTTGCTTTTGGAGGAAAAGGAGGAATTCATTTTCAGCAGACACAAGAAAAGCAGTTTTTTTTTCAGGTAAAGTAAAAGACATTGAATGCTTCTCTCCCCCTCTCTCTTTTAGCATAGTTTTGAATGGAATGCTAGCACGGCACACTTGTCAAAGCCAGTTGTTGCTGTCCTATCAATGCTGCTATTGTACGGCTGACAGATGACGGTGAGCATAGCTTGATGCTTGGCTGTCTTTGTAGAACTAACACTCCTCATGCCTTGCTTTTGAAGGTGTAGCTAAGAAAATACCTTTGGGAGCCGCGTTTGTACCTTTTCATATCCCCGTTGTATACTCAAAACAGGAGCTATAACTTGCTTGTAGAGGATAGATAAGGCTGAGAAAGGATTTATTTTAGCTTTCAAAATTAAAATTCACTTTCAAACTGTTGCATTTTACTGCTCAATTTATAAAGATTCTTTGAAGGGTCTATTACTGAGTTGCTGGCAGAGGTGGAAGTGCTTTCTTCACCGATTTGTGCAAGGTAGATTATGTCTGATTTATGACAGAGCAAAGGGTGTTTTAAAATATTTTTGGAGATTGACTCTGAAGTTTGGAAACTCCTGAAGAGAAGGGGCTACCCTCTGAACAGCCACTAGGTCGGCTTTAAAACAAAAATGCTTAGAGCTGGAAGAAAAGCAGAGAAGGAAGAAGGAGGAAAATGCTCTTTAACATAGCCCTCTTGCAGCTGCAGGGAAAGCAGATGGAGGTAATTGATTTGCAGATCTGTTTGTGAAAGTTTTACAAGTCATGGAAAACTAAAGTAGCATCTCTGTAATGGATCATTAAGAGTCACTACATTTATAGGTTTTAGACCGGCTAAGTGAAGTGTTAATTAAACGTAAATAGATTTTCAGGTTTGGTTATAAACAGACAAACAGAAAGGATTTAATTATAAACTAGTCATTGGAAATTAATAGTCATCTGGTGCCTGAGCAACACAAAATGAGTTGTCATCATATATGCGAGTAGCCGTAACGGCTCTACCAAAAGCACCCACCAATATTGAATTGAACTATTTATAAATATAAGAAGGGGGTTTATATGCTATGTTTAATTTATAGTATTAAAAAAAAGGCCTTTCAATTCAGGCTCTATTTTCACAGGGATCAAAACATAAAATTTTTTATTTTCCAAATTTTCTAGCAAGATAGGTGAGCCAATGAGACTTCTGCTACCCTAATATACTTGCCCTCCGATAGCAACATTCATATACCTGTGGTATGCAGAGCTTCTGGCTCCTACTGGACTTTCACATTTGGCAGAGAAATCCAGCATTATCCTCACCCTTTGCAGGTGAGAGATTCTATGAATAATATTGTATATAAGCTGTTCTGAAATAAGAGCTGTTTGGTAGGTTGAATAACAGGATTTATGGCTAGTGCTTTGTGATTTTAGTATTCGATTGCATAAAGATGCCTGTAAAATTATGTTTCAAGTTGCATTATACATATTTTTGCAACCATGCAGATAATTTTTTTAAAATCCTTTTTTTAAAAAAGTTAAGATTAAAACAATATTTTAATATGGTCTTTAATTTTTATTCAAAATGTTCTCCAGTTATACTCTCAAACTTCTCCTTCAATGAGAAATTATCCTCATAAATACCCAGGCAGTTATTCCGACTGAGTATTATCTGATTCCCAATATTACATAACCAAAATAGATCCAAGTTCATAAGCTGAAGTCTTTCGGAGTTCCAGTCATTCCATTTTGGCTTTACAATGGAAATGAGGTTTTAAAAAATAAAGACAGAAAGGCAAGCTAATATCTCGTGTTGTATCAGGATTAGAACTACATGGACAGCATATAGCATGCATGGTGCTAACTACCAATACCATTTTTCACTACTGCAGAAATATTTCACAAGAAAGTCAAGTGCCTCCTCACAGATCGGATTTTCCTCCCTGAGATGTGGCATGATGGCATCTAACAGAGGCAAGGTGCTATTTAGCAACAGGTGCCCCACCAGCATACATCCCTGATGTTGCAGATCGATCACAGGGCTGCCTGGACAGGACTTTGACAGTATGGGACAATTCCCCTGAAAAAAACAATTGTACACAGGATTAGGCAGGATAGAAACAAGAAAGGAAGTGTGGAGAGATAATAAATTCACACCTTGAAACGGCAGCCGTGTTTTTGTCCCCCTAACAGGGTAATGTGAAGTTACTTCGTGAACTGAAAGGGCTTGCTTGAAACACAGTGTCCACAGGGCAATCCCAGCTTCTTGTCAAAATCAAAATCTACTGTCCCAGGTGGTAAACATGCAGAGACATATTTATGGCGACCTCTACATACCTCAGTTTGACATTTGGTTTCTTCCTGACAGCACTTGTGCTGGTAATACACATGAAGTTCCCATCAGCATTCTACCAGCTGTGAAAGTGTTTGAGCACACGGGATATCCCTTCCAGAGAAGCGAAAAATAATGGAGGTTGAGGAGATCTGAAATGTGCACTCGGTATGCATTAAGGTGACAGATCTTAGAGGTGAAAAGTGATCTGAAAGCTTGATTTGTGAAAGTGACAAAATTCATTTTTATGGTGGTGTGCAATACCAAAATACATTAGTCCAGGTATTCACTGAATCCATGGTAGGTTATGAGTAGGAACCTCCATCAGGAAACTAGAAGGGTTCTACTCTGTTTTCCTTCTAAGAAAATGTAAGTGACTTCATGCAGATTGTTGTAGCCATTTCCATCATAATAGTAGAGACAAGTGGCAAATGGGACATTTCCTATTTCCTTCCCTAATTATGTATCCATATTGGAAGGGTTAGAGGTTTGTTTCTTCTGTGTTTTATATTGAAAATGGGTTTATTCTTTAAAAATCCTAGGACCGGGCACAGTGGCTCACGCCTGTAATCCCAACATTTTGGGAGGCCGAGGCGGGTGGATCACCTGAGATCAGGAGTTCAAGTCCAGCCTGGCCAACATGGTGAAACCCCAAGTCTACTAAAAATACAAAAATTAGCCAGGCACGGTGGTGGGCACCTGTAATCCCAGCTACTTGGGAGTCTGAGGCAGGAGAATTGCTTGAACCCGAAAGGCGGAGGTTGCAGTGAGCCGAGATCGTGTCATTGCACTGCAGCCTGGGTGACAAGAGTGAAACTCCGTCTAAAAAACAAAAAAAACCATAAAGCAAGATTTCTGATACTGAGCTATATATAGTATTGAGATTTCCCCAACCATCGCCACATAGATGAGGCCAACCAAAGAGTCAGCTCAGGACATCCGGTTTTTTTTCCCCTGTGCAATATTTTTGTGTGGAGAACATAAAGTAAATTTAAGGGGATTAAAATTTTTAAAACCAGACTCTAAATAGATGGTCGCTTTTATCATTATTGACTTTGGGGAGAAGGAGGCTCATGTATGAAACTAAGTCTATGATCATGTGGTAAATTCAGCTTTTATTTAGGTTAGAACCATGAAAATTTTTGAAAGGAGATATCTTATGGAAAAAAATTGTCCTGAAATATGTTTCCTATTTAAATTCTTTTTAATCTATCTTAATATCCTGAGGAGGTGGGGAATTCGCCAGTTAGCCTTTTTTTCCCCTCTCATATTTTCCTCTCCCCTATAGCCAGTCTGTCATCAAATTCTGTGAGTCCTTCCTTTAAAATATCTCCCACATGTGGCCCATAGCTACCATCCCAGCGCAATGATCATCTCACATGTGGGCCATTGCAACAGCCTCCTAAATGGTCCACTTGCCTCCATTTCCCTCTTCTGTCTACTACTGCAGACTCAGCTTCCTAAAATGTCAGTTTCATCAAAGCTCTTCTAGTCTGAAAATTACCACATAAACCCTTACTACCCATAAAATGAATTTCAGTCCTATTCTAATGTGCTGGCCTTCTATTATTTGGCCCGAACTTTCCAACCATTTCTCCCCGCCAAATCCCCACAACCTCAGAAGTCTACCCTTCCTTCCAGCTAAAGTGGGCAGCACAGCATCTCTACTTTCTAGCCTTTTCTTTCAGCCCTAACCACTCTAGTTTTCTATCTTGTCTTTAAAATGAGTTTGTCATCATGTGCACGGTTCCTTCTAAGTCTACATTCATAAGCCTGTGTGTAAAATGCCCCACTCAGTTCATCCTTATCACCTCTATATATTCATCCTTCAAAGTTTCAGCTTAAGTTCCACCGCCTTTGAGAAGCCTCTCTGACCGCTACCTCTTCCAGCAATGCTTTTCTTCCCTTCATGTTGACCACTGGTTATCTATGGATTGCACTTAAAACAATTGCTTTATTTTTTATTCTGCTCTATAGTTTGCTTCTTTATTCCTTGACTTCTCAGGTGGAGTGACAGGGACTGGCCTGGTCCACTTTAATGACCCACAGAAGACCCTAATAAGTGTGCTTACTAAACTCACCAGGACATTCGAACACTCAAGACACTTTCCTCTCTAGAGTTACCCCAATTTAGAGCCATTCACTGGCTCCGGTAGCTTCCTCCCCACCCAGGACAGGAAACGAAAAAAAAAAAAATGAAACTCAGTGGGTTTTATTTGGGGGAAACTTAAGGAAAATGCCCCTAAGGCAGAAAGTGAAATAATTGCCCCAGATTAAGCTTGAGTATTATATGAAAAATCCCTATGAAGTTCAGCTTTAACTGTAGTAGAAATTACATGTATTGGCTGCTGCTCTATCATAAAATCCCAAATATGGCTTTGGAGCAGGAGAGTACAGGCTCTGGGTTCAAACAGACCTGTGTTCTAATCCAGGGACCACCTCTCTAGCTGTGTGGCCTTGGACAGCGAACTGACCCATTCTGAGATTCAGCTCCTTCCTCTGTAAAATACAGATAGGAGTACTTATCTTGGGAACATTTTAAAGAAAACACATAAATCACCTAGCTCAGTGCATATCCAATATTGTATGTTCAATAAATGGAAGTGAGAGAGGGTTGATTGGTGCATATGTAGATCCAGACCTAGGATGCAGGAATGACAAACGTTCAGCTATGTCAGTCATTAATCCTATGTATCTATGATGTGCCTTCCTTTAGCATTTTCTTCTGCCACCAAAGGCAGGGGAATAAGGAAAGGAGGGAGAGAGCAAGGGAGAGAAAGTGAGAGAGAGAGAGAGAGAGAAGGAGGGAGGTGCTCTTGGCATTTAGGGATTTGGAGCAACTGAGCTAATGGCTCTGTAGGGACAGTAGTGACAGTTAAATACACGTTGAGGGAGAAATGAAGCATGAAGCCCTGGGTCCTGCACCAAGGATAATAAAGAGCAGGCCCTGGGCCACTGTGCTATGCTGTTGGGGAACAAAGGACCCCATCCCTGTACCATAGCAGGGATTTGGATTCTCTAAGGGTCATGTGCTTCCCTTCTTTCCTCCTGGCTCACCATCTAGAAAGAAATATTAATAAAAACTTGGCAAAACATTGTAGAGAGTCAGATCGAGCTTCCAGAAGTAATTGATAAAGCAAGATACCATTTAGACTTCACCTTCAAACCAAATTTAACAAAAAAGCTGAAAGCAATCAGCTTGAGCCCCTTACCATTCCCAAACTCTGCACCCATCATCAAACATTGAACCTTCTATTTCTGCCTTTTCCCTGGAAGGGCAGCTGACTGTGAAATTCTCTAACAAGGCACTGAATGCCACTTAGCAAATATGTCCTTAGACATTGGATATTCAGTTCTAGCTTTCTGATCATCTGGTCTGCACCTGCCCTCAGCCAGGGAGAGGAAAGAAACTGGAACTGCCTGGGATGATGGGTAAGGCAGTATTTCTGGAGATCCCTCCCTCTCCCTAGCAAACATATCTATCAAATTTTCAAAGAGAGGCATTAACAATCACATTTGACACCATCGTCACCTGTAGCCGCTAAGCTAGTCTTCGTTGCCCTCTAAATATGTGGTCCATGTACTCCTGCACAGTAGTGTATTAAACTTTTTAAATTTTAATTTAATTTAATTTTTTGAGACAATGTCTCACTCTCTCATCCAGGCTGGAGGGCAATTGCAAGATCATAGCTTACAGCAGCCTCCGTCTTCTGGGCTCAAGTGATCCTCCTGCCTCAGTCTCATGAGTAGCTAGGATTGCCAGCATGCACCACCATACCCAGCTATTTTTTATTTTTAATTTTTTAGAGACTGGGTCTCACTATGGTACCCAGGCTGGTCTCAAACTCTTAGCCTCAAGTGGTCCTCCCAGTTCAGCCTCCCAAAGTGCTGGTATTACAGGTGTGAGCAACCACACCGGCCCTAAGCCACTTTTAATTAAAAAAAAAAATGTAGCTCTTCGCTTTACCTTCAAAGGTTAAATTTTTCTTTTGCTGTTTTATTTTTGTTTTTGTTTACTACACAGGTACAAACCTGTAGGAAACTATGTCTACGTTTTCTAAAATATGAATCTAAGGGACTTGGACATGCTACTGTTTAACTGCTGTCGGTGAGATTAATACTAAATCTCTGTGCGGAATAAATGAACAGACAGATTGTGTTTCTCAATCAAAAGTTTTAATTGTAAAAGGTAGACTCTCTCAAAATAAATCTATAAATTTTGGGTCGTACTAATCAAATTCTAAAATAAAGTTAGAAGGCTTGTGATGGGAGTGGAGTTTGGGAACTGGCAAGAGTCCACATGGCTCTTGTTGAATATAAACTAAAAAACATTCTAAAGCTGGATGGACAATCAATTCATGAGCAAGCCTAGACATTTTCATAAAACAGTATCCTTGTAAGATGGGGATTTGTCTTATTACATATCCAATCACATTATACCATAACAATTGAATTGTCTGTTCTTAAGCAATGGACTCTGATGTAGATTTCATCTACTGTCATGTAGTTTTCCTCTTGCTCTTCTTTGTTTTGCTCTATTCTTTTGTTGGCATTGACCAAATCTTCAGCTGAGCAACAAACTGCTGTAACCAGATGCTAGTTCTGTTGCTAGAATTAATGGAAACTCTGAACTAATTTTTTTATTTTGTCCTATGATCTTTCCAATCAGTAAATAGTGTTACTAATACATGCAACTTTTTCCACTTCATAGTACGCAAATAATTTCTGAGACAGGTTTGTTTCAAGAACTCAGGAAAATCTCCTTGTATTCCTTTGATGACAGAGGCTCAAAGATTATTCAGTCTAAGTGTCTTCCCATTTTCCTGAACAACACTGGCACATTTAGCCCATTCTTAAAAACCAAAATGGAAATCTGAAATACAAAGAGTTCTGTTTATTGTCCAGTTTTTTTGGTATGATGTTACAGGCATAATCTGCTATATTAATTTAAAGTAAAACTAAAGGTTACACAATTAAAAGATATTAGCTATACCAGAATTATGGTGGGAAAAGACTAATTGCATTCCAATGTACATTTATTGATCAGTTACTTTAGAAGTGTGCACCTCTAGATATTATCTTCAAACTCCTATCACAAATATGCCTTTGCTTCCCAATCACCTTTCTGTCATATAACATGTGTTCTGAATAGACTTCTTGCCAATTTAAAGTTTCACCCTTAACCTTCACCTGCCAATAATCAATCTTCTCCTGAATAGAATGTCCCTGTAAACAGATGTGCTTTACCGTGCATCCAGAAATTCTTGAAACCAGCTTTTAACTTTCATCTTATAAAAAGTGCATCCCACAAAAGACAGGCCCCCTACAAATCATGTTCTCTTTTTTTCTTCTGAGAACTTTATGCTGGTAAAAGAAAAGAAAGTTTTCCGAATATAACAGATAAATAAAAGCATAGGACATGTAATATTTTTTACTTGGGATGCCTAGAGGCTTTACATGTGTTATCACATTCTTTTTCATATGTGATATTGAGATTTAGTAAAGGAGATTTATGATATGGACCCAATATCAAACAGATTAAATCTTTTTATTTTACTTTGACTCAGTTTCCTTCTCTGTAAAATGGAGTTAAGTTTATCACAAAAGGTTGTTATAAAGATTAGATGAGATAATAAAATAAGATGCTTAACACAGAATATAGAACAGAGAAACTGCACAAACACAAAACACAAAAGCTACATTTTTGTTCCAAGATGGCAAAAGACATGGCTTGAGCTGAGGCTTGGTGATAAAGTGAGTATGTCCTTTTCAAATAAAAATAGCCCTTCTTAATCTCATGATCTGTATGACACAATTTGGAAATATAATGAAGGTGGCCACTTGGCAAAGAAGAGAAAGAGGAAGAGGGAGGGAAAGAGGATAGAGGCAAAGAAGAGAAAAAAAGGAATGGAAGAGGAGGGGAAACATTGTGATCCTCTCTTGCCTCTGCTCTGTGCCTTGCTATAATAAGCATTTCATGTCATAGCTAAGTCAGGCCAGATTCTAGAGTGTCCTAACACATCAGGTAGAGAGGTTGGACTTGATAGCTAAACAGATGCCTTAGGAAGTTCAAGCAGTAGGTTTTTAAGAATAAAGAGAGATTAAGGAAAAATGAGAGTGACAGTGAGTGAGCAGAGACAGAGAGAGAAAGAGAGAGGGGGATAACAAGACAATTGATCCCCAGAGTTCAAATAAATTAAAAAAAAAATGTTGTCTATTCCCATCGACGCAGTGGGAATAAGGAAAGGATGGGTGTAAGAAACATGGTGAAGAAATAAATAACAATAATGCAACTTGGTGATTAGTCAAATAGAGGACAAAAGAGAGAAAAATACTGAGGTATCAAGCCCAGGACACAGGGAAATGGTGGCTCAATCTAAAGCTACTGAAAATGGAATTTCATTCGGCAACACAATACATTCCCAAAGTGACAATGGTCATTATGGAACAAATGTTTATCTGTTATCTGTGAACAGACTACACTCAATAGAACTTTATAATGCAAACATATGTAAATATATGTGTATATCAATGTTTAATAATATATGTGCTGCTGAAGCAAGCACTCAATGTTTAATAATATAATTTAAATAGATACAATCTAATGTTCTGATCATTGGTGGGCATTAGACAGAATACACAACTGTGATTTTCATAAGGCATATGCCGCCTTAGATTTAAAAAAAAATTTTCTCAGATTAAGAAAATGGTTGGCCAAGTAACAATCTAGCATTTCTATAACTTTGGGGAAGTTACGGATATTCGAGTCAAAATACTCAACTACATCTGCATAACACCTATATAATTCTCTTCTTTTGACTAAGAGACTGTTAGTGGAGCGGAACATGAAATTTAAAAAGTCTAGAGGCAAGAAGAGATGAAATATTTAAGTTGCCTATGCTCACAAACCTTCATATTCTACCTTGGAGGAGGCTGATTGACATCCTTTCACAGAATGTACCAATGACTTATTCACAAATGAAATACACGTTCCCTTCTTCACTACAAAGACAAATCATCCTTAATTTTATGATTTGGGAATGGTTTCCCCATTCCCCTGCTTTTCTTTCTATCCCCTTTTGTTTTGTCCTTTTTTGTTTTATTTGTTTCAACCATTTCCTATTCAAAATAAGAGGGCCATTCTCTAGTCAAGTCTTCCTACTAAATCAATGGGCAGTTTTCAGAACTAGGTATAGATTTCTTAGAAGTAGAAGATTGTGTTTGCCTTTTCAAACTCGTGCATTATATGTTGGAGGCAGCATGACTGAAAGAATACAGAGCTTGAGTCAGCAAAATCTGGAACTGAAATGTAGCCCTGTTACTGAAAATTTGTGGGAATAGCATTGACCATGGAGACTTGACAGCATTTTCGTTCCTCAAAAGAGACTTGGGTCCCATTCAAGTTTTTAATGAAGACTTTGGCCTGTTCTATGTTACCCAACTGGGTTTTCTGAACCATATTCCCTAGTTCCCCTGGAAGAAACGCCAGCCTAAGTATCAGCACCTGTAATCTATTTCTCACTCAGGGTTGCCAGACATGAGGGATTAATTGACATGAGCCAGTTTATATTTGGAAGCCATTAATGGCTAGCAACTGAATTGTTGAGACATCCAGTGCAACGAACCAGAGAGGAAAGAATAACACACAAGTGCCATAGTTAGATCAATAAACATCATCTTCGGCAAGCACAAACGTTGGGTTTAGCTGCCAAACTTAAAACTAGGTCTCTTCATCTAGTACCCACTTAGGTCAATGGGCCAGGGTCCTGGTATAGAGATTAGGGACTGAAACATGAGTTGATATTTCCAAACTTCTTAATTTTGGATTGTCTAAGTTCAGATTTCAATTCAAGATTCTACTCCTACATGTTACGCTTTTAGATCTGTCTTGGAGGTACAAAGACTTCTGGAATTAGAGAAGTTTGGTCCTTCTAAGAAGAGAAAAATGAATAAGTAGAGAAGTCAGAAAAAAGAATACAATGCAGTCAAAACATGTTCTGTCATACAGAGTCACCTTACCTTTTCGATGTAAAAACCAGGACAGAAAACGGGGGGAAAAATAAGCTATATGAAAAACTTCATGTATAGCAATTGTTATTCTCATTAGCCTTTCTTCTACAAAAATAGCTGTCTATTCATCTAACATTCTGGTGAACTACTACAGTAGTCTCAGAAGTGAAATTAAAAGTGTTCCTACAATTGCTTCTACCACTGTCATAACCCCTTTGGAAGCTTAGAATACTCCACTTAACTTCCTCATCTGCTTCAGGCAAATCATATTTCTTGTTGCGCAAATAAAATTAAAATGTATATTTTATTATTCCCCTGGTAACTTTTCAAGTCTGAAAAAATAATTAAGCACACTATTAGCAATGAAATAAAATTTGCTGAATAATGACAGCAGTGTTGGAGCCAGGAAAAAGAGGCAGGGTGGTACAGTGGAAAGATATTAGAAATCTGGATTCTAGAACTTGGCTACTATTAATAGTGTGATTTTGAGCAAATTAGTTAAGATTTCAGGAGCATGCCATCATCTCTTTGCCTGCATTCTGCCATTCCCTTCACCTAGATGGCATTATTCTCCTTCTTTACTGGCAAACTCTGCTCTTCCTTTAAGACAAGCTTAAATAAATAAAGCATTCTCCTTTGTTTTTTTTTGAGAAAGTGTCTCGCTCTGTCACTCAGGCAGGGTGCAGTGGTGTGATCATGGCTCATTGCAGTGTTGACCTCCTGGGCTTAATAGATCCTCCCACCTCAGCCTCCCAAGTAGCTGGGACCTCCAGCACACACCAGCCTGGCTAAATTTTTCCTATTTTCTATAGAGATGGGTTCTCCCTATGTTGCCCAACTGGTCTCAAACCGCTGGGCTAAAGCAATCCCCTGCCTCAGCATTCCAAAGTGCTAGGATTACAGGTGCAAGCCACTGTACCCAGCCTAAGCATTCTCCTTGAAACTAAAAAGAATGGTTGGAGGAAAGAGGAAGGACTTCAATCCAGTTCTGCATCACCTCGTGCATCTGAAATAAGCTCTGTACCTTATCTCTTTCTTATCTCCACTCATCTTACCTACTGCCATTAAACTCATCTTATTTCTACACTGTTTCATCATATCACTCCACTACTCTAAAACACCTGTCTCCCAATTTTCTGCAGCATCCAGTCTAAATAAATGACCAGCAATTAAGAACCTCCATGATCTTTTCCACTATGACCATCCCACTCCCCCTATACACTTTCTGCTCTTTCCTAAAGTGGTTCAACATGTCCTGAATTTACATCTTTACTTCTGCTACAAGGCACGTGCTCACACTGTTTTCTGGGCTAGGACTGCCTCCCATCATGGTTCTGCATGTCCAAATTCCATCCATCCTTGAAAAGAAAGACTCAAGCCTCATTACCTCCATGGAACTTTCTTTTCCTAACTCTTCCAACCATCAATAATCTCTCTCTCATCTGTGCTCTTTTTCCACTTAAAATCTTGTCACATAATTTTAGCTCTTAATTATGTACAATTTTGCATTTATTCTTATTCTCATCATTTTTTTAAATTGCCTTCTCTCTCTTATATTTTGAGAAACAGTAAGACAAGTTGAGTTTTGAGCCTCTGCATCTATCAAGCATAGCTTCAAGGTGGTAGAGCCAGTACATCCTAAAGGCCTTCATTACACATTCACAGTTAGAATGATCAAGGACTACTGGGATAGAACATTATATTTTAGTCATTGAGAATTTTAGGAAACTAATCAGCAGCACATTCACAACTACCCCGGGCATTCTTTTGACAATGTGGAAGGCACCATCTCATGCACTGATTCTCTGGCTCAGATTTTTTGTTTCCATCTTCTGCCCACATCACTCTCCAGGGCTGCATTTGCGCCAGCTGGATTCCATCCAGAAACAGATTCAAATAGACAATAGGCCAACTAGAATTCCCATCTTCCTTGATTAGATGTGAAATTGTATAGCTGGGTGTCACTCACATGCCAGCCACTCAGGATTCTATGTTATCAATTAATTTCTCTTGAGAGCTGAACTGAGGAGATTGTGACAATTCTGTTTTCAAGGACCTGTAAAATAACAGCTAGACCAGATTTTTATGGATAGTGCTAGATATATAGGCCTGTCCACTATCTGCCGCATAGCATAAATTAAAACACCCTGTTAATTTCATAGTAAATCGTATTGGGTGTTTTTTTCTTCTGCAGTGTGAATGGATTGTAAAAATTTTGTCTAGGAATGGCATTCTCATTTGTAGGACAATTAGCAACTGAGGTAAAAGGTTTATATTACTTAGAAGAAAGACGAACTTATTGCACACTGTCAAAACTACTGAATCTTATTTGTTGTTGTTGCTTCAATAACTTAGAATTTGCAGTGGATTTTCCAGGAAAGGATATCATAGAAACACAGAATGTTGGAGGCGTACCTCCAACAATCTAAGCTAAATCTAAGCAGAATGTTGGAGGCATACCTTAGAGATCATCTAAGCAGAATCTCTCAGTTTACATCTGAGGAAACACAGGACTGGGTTTGTTGGGAGACCTGCCTAAAATCACAAAACTCATTCTTACAAGGCAGAGTTCTAAATCCAGGCTTTATCTTTCTAAAAAGTATGAGTCGGTAAATTCTACCGGGATGAAAATGAGTTCATGTGTCCACTTTACATTGGGACCCGACAAGGAAAAGAGATGAGTCCAGCTCCCTTTTCGACCATGGACTTTCTTGCTGAGGGCTACCGTGAGTAATCAGGCAGTGTAAATGATGATTGGGACTGGAACAAATACAAGAAAAAGCTTTTTTTTTTTCAGATGTACTCCTTATGGAAAATCTGTTCTAATTGAGATCACCAAGCACCGTTGCTATGGATGATCTGTGCAAACATGCAGCTTTATCATAGAGAAACTTCTTTGTAAAAGCATTTTTTAACATACACTTAAAGAACACACTATCCACTGTTGATGATGACAATATTAACCATTACGACTTCAAAACAATTTTCACTTGCACTAAACCACTGGAACTTGTAATATTTGAGTAAGGAAAGCAGTGTGTCATTTCTGTACACCAGAAAACTGAAGCTGAGGGACAGCATGCCATTTGCCTGAGTCTAAACACCTGAGTGAGGTAATTAGTGTTAGAACTCATGTCTTCTGGATCCCACTTCACTGCCTAATACTTCAAATGATTTCAAATATACCATATTTGGTCAATATTAGGGATACCTATTGCATTAGAACAGTTGAACTGTCCCCTTAGTAATGTCACCTTACTGGGAAATAAACATTTGAATACTTCCTCAAGTACTGGAACTTTCCCAAGAGAAGTATATGAGCAATATTCTTCATAGCTTAATAAATTACATGATTGTATATACAATTATGCATCTATATAATTTGCATTTGAAGCTGATTTATTTGTAAAAGAAGTAGCAGTATTCATTATTAGATTATAAATGTATTTCCTAGTCATAACTTCCATTTGTTATTTTGTACTATAAGGAATAACAATTTAATAACTCAAAATAAAAAGATTAATTTAGAATATCCTAAGTATGATTCTGACTTTTTAAAAAAGTTTTGTTTTTCACTGCATGTTCTCACTCATAGGTGGGAATTGAACAATGAGAACACATGGACACAGGAAGGGGAACATCACACTCTGGGGACTGTTGTGGGATGGGGGAGGGGGGAGGGATAGCATTAGGAGATATACCTAATGCTAAATGATGAGTTAATGGGTGCAGCACACCAGCATGGCACATGTATACATATGTAACAAACCTGCACATTGTGCACATGTACCCTAAAACTTAAAGTATAATAATAATAAAATAAAAATAAAAATAAAAGTTTTGTTTTTAAGACATGTTCTAGATTTCCTTTTTGGTGTTGTAAGTATCTCAAGAAAGCCATTATGATTTCCAGAGCAATGAAAGAAATACGTCATAGGAAAAAGAGCATTTTCGTTCATATTTTTAGGTTATTGGTCATATTTCAATCCACTGGAAAATGTGATTGCAAATCTGGTTAGATTTATAAAAATATCAGGCTTACCAGTATTACAACTTCTTATGAAAGTGTGAATTCTGTTGAGAATGTGAAGATAAAGTGGCAGAATAATTATCTTTTTTTATATCTAAACTTTATAATAGTGAATGCTGTTGAAAAAGGGATTCTATGAAAGTTATTTTTTGATCCATAAGAATACTTTGTTCATACTATTTTCCTTTTCTTAAATTTCCAATTTTTATTTTAAGTTTAGGGATACATGAGCAGGTTGTGCAGGTGTGTTCCATAGGTAAACGTGTGCCATGGTGGTTTGCTGCACAGATCACCCCATCACCCAGGTATTAAGCCAAGCTTCCATTAGCTATTCTTCCTGATGCTTTTCCTCCTCCCAACCACTCACCCTATGACAGGCCCCGGTGTGTGTTGCTCCCCGCCATTGTGTCCATGTGTTCTCATCATTCAGCTCCCACTTATAAGTGAGAACATGCGGTATTTGGTTTTCTCTTCCTGAGTTAGTTTGCTAAGGATAATGGCCTCCAGCTCCATCCATGTCCCTGTGAAGGACATGATCTCTTTCTTTTTTATATTCATACTATTTTCAGCTAAGCCTATACATTAGACACTTCTATAAAACAGTGCTTCCCTATTTCCTATTTATATCTCAGTTGTTGTTTATAATGAAAATAAAGTATGCCATTTTCACTACTCAAAGAAAAGACCAGAAGAAATAAAGCTGAGCTCTTACTAAACTCTTAACAGCTGTATTCTTGATCTTCCATTGAGTAGCAACTGCTCTTTAGTTTCTATCACCTTGCCTCAAACATGGTCATAACCTCCACCAAAAAGACCACATAAAATAGCAAACTGTTGAAATGAGAAAGAGCACCAAGAAAAGATGTAAGTCCTTGCAGGAGGAATGCAACTCAAAAAGGATGACACAGAGGGTGAGGGCATCAGACTCTTTTGCTCTCACCACTGAGAAAAATTTGGCACTATAACCGGCTAGATAATGGGCTCTCTTCATTTGCACTCTACTACCATTTGTAAATCCTCTGAAGTTTTAAGTAATTTGATTTTCCCCATAGTTTATGAAATATACAACCTTTAGTTTTATATAACAATTTATACTTTTCAACATGCCTTTAAACATTTCATTTGGTTTTGACAACCTTATGGATCATGCCACATAACTAAGTACTTGTGCCCATTTTAAAGAAATAGAAACAGAGGCACATCTTTGGTGACACATACTGAAATATTAATGTATAGTGGTATAAGATCATGATGTGTGCAGTTTACTGTCAATAGTTCAAGGGAGGAATATATATATATATAATTTTATAAAATCTCTGTTTGTATATATAGAGAGAGAGGGGCAGGGGGAGGGAATGAAATTGATAAGGCAAGACATTGGGGCAAGTCGTTAACCATAAATGACTATGGGTAACTGGTATGTAAGTGTTCTTTCTACTATTCTTCCAGCTTTTCCGTAAGTTTGAAATTATTTTCAAATACAAATTTTTAAAAATTAATTAAGGAAAATTAAGTAATTTGTATAAATAAACAGCTGATTAGAGGCAAAGTGAACAACTAGGATCCAGGTCTCCTAACTATAATCTATTTCTGTAAACTGAAAGTAATTTCCACTTAAATTATAGTCAGCCCTTCATATCCACAGTTCCACCTCAGTGGATTAAACCAACCTTGGATAGAAAAACTATTCAGGGGAAAAAAATACAACAATAAAAAAATACAAATTTTAGAATACAGTATATTATATTTACATAGCACTTACCTTACATTGGGTATTATAAGTAATCTAGAGAGGATTCAAAGTATATCGGAAGATGTGTGTAGATTATATGCAAATATTATGTCATCATATATCAGGGACTTGAGCACCCCTGATTTTGGTATCTACAGTGGGGCTCTGGAATCAATTCTCCAAGGAGACCAAGGGAACGAGGGAGACTGTATTTATAATCACAATCATACGTTTTGCCAGTCAGTCATCAATAATCAATACCATAGCTCACGAGAAACTCATAATGATTTATTAATAACCTTTATTTATATATCATACTACTTATTGCAAACTGTTTTCACTGACCTTATTTTATTTGGTCTTCATAATGCTTCCAATGAAGTGGATTGGACAGGCATTGTGGGACCCATTTTACAGACTAAGAAACAGGCTGTGAAGGTTACTTATACCATTAATGTTCACAGCTACTAAACGGCAGAATTTAGAAGGATGCCAAGAGAGAATACTGGAAAGAGCACTGGTTCTGGAATTTAGGATTTAAATTCCAATATGCCTTCTTAGCATTCTAATGCCTTTTTATACTCCTACTGACCATACCTAAAACTTCTAGGGCTCGTATTATATTTCGCAATAGAAAAGCAATGTTCTTGCCGGCACGGTGGCTCACACCTCACCTGTAGTCCCAGCTAATCAAGAGGCTGAGGCAGGAGGATCACGTGAACCTTAGAGTTCCAGGCTGCAATGAGCTATGATTGTGTCCACTGCAACCCAGCCTGGGCAACAGAGCAAGACCCTGTCCCTAACAAAGCAAAAAACAAAAACATTCTCTTAAAGAACAAAACAAAATGACTGAGAAAGATGTCTGTTTTACTTACTAATGTTATATGTAACAATAACAGCTAAGATTTATTAAATACATGCTTACCATGTACAAGTAAGTGCTATACATACATTATCTAATTTAATTTATGCAACATCTCTATGACATAGAATTATCTTGGTCCCAGTCTTACAAGCAAGGAAATAGGCTCTGAGAGTTTGACTGACTTGGCCAAGTTTACAGACTTGCAGGGGCCAAGGTTGGATATGGACCCAGAAATCTGACTCCATACCCGCTACCATTAACTAGTCCTTATTCCACATTTTCCTTTTTTTCCTTTAAGCTCAGTTGACTTTTTAACGAATGTCTTTTCCTCATATTTAGTAATTTTTAAATTCTGAAATTAAGATAATGCTTTCTAGAAACATAGTTTATATGGAAAAATATTTGCATGAAAAAATAGACCCTCCTTCTTATTTGCAACCTCTTGAAAGCAGGCACCACATCTTATCTGCATCAACAGCAGCTCCTGGCACACATGGAACATTCAATAAATGTTTGTTAAATGAATGAATAATGTTCAGAGTTCTCTATTAAAAAGTTCTTACATGATCTAAATACTTAAAGACAGGACCTAAAAATTAAGTTGGCTCAATTCACCAAATCTCAACTTTATAGTAAAGCACACAGTTTTGGTCCCAGAAAAACAAATAAATGAAAGCAGAAAACAAATTTCACTTTTAAGAAATTTTTAATTCTGCCCTTGGAAAGTTGAACTGCTCTGTGGATGTTTCAACAAATGTGGCCTTTAACTATCTGGATAATCTTTTTTAGATTATAATCTATAGTCTGCATGACAAAAAGTGATGCCCAGGCTCACTAATGTCTGCATTTCATTATTTTCCTTTTGCTGTAACCAGATAGGATTTAAAAAAGGAGAAACAGTCAAGCAAGGACCATGGTCTCAGGAAAGGAGGAGAACCACCTCCAGGATATACAGCTTGCTTTCATCTTCCTCTTCTTCTTCTTCTTCTTCTTCTTCTTCTTCTTCTTTTCTTCCTCCTCCTCCTCCTCTTCGAGACAGGAGTCACACCATGTTGCTCAGTCTGATCTGGAACTCCTGAGCTCAAGCTACTGTCCTGCCTCAGCCTCCTGAGTATCTGGGACTACAGGTGCATGTCACAGCACCCGGCTACAGCCAGCTTTCCAAGGTGCCCATCACAGCTGCCCTCTGAGCAATGACTCAGGAAGGGACCAGTTGGAGGGAAGATGGGAGCTCAGGAAAAGTGTCAGGATACACCTTGCAACCTCCTTCTTCTAACCCGTGCTTTCAGCCCTTCCTTTTGTGGTTTCTTCCCACTCCAAAATTTCCCATAATATTTATTTGCATAAATTTTCCCCAAAATAGGAATGACTAGGCATATTGAGAGGACCACATTTACCTACCGCCCTTCCCACTTTAGTAATAGCATCATTGTTCTACCCTGTGCATTCCAGTATAGCACACAGACATCTTAAGTGCAGAACTTAACTTTATTGCAACATAAGGGAATTTCGGGGTAAAAACTGCATTCGTGAAATCAATCACACATGGGGCTCAGGTTACTCAGCCTGGCATGGTTCAAAGCCTTATAGCAATTCCTCGTAGGCGCTGCCTGTTGTCACTCCCTTGGCTGTCTGTCACCCTTGCCTCAGGCTCCAGCCTTAGCCTCAGCTTCTTCTTCCTAATGCACCTGCCAGCCCCAGACATGGGTACTTTCCAGATTCTGCAGAATGAGGCTTTTTCCTGTCTAAGTCTCAGCACATCCTTATCAGCATCTCACACAGACTGCAACCTCTGCAGTCGGCTTGTGTCCAGGGTCCTAGTCCCCATCACTGCTTCCTCTTTATACTCTCCGCCCAATGCCTGCTCCTGTGCGTTCCCACACTCCTGCCCTCTGGCATGTACAGTTTCACATTTGTAATCTATGCCTCTACGTACTTACAAGAAGAGGAGGTGAAAAACTGGATTTGGCACATATTGAATTTCTTGGACCGTGTTCATTTTTTTCTGTGTCTGGAATCCACTGTTTTCTAGCAAAAACTTTCTTAAGATTTCAAACACCAACCCTAACACTCTGAGTTTACCTGCTTGAATGACTGCCTGTCCCTCGGGCTGAAGTCACAACATTCAGGTTATTATTAATGATTGTCAATCACCATCTTTTTGGGTCCCTGTTGTTTTGCCTTCATATAATTTAATATTTCTATTTAAACACAGAAACTTGGGCAACTGTCAGAGTCACTCCTCAGCTAATGCTCCCTGGAAAGGGCATATGCTTTTTGCTCACTCAAGGCAGATAATACTGAACAAGTGCTTAAGAACGTTCATGCCATAAAAGACTCTCAGAAAAGGAAGGAGAAACTGAACGATACCGAGTCCTTACACATGCAGGACACGGCTATTTCCTTTCAGATTTTGTAATTCCTATACTGGTCATTCTAGTTCTAAGTAAAGAAACCAGGCTTTTTTTAAAAAAAAAAAATCACAAATCTGTAGAGCTAGGATTTGGACCCAAGTCAGTTTGTCTCCAAAAATTCATGCGTTTTCTCAAAAGAAAGTTCTATATAAATGCTAAACAGAAAACCCAGTCATTAATTACATGGAGGCAGTTTACATTTTCCTGCAATTTACACCTTTTTTTTTCCAGACTAATTAAATTTCCTACGCTGGTAAAGTGCTTCTTCCCACAGTTTACTAGAGTTTTTGGTAAAGAGCTAAAAGAAGGTTTGCTGTGAAGCTGGCGAGGAAGAGAAGACTGAGATTCCAATAAAAACTTGTTAACTGGCGTGCAACACCGTGCCTATTAAGAGTAGAACAACTCTCCTACAGAACACACAGCCGAGTCTATACATTGCTTGTTAAGTACTGGCCCAAGTGCTCATGTCTCAGACTTGTCCCTTGGACCCATGCCCAAGCCAGCCCTGAGAGGGTTGGAACAACTCCCCCGCCCCTGCAGAAAACACGACTGGTTATTTAGAATCTAGGGCATCACAATGAACATGGCTCAGTATTTTCATAAGGTATTACTACTGTTGTTCTGAAAAAGCAAGGCATGCGCGCACTTACTTAATATGTTCTTTGTTGATTTACACGTCCTTGATTTTTAAATCACTTCCAGAAATTCCTAGTAAATGGGAAAAGAATTTCTCAAATAAATATGTTATCTTTTCCTCCAACAGAATGCCAGATCACTTCTTGAAAGATCGTTTCCAGATTCTTCTTCAGTTCAAACTGATTTTCACAAACTTGAATCTGCACGCCATAATTAGGAAGCTACTGCAGGCCAATTTATTTGGTTAATTTGCATCAGTCTAAATAATTTTTCCTGACAGATTACTTCCGTTCTAAGTACCAAGTACTTTTTAATCCTAGTCAGGTTATTGCTAAGGATAAATGATTTCACATTTCTCATAAAGATGCCTGTCATTAAGAATATTAACACAAATTCCTTCCCCTTGAATAGAAATGAGCTGTCATTTTAGCAATCTTGCTGTGTCAGCCTTTCTATTGTCAAACACAACAAATGATGGGAAAATCAATTTACTCTTTAGAATTAGTCAAGTGAGGAATCCTTTGAAGTGGGGGTGCAGAGTTTCGCCTGAATTCTATAATCACGTAACAGCGAGTACTGTATGTATGTTGGTAAAATGTTGTGAAATTTAATGAGGACTATTTGTTGCCATAAGACCTTCCAGACAGAATCTATCTCTGAAAAAGAATTCCCCACTCCTAAAATAGAGGTCTGATGAGCAACAGATGTGGTTTAAATGAACCCTTGTTCAACTGAACCAAGAATATATTGTGATCTGTATGAGGCACAATTCAGAAGAGAGGGGAGGTGGCTACAGCACAGCCTCAGTGTTGAGTTTGGTTGTGGGGTTTAAACATATTTATTTATTTCATAAAGTTTCTCTCATAAGGCACAATGCAAATGAGCTTTTAATTAATACAATCTAATGTTCAGAGGATGGTCTTCATGCTGTTTATAAAACAATTTACATTTTTATTTTGTAGTCTAAGAACGTGTGTCGAAAAGCATGTCAGTGAGTAGCCATAACCTTCAGAGTGATCTATGTCCTGGCAATGATTTGTAAGTTCCACAACTCAGTTTCTCCACCCATAAAGAGAAGATTAGATCGTTGTTCAAGAATGACAACTATTTAATATTTGGAAATGACTAAATAATGAAGTGCCTGGATTCTATAGAAATGCCGAGGAGAAAAGAAGATTAATTTCAAACCAAAGTCTAGTGCAAACATGACCTTCCTATTGTAAATCTCATGAATAGGAGAAGAAATAACATCTAAAGCTTTGTTTCTAGGGCTGAGACTCTGGAAATATATTAATTTTAGGTTGTTTCTGATGGCAAAAAAAAAGATCCGTCTATTACAATCTCTTGCCTGTGGAGATGAGAAAAAATTCTTCCTGCTACCTTTGACTGAAATAATGCAGTTAGCAAAGATTTAAATGACAAGAGTAGAAGTGTCATCTTTTTGTCCCTTTGCCTCTAGGCAGGACTACAGTTAAGCCATCTCAGGAAAGAGAAGAGTGCTATTGCTCCCAAAACTCTCCAGGTGAGAATGATAAAAATTAAAAACAGCAAGTGAGAAAACTCAGGGGCCCTGAAATTAATAAAGGTCAGTTCCAGCTCACATCGTTTCAGTTAAAATTTATTTCTATTTGGAAATAGCCTAACAGCAAAACTCCAACGGATGGGCTGTTTGGCACTAGTTCTCGGTGAAAATTCCATTTAGTATTACTACTACTGTCTGATCTTTTTCTATTCAGCCTCCTCTTCACCCTGTTGGTGAGGGAGGGAGGCCATCCTAGGGATCTGGGGATGGCCAAATACACAGCACCCAACAGTGGACAGATGACAGCCACAGCAGCTTAAAAGTCACATAAACTCACAGCCCAGGGAAGGAGGATCAGGGAAGGAGGATAACACATACCATGCAGGGCACACAGGGGTTGCACCGGGAACAGAGTGGACAAGCAGAGGCTGCAGGAGGCAGTAGTAACAAGAGAATGCGGTGCCCTGAGGCTCCCCGGGGAAGGTGTAATTGGCTTGTTTGAATAATTGTGTGGGCTGGTAAGGAAGTAAAACCCATAAGGTTGAAGACCTGGTGGAGTGAGGCTGGCCCAGCTGACAGAGGAATGAGCCAGGTGGGCGTCCTTTCTTGCTGGAGGGGACATATCTATGAAAGCAGGGGAGCTCACAGTTAGGCCTTGGGGGGTCCTGATGAGGCTCAAAGATAATAAATACCAAGGTAACACGTGAGATTTTAGGCGTTACAAGCCGATCCATACAAACTAAACCGACTTATATGAGACTCATGTTCCCTTGACCATGCCTGATCTCTCTAAGGTCTTTTCCACACCTATTTTGTCTCACAGGAAAAGAGCCACTTTTGACTAGATTGATAAAATGGGAGTTTAAGCAATTTTTCTAGCAGGAGGACTCTCAGGCCAAGACCATGTAATTAGCTAAATGACTCATGCAGAAGTATCCTACACTCCTCCCTTTGGTTTGAATGAAAAGAGTAGGAGAGCCCTAAATCATCCAGACAAATTACATCTTTAACTCTTTACTTAATTTTAGTCTGTCACAAGGTAAATATTGACAAACTTTAGACTTATAGCCAGAGGGCTAAAAAAAAAAAATAAGTCTAGCTTGCCACTGTGGCTGTTTTCTGCCCTCCATTTTTCTTTCTTTCTCTTTTTTTTTTTTTTTTTTTTTTTGAGATGGAGTCTTGCTCTGTCGCCCAGGCTGGAGTGCAGAGGGGCGATCTTGGCTCACTGCAAGCTCCGCCTCCCAGGTTCAGGCCATTCTCCTACCTCAGCCTCCCAAGTAGCTGGGACTACAGGTGCCTGCCACCATGCCCAGCTAATTTCTTGTATTTTCAGTAGAGACGGGGTTTCACCATGTTAGCCAGGATGGTCTCCATTTCCTGACCTTGTGATCAGGAGCATGAGCCACTGCGCCCGGCCCCCGCCTTCCGTTTTTCAAGAATACTGTCGGGACACACACAGGTCAGGGAAATGTAGATTCTCTCATTTCCCCTGGTTTTTAACAAATGTCCTTTATATAAAAGACAAAACTTGAGATGTTCAGGCTCTGTCTGAAACTACTGGCCTCTTGCATCCTTTAGATAAAGGACATTTGAAGTTAATGCTGGGCCTGTCATCCTTAGTTATACCACGTTGGACAAGGCATTTTATCTTCTGGATCCCAAGTTCCATACTTTTCTTTTTTTTTTTTTTTTTTGAGATGGGGTCTCACTGTGTTGCCCAGGCTGGAATGCAGTGGCACAATCTGGGCTCACTGCAACCTCTGCCTCCTGGGCTCAAGTGATCCTCCCACTTCAGCCTCCCAAGTAGCTGGGACTACAGGTATGCGCCACCACACCTGGCTAATTTTTTTATTTTTTGCAGAGACGGGGTTTCATCATGTTGCCCATGCTAGTCTCGAACTTCTGGCTCAAGCAATCCACCCGCCTTGGCCTCCAAAGCACTGGCATTATAGGCATGAGCCACCATGCATGGCTATACTCTTTAATGAGGAAGTTAAACAAGAGTTTAAAAATTTTTTTTTAGCAACAAAACCATTGTCTCAAACAAAGTCTTAAGTCACTCTATAAAACAGATGGAGATAATATTTCTCCATTTGACTCCAACTGAGTAAAGTCCAAGCCAGATTGCCTGGCCTCCCTCACATTCGTCCCCTTCCCACACACTGCCAAGGTTCCTGAAGTACCCCTTGAAAGCCTAAAGCTTGTTGGAACCCAGTTTGAAAACCACCAGATGAGATAATATCTCAGGTTTCTTCCAGCTTTCAGTAGAATAGAAAAATCATTGACTATGGAATCAGACCTAGATTCAAATCCTAGTTCTGTCACTTTCTAAGCTGTATGACCAGACTCAATTTACCCATCTGTAAACGAAAACAAAAATAGTTCTGCTAGGTTAAAAAGACATGTAAAGCATCTAGGCCAGTTCCTGAAACCCAGGAGGGATTTGTAAATAGTAGCTATAATAAAGGTTATGGTCCTCACCTGAGCATAACAAAATGAGAGATGATCCTACACTTGAACTACAAATTTGCAGTAAGATCGCTGTCATTCCTGAAGCCGAATCCTCAGGAACTTGAGGCCAAAATTCTTTAAAACCTGAATTGGTTTTAATTGTTCCAAATTAGTAGAGGGGGGAAAATTCTTCTAATTCACTGAACAATCTGTATGCGTGGAGAGCATGTACTGCATAGACACACCCCAAGTCTCTTAAATGACACCACGGTCGATCCAACTAGCACAGGTGGAATTTGAAGCATGTTACTTTTACCAAAAAATAACAGGGGAAATGTCATTAAGAACACTTTAATACAAAGCCACAAGAAATTCAGTATCTGACAGCTCATGTTCTATATTTCACCCCATATCATAAAACAATTCACCAGAGAGCAGTTGTTCATTTGCTGAGCTGCTGTTGTGATAGCACATATTATTTCAATAATGGAGGAGTTCCTCCATAAAATCAGTCCCAGAAGCCAGTGATGTCTGAAAAATCTCACCTTTGGAGAATTTTCCTGGCATTCTGTAAAGGAAGTTGCACTTACAGGTCCTCTAATGTGCAGCAGCAAAGGAACAACAGATGCCAACATTCTTGTTTGCCTCATGAACTTAAGCCCTAAAGTAAGCTGACTTGAGTAAAGTTTAGAGGCTCCCCTTCAAGTTTTAGAAAAGCTTTCTTGTTTAACTTATGCAAATTTACACACCCTCATGAACCTATTGCATATATCCGACAACCGTCCATATTTTAGTACCATGTGGTGGCTCTCACCTATGCCCATATAGCTGGCGACAATGCAGGTAAGATCTGGTCAGCTGTCAGTTTCATTCAGTGAATACTCACTGAGCACCTGCTTTATGCAGGGCCCTGTCCTGGGCCACCAGGGAGAACAACGCAAGGTTCCAAACCTATGGAGACAGACAACGCATGCGGAATGACAACAGAGAAACAGAGTCACACGGAGAAAAGAGGGGAAATTGGGGAAGGCTTTTGTGGGGGAGGCGGGATTTGAACTGAGCCTTGAAGGAAGTGGGTGTGAGGATGGGGGTATGAGTAAAGATGGGAAATGGAGAATTGAAAGGCCGTCTTTAGAGAATGATTCACATTATAACGTGCTGGGGAGTAGGTGAGGCGGGAGGGCGGGATGGGAAGTGGGAAATTAGTGTGGAGACAGAAATTGTGGGCTTTGAGTGCCAGGATGAGGAATTTCTTTGCGTGTTGGGAAGCAGTGGCAGGCGCAGGACAGGATAATAATAATTTAAAGAAAATATGAGTAGCAAGTTGTGGGAGCGGGGAGGGAAGCTTGGTGCTCAGAATAATCAGAACTTTCTCAGTGGACCCAGGCTCAGTGGAAAGAGCGCTCTGGTTCCGTTTATTGCTCCCACAGAGAAGAGAGGAGAGACCCAGAGAGGTTTAAAATTAGAGGGGTCGACAGGGCACAGGGAACTCCTGGCCAACCATCCTTAGGAAAACAAGAGACCAGGAATAAAGAGAACCAGCAGAAGCACCTGGTCTGAGTCTAAGAAACATCAGTGTTTACTAAGCACTTGGTCTCTGGAACGCCTGGCTTTCCAAATACCACATCTTCCCATCCACTCCATCCTGCCACAGGCAGCTACTGTGTCGGGTGCTCAGGGAGCCGGAACCACATGCCTGGAAACCCTGAGCCCCTGCCCGCCGCCGTCCAAGCCGGCCGGCTGCAGCGCAGTTTGTTTGCCGAGGTTTGCATGCACATATTCAGTTGCCCTTTTTTTTCCCCCAGTCCTTTCAGCCGTGTCCCGAAATTCACCCTTAGTGTAACTTCTGCCTCTGCTCCTCCTCTTCTTGGAACTGCCTTTTGTTTGTCTGGCAGCGTTGGTTCTATGGGGGTGTGTGATGATAATAATACGCGGGCTTATATAACCGTCTTCATCTTGCGAGCACTTCGCAGACCGTCGCTAATGAATCTTGGGGCCGGTGTCGGGCCGGGGCGGCTTGATCGGCAACTAGGAAACCCCAGGCGCAGAGGCCAGGAGCGAGGGCAGCGAGGATCAGAGGCCAGGCCTTCCCGGCTGCCGGCGCTCCTCGGAGGTCAGGGCAGATGAGGAACATGACTCTCCCCCTTCGGAGGAGGAAGGAAGTCCCGCTGCCACCTTATCTCTGCTCCTCTGCCTCCTCCCTGTTCCCAGAGCTTTTTCTCTAGAGAAGATTTTGAAGGCGGCTTTTGTAAGTATCGTGCTCTGCTTTTACTTTAAAAAGAAAGAAGACAAACTTTCCTTCCTGTCCCTGTCCTTTTCGTATTATTTATTCATTATTCATCATATTATTATTCATTATATTCTCAGATGATGGAAAGTATGTTTCTGGCCAAAGTCTTCCACCCAAATTTGGTCCCTTGTAATGATAATAAGAGGGGAAAGAGGTTTCTGTTGATAATTAATTCACTTAACAAAATAGTACCCAGGCGAGGTACTGAAATTGGCCACTTTCACAGCATTCTGGTGATGTCTGGCTGTTGATACACACCACACACACACACACACAACACTACACACACACACACACACACACACACACACACACACACACACTCCTTTTTGCCCTTAAGAGGAGCCCTAGTCACCTGGCTTGTTAGACAAGGAGAAATGATGCCACTTTGGTCTTCAGTTTCTCTGCCTTGGGTACTCACAATTTCAATCAGTTGTAATTGTTGAAAGTTTCTTTTCACACTACGAAATAAATCCCATCTTTCAGTGCAGGCTTGAAACTTGCACTGGCTTGGGTAAACTGTACAAAACACTGTAGCTATAGTGGACATGTGAATTTTTATTAAATTTTTCACTGCATAACCGAAGGTTCTAATATTAAAGAAACATGGACACTAACTTTTTAAGCACAGGCAAAACTCAAAGCCCTGTTATCAAACTATGTGTCTTAAAGAGTGCTGAATTAACAGAGTACTCTTCTCAGAGATTATGCTCACTGCTTTGAGAAACTGCTTTTCAACAAGAGGTGAATTTAAAACTCTAGAATAACATGAAGAAAGACACAACTTCTGAATACTTAGCAACTCTGACTTGCTATTTGAACAAGCCAAAAAACAAAGGGTCTATTTTGGGCAATTGTACAATTTGCATTTATAAAACCGTGATTATAACTTGGTATGCTATGAGATACAGAGATTTATTGTTTTAATAAGATTTCAGGTAAGAAAACTAAGAACTATAAATTGGTAATAATGTAGAAAAGCAAGGCCTCTCACTTTTAATGCTGTAAGTGCTGTGATTCATTTGTAAGGCTTTATCATCTTTACCTCTAGATGAATAGATGTGAAAACCATGTATAGTATGTATGTATATGTTAGTGTGTATATGTGTCTTTATCTTAAATTCTTACATTTGTTGTATCTATCTAGTGCTCAGTATGTTATATGATAGTACAACATCCAAAATGGATCAAGTGGAGAAATTTATTTCACATCAACTTTCAGATTGCAATGTTTATTCAGTATTTATTAACACACATGGGAAATATTATAAAATTATGTCTTTTTTTAGATTCTCTTTAAATGATATTTTCCCTTAGAATTCTCTGTGGCTCCCATGAAATTCTAAGGTATAATTAAAGTCAAAAATAAGATTGGATTCTAGTTGCTTTTACCCCTAAATTTAAAAGTGATATTTCAACACTAAATTCTATACTTTACCTAATTTGATTACAAAGATGAACCACATAATCTCAGCATTAGCCTCAAAGGCAAACTCAATCATAATAGAAGGAACACAAGCTTTGATGAGATCTGGATTTCAGGCTTAGTTTGGTCAAACTGAATTAACTGAGCCTTGTGACACACACCTGTAGTCTTAGCTACTCCGGTGACTGAGGCAAGAGGATCGCTTGAGCCTAGAAGGTGGAGACTAGAGTGAGTTGCGTTTGTGCCACTGCACCTCAGCCTGGGTGACAAAGTGAGATCCTATCTCAAAGGAAAAAAAAAAAAAAAAAGAGAGAGACTATTGTAGTGTTCCAGTGAGAACTGCTGGGGGCACTGAGCAGTGTAGGTGGACAATAGGGCGCAGATTCCAGAAATATTTAGAAGGTAGAACATTCTTGACTCAGGGCTGGATGAAGGGAATGGAGGAAAAGGAAACTTTTATAATATTAGTTTTGGGCCTGGGCTACTGGGTAGTTGTAATAGAATACCATAGAACAAGAGGAGGTACTGGTTTATGAAGAAAATTGAGTTAGTTGGAGTAATATCAGGTTGAGATATCACTAAGAGGTTAGACTGCAACGCTGAGTAAAAATAAAAAGCAATTTTTTTAAGCATAAAATTATCATCTGGATGTGGTGGCATGTGTCTGTAGTCCCAGCTACTCAGGAGGCTGAAGCAGGAGGATCTCATGAGCCCAGAGGTTCAAGGCTATGGTGCACTATAATCAAGCTTGTGAATAGATACTGCACTCCAGCCTGAGCAACATAGTGAGACCCTGGCTCTTTAAAAAAAAAATGCTAGATTTTTGTCTTTGAAATTTTGAGGAGATACATAAAGACTGAGCTCTCCCTACTATGTTCTAATGCCCCCCAAGAAATGGTCACTATCTGGACTCAATGAAATCAGAGCTTTAATCTTGTGTCCCTGCTGCCAAATGAATTTTTTTCTCATTAACTTTTCAATAGGAAGCCCATGTCTAGGGCAGTCTTGCCTGTAGCTATGTGTATCCTCAAAGAGAGTAATTTTTACTTCTTCAGAGACTTCAGAAATGAGCAGAGACTAAAGATCTATGAGCTAGTAGAATACTTATTCATAAAAAGCACATATGCATGAAGAAGTAATACTTATCAAAAACAAACCCTTTCCTTAACAGGGATTCTTCACTTCTCTTGAACAAGGAACTCACTCAGAGACTAACACAAAGGAAGTAATTTCTTACCTGGTCATTATTTAGTCTACAATAAGTTCATCCTTCTTCAGTGTGACCAGTAAATTCTTCCCATACTCTTGAAGAGAGCATAATTGGAATGGAGAGGTGGGTAACATTCGCAAATTTTTTAAAGATGACAACTGGAAGAATTTTAACATTTTGAATGAATAGAAATCAATCTGATTAGCAGGCAGGAAGCTGTGACTTTTTAAATCTTGAGGTCTGATTACTTGATAACCCTGGTTTTCTTATACCCTTTCACCCTTTCTGTGCTCAGCACTTAATCTTCTAGGCAAAGCCTCTATCGGATTTCCTGGATTTCAGAGCTGTTACCCTACCTGAGCACTTCAGAGCAAATGCCATTTCTTATAAAAGGGGCTTAGCCCCAGACTTTATGGCTAGTCTTGCAAAGTGGTATAATATTTCTTTCTGGTACGTGAACTGTATCAACACATTTAAAAACAGATTTAAAAAGCTATTTCCACCTCTAAATATAAAGAGCCTTACCACTTATTAGAAAGATAGCATTTGATAACAATCTGAATTTCTTCCACTTCTGATGGCTCACTTAATTCACCAAACTTTGGAAATCATCTTTGACTTTTGAAATGGTGAAAAACATTTCTATTTTTGCTAAAATGCTTTTGCCATAAAAAAAGAAGTGTCCCAAAAAGGAACCGTTAACATCTCAGCTATGCAAAATAATCACCAAATATATACTTTTGAATAAGATGACTGCATCATGGGAAAGTTCATTATTTAAGGAAGGAACAAGATATATTTGGGGAAATTCCCATTAGCACAATTGAAGTATGAAGAATATACTGAGCTTCCATATATGGTGCTGGTCATTCCACATTTAGGTTACTCAAGCCATTTAAACTTGGCTTCATAAGCAAGTACTACACCCTCACAATCTTTTTAGGTTAGCCGACATAATGATTTACTCCCAACTGGGTGCTGCCTGAGCCACTGTGCTTTGCCTCTGCAGTGTTTAAAGAGTGGATAGTTCGCAGCTGTGAAGTTCCCCAGACACCTGAGTCCAAACTGTTGCTGGATTTTGCTTCTTTCTGTGCTCCATGGAAAGCTGGAAGCTCCTCAACTTTCTCTTGGGTTTGGCTTCCTGTTCACATGTTTTCTGGCCCCATGTCAATTGTGTATGAAGTAATAGTCCCACATGCGTGCACCATCCACGATGGCAAGATTTGTGTGGTTCAGCATGAGTTTTCTAATGAGCACACTTTGGACCTTCCAACAACCCTTTAGGAAAAGCAGTTTGGAACCAGTTATTACTTTCCAAGGTGACGGAAGCTAAAACAGAATGTTCTTTTCTCTTTTTTTTTTTTTTTTTTTTGAGACAGAGTCTTGATCTGTCACCTAGGCTGGAGTGCCGTGGTACAATCTCAGCTCATTGCAACCTCTGTCTCCTGGATTCAAGCAATTCTCCTGCCTCAGCCTCCTGAGTAGCTGGGATTACAGGCACCTGCCACCACGCCTGGCTAATTTTTGTATTTTTAGTAGAGACGGGGTTTCACCATGTTGGTCAGGCTGATCTCAAACTCCTGATCTCATGATCCACCCACCTCACCCTCCCAAAGTGCTGGGATTACAGGCATGAGCCACCAGGCCCGGCCCAGAATGTTCTTAAGCAACAAGACTAAAGCCACTTTTAAGAGACAATTAAAGGACAACTGCATAGGAAAAATGAACATTTACCTTACACATCTGTCTAAATGTGTGTATGTGTAAAGTATATAAAAATGCCTCCAATTCACAGTTTAAAAATATCAGTTACTGTTTCAGCATTTTGCTACTGATGAATGGTGCTAGTGTTTTCCACTAAGGACTGTTATTTTAATGACATTTCTCTGCAGCAAAATTTGATGAGTTTACAAAGTTTCAGAGCCAGGAAATGCAGCTTGATTTCTGAACAACGGGGACAACCAAGAGAGTTAAGTTCAATCATCTAGTTGCTTTATAGCATGGATTCCTAAGTGCTAACTGCAGTAACACACTGACACAGAGAGCAAAGCCAAACCAAACTCTTAAAGTACAGCTGTTAAACTATCAAGCTTAACTTCTCGATATATTCTCAACAGGTGAAATTCTGGCACACACCCACACTTACTTGAAGATGGTAATGTCAAATTAATCACCATATGTCCAACATTTTATAGAATTTTAGAGTAAGAAGAGATATTGGAGGTCTTCCAGTTTTACCTTATCCTTTCATTATAGGAACAGAAAAACTGAGACTCATGAGTGCTCTCTCTCTCTGTCTCTCTCTCTCTCCACACACACACACACACACACACACACACACACACTCACAAGCACACACACATCAGAGCTGTACTGAGTCATGACTTACAGAAAACATCCTAAGTCTGACTTAAGCAAAAGAAAGGGATGCAATGATCCACAGCTAGGCCACTGGCTTCCTGGTCCTTTCAAGTTTGTGTGGCCAGCTTCAGCACTGTGGGCTGACAATTTATTATTGCTTGAGAAAACATTCAGAGTCTTGGAGTCTATATTTTTAACCAAAACTTGAATAAACTCTAAAACAAACCAAGGATCCATCGGTGACTCAGATCCTGACTGTCCTTTACAGTGAGGCTCAGCCACCTTCCAATAGTTACTGGGGCCACACTGTGATCCCATAAGATGGAGACAAAGCCCAAGACACAACCCTCACTCTGAGGGATCCTGAAACCTGACCAGAGAGATGAGACCATCCTGCATGCAGGCCATAGAGACGGTAAACTAAGTACCACACTATGTGGCACAGGTTTTAAATGTTATGAGTTCTAGTGACAGGGATTAATGAAAATAGAGGCTGTCAGAAAATGAGATTTTAGCTGATCCCAGAGGGGAGATTAGAGTTTTAATATGTGGAGGAGAGAAAAGTGGACTTTTCCAGATAAAGAACAGAGGAGTGAAAGCAGAGAGAGGACTGTTTATGGGTGGGACCCCAAAGAAGCTGGCCTGAGGAAACATTTCTCCACCCACGCAATGGACCATGGAGCTCCAGTACAGACTTAAAATTATTTATTTTGAGACAGAGTCTTACTTTATTACCCAGGTTGGAGTGCAGTGGCACAATCTTGGCTCACTGCAGCCTTGACTTCCTGGGCTGAAGCCATCCTCCCACCTAAGCCTCCCTAGGAGCTGGGATCACAGGCATGTGCAACCATGCCCAGCTAATTTTTGTATTTTTAGTAGAGACAGGGTTTCACAATGTTGCCCAGGCTGGTCTTGAACTCCTGACTTCAAGCAATCTGCCCGCCTCGGCCTCCCAAACTGCTGGGATTACAGGCATGAGCCACTGCAACGGGTCCCAGACTTACATTATTATCTATTAAAATGTTACTGAAATATGTACCCAAAAAGCTATGTATAAGTTGTTTTATGTTTGTATAGCTATAAATACACATTAGCATAATTCTATTTATACTATTAAAATTTCAAAATAAGTCTCTAAGGATAAACGAAACCCATACACCAATAATACTCTAATTCATATTAATCCTCTTTGCCAGATGATGCTGTTTTGCTGAAACTAAAGAATAAATTTGTTTTAACTAAGTATTCATTAATGAAATTGGAAAAAACATTTTAACAAAAGGAATTTCTATTGCATATTAAGAATTACACCTGTTTATAAGGAACTGTTACAAGATGGCACCTATAGAGAAGAAAGGATCCAGGCAATCAGTCCTCTGGGGTGGAGATTTTGGAGCTGAGAACTGTGAGGGCCAAGTCATCCTATCACCCTTCTCTATTCTGGGAAACAAACAAACCTTCATACAACACAGCAGGAAGTATTTGACTCTCACGTGCATACACATATCAGCAGGAACTTAGGCTGCCTCTGTTCTTTCTTCAATAGCCCATAACAATTAAATTATTATATGATTATACCACACATTATTATTATTTATTTTTTTAAAGACATTCTAGCTCTGTTTCCTAGACTGGAGAGCAGTGGTGTGATCATAGTTCACTGCAGCCTCAAACACCTGGGCTCAAGTAATCCTACCGCCTCAGCCTCCCAAGTAGCTGATATTACAGGTGCACACCACCACACCCAGCTAGTTTTTAAATTTTTTGGTTGAGATGAGGGTCCCACTGTGTTGCCCAGGCTGGTCTTGAACTCCTGGCCTCAAGCAATCCTCCCATCTCAGCCTCCCAAAGTGCTGGGATTATAGGCATGAGCCACCTCACCTGGCCTACACATTATCATTTTAATGATGAGAAATCAAAGTCTACATTTATAAAATTTAAGAAAATTCTGGTCTCATTTCATGAAAATGTCTTTTGATTGCAAATATGCAAGGAAGGTTGTATCTTTATTACTGGTCTAAAAAAAATCAGTCCAAGTAATAATGATTGCCGATGTTTATTGAACCCTTATTTTGTGCTAGGTCGTCTTGCAAGTTTTTCACATGAATGTTTTCATGTAATCCTCACATCAACCCTATGGGGTAGATACCATTTTAAATTCCCATTTGTCAGAGGAGAATACTGAGGCATAGAGAAATTAAGTAATGTGCTCAAGGCCACATAGCCAGTGAATGCCATAGCCTGGTATTCCGGCATCTCATTCCAGACTCAGCTGCCCGGTAGCATATTCAGAACAGTCTCAGAAAAGGTATTCTTTGACATCAGACTGTGCCAGCCTAACCACAGCCAGATACTTTTGACATCACATTCAGATGTAAACTTTCACTGTAGGAGATCATGAGGTGCACATACAATTATAAGCACAAACATGTATATGTCCTCTCAGAACATATTTTACAAGTGGGCATCTGCATGATGCTTCTAATAATTTGTGATATCAGCACCATGGAGACAGGATGGAAAAGTTCTTCTAGAACTCCCCAACCCCCAGGAGGAGAAGCACAGTGAAGCGAGTGATCTAGAGGCCTAATGGGTGAGGTGGGCCACATTGCAGAGGGTGGCATAAAACTAGCGGCGGCGGAGTTTCACTGCTGTTTGGAGTGGAAAGAGGGGTGATGAGAGTCGTGTGGGAGGAAAGTGAATCCTGCAGCACCAGGCCAGCTCCAAGGAGGCACTGCTGCAGCAATCTTGTGGTAGGAGTGATCCATCCAGAGCAAAGCAAAGGACCTGGGGCTTAACCTGACTCGCCAAGGCCAGCTCAGGATAAAAAGAGATTCCAGGCCTATGGAGGGAAAAAATCTGCACCCATTACCTCTGAGATCCCCCCATATGTATACGAAGGTACAACTGTAGTCACCAGTGGAAAAGTATGAAGACTTTAAATGAAATGCTTTATTAAACATTAATATTTACATGGGCATGATCAATATTTTTTAAATGTGAAGGAAATTCTGAGTTGTTAAATAAGAGGTCTCATTTCCTTATTCTATCTTATATTATGTTCTCTTTTATATCATATGCACATTTACATACAGTATGTATATGTCAGATGTTCATGGCAGCAAGATTGCTTCATTTGATACTTAAAACATTAAAATGGGAATTTCCTCATATTCAAAGTGTTCAAATTTATTTTAATCACTTACATTTTTCAGCTGTCAAAAATGTGGAATATAAACAAATTTTACCACTTGGAAATGCTTACTTTGCTAGTCATCAAATAATAGCTTGCTGCAACTTTAAAAGATTCCATGATTCAGCGCGTTTTCCTTTAAAATAGGTCTCCCAACCTGAAATTAGACAGCACTCAACCTTTAAACTTGGAACACTTTGTAAACTTTTAAAAGGAAACTCTTCTTTAATGGTTCTATGAAATCCAGTCAAAGAATGATATGAAATGAATCTAATGGAAAGTCTTTTCCTTGTTGGAGAAGCAGTCAAAATAGAAACTTCTACAAAAGGACCGAATCACCCACAATGCTTCAAAGACTCTTGCGAGTGATTGTAAGAAAATCGGTCTGGATGAAATTTAGAGAATATTGTTCCTAATGATCACCCCCTTTGAGGCTGTGAAAGGGCAACATCTGAAAGATGAGAGGAATTGCTGATAAAACGTAACTGATGGCAATTTTGCTCTTTTCCATCGTAGGTGCTGACGGCCACCCACCATCATCTAAAGAAGATAAACTTGGCAAATGACATGCAGGTTCTTCAAGGCAGAATAATTGCAGAAAATCTTCAAAGGTATTCATCAAATTTTTATCTCTAGCTTAAACCAAGGACCACCTGGGCACTCTATGTCACTTGAAGAGGGGAACATTTCACGGTTGGGGAATTGTTAAGAACTGGCAGAAACTGAAAAGTCAATGGTCCTCTACCTTCCCATCACATTCTCATTCTTGTTGACTGAGAGAGCTAAAAGGGGCCTTCCACGTGGTAGAGCCATGTCACGAAATCAGTCCTAAGAAATGTCAGAAGAACCATCTGAAAAATGGGAATCTAAACAATCATATGACTATTGACATATTATGAGCTGCTCAGGAAGGAAGCTCAGGGGAATTAGGGGGCAGTGTGGTAGGCCCGCCATGCACAGCCATCCACAACATACTCCACAGTGTCAGGAGTGAAAGCTGTACAGATATCTGATTTATTCACAGCTCGTCTTCACAGTTTCTTTCCTTGGCCAGATAAACATTAGTGCCAAGAGCTTTCATGGAGCCAGGGAGAGTTGTGGCAACCCATCTCAGCAATTTCACCTTGGTGGCAAAAACATTTCTAGGGTTTGGGTTCATATGAGGGTACAACCTCATGAGGCTTTTTCAAATGTCAACTTTGAGAGTTGCTCCCTTTCACCCCTAAAAACTAATGCAATGAAAATGTTCAGTTCCTCTCTATTTCATTAGTCACTCTTCAGAATCATTGCTATTTGCTTGATTTTTTTTTTCTTTTCTTTTTCTTTTTTTTTCTTTTTTTTTTTTTTTGAGAGGAAGTCTTGCTCTGTTACGCAGGCTGGAGTGTAGTGGTGTGATCTTGGCTCACTGCAACCTCCGCCTCCTGGGTTCAAGCAATTCTCCTGCCTCAGCCTCCCGATTAGCTGGGATTACAGGCGCCTGCCACCACGCCCAGCTAATTTTTGTATTTTAGCAGAGATGGGGTTTCACCATGTTGGCCAGGCTGGTCTTGAACTCCTGACCTCAAGTGATCCACCTACCTCAGCCTCCTAAATGGCCGGGATTATAGGCGTGAGCCACCACAACCAGCCTGCTTGATTTTTATTCTAAGCCTTCCGTTGGCCCAAGGTGGCTTGGAATAAGTCCTGTAATCACCAAAACTTTCATGAACCTCACCTAAAAAGCAACGTCTTCAAGTCTGGCCCGAATTTCAGGTTTGCCTTTTGAGGGTTGTTTTATCCAGCTTCTCTTTCTAATACTTATCGAATTAAACATTTTTGCCTTCATTCTACAAGTATTACGTGAAGAAAGTGAATGGTTCAAAGTGTATAAGACAGGTTAGTTCTTTGACATAAAGTTATAAGCATCAGCAGTTTTTCTAGAATTCTTGGAGCTTTGTCTGAAGATGGCATGGGGTATTAACCCCCATGGCTGATTACAGCACTGTATCAGATGCTTGTCATAAACGAGCTGAATCCACAGTAAGAGAAGATAAGTTGAAAGTTAGGTCTCCTTACTTCAAAGCTCTAACGTAAGAAGGAAATATTCTAAAACAGTAACTTCAAAAGATAAATGTTTAATAATTCAATGAACAAGTTCATTGAATAACTAATAAGTTCAATGAACAGAACTGGAACTTCTCAAGAGTTATTTATCTCTTGAATCAGGTTGTGAACAATTTTCTTTGTGAAACTCTAGCCTGATGCATCAATTTTTATGTTGGAAAAAACAAGGTTGGCCTTCAGTGCCATACCATTCAAAATTAACCGTAGAAGAGACTGGAAAACCCCTGATACTACAAGAGCACCCTTCATCTTCTGAAGAGGTCCCTGAGGATCTGATTTCTCAAAGTATCTTTCTTAGTTTCTCTTATGCTATGAAGAAGCCACTTTTCTTTCTTTCCTTTTTTTTTTCTTTTCAAAACGAACAGAGTCTTCCTTTGTTGCCAGGCTGGAATGCAGTGGCACGATCTTAGCTCACTGCAACCTCCGACCCCTGAGTTCAAGCAATTCTCCTGCCTCAGCCTCCCAAGTAGCTGGAACTACAGACACGTGCCACCACGCCTGGTTAATTTTTGTATTTTTAGTAGAGACAGGGATTCACCATGTTGGCCAGGATGGTCTCGATCTCTTGACCTCGTGATCTGCCAGCCTCAGCCTCCCAAAGTGCTGGGATTACAGGCGTGAGCCACTGCGCCCATGAAAAGGCCACTTTTCTACAATGCCATGTTGTTTGTTATCTAGCTGGTAATCTTTCATGTTGCACTTTTCTCCCCCTAATGTGTGATTTCACCACTGTGTTATGTCTTCTTCACTTCTCAGCACATCTTTATTATGGGAAAATACAAGTAAGTGTCTAGGCTGGGCACAGTGGCTCACGCCTATAGTCCCAGCACTTTGGGAGGCCGAGGTGGGTGAATCAGCTGAGGTCAGTGGATCACCTGAGGTCAGGAGTTCGAGACCAGCCTGGCCAATATGGTGAAACCCCATCTCTACTAAAAATACAAAAAATTAGCCGGGCGTGGTGGTGCGCGCCTGTAATCCCAGCTTATCAAGAGGCTAAGGCAGGAGAATTGTTTGAACCTGGGAGGCGGAGGTTGCAGTGAGCCAAGATTGTGCCATTGTACTCCAGCCTGGGCAACAGAGCAAGACTCTGTCTCTGAATAAATAAATAAATAAAATAAGTGTCTAATGTTGGATCATTTAGATTCACTTGCTCAAATTTAACATACAGAACATTTTTCTTGAAAATCTATGGATTCTGTATGAGACCTGGCTTCAATCTACTTTTTTTTAATCTTGGGGCTGGAAAATTCAAATTTAATGTTTGGCTTCAGAGATCTCTGCCCCTTTTCAACCAACTCCAGGATTTGAGCTGAATTAGATAAGCAGACGAGTCACTTCCCACCACTACCTCTGTATTTATATATCCACAATCCTCCTTCTAGTCAATTTTATGGAAAGAAATGGATGTTTTTGGGTATGTGCTTGGACAATCATGTTTATAAAATAGGGACCACTTTACTGGACCTTAGAGTTTCAAAATGCTGCCCTGTGCATTTTTGATTGCCTCTCTGCTCATATCATTTGGGTATAAAGTTCTTTCATTTAATATTCAGAACTGCTTACCTGTAGCTCATTGAACTTGGCATCACCTCTAAATTACATAACCCAAGAGAAAGTTCAAGGAGATACTATAAGCAAATCTCAGAAGCTGCCCAAGCATTTCCTGTCTTTCAGATTGCCAGATTGTCCCTTGTTCCAAGGAGAGATAGGTTGTATTCACATATGAGAAGACACCAAAAGGACAATTAAATTTCACAGCTTGGGGGAGATTTTGAGGGTTCTCATCAAAAATGTTTACACCTATGGAACAGATTGCTTTTGTGTATGTGTGTGAAGCCTGGTTTTCAGCTTAAAATACACCTGCCAAAATATGAATGGCCTTTATTGTACCTTCTGGACACTAATATTGCACTGTTGGACAAGGTTTGGTGCGCACAGATGGGATAACTTAGAACAGCAACTATGTTGTTTTTGAGAAAATTAAGATTTTTCCTAGCCTTGTTAATACCTATTTGGGATGGAAAATTTTATTATAAGGATGGCTTAGCTGTGCCTGGCACTTTATTTTTAATATTATTTTAATTATTAAGTTAAATTTAGTATATTAATCTAAATGTAGGTGGTTTTTAAAATTGCCCGTAGACTGTAACAGTAAACTAAACCTTTTCAAGGAATCAATATCAGATGTGGACCCTAAAACTTATCCTTGTCTTGCTTTAAGTGCATATTGGATACCAAGACAATGATAATTTGTCTTGCTGCAGAATATAGAGACCTATATTTGGGGGTGCTAAAAAGTAGACTCTTTTCCTTTGTGATTCCCCTTACATATTTTGAAACATTTCTCATTGAAGAGGACAATTTATTACACAGAATATCAACTCATTTAAAATTAGGTATTTGTTGTAAAAACCATATAACAGTCGCTTAAGAGTTTTTTTTTTTTAAATCACACACTTAACCCAAATCAGTTGGTCTTTTCTTTATAAGTATATACTAAGTAGAATCATAGAAAATTGCTTCTATTTAACTATTGTTGGCCTACAAAAGCAGTGATTTCATAGGGTATTATCTAATATTTTATAAAATTGGAAACATGGAGAATGTACAATGTTTATTGTTTTGTTTTCACCTACCTTTGTGTCAAAACGGTTCATACAATTTCTGCATTGTCTTTTTAGTTCTTTTAAATTTGTGCATTGTGTTCCATTACATGGATGTGGGACATATAAGTTGCTCATGCTTTTTCTTTATAAGAGAGATAACACTAAACATACACACACACACACACACACACACAATCAATACCTCCCTTCACGTAGCCATTCTGTTTAGTTGCATTTTAATGATGGTTTTTAAATTGTCTTCTCCTGCACCATCCTCTTATCCCTTTGAGACTAATCACTTTCACATGTGAGACTTCAATGCAAATCTAAGTGATAAGCAAATGTTAGTATGTACAAGCACACAGATTTGCACCCATGTATGTACATAGCTAAATGGATCTGCTTAGACCACAGTCCTCAAAGCCAGTGAGCTTATGTTTAAAGAAAATGCCAAACTCCAATTGGATGAGAAACATTGTGCCCATCAGGCTGTGCCATCTTTTGCAGGCTCCTCTCTCCTCCCATCTGACTGAGACCTGTCCCAGCAGGTGGCTCTGTCAGTATGCTTCGGCTGCCAGTAAAATTGTGCTTTGCCTGATAATGGTGAGGAAGCAAACTCCAGAGATGTTGACCAACCCAAGGAAAACTCTTTGCTCTTGCCATAATGATACATTCAGGCAGGAAGTTAAGAGAAAAATAGCTCTTCCCCTGGCAAGGAAAGGAGTTTAATTACGATGAGGGTGGGGACTGGGGGACATTCACAAGTGGATATTAAGGAAAAAGAATGGGATGATGTCATTCTTTACTGAGGCAGTCACTAAAATGAAATCAGCTCACACAACAATGGTCTTGTTCTATGCTCAAAAGCGCAAGTTGGTATGAGACATTACTTTGCGGTGATGCTCTCAGGAAGGGCCTAAGGGGCCGTGCTCACATGAAACTATTTCCCCAAACATCTTGAAGACAGGTCAAGAAGTGCAGAATCATTCCATCCAGTGCTGAAATGGCCCACACTGGACCATCATTTGTTTCAGATCACCATGCCACAGTTTAGGATAGAAAAAGTGTCTGGATTCTTACAACACCATGAATTCAAAGAGGCAGAATATAGTGGTTCAATCTGGTATCAGGCCAGATGTTTTAAATTGGTTCCTTTTTTGCAGGATAATTTTAAATGGCATACTGAAATTAACATGGAATATATTCCTCAGTGGAAGGTTTCAGGAAGTCACTTCCCAAGAAGAAATACTGCCTTGTATCGTGCTAGAGAATTTGTAGGGCTGATTAATTCCACTTACAGAGGAAGCATTTGATCTATGTTGATCTTGAGTCCTTAGTTCCAATGGCAAATATTCAATTTTAGGTTCCTTTTCTCAATGGTGTCCTAATTTGACCGCATTTATCTGCTTAGATTTCACAAGAGTGCATCATAATTATAAATGAAGAGTAGACTTTCTAAGAAGCCATTCCTGGAATAATTAGGTGGTGGGGTCAAATCCTGTTATTAAGATTCTGTCATTATTGCATTAAATAGGGCTTAAAACAAATAAGCCATTGGCTGAGGCCTTTTTTGAGGATATTTTTACTGCAGGAATATTTATAATAGGAGAATTGAAGTACTATAGGCTTTTTACATTGGTATCTGCAGTTTAGAGAATTTGCAAAAAAAATATTTTTTAGTAAGCCACTGGTCTTCAGGTGTACGAACATATTGAGATATGAGGTCCTTCTCTCTCTTGCAGATTACATGAAAATGTAAAAAAAAATGGATTACAGTGGAAATTCATATTTGTTTTATGATTTTGCTCTCAAATTATTCAAGAACCTTGTGTCATAATCTGGCATGTAGGGGAAGCTGAGATGTGTATGGGACAAATATATTTGAAGACTGCTTTGGATCGTGGCCATCAGAATGAAAAGAGGCACATTTTGAAGGAGTCCTTTTTTGGCAGACACTAAAGTAAACCTCAGGGATTCCTGCTACCCTTATTTTTAAAAAGAAGGTAATTCAGCTGTGGGGTTTTTGAGAGAAGATAATTATTATTTTTTTTTTTTTGAGATGGAGTTTTGCTCTTGTTGCCCAGGCTGAAGTGCAATGGCACGATGTCAGCTCACATCAACCTCCGCCTCCTGGGTTCAAGCGATTCTCCTGCCTCAGCCTCCCGAATAGCTGGGATTATAGGCATGCGCCACCACGCCCAGCTAATTTTGTATTTTTGGTAGAGACGGGGTTTCTCCATGTTTATCAAGCTGGTCTCGAACTCCCAACCTCAGGTGATCCACCCACCTTGGCCTTCCAAAATGCTGAGGTTACAGGCATGAGCCACCAGGCCCGGCCAGGTAATTATTTAAAAATAAAAAGTAACTAAAATATTTCCAAACAAATTGTCAGCACCATCAGAAGTTCTCAAGTTTCCAAGAAAGTGCTTAATATTCTTTTCTATTTGTTTATTAGTAGCCTTTAAAGAAATCTAAGTTCATTATCTGCAGTCAGTTGACACTAGCACTGAAAATACAGATGGAATTTTAAGCAAATTCATTATTTACAAAGCAAATAAGTGAGTCCTGGTATCTGACAATGGGATTCACCATAAAATTAATTTTAAAATTACTAGGTTTTAAATTTTTACCCGAAAATGATTTGATGCATTTTTGCATTAAAAACTGTATTTATTACATGAAGTATAAATACCCCAGGAGATTAAATCCATCCTGCCATATTCATGGGAGCCTGATCTAGCCCGAGGTATGATGCCCAGCAGGACACAGTGGCCATAGGAGAAAGGTTAGCAGCCATTCAGAGCAGTCGGTGCTGTGCTGGAGGCGTTATAGGTATTGTGAGTATCTCTCTTCATGGTAAGTAGCCATAATATAATGACTCATAGGATTCTTCTCTCCAAAGAACACTGTGCTGAGAGTCAAGATATCGGCTCTGGTTTTAGTCATCTAATTTACTCTATAATTTCCTACAAAATTAGAATGTACTTGTCCCATTTCCCTCACTAGGATGTGGTAAAGACCAAGAACATAAAAGCACTTGTAGGGGGAGTAGACATATGAAGCCACTCAAACACAACCGATTGTTATTGTTGTAATATTTAAAGGATAAGGCATTACATGGTGATCATTAGTTCCCATCATAACTGTGCTATTTCCATCACCTTATTTCTCTCTCATTATCCTTTTAGTTTTATGTCTCTGCCTGCCAGTAAACTAATCCCAATGTGTATTTTTTAATGGTTGGCAAAAATTCAAAAATGTTCTTGAAAAGAAGGAAGGCCATAGAATTGCCAGGATTATAACTATGTATTCAGTGCATTAAAAATAAAAAATAATATAACAAAACAAAATAGAATGAAAAATCTTTACTGGCTTAAGCCTTCAAAATAAAAGTGAAAAATATAGCACATACTGTATTAGATACTTGTTGTTGGAATTCAGCTGAGGGTTGACTTCAAATCATCTTTAGGATTAGAAAAAATTTCTATAATTAACTCACCTGGGACATGTGCTGCTGCTTTTAATATTTGTTGATTGGCTCCTGTTGGGCACTAAAGTGACTGAAAAATTGTCATCATCTGGATTCCCCAAACAGCAGCCAGAGACAAAAAATGACATCCCTCTGCTCACTGTCCATACGTGTCATGAGGCTGCCCTTCTCACAGGGAAATATTCAATTTTCTTTTTGCCTTTTCTACCCCCAAGCACTGACTTATGGAGGAATTTTTTCAAATGTCATATACAGTATCAGCTTAGTAGTCTGTAAGTGCTGAAATGTCCCTCCTGGGTAAAAGGAGAGGAATGTAGTTTACATTTCTCATTTGAAAGTCCATTTAGGTTAAACAGCTTTCTGGTTGTGAAAATATTAAGACAGAGTTTGTATGACATGACTTGTGCATACATGTTTGAACGACTGTTCTAGTGATAGCCAACCTCTAAATGTGACAGACAATAATTCTGACTATAAAAACATTGATTTTTTTTCTCTGTAACTCATGTAGACAGTAATACCATGTATGCACCTAGTTATAACTAGCTGAGCTATTGGCTTTTGTGGATGTCTGAAAATATATGCAGTGATATATGTCAGGGTAGTGCAAGAAAGAGCCCTTCCTACCTTAGGAAGCCTTTGGGAGGCGTTCAAGAGTTATCACCCACAAAAGTGAACTTGTCTTCTCAAAATGGGAAGCTCTTTCTTGTCCTAATTTAGAGAGACCCATGAGAGAAGTATGGTTTAATGGTTAGGAACACAGATTTGGGAGCCAGACTGCCAGGGTTTGAATTTCCACTCTGCCATTTGCTAACTGTGACTTAATTTCTTTATGCTTCAGTATCCTTATTGGAAAAATAGGGGCCAGTAATGCCATCAACTTCATTATGCTGTTCTGAAGATTAGATGATTTCAAATGTATAAAGGGCCCATACAATGCTTAACAATTAGTAAAGTGCTTTATGCACAGTAACTATTTTTATTTATAGAAATTCAAAAATCCAGTAATTCACAAAGCAGAAAATAATGTTTTTGTGTTGGGTTTTTTGGTGGGTTTTTTTTTGTTTTTTTTTTTTTTGAGACAAAGTCTCACTCTGTCACCCACACTGCAGTGCAGTCGTGTGATCTTGGCTCACTGCAACCTCCGCCTCCTGGGTTCAAGTGATTCTCCTGCCTCAGCCTCCCAGGTAGCTGGGATTACAGGTGGGCACCACCATGCCTGGCTAATTTTTATATTTTTAGTAGAGATGGGGTTTTGCCATATTGGCCAGGCTGGTCTCGAACTCCTGACCTCAAGTGATCCACCCACCTCAGACTCCCAAAGTGCTGGGATTACAGGCGTGAACCACCATGCCCAGCCTGATAATAATGTTAGTCCATATCATCATTACACACACACACACACACACACACACACACACACACACACATATTGTCAATGTATCAGGTATTCTGTAGAAACCTGTCTCAGGACTCTGCACCCACCCTCTGGAAACCAGTACTAGACAGGAGCAGGACCTATGCATGTGCCTCACACATAATAGTAATAACAATACCTTAATCTTACATGTTTAAAATGTACATTTGCACACTTGTGACACTTATTGAGAAAACCAAATTAAGCAATGAATGGGAAACTACTTTGGGAATATATTATCAGCATCTGTACAGATGGAAAACCTTTTTTAAACCAGTTTTTAATTTTCTAATTTTTGTTTTCTCTTTGGATTTGTTTACCCTTTGGTTCAGATTTTTTTCTCCCATTCAATCATGATTTGACAAATACTAATAAATAACAACTAATAATCACGAAAATCCGATAAAAAGATCCTCCTGATGGAGACTTTTAAGATTCAGTGGGTCCAGATTCTGAGCCCTAACTGGCTGGATATTTTTACTCTGGTCTAGCATCTCCCCTAGTACAACATCACAGAGCTGCATGCTGAGCTTCACGAAAGAGTAAAATAGATCTGCCTCATCAAAACATCTGTTGAGACTTAATTTTTTAGAGCCATTTTTGGTTCACAGTAAGATTGAGAAGAAAGTACGGAGATTTCCCATATACCCCTGTCCTCACACATGCACAGCCCCTCCATTCTCAACATCCACCACTAGGGTGGTGCATTTGTTACAATTGAGGAACCTACACTGACACATCATTGTCACCCAGAGTCCACAATTTACATTAGCTTTCACTCTTAGTGTTGTTTTTTCTATGGGTTTGGACAAATGTATAATAACATATATTATCAGAACATTTTTTACTGGTTTGCAAGTTATATACATTCGATGACTTTTTTACAGCTACAACTATAATTAGCCACACTATTTAAATGATCTAATTTTAAAGCTCCAGGTTAAACACTGCACAGAATAGCATCCTGCCCTTCTATTTTGCCATTATTAAGATTCCCTCATTGAAAGATGAAAATAAAATTCCTAGAGAATGATGAAAAAAAGCATCACGAAGAGAAGTTTCCTAAGTATTATGGAGATGTTTCACACAGCATAGAGCACTAATTCTGCTTGTGTTTTATATTTTTGAAAACAACACTTTATATTTAAAATTCAAAATTCAAGTCACATATCAAATGTTGCCATAGGATCTCAAAGTAACAAACATAGTGTTCGGTTTCCCTACTTCTCTTTCTTTGTCATTAAGTATGTGACAGTGCCAAGGGCTGGCAAGTCCCTGCTCCACCAAAGGGAGAGTAGAAAAAGTGCCTCTTGAGCGAGTATTGTAGACCCCATCAGCCCACCAACATCTACCAAGTGAAAGTTAAAGGTGATCATCAGCATGGCCTGAAATGAACAACAGGGCCATGGCTTCTTATATGTACAGAATCCAGTTCAAATCTTTTCAAAGCCAGCCAAGGACCATCGGTATGAGGAAAGAAATATGGTATTGTAAAAAGACAATGGAGAGACTCCACCACTTACCAGCTTGTGAATCTGGGCAAGCCGCATGTTCTTTTGGGTCCCAGATTGCCTTTCTGTAAAATGTGGATAACAGCATTTACCTCATAATATCGTTGTGAGGGACTCAAAGAGAAGCTGTGTGCAGAACGTCAAGCCTAGAGCTGGTTGGAGAGCGTATAACCGAGAAGCATTCATTTTTCTCCTCACCTTGTCTTAGCACGAGTGTTCTTTCCTCCTTCACCTCCCCCCTCTTAACTTGGCCCTAACATATCTCATCTTAGCTAGGTTCCCCAGGTTCCCTACACAACACCCCAGACTGCTCTTGCTTCCTCAGACATACCCTTCATGGGCAGAGCCTTGCAACTGACATAGGCCAGAATACCCTTGTGCCACACTTATGAAAAGCTAAAATGTGATAACCTTTGTAAAATATTCCTTGATTTCCTTAACTTATTATTATTAACATCCAGAATTTATTTCTCCCTTTGACCTCTTATGGACTTTATACCTTAATTATGATTCATATTTGGTACCCTACTGTCATTTATATATCTGTGTTTCACATTAGATTCTGTGTGTTTTTAGACTAGGATATTATCTGTCTATTTATTCTTAGATTTAGCACAGTACTTGCAGGTAGTTAAGTACACAATAAATGTTCATTGTTAATTTAAAAAACAAAGTTGCAACTTAAATTTTAAAACACTGAGCTTTGTGAACTGCCAAAAAGAGGCATCCATGCTTTGACTTGGGCCAGTCCCCTTGTGGTAAATTTTTAAGATCACCTACATAATTTTTCTTCTATTTGCTTATGTGTTTGAATATCTAAAAGACTCCTGTGGAAATAGAGCCAGAAATAAATATTGAGAAGAACCTCTGGGCTGGCATCTGTCTTAGAGAGTTTAGTGAGAAATACAGCTACATAAAGAGCTGTTGTGAAAGGCAAGAACTCCATGGAATAATGAATGAATAATCCCCAAAGCTCTTTGCCATACACCAATGTCTCTTAAAAGTAGCATGTTACAAAGTATTACTGTGGAAGACCATCAACCTTTGGTCATAGGAACACTACATAGACAACTTTAAGCCTAATGGTACAATCATTCATGGCTAGGAAATAATAAGATATAGGCATCAGAAAAGCCACATTTGTGATCAGGTGCCTGAAATGAGGTAATTTAATTTGAACAAAGCCCTTGTGAATCCCAGGGGGTGAAAAGGGCACAGCCACCACCTGTTGTTTCATCAGCTCAACTGGACTGAAGGACAGCCTGCCCATGCCCTTGGTGTGGCCAGGGTTTCTAATTGGACTTCCATCATTTCAGCCACATTACAGAAAAGGAAAGAAAAGATTCCAACAGATGCTAATAGTTGAGAGACAAATAGTAACACACACTCTTAATAAGTTTTCTGTGAAAAGGCTCTAAAATGTATTTTTGTTGTTGTCTAAAAAGATAATGAAAAGGTAACAGTATAAGGGAAAGTTTCAGGAGGCCTGAGCTTTGTCCCAGCTGCATAACTGACTGGTTGTGTAACCTTGGTCAAGTCACTTAATCTTTCTGGGCCTCCATTTCTCATCTGTAACATGGAGGTGCTCACTTTCAGCACTGAGATTGCTGACTGAACTCTAAGATTATGCTTTTACTGTATTCTACCCCAGATTGTATCACCTTGTATTAGTCCATTCTCACATTGCTATAAAGAACTACTTGAGACTGGGTAATTTATAAAGAAAAGAGGTTTAATTGACCGACAGTTCTGCAGACTGTACAGGAAGCATGGATGGGGAAGGGCTCAGGAAACTTACAATCATGGCAGAAGGTGAAGGGGCAGCTGTCCTACATGGCTGGAGCAGGAGAAAGGGAGAGAGAAGGGGGAAGTGCTACACACTTTTACACAACCAGATCTCATGGGAACTCACTCATGGAACAGCAAGGGGGAAATTCACCCCCATGATTTAATCACCTCCCACCAGGTTCCACCTCCAACACTCAGGATCACAGTTCAATATGAGATTTGGGTGGGGGTACAGAGTCAAGCCACATCATTCTTCCTCTGGCCACTCTCAAATCTCATGTCCTTGTCACATTTCAAAATATAATCATTCCTTCCCAATAGCCCCCTAAAGTGGGGGAGTGGGAGGAGGCTGTTCCAGCATTAACTAAAAGTCCAAGTCCAAAGTCTCATCTGAGACAAGGCAAGTCCCTTCTGCCTATGATCCTGTAAAATCAAAAACAAGTTAGTTACTTCCAAGATACAGCCAGGGTACAGGTATTGGGTAAATGCTCATGTTCCAAAAGGGAGAAATCAGCCACAACAAAAGAGTTACAAGCCCCATGCAAGTCTGAAACCCAGGAGTGCAGTCATTAAATCTCAAAGCTCCAAAATAATCTCCTTTGATTTTATATCTCATATCCAGGCCACACTGCTGCAAGCAGTGGGCTCCCAAGGCTTTGGGAAGTTCTGCCTCTGTGGTTCTGCAGGGTACAACCTCCTGGGCTGCTTTCACAGGCTAGCATTGAGTGCCTGTGGCTTTTGTAGGTGCAGAGTGCATGTGTTGGTGGATCTACCATTCTGGGGTCTGGAGGACAGTAGCCATCTTCTCACAGCTCCACTAGGCAATGCCCCTGTGGGAACTTTGTGTGGGGACTCCAATCCCACATTTCCCCTCCATACTTCCGTAGTAGAGGCTCTCCACAGGGCTCCACTCCTGCAGCAGACTTCTGCCTGGACATCCAGGCATGTCCATTTATCCTCTGTAATCTTGGTGGAAGCTCCCATACCTCAACCCTTGTCTTCTGCACACCTGAAGGCCCAACACCATGTGGAAGCCACCAAGGCTTGGGGCTTGCATCCTCTGAAGCAATGGTCCAAGCTTTATCTTGGCCCCTGTTAGCCATGGCTGGAGTTGGAGCAGCTAGGATGTGGGGTGCCATGTCCCAGGGCTGCATAGAACAGTGGGGCCCTGGGCCTGGCCCATGAAACCATTTTTTCCTCCTAGGTCTCCAGGCCTGTGATTGGAGGGGCTGCCACAAAGGTCTCTGAAATGCCCTGGAGGCATTTTCCCCATCGTCTTGGCTATTAACATTCAGCTCCTCCTTACTTATTCTGCAGCCTTGAATTCCTCCCCAGAAAATGGGTTTTTCTTTTCTACCACATGGTCAGACTGCAAATTTTCCAAACTTTTGTGCTGTGCTTCCCTTTTAAATATAAGTTCTAGTTTTGGGTTATTTCTTCGTTTATGCAAATGAATATATGCTTTTAGAAGCAGTCAGGCCATATCTTGAACACTTTGCTGCTTAGAAATTTCTTCTGCCAGATATCCTAAATCATCTCTCTCAAGTTCAAAGTTTCACAGATTTCTAGAGCAAGGGTGCAATGCCACCAGTCTCTTTGCTAAAGCATAGCAAGAGTGGCCTTTACTCAAGTTCTGAATGAGTTCCTCATCTCCATTCGAGACCACCTCAGCCTGGATTTAACTATCCATATCACTATCAGCATTTTGGTCACAACCATTCAGCAAGTCTCCAGGAAGTTCCAAACTTTCACTAATTTTCCTGTCTTCTTCTGATCCCTCCAAAACTATCTTAACCTCTGCCCATTACCCAGTTCCAAAGTCACTTCCACATGTTCAGGTATCTTTAAAGCCATGCCCCACTTCTCTGATACCAATTTTCTTTATTAGTTCATTCTCACATTGCTATAAAGAACTACCCGAGACTGAGTAGTTTTTAAATAAAAGAGATTTAATTGGCTCACAACTCTGCAGGCTGTACAGGAAGCATGGTTGGGGGAGGCCTCAGGAGACTTACAATCATGGCAGAATGGCAGAAGGTGAAGGGGAAGCTGGCATTGTCCTACATTGCTGAAGCAGGAGGAAGGGAGAGTAAAGGGAGAAGTGCTACACACTTAAAAAAAAAAAACAGATCTTGTGGGAACTTACTCACTATTATGAGAACAACAAGAGGGAAATCCACCCCCATGATCAAATTACCGCCTACCAGGCCCCAGCTCTAACATTCAGGATCACAATTCAACATAAGATTTGGGTGGGGTCAAAGAGTCAAACCATATCATACCTCTTGGATGAGAATTGCACCTTTCATTTAAGTTTTGTCAGGAAAATGATGCAATGAGAATAAAAAATGAAACCATAAATAATTTTTACTTTATGTTTTCTTATTCAAGCTGACCCTAGATTTATTTCTCAACAACTGAGATAGAATCTTTGTTGATACAGATGTTTCTAAATAGAGGCAAATCCTTTGTTACAAACAGGCAATGTTAAGGATGATAATTTGTAAATAAACTACCAGAGGTTCTATATTATAATATTACCTAGTAATATTATCATTGATATTATATGTTTTACAGATACATTAAAAAACAAATACCTTAACAAGCTTCCTAAAAACCTAAGCATAAAGTTTAAAGTTTTGGTGGGAAAAGACATTTCTTGTGATAGTCTACAATACCAAAAACATCTTCTCACCTGTGCTTATCTCTCCTTTACCCTGCTGTCTTAGTCCATTTTCTGCTTCCATAATAGGATACCATAGATTAAGTAATTTATAAAGAAAAAGGGTTTACTTGACTCATGATTCTGGAGGCTGGGAAGTCCAAGAGCATGGTGCCAGCATCTGGTGAAGGTCTTGTGCTGCATCATCCCATGGCAGAAGGGTGGAAGGGCAAGCAAGTGTGCAAGACATAGAAAGAATGGGGCAAAACTTCTTGCTTTAATAGGAGCCCACTCTCATGATAGCCAACACATTCCCACAATAATGGAAATTATCTGTCCATGAGGGCAGAACTCTCATGACCTAATCACCTCTTAAAGGTCCCACTTTGTAATACCATCACAATGGCAACTAAATTTCAACGTGAGTTTTGAATTTAAGCCATAGCACCTGCTTTCTCAGCTTTTGTAAGAAGAATAAAGAGTCCTTCTTTCCTTTTAAGCTAATTCTGATGACATATTCCTGCTTGAAATTCTAATAAGACATAAATTTAGGAACCAGGAAGTAAGGGTTTTAGGGGAGATTAAAAGACTTGAGGTAGGGAAACGATATAAGGTTTTATCATTTAAAAGGCAGGTAAATGGGTGGGGGCAAAATGAACATTAATAGCATTGATGGAAGAGGCCCAGTAAGAGTTGAGGTTATCAGGTCCTGGGGACTTCAAACAGTAACTATGGGGTGAGTTAATTTTAAGATATGAATAGAAAATAAGAGAAAAAGTATCCAGTAAAAAAGAAGTCAATAGACAGCAAAGAGGAAATAGAAAACAGTTTCTCTATATTTTCATTTTTGTTTTCCTTGTGCATTTCTGCATCTTCCCTTTTCATTACCACAGACCACAATCATGCTAACACTGATGAAAGAGGAAGGTGGGAAACTGATAAATCCTCCAAGTGATTGGCAGAAGGAAGAAAAATAATAAATGCACAAATAAATCAAAGAAAGTTATATATTTTACATTTATCATAGGCATATGGTTTGTATATTTTTGTTATAGAATTAATCACATTGCATTTATTAGGCTTTCAGTTAGTTGAACTTTTTGGATCTGTGAATTTATATTTTTTAACATATCTGCAAACTTTTAAGTCATTATTTCTTCAAATATTTTTCCATTACCACCGCCATCTTCTAGTACTCAAGTTACACTGTATGTCAGACTAGTTGATATTGAAATTGTTCCACTGAGACAGAATTCACTTTTTTATTAGCCTTTCATTTCCAATATTGTACTTTTCAGCTCTAGAAATTGTATTTGGTTCTTCTGAATAGTTTCCATTTATCTCTTCATTATGTTCACCTTTTCGTTAATATGCTCGAGCATATTTGTAATAGCCACTTCAATGTTCTCATCTGCCAATTCCATCATCTCTGAGTCTTTTTCTCTTGACTAATTTTTCTCCTGGTTAGGCATCACATTTTCTGGCATTTTCACATGTCTAGTAATACTTAATTGGCTGTTGGAAATTGCAAATATTACATTGTTGAATGCCTAGATTTTGTTTTCTTATTTTATAGAATATTGGGTTTTGTTCTGGCAGGCAGTTAATTCACATGAGGATTAGTTGGGCCAGACCTTTTAAAACTTGTTTTTAAGTTGTGCTAGGTCAGATCTAGAATGACCTACCTCTCAGACTCATTGAGTCCTACTCTTAAGGCTTGACCTTTCTAAGGTTTCTGCTTATGTGTGTTCACATAAATGCCTCATGTGTGATCAATGAGTTCTTCCCACTATAGTTAGTCAGAACTTGAGGGCCGACTGGCTGTGTGAAGTGTAAGTTATTCAAGGTACAGCCCCCAGTAATTGTTCTTTGGCCATCTTTGTAGTCTTACTCTACATATCTGTAGCTTAAATATTCAGCAAAGGACTTGAGGGGACCCCATACAGATTTCTGGAACTCTTTCTCTTTATGTCTCTCTTCTCTCAAGCTCTGTCCCACAAATTTCACTTCACTTCCCCAAACACACTCTATCCTCATCTCTGCTTAGATTCTCCTCTCTGTGCTATAGTCTAGAAAGTGTCTCTAGTGGAGCATACATTACTTGTGTCCCTTCTCTTGGGGATCACAGCCTGTTCAATGTCTGAGAGTTGCTTCATATGTCATTTGTCCAGTTTTCTGGCTGTTTATGGCAGGAGGACCAGTCTGGTACCAGTTATACTATCATAACTGGAAAAATAAGTCCCACCACATTCATATTCAAACTTTGTTTCTGTTTCTTTTCTCCCCGCAAGGCAGTGAGACCCTTCAAGGCAGTGACAGGGACTCATTCATCTCTGCATTCTCAGTATCTAACATATGAAGCATAGCATATATCAGGCATAATAAATATTATTGAATAAAAGAATAATTGACCATTGTTAAACCAATCCATAATACTTATGGTATCTATATTTAAGTAATTTACATGAATATCTAAGTGCTTCTGTAACATGTGGGGTTTTTTTAAGCAACTGAGAATAATCTATTAAATTACTGAATATATGTAAGCTAGAGATCAATGCTAGAGTCAGGTTAGTTCTATGCTAACCTTACATAACATTCCTTGTAGCTGTAAGATGCCAGTGTCCAGAAGCAAATATCATATGTGTTCAGGTATCTCTAGGACAATAATGACACGTTATTCTAGAATAAAAAGTAGCAGGGCTGTTTTCAGCATTCAGTCTATGAAGTTGACAAATAGAGTATCTACCTTCAGAGATTTCTGCCTCTATGCAAGCAAAAGGGTTAAAAACTTTCAGACTATAGTTTCATTTATGTTAGTCTTCTAAAGGACTACGGTGGCTTTTAATTTAAATAGCAAGATGCATTGAGTTGGTCTTTTAAAAGTCTATGCAGCTATCTTCTAATAATTAAAAAGTAGACTCACAAAATAAGAATTACAGTCAGACTGCTGTAAACTACAGAAATTGGGAAGGAAAGAAGTCTTGCATTTTCACATTAAAGGTTTCTTTCTGAAATCTTAATACAACATCTGTACAAGAGGTTTCGTATAAGAAATATCTGCATCTGGAAGGATGAAGTCTTAAAAATCTATGACGCTTAAAATCTGCGGATATGGGCACATCTATAATTAGAATACCTGCACTTCACTGTTTAAAGAGTCCCTAAAATTCCAGTTACACACACACACACACACACACACACACACACACACACACACACATCACTGTGTCTATTTCATAGGTCAACACAGGGTTCACACAATATTGTTATTATCAATCACACAGTCTTTTAATACATAATCTCATTTGATCCACAGGATTCTTAAAATTCCCTTTTGTTCCTTTTTGACTATATTTCTGTTTTTTTTTCCAATGAAAAGAAGACTTTTTTAGGTTAAGAACTCAGCTGTGAATGAGATGTCAACTCTGTTGGTTCATTCTTCTAGTTACCTTCAGCAAGTCACCTTTTCATCTTTGTTCTTTGATTACACAACCTACCAGGTAGAAATAATAATTTGATCTCCACATGAGAGTTAAGAACTCCTGAAATTTTAAGATAGGATAACAAAAAACTGGTGCATATGAAGAGAAATTTTTCAAAGTAATGTTTGTACTTGTTTAAAACTAAGCAAAATGACATTTAAAGAATAATGATTTAAGTTCATGGTCCCAAAACGATTTAAAACTAAAGGTTTTATTTCACTGTGTTTTTTTCCAACATTTCCCCCTTTGGTTTACATTTGCCAGTTAAGAATTTAAAGTGAGGCTTTGCCAAAGCCTTAGGTTCCACCTGGTTTGGGGTTGAAACCACATGAAGCCACTGAATTTTGCATAGTTTCCATTTGAAATGATTTATCAGCTTGGGTTCTCTTTCAGTGAGAGCCAGGTTTACATGAAACTTGGCCAAGCATTAGATGAACCTGCTCTGAGTTTTGATTTTATATCAGACCCTAAAATGAGGCCACTCAACCTAATTCTGTCTTTCAAAAAGCTCTTCTTATAATGTCCCCAGAGTATACATAGTAGTTACTAGAGACTGAGGCACAGCAACACTTTCTTTCAGTATAAAATGGGGGAAAATTTCTCGGCTGCTTGGAACCTATTCTAATTTGAAAACTAGACAGATTTAATAGAGGTTCTAGTGTCAAGCATAACACTTTAGGGAAAAATTTCCTTAGAAGTCTCAACAAAAGGGTTTTCAAGTAAATAGCTCAGAAAGACCAGGTTAATTCATTTTTTCCTTTATTTTTTCCTTTATTTATGCATTCATTAATTTAATAAATATTTGTTGGGCACCTACTACATGCAATGCCAAGCCCTGTTCTAGGCATGGGATACATTACTGCACAAAATAATTAGAGATCCCAACTTTTGTAGGTCTTCCATTCTAATAGCAGGAGACAGACAATAAGACTAACCACAATATACGTAGTATATTTGTACTATGAAACAAAAGTAGAGCAAAATTAGAGATCAGGGTGGGTTGCAGTGTTAAAGAGGATTTACAAGGAAAGACTCATTGAGGTGGTAAGATTTGAACAAAGACTTGAAGGAGTGAGGAAGTAGCAACCAGATCTTGACGAAGAATGTTCTAGACAGAGAGAACAGCTAGAGCAAAAGCCCCAAGAGGAAAGTGTACCTATATATTACAGGAACCACAAGGGACTATTATGTCAGAAATGGAATGAGCAAATGGGAGAGTGGTAGGAAATGAAGTCAGGCAAGTCACAATAGGCTAACACATTACCTGGAGGCCATGGGAAGGATTTTGGCTATTTCTCCAGATGAAAAGGAAGCCACGGCAGGATTTTGTACAAAGGAAACATACATTCCAACTTACAAGAATATATAAGTTCAAAAGGCTCTATCTATCATGTTGTGGGTAGATGATAGATGGGCCAAGGTAAAAAAAAAAAAAAAAGAAACAGTAAGAGGCCATTGAAAAAGATGAGTGCTTTAGATTTGGTGATAGCAATAGAAGTAGCAAAAGTAGTCAGATGCTAGCTATTTTTTTGAAGATAGAGCCAACAGTATTGCCTAATCAACTAGATATTAAAAAGAGAGAAAGAAAGGAAGACAGAGAGAGAGACAGGGAGAGAGAGAGATGGATCATGGACGATTTTTTTTTTTTTGAGACAGCATCTTGCTCTGTTGCCCAGGCTGGAGTGCAGTGGAATGATCTCAGCTCACTGCAACCTCCACCTCCTGGGTTCAAACAATTCTCCTGCCTCAGCCTCCTGAGTAGCTGGGACTACAGGTGCCCACCACCACACCCGGCTACTTTTTGTATTTTTAGTAGAGATGGGGTTTCACCATGTTGACCAGGCTGAACTCCTGACCTCAAGTGATCCACCCGCCTCAGCCTCCCAAAGTGCTGGAATTACAGGCATGAGCCACCGTGCTCAGCCAAAGACGAATTCAAGATGCTGTCCCAAGCAACTGAAAGGACAGAGCTGCCATCAACAGAGATTAGAAAGGCTGCAGTTGAAAGAGTGTTGGGGAGATAGATAAAGAGTTCAGTTTCGGAAGTTGAGTTTGAGATGTCTGTTAGACCTTCCAGTGGAAATATCATTAATTAGGCAGTTAGCTTGATGAGAGCCTATATTTGGAAATAAAGTTTTGCATTTAGAAGTCATTAGCATAATGTCAACAAGTATGTGAGTATAGACAGGGAAAAGCACTAAAGTCTAACCGCCGAAATACTCCAGCATTCAAAAGTCAAAGAGAAGAGGAGAGAAGAGCTCCAGTAAAGTAGGATGAAGACAAATGGGTGGAGGAGTTTTGGGTGCCTTGGAAGCCGAATGAAGACAGTGTTTCAAGGAGGAGAATGTTATCAACTGCATGTGGCAGTATGATGAGGATTGAAAACTGATCATTGGATTTATCCATTGGAGGTCATCGGTGACATGTATAAAAGCAACAATGGTGAAGTAGAGAGAGAGAAAGCCTGATTATTTAGGCAAAGATAAAATGGAAGAAGAAAAAAACAAGAAATATGACAACTCTTTCAGGGAGTTTGCTGCAAATGGAGCAGAGAGAAGGACAGTAGCTGATAAGAGAAGCACAGTAAAATATGTGTTTAAATAATGGAAGACATAACCACCTGTTTATATGGTAACACGAGTGATATAATTTTGAGGAGAAGCATGATCATCTGGGTAAAAAAGAAGAGTATTGCTGGAGCTGTGGTTCTGAATAGATGAGAAGAGGTAGAATCTGGCCCATGGGTAGAAGAATCAGCTTCAGACAGAGAGAATATGCAGAACCTATCTACTCCGATAGAAGAACATACGTGTAGTGGAGTAGATGCTGGCGGGTGAACAAGTTGAGGAGTTGGGGAGACCTGTGGAAGTTCTCCTCCAGTTGCTTCTATTTCCCCAGTGAAGTATAAACCAAGGTTATGAGTGAAGGTCAGGGAAGAGTATGAGGAGGGATGAGGTGGTGTGAAACAGATATTTGAGAGAATGGAAGAGTCGTGGGATTAGGGCAATAAAGTATGTTTGCGAGGCAGTATTAGGACCTCTTTGAAGTTCATGGCACTGAACATAACATGAGACCATTTAGGGGATTCTATGTTCTTCTCCAGGCACATAGAGTTGCACAGGTGCAGATACGGAGCAGCCAGAGAGCTGGATTTAACTCAAGTTTGGGGAAACCAAGCAAGGATGGTGAAGTGAGAGAGGGGGAAGGAGGTTGAGAATGTTTACAAAGGACTGATGATAATGACTGTCGGTGGAATTATAATTCACTACCCTCCCCTGATAAGGAGGGGAATTAAGACATCAGGGGCCGGTGAAGGAGTGGGAGGATCAAGGATTGAAGAGCCCTGCCTTGTCAAAGGATTGTTGGGGTTGGCATACTAAGAGCAATGATCAGAGAGTGGGATGCATGGAACCAAGATGATGGAGCGGGCAGTTACCAGTACTCATAAGGGCTAGGGTTGATTAGATTGGCCAGGGAGTGGCTTGGGGAGAGGAGGGGTGATCCAGAAAGGAAGAGGCAATTGTGTTCATGAGCTCACATCCAAGAGCTTTGAAATCTTCAAAAATTCAGACAGGAAGAAATGACAGCGAAGCAGGAGCTGAAATCATTTAGAAATTAGGAACAACGTCCTAGGGTCAGTCAATAACTAGGGAAGTAGTAGGCTATGTAATATGATAAGATTAGAGATAAGAAAGCTAAGAGATTTGAGGTGGACAATAGAGAGCATGGAGGGAGGGAGAAAGGGACAGAGAAGAAAAGCAGGCCGGCAGGCTTTAAGAAAGATTTTGGCATGACACTGATTCAACGGTATGTTCATCCATTCTTGCCTTGCTATAAAGAAATACCTGAGGCTGGGTAAGTTATAAAGTAAAGAGGTTCAATTGGCTTACATTTCCTCAAGCAGTACAGGAAACATGGTGCTGGCATATACTTCTGGTGAGGCTTACAGTCATGGCGGAAAGCAAAGAGGGAGCAAGCAGTTCACATGGTGAGAGAGGAAGCAAGAGAGTGAGCGGTGAGGTGCCGTGCTCTTTTCAATGACCAGGTCTTGCATGAACTCAAAGCAAGAACTCACTCATTCCCATGAGGATGGCACCAAGTATTCATGAGGGATCTGCCCCCATGATCTAATCCCCTCCACCATGCCCCACCTCCAACACAGAATCACATTTCAACATGAGACTTGGAGGGAGCAAAAATCCAAACTACATCAAATGGATACACTCACATTTGCATTGAATATCCTAGAGTTATGTTATTCAAAGATAGTATAGTTATAGACAAACCTGAATAAATCATTGCATTTTGTATAAAGTTACAGTTTGCCAAAATGAGATTCTTCCTCCATCAGAAAGTATCAAGGGGCCAATAACATGCTGCTTCTTTTTTTTATAGTGAAATAAACAAGAAAATCCTTAGAAAGGTGCCAAATGATACTGCAGAAAAAGGAATCCAATTTACACGTAGATGGTCTAGGCTTACTTTATGACAATAATAAAGCAAGTATTTTCTCTAGGAAAGAGAGCTTAAATCTCTGAAGGGCAGTGGATAGCTTTATAACGTATAATACTGGCTTTATTACCCTTTTATGGTTTTGCATCTTCTCTTTACTTTGACAAAAGATCATTCAGAAGTGAACTTACTTCAATGATACCTGCACAGACTTTATGCCTACAAAAGTAATTCATAGTATTTATCCTGGTGACAGGTCAGAGGAGATGATCAAATTTTTTTATTTTCCCTAGTTAAGCTATATTTCATTCTTGATGCCAGAGAAGTTTTTTTTAATTTCCTGGGAATCAGGAATGGCACTTTTGGCAGGTTCTGCACCAATCTGAGCTCACAGATGCCCAGAAATTGCTCAATGGTACTAAGTCTCCTAAGTAATTCCAATTTTGTAGTGAAACAAATTCTATTTTCTTTTGGAATAAAATAGAGAAACAGGGCCAGGTAGAATTTCCCTGGAGTAAGTTTCCTTTTCGTGTTTATGAATTATGTCTTTGCCCATGGTGAGCAGTGGCAAGGATGACAGCAGGTGGCTCATTTTACAAATCAGTAAACCAGAGGAAACCTTGGTTTGCAAGGAAGTTGAGTGGGGAGAAAGAATATTCAAAAGGAAAAGAATATTAAGTAGAGGATTTCAAGGAATTAAGTTCTTGCTCGTTCTTTACTACAAATAGCAATATAATAAAAATTGCAATAAACCTCCCAGGCACCTAACTCTATGCAGAGTGGATTTCGTGGACTTCATCTGAAATGACAAATCTCAATAATTAATTCAACAAATTTCAATGCATGCCTTACATGTGCAGGATATTGTCTAGGCACTGAGACTTTAATGGTGGGATGTGGCCCACAGGTTCCACTCTCAGGGAGCTTACATTCTCAGATGACCACAATCTGCCCCCGTGTGAGCCGAAGTTGTGACTGCAAGTGACAGGCACTGAAATTCCTGGTGTGATAATCGGAGACTGCCTCTTTAGAGGTTGTTGGAGGAGGGATGAAGCGTCTTTAGCACTTGGAACAAATTTCTTGAAGCTCTTTGGTGTAGTAACACCCTAGCTCTATTCTTTGGATAGGTTTTACACAAATTTGAGAATATAATATATTCTCTGAAAATGATTAGAAGTTAATAATGAAAATGTGCAGGATCCTAAGCAGAATTGTAAAGTTTGGAAATATAAATTGCTCATAACCAAATACCTGGCTTCTGCAAGACCGTGCCAGCTTAAGGACACTTTGTACCATAGAAGTATATCTCAGGAACCTTCTCACTGACCAGCATCTTGAGTTCAACGAAACCCCTCTCCTATCCAGTCACAGAGCTCTTCTTCAGTTTCCTGTAAAGATAAAGGACTTCTCCCAAGGCCGTTAGCTGTGTCTTGATGCAAAAGAGAATTTAAATTTAAATTCTTTTTATTTAAATAAAGATCATTCTATTCTTACATTTTCTTTTATTAGTCAATCTGTTCAAATGACTGACTTTTTATTTTATTAGTCAATTTTTAAAAAATCTTCCATTTCAAAATATTTGTCTCCTAAAGCTTATAGAAAAAGGCAGGCCAGGCATAGTAGCTCATGCCTATAATCCCAGCACTTTGGGAGCCCAAGGTAGGAGGATTACTTAAGCCCAAGAATTCGAGACCAGCCTAGGCAACATAGTGAGACAGTATCTCTACCAAAAAAAAAAAAAAAGAAAGAAAGAAAGAAAGAAAAGAAAAATTAGTCAGGCATAGTGGCATGTGCCTGTAGTCCCAGCTACTTGGGAGGCTGAGATGGGAGGATCGCTTGAGCCCAGGAGGTTGAGGCTGCAAAGAGCTTTGTTTACACTACTGTACTCTGGCATGGAAGACAGAGTGAGACCCTGTGTCAAGAAAGAAAGGAAGGAAGGAAGGAAGGAAGGAAGGAAGGAAGGAAGGAAGGGAGGAAGGAAGGAAGGAAAGAAGGAGGAAGGGAAGGGAAGGGAAGAAAGGAAGGAAGAGGCTACTTGAGTTTCACTCGGGTTACAGGATTGGCTTCAAGAGAAAGATAGAAAAAATAATAATAGACTCTTGTAAGTGTCTGAAAGAGAGAATTAATCCAAAAGTACTTTAAACACTCTAGAAATGCAAATAATAAAATGTCGGTGTGAACAGTTCTTGTTTGGCTTTGGCTGGTATCTTTTTCTTAAGCACTCCCTTCCGGTTTGCTGATAGCTCTCTATCTGCTTTGCCTAGGATGACATCCAAGGCAGGCAGAGTATACAAGGACTCTTCAGGACAGATAATTGCATGTGCAAAAGTAGCTTGGATTCAGAGCTTCATTTTAACGGTTCGTAACCATATTATCAATCTGTAAACCGCATAGAAACAAAAGATGTCAAGAGAAAATAACAGGAAAAAAATAACACTAGCAGACAGATTCCTCCCTACAAAGTCTTGTAGTAGAAACCAAAATAATACAAAAACCTGACAATAGCCATGTCATTGGGGGCAAGCGGAAAGACAAGGTAAATGACCAGTAGAGCCAGAGGAAAGAACTAGAGGTCAGGAAGCACAAAGGGCTCTGCAGAGAGGACGAAAGACTTCATTCCAGATGCTCAAAGACAGAGGATGGTGGTGTCAGCGGGGGATTCCTGGGCAGCTTAGGGACTAAGCAAGCACAGGGCTTTGGTTTACTTAAAATACCAGTTATGCGAAAAACAGAATTGCAGGTGTCTCCACAGGATGTATTTCTGCACAGGTTCCTAAGTAAATATAGAGGACAGATAGATAGAGTGAACAAAAAATAAACAACCCTTATCCATACAGACTTAAAGGCTTAAAAATGAATGAGATTTTCATTGTGTGGTTTCTACCCATTTAGTGTGGGCAAGTGTGTATGTGTGTGTGTGTTTCTTTTTCTTTAGAATTGCAGGGAAAATGCATGATGAAAAATGATGTTTAAATAACCAAATTCCTATGTGTTTCACTGGCTGAGAGCAGAGAGACAAGGAGGGAGGAAATGAGAAGGAGGGAATCTGTGAAGAGTTTGACTAAAAATTGTCCTCTTCCCTCCTCCAATATAATGCATCAAACTAAAAGACCAGTTTGGAGAGGATAAAGTTTAGGTTAAAAATGTGCTATATGCAGCCCGTTTCTTTCTTTCCCAGGAACTCTTTTATGTCCAACTGCACAGTCTCTATCTTCCTCTAATCCTTTTCAGTCTCCTTGCCCTTTGCCCCCACAGGACCTTTGGCACATTGCCTCTTGACCTCAAAAAATGAGGAGTTCAGAGTTTCAGGGAGATTTTGATGAAACCACCTGCTGTTCTTCTCTACCATTTTCCCCACCACTGAATTCAAATAGAACGGTAGAGGGTATAAATATGCTAATATTCTGAACCACACCAAATCCCCAACTCAGCAATTCCTGTGAGATAGGACAGTTGTAGGGATGGGTTTGAGTTAATAATTCTCCCACCACTACCCAAATAGGAATGGGATTGGAAGAGCTTGTAGACAGACGTGGATTCCAATCTCTCTCATATGGAAAAAGTGCAAAAATCCAAATTCTCAAAAGATTAGTCGACTTAGTATTGTGCTTTGTAGTCGAGACACCTCTTGATTTTCTCTTACAAAACTTGGTTTTCTTTAATTATGTACTGGTAAACTCTGACCAGAAAACTGGAATATTTTGTTATCTAAAATTTCGCTTTTATAAATCCAACTTTTGGACATACAACTCTTAGAAGAAAGGGTCATACCAGTGTGTCCTGAGATAGGGCATCATTTAGCTTGGGGAATGAAATAAGACAAGCACAGCATGGCATTTAAGCCATTAGTCCTGATGAGACATATTCACAGTTGGTCAAAGCAGGGAAGAAAGCAGGCAAGATAGCTGAGGAACCACAGTGGGTTTGTTGTTGTTGTTGTTGTTGTTGTTTCAGGTAGTAGTTCCCTGTCTGTTTTAGGTTTCAAATTTAATTTGGAAAATGTTTTAGTTGACTAAATAAAAGACACATGAATTCACGGATCATAGAAAAAGAAGGAACTATAGCAGAGTTAAAATGTTTGGGTTGTGAAAATAAATTAGTAATGAAAAAGGAAATGCTTATTAGGAACTTTCTATGTACCAGCTCTTCTCCTAAGTGTATTACATATACAAAGTTATTTAAACCTCAAAAAGTCTGTGAGGTTGATACTCTTACTCCAGCTTTACTAATAAGGAAACTGAGATCCGGAAAGTTTAACCTGTGCCAGGTGTCACAGCTAGCAAAGGGGCAGAGCTCCCGTCAGACCCCAAAGCCTGTGTTTATTGTAAAACCATTATGCTAGGTGCCAAAACAATGCTTGGATATATGAAAGGGAAAAGAGGTGATGTTCTTCTAAGAAAGCCATTAGGAAATTCCTTTGAACTATCACTGATGTAGCTCCTAAATTTCAGAACCCCTCTACTCTCTATTCTTATGAATCATCAACGGTTAGCACTACGTTGATGCTCTAACTACGACCTCTAACTACGAAACTGAATCGCACCTTCAGTTGTTTATGACATTGCTCTTTTTTAGAAACTTATTGTATTAATTATCTATTGTTGCATTTTAAGAAAACAAAATGTAAGAGACTTAATAATAAACATCAATGCTCTTACACAGCTTCTGTGAATCAGGAATGTGGGAGCGGCTTGGCTGGATGGTTCCAGTTTAAAATCTTTTATGAGGTTGCAGCCTAAGATACAGAGCAGACCCTACATTGTTCTAAGGGACTTACTAGAGTAGGAGGATCCTCTCCCAAGATGGCTCACTCACAAGGCTGGCAGGTTGGTGCTGGCTGCTAATTGGAGGCCTCAATTCCTTGCCATGTGGACCTCTCCATGGGGCTGCTTGAGTGTCCTCACCACATGCATGGAAACTGAGAGCAGGTGATCTGAGAGAACAAGGCAGAAGCTGCAAAGTTTATTAGGATCTAGCCTCAGAAATCACATTCTGTCATTCTGTAATCCCATTGGTTACCCAGGTCAGCCATATTCAGTGTGGGAGGGAGCTGCACAAAGGTTTGGATACCAGGAGGCGAGAGTCACTGGAGACTGTGTTGGAGGCTGACTACCACACTTACTGTCAGTTTATTAATGATCCTATTTGGTGACTCGGTCTCATTTTTCTGCTTTAGGGCAAGACCAACAGAGAGATGAAATAAATGCAGTAAATGCATTCAGTTATAATTGCAGTGGACAATCTGCCCTTGCATCTTCCCAGGAGAGCTAGCGCTTGAGGAGTCTTTCTGGACTCTCAACTCCGGTCATTCTATTGCCCTACTGCTTGCATCAAATGTAGGATTTGTCACTAAACGTCAGGCTCACCAGGATAGTCAAACATCAGGCTCTTTGAGCAAAAAGAAAAAGTAATGTCTAGGGCTACCCTACATATTCATTCAGTTATCTGAAAAATATTTTTTAGATGCCTACTGATGGATAGAGCCATTGTCTATGTGGAATCTTAGGCATAATGTACCATTAGGAGGGCTCAGTCTGCTAATTGTAGAGATTCTTTGCTGAAATGAACTTTAGAGATAGTTAAATATAGTCACCACTCCTTATTACAAATAAAAACATTGAAGTCCTCAGAAAACTAAAACTTGCTTTTGTTACTTGGTTATGCCTGTTCTGCTTTGACTTCTCTCATCGATAAAATCACCATCAAAACCACTGCCTAAAATGGGTTTTAGAGGTTCTCTCTGGATTTCATTGCTTTTCCTCTACCGTAGTAACCAGATGAACTATTTGAATGAATTGTACCTCTTTCCAGAGTTCAGTCCAAGAGTCATAAGTTGTTTATGGACATCACTCTGGTCCTTCTGTCTTAGAAAGAGGAAAATCTAACTAAACCTCAATACTAGCATTGACCTATAACTAAGTAACCACTTTCTATCTGGTTAGCCAACATGTCAAGTTAGACAACTGTCCTTTCCAAAGGGATTGAAGCTGTTGGTGTCCTGCACAAGTGGATGCTGAGAAGGGGTAGAATGGAATGAGGTAAACAGGTACTTATTGAGGACCTACTGTACTCCAGACAGAATGCTAGCACTTTCACACCTGGGCCAACCCTTTAATTTCCAAAACGATGGCATGAGGTGGGAGGCATGATGATTATCCCATTTTACAAAAGAGAAAACTGAGGGTGATTTGTCCAAGAATGGTTGGGGATCAAGAGACATATTTGGGATGTAAATCCAGATCTGCCTGAGCCTGTATTCTGACCCACTAAGCTGCCCAAACACCACTCTGAACTGACTTCTCAGTGAACATGCCTAGCTCATGCCTGTGCTCTGTCTCCTCTCATTGTCCCTTGTTGCTTTGGAACACTGAGGTTTAAAAACTCTTTTAGCTTTATGTTTGCATATATGTGTATATGTGTAAATGAACAGTTTTCAAATACATTGTTATCTCCTTAATAACAGTATCCCTTTTAAATTTCCCCTTCCCCACCCATAGGGTGGAGTACTATGCTCTGCCCACAATGAGCTCTGAAGATAGTTTTTGTTCTTGTGACAGATTTTCAACCAAGCCACCACCCACCTCTCCTCCACCTCAACTCACTAAGTGTTCTCTTCTGCTGGTGGAGAAAAAAATAAATCATTTCGAATTTTTTAATATCATGTTATTTCCCTCCAAACATGTATATATTGTGCTTCTGCAAAAAGTCTTTCTTAACCAGTCAATACATTTGTCTGCTTTAGAGTTGTGATGACAGTAATTAATGTGGAAGCTGAAAAGTCAGATTTATTATGACTGAGAGAAGTCTCTGCGGATAACCTGTGTCTTCACTTAATTTCACCACAGAAGTATTTTTTTATTCTGGAAATGTTTTTTAAATGTAAGCACATTATAATCGATGCTGCTTCTTTGTCTTTCTCTGGAATTTCCAAGACGACCTTTTCCTCTTTGTTTCTGCTTGTAGTGGCTCCACAGCTCAGTATCAACACGGGAAAGAGAGGCGGCTCTAAGCTGATTACATACGCGGCCACCCCTCTAAGGGCGAAACTGCATTGCTGTCAGTCTTAGGAATTCACAACCTTAACAGCAGCCATGGCTCTTCAGCAGAAGCCCTGAGGCTCAGTTGCCAGCTGATGACCTTTGATGGGATAATTTCTAGCTTTGCTAAGACTGCAAGAGGAACAAGTGAGGGGTTAGGAAGCAAGAGTTATTCATGAAGCCACTGTGTCTTTATTCAAGAACGTTGAGAAACAAACCTTCATGGCTATTCTTCGTTAAATAAAGTAGCATACCCATTTAAATTTCAAAATTGTTCAAGTCACTCATAAATCCTCGAACTTTATCTTTTTCATTTAAAAATCCTTTTTTGCCTGATGGTCTTGTAAGGAAACAAGTCATTCTATGTCTTAAAATGATTGTTTCAAGCCAAAATAGGCACATGAGAACATTTTAAACTTCATTGAACCTCGAAAGAATTTTCAATATTTGAGGAGAGAACCCTTCAATTCTTTTTTTTTTAAAGGAACTGGACAACAATATGAATGTAATAGATCCATTAGCATTGTGAGAAACAGGTCACTAACCCCCCTTTTCATTCCCACAACACCACCAAATACTTTTCTGGTTTTAATAACTGTTAGAAAGGTCTGCTCAAACACAGAAAGGAGCTAGTGTTTTCACAAGCCTCTGAAAGAAGAGGATGCATTGCAAGATCTTTAAATTCATTGTACAGCAAGAGAATGAAAAAGAATGTAAGAGGAAAGTGGACAACTACCTGTTTGACCTATACATATAATAGATTTGTTACTAATTAGAATCAGTTTGTTTTTTGTTGTTGTTTTTACCATCTTGAACTTTATTAGGTTTATGATTGTGCAATAGATCTCTAGAACTCTTTTATCTTGCAAAACTGGAACTCCACATTCATTGAACAGCAACTCCGCCCTTTCCCTCCCATCCTTCTCTCCCTCCTGGAGTCCCTGGCAACCACCAATTTTACTTTCTTTCCTATGAATTTGACTATTCTAGGTATCTCATATAAGTGAAATCATACAGTAAAATTATTAGAACCAATTTGGATACAAATAAGATTTAGATGTACAAATTGACTAATCTGGATGTACTAATATCAAGACAAACAAATGAAAACCAAGTATGGCCACATGATCAAGAACACTTGCTTGGCTCTTATTGCCTCTAATAGTTTTCTGTATGCTCACTTTTGTGCAAAAGCTGTTTAAAATCCAGCTTACCGATACCTATTATCCCAGCAAGGACAGGGTTGTGTTGGGCAGTGGAAAATGGTAAAACCTAACTCTGAAGGCCCTTGGACCATTTGTTCCAAAAGCAAACAAGTTGGAAAGAATGTGAGTTTTTTATATTTTATTTTAAGTTCCAGGGTACATGTGCAGGACGTGCAGGTTTGTTACACAGGTACACATGTGCCATGGTGGTTTACTGCACCTATCCTCAATAACTTAGGTATTAAGCCCTGCAATGCATTAGCTATTTATCCTGATGTTCTCCCTCCCTCCGTCCCCCTCCCCCAGTGGGCCCTGGTGTGTGTTGTTCCCCTTCCTGTGTCCACGTGTTCTCATTGTTCAGCTCCCACTTATAAGTGAGAACATGTGGTATTTGGTTTTCTGTTCCTGCATTAGTTTGCTGAGGATAATGGCTTCCAGCTCCATCCGTGTCCCTGCAAAGGACGTGATCTCATTCCGTTTTATGGCTGCATAGTATTCCATGGTGTATATGTACCATATTTTCTTTATCCAGTCTATCATTGATGGGCATTTGGGTCGATTCCATGTTTTTGCTATTGTAAATAGTGCTGCAATAAACATACTCGTGTATGTATCTATTGTAGATAGAATGATTTATATTCCTTTGGGTATATACCCCGTAATGGGATTGTTGGATCAAATGGTATTTCTGGTTCTAGAACTCTGAGGAATCAAAATGTGGTTACTTTTTTACCTCCGATCTGTCTTTATTGTAATATTAAAATCAAAGACTTGTAGAGAATAGCCTAAAATCCCTTAAACAAAGTTAAAAGGCAAATAATAGTCTAGAAAAAAAATTTGCAATGTTCAGTGCTAAAGTCAACTATTTTTCCTGGCTTAAGGGAGTTTTATTCTTAGCAGTTATGATAATGACAAAAAACATGATATGGAATGGGAATGAGAAGGAAGCTGTCAATGGTTTGGGAAAATATTTTGCTAATGACTTCATTGAGAGTAACATAATGGAAGTTCATCCTGGGGGCTGAGTACTGTACATTCTGCATTACTGAACCCTGAAGTTTGCTTACCGAAAATACTTGCAGGAAGTAGCTACTAATTAAATAGGCATTCTCCAAGAATTGGATGAAAATTGAAAAATTCAGAAAGCATTTACAAATAATTTGTTTAAATGTCTTTAATATAATATTACATCTTTATAGTCAAATAGTTCTTTAAGAAATTCTTTCATTAAGATCACTACATTGTGCATGGTGGATATTTTTCTGGGTGAGTTAGTATTAACTCCGTCTTTAAGAGAATTATTTATATATCATAAGAAACAAGAATCTTATAGTGCATTTGAAGAGGCCAACTCTGAAGAATTAGGCTACATTTTTAGAAACATCACCAATCACTGAAGTTTTAGAATATATAAGAACAAGTATTCCTTCCAGGAAGGTAGGAATATTACATTTCTTCTACTTACATGTTTTATTACCAATTCACACTTAACATTGGTGAAGTAAGCATGATCTTTCATGTATCACAGACTTCATTTCCTTGACAAACGACTTAATTATAATACTTTATTCCACCACTTTTTTTGAGACAAGATAGCAGTATTTGAAGGCAATTTGAGAAGTTGGCAAGCTTACAAATTTATGAGCTTATGAAATTTATGTGTTACATTGATACAACTGACGTCATACATATTTTATAAGAACTGCCCTAAACATAGACGTCATCATTCATAATGAATTAATACTTAAAGGAAATTTAAAAAAAAAAAATTCAGCTAAGAGAGTACTGTTTTGATATGAAATAATATAAGACTTTATAAGGATTGTTGTTTAAAAACAAGCAAGTTGTTTTTAAAATTAGAATTTTGCATGATATATCAATTAGAATGCTTTGGGTTGAAATAGAAACTTCAGCCTAAACTGTCCTAGGCAAGCAACAAGACAATGTCTGGGCTCACAAATGATAATTCCAGAGAATAAGGAAAGCATGCTGCAGTTGGGGCTGTACTGGAGCTCCATTAAGGTCACCTGTTCTGTTTCCTTCCCTATCTCGCTTGGCTTTGCCTGCTGTGGAGAGCTCCATATTTAGGCATGTTTAGGCCCTTGTGTTTACAATGTGGCTGCTCCAGCTCCAGCTTCACATCTTCACAGCCTGAAGTCAATAGACAACAGAGCACTGACTTCCTCCACTGCTCAAACAACAAAACCTCTGAAGTGAGTCTCACTGGCCCTGAGTGACCTGGCGTTGGGCATTGATCAGCCTTTAAAACAATCACTCTTGCTGAAGGGAACAGAAGAGAGGTGCACTCCAGACAGTGTGCTCTATGGGAGAGAGGAGGAGGTGCAACTATTCCTGGAAGTACAAGGGATAGCAAAGAGGAAAAATTATTTCCTCAAAACAAAATCAGGGACAGTTACAAGAATAGGGTGCAGCTCCTGGAAAGGAAAAAGGCAAATAGGGCCTCTAGCGTTAGGATGTAAGGAGTAAAGCTCTAACCTTTTTTCTGGATTAATATAAAATCTTAGATAAGATGAGGGTGCCAACTAAGGAGAGCCAGTGGGGAGCAGGTATTAGAAAATGTATGCCACCTACCAAGGAACAACACAACCACCCTCATCCAAAGCAAAGCCATAAGAGGCCGGGTGAGATGGTTCACGCCTGTAATCCCAGCACTTTGGGAAGCCGAGGCGGGCAGATCACCAGGTCAGGAGTTTGAGACCAGCCTGTCCAACATAGTGAAATCCCATCTCTACTGAAAATACAAAAAAATTAGCCAGGCCTGTAATCCCAGCTACTCAGGAGACTGAGGCAGGAGAATTGTTTGAACCCAGGAGGCAGAGGTTGCAGTGAGCCGAGATTGTACCATTGCACTCCAGCCCCAGCAAAAATACGAGACTCCGACTCAAAAAAAAAAAGCCATAAAATCCCTGCAAGCAATCACCAGCACCTCACTCTTTTTCATGGTGAATGTCACTTAGATAGTAGAAACTTCGATCAATTTAATTTGATCATGTACTCTTTATAGTATTTACGCTCAGGTGTTTTGCGCAGATCATTTCACTAGTCTTCATGGTATTGCTGGTTAACAATACCACCCATTGTCTGTTTGGTGTCAGTGAAGGCTTGTGTACCTGCTTACATGTGTAAATTCACCTGGCAGCTCCTAAGAAGGGCTTGTCTAGTTCTTATTCAAACAATGTGTAAAGGATCAGAAAGTAAATGTTGTTCCCTTTCATCAAACATGCCACAGAAATTAATTTTGTTTATATTTTGTGTAAACTCCATGATCCTGAGTATCATTAGCAAGTTAAATCAAAAATAGCTGATATCTTACCACTACTACTATATATCAGAAGACATTTGGGCTTTCTTTGCAGCCTGTTGTTTGTGTTTATTAACATCTTTGATTGGCAAGACATTCTGCTTCTAGGTACATTTGGTTGGAGGGATGGTCAGAGTGTAATCTATTAGCCACATTTCCCAGGCTAAAGTGGGCTGCATTTTAAAATAATCACTTAACAAACATAAAATTACTAAGGATGGAGCCCCGAAGCACAGACACCTAAGAATATTTTCCTTTTTCGAGGAATCCTTGGTATGTTGATTCACTAATTTCTACTCACTTAGAGCAATGTGGTAGACATAGCTGCTATTTTTTAGGCCAATGTGTCGAACTCACACTCTCATAAGCAAGACATGGAGTGGTAACTGCCAGGAAGTCTGGTGAGATCATCGAAAGCCATGTTCCTGCTCTTTATGGCCCTCCCAGGGAGGAAGGGTGGTGTCCTGCAGAAGGACCCAGGCGCTTGACTGCCTGAGTTAAATGCCAGTCCCCTACCTACTAGTTGTAACCTTGGAAAAGCTATTCAACCTCTGTACTATGATGACTTCAGCTAAAATGGGGGAATGAGTCCTACCTCCTCCGTTTTGTAGGCACTTAATGCATGGTTCCTGGCTTATACTCTGTGCCCAGCAAACGTAAGCTTCTATCATTAGCACCTCTGACTCACTGCACAGCATTAGGAGACTCTGTGCCCTGGGGAGAGAGTGAAACCCTCCAGCTGGGCTTTCAGAACACTCTATTTGTCTCTGCTGGTGGAAGGAGATTAGCTAGCAAAGGGATTTCTGGGCATCCCTGACAGCATCTGGTACACAGTAGGGCCTCTTAGAGGTTTGTTGAATGAATGCCAGGACCCTGGCTGAAAGGTGCTTCTCATCCCCAAGGTATCAGGCACTTTAAGAATAGTTTCATACATTTCTTTTTAATAACCTCAACCTTGTCTTCTATGAAATAGAGTTCGATTGCCAGAAACTGTCATTAAATATGCATGACTCTGTTAAGAGATTTTTTTTGAACAGCTTTTGGTTTCCAAGAGTATACCATATTAAATAGATATAAAAATTCTTAATTCTACCCTCAGCATGAGTGTGGGCATCTTAGGGGTACCCCAAGAATGTGAATCATTCAAGGGGATTCGTCCTCATGACTAAGCCATCTTCTGACACTAAAGTTCAGGTGTTTACCATTTTTACCACAAAGGGGGAAACAGCCTGCAGAAACAGTTACTATCCTGCCATATGTCAGGGGACACTGAGGCTAATATCTGCACGTTTGGAATGAGAGTGTGTGACATGCAGTGCTTTGCACAATACAGGATGACGGCAACTTTTGACTTTCAACTTCTCGCTTTCTTCACTCATTTTCAAATTCCTCAGAGACTGTCTTTTCAGGGCCCTTTTAACTGTGTGTCTGGAACTGAAACAGAAGAAAAAGAGAAAACAGAAAAATAAAAATAGAATAGAAAATTGAAAAAAAAGTAATTTTCTCAAGTTTTATAACATTTCAAATCCTTTTTTTTTTTTTTTAGACGGAGTCTCGCTCTTTCACCCAGGCTGTCGTGCAGTGGCGCCATCTCGGCTCACTGCAGGCTCCGCCCCCCGGGGTTCACGCCATTCCCCTGCCTCAGCCTCCCGCGTAGCTGGGACTACAGGCACCAGCCACCTCGCCCTGCTAATTTTTTGTACTTTTAGTAGAGACGGGGTTTCACCGTGTTAGCCAGGATGTCAAATACTTTTATACTTTTTTATATGTATACTTTTTTTTCAAGGAAAAAGCCTGCTTTTTGTTTTGTTTGCTTATTGGTTTTTACATTTCTGTTGCCTTTTTTTTTTTTTGAGCCATTAAGCTCTTGCTCAGACACATGCTTCTCATCCCGTCCTTCTATGCAATGCCATGAACATTAAACCCTTCAGCAGCCGCGTTCATTTGCCTGCAGTCAGTGACTATCAATTTGGCTTGAGATTTCTAGGTTAAGTGCAGTAATGCACTAAGGCCGGGCCCCTTTCTGGAGATACCAGCCTCCAGGAGTCTGCCCCAGGTAGTCCAGAAGTTGAGTTGGTCTGAAAGCACCTGTCTGGAAGGCGAGGGGGAGTACTTGCTAATGGTATGGAGAGGTGCTTGGAAACAAAGTGCAGGGCAAAAATTAGACCATGAGAGAAAGTAGAAAGTCCTGTCATGTCAAACCTTCCAACACTATAGTCTTTTTTCTTTTTGCAAAGTTTAGCTTATTTTCTTTTTTCTTTTTTTTTGTTTTTTTGAGACGGAGTCTCCCTCTGTCACCCAGGCTGAAGTGCAATGGTGCAATCTTGGCTCACTACAACCTCCTCCTCCCAGATTCAAGCAATTCTCCTACCTCAGCCTCCCGAGTAGCTGGGATTACAGGTGCCTGCCACCATGCCTGGCTAATTTTTGTATTTTTAGTGGAGATGGGGTTTCACCATGTTGGCCAAGCTGGTCTCGAACTGCTGACCTTGTGATCTGCCGGCTTCGGCCTCCCAAAGTGCTGGGATTGCAGGCGTAAGCTACCGTGCCCAGCCTAACTCATTTTCAAAACAAAGTGATATATGCCAGGATTGAACCCTGTAGCTGGATCCCGTCTAGTGTCCAGGGCTGCCTTTGAAAGGACAGCAGAGGTCCATCTGCCAGTGAATTCTTCCCACTGCTCAGACACTCGCCTTTGTCATTCGACCTGCTGATAGGCTGAGGGGGCTGCCTCTGAGTGGAAATACCTTAGCCATTGTTCTTGGAAAGAACAACTTAAAAGCTGAGAAATGGCTTTTAGACTGATTGGGAATAAAGTTGGACTTCCACAACTTTTTACTTTTTTTTAGTCTACCGAATAAAAATGATCTTTTTGAGAAACCAGGGCTCTGTGAAAAAGGAAAGTCTTTTAAAGATGAAAGATCTCATGTTATTTGAAAAAGACATTTAGATGTCCTAATATTTCTCAGATTATACTATGATGTGCAAATATGAAAAGATCTTGCGCTTGGCAATTGCTAACTAGATATGTAGATATGACTGCAAACACCAAGGGATGAGGTAGCCAGTTCATTTTATTAAATATTTTACATTTGAGTTGAAGAAATACCCATAGAAGAGAACATTAGCATCTAGACATCCATTCTTCTATTCCAAAGTCAATGACTAAGCCCCTATGATGTACCAAATTCCAGGTGGCCTCTAGAGGGAAAATAACTGTCCGATATGCGCAGGGCATTCCTCGAGTCTCGGGGAGGGACAGGGAATTTCTACGATTTCTACGGAAGAGAAGTAAGTGTGTTCATGGCAGTGGGAGTTGAAGGGAGGCTTCACTGAGGTCTGAACTTTCTTAGGGTATAAAAATGGTGTAACCATTTTGGTGGAAGTGGAGTTGGTTGGGCAGACAGCTGCAGGTTCATGAGCCCACAGGTGTTTTTAATAACAGGGCTGTTGTGGGGAACAGGGAAAAGACATGGTTAGGCCAGCATCTAAGAAGATTGGTCTGGTACCTGGGTGAATTTAAGGGTAATTTCAGGATTAACAGACAGAAGGCAAAAAGACCATTAGAAGCCATTACAGTGATCTGGAAAAGTAATTATAAAGGCATGAACTGTGGTAGTGATGAAAGCAATGGAGAAAAGGAGACAGAATCGAGAAGTATTTTGATGATAAAATCAGCAGGATAGGGGATTAATCAGATCTCATGAGTGGAGAAAGTACTGGGATAAATGGAAAGAGAGGATACATATGGCCACCAGATTCATCTCTCTATTCATAAAACGATGGTTGTGCCACTGAATGAGATAAAGACACTAATAAGACCCTAAGTCACTTTTCTTTCTAACACAATGACACGGATTATTTTCTACAAATAGAGAACAAAATACTAGAGTATCTAATATTTGTAAGGCACTTTTGCATTTATAAAATGTTTCACTCATTGTAAGTCATTTGGTATAATTACAATGCTGAAAGACAGGCAGGGCTATTATATTTTATGGACGAGAAATTATGTTTCACAGAGGACATCTACTTCTCAAAGTCACACAGCTAGTAAGTGGGAGAGCAGAAACTCAGATTCAGAACTCCCTTCCAAATCCATCCCTCCTTCCCTGTAGCAAGGCCAGTTCTTTTGGTGAGGAGCCATCTCCCTGCCAGGACAGAGACAAGCTGTTTCTGCCTTGGTGACAGCGTTTCCTGCCTTCTTGCCCGGGTTTCTGTAACTAGCACTGTGCATTGGTGACCATGGTCAGGAGTGGATGTTCTTGCTGTAGGATCATATTTTAGGGCTCCACTTGAGATACATATGTGTTATACCTTCTTTTTCCTCTTGCCACATAAAATCCACAAATGGAAGGCCGATGAAAAGTCCCTGGAGCAAATGTACTCTTTGTAATTTTCACAAGACCTGTCAAATTCTAGATGACTGCAGGCATTTCATTAAATGAAGTCAGTAGGGACTTACTAATGCCTCTGTTAACTTCACTCTAAACTAACCCAAATTAACCTGGATCTCAAAAATCTGGGGTTTCAATAAGAATTTCTAATCTTGAAAGCTTATAGCCTTTCCTATATGGCACAGCTGAAAGATTCCTGAAAACAGAAATTTAGGAAAAGGGAAAGAAACAAGCAGAACATAAGTGTGGGTTTGGGAGAAGCATGATGGAGAATGGTGGAGCAGGAAGGTGGTGGGATTTACAGGGAAGAAAGGATAATGTCTCCAGGCCTATATATTAATTTCCCACTAAATTCAATCAGATGTCACAGATGGCATCCACATTACACAGAAATATGAGGTTAAAGCAAATTGATATGGAATGGCCCTGCTTGTGAGACCGGAGGACACCCCAACTAGTCTTAACCTAGGCAAAGGCAACATGGCACTTCCCCTGAGAAGTATGATGGCAGGTAAGCCTGCCAGTGTCGCTGAAGGAACATGAAAGAGCATCTAACTCCCATCTGTGGCACAGCTAAAAGATTCAGAAAAACCGAGGCAGTGGAAATAGTGAAATGCATTCTCACATTTCATCCCCTTGGGTTTACCCTAGCATATGATTTGAGGATGAGGGACTGTAACAAATGCATCATATGTGAAAGAGAAGGAAGAGAAAGTAGAAACGAAAGACGTCTGCTTCTAACAGTGACATTTTTAAAGCAAGCACAGTAATCTCTGAACATGTATTTGAAAGTACAGATTTCTTGTTCAAATAGGGTACCACAGAAACACAGAACCCTAAAATGCTCACAGGTAGAAAAGCTCAGGAAGAATGTCTTTGTTTTCAAATATTTGTTAGGGACAGGAAGCCATTAAATAAGATATGTGGGTATTGTTAGTGTATGACATATGGGTAAATAATGATGTTTGTTTTCTAGAGTGGTTACTACAAAACTTAACTTCTTAATTAAAAAAAGGAATAAAGATGGAAATGGTTTAAGCTCAGAACTGTGAAGGCACCAATTTGTAGATCACTGAAAATATTTGATCTTCCATTCTTTCTCAACACTTCATCCAAGCTATTGATGGGAAGGAACTGGAGAGGGAGTGGAAGAGGAATATGAGGAAGGTGTGTCCTTACTTAAACTTGAGGCTTACTGACCTGGAATTATACATTTTCTTTACAGCGCTGTCATTCATTTAAAGGTCTGGAGGATAGGCATGTCCCCTAACACCTTCTTCCCAGAGAGCTGGTGACATACAGTTATATTCCATTCTTCTTCCCATACCTTCCTCATTGACATAACTTCTGGAGGTCACTACTGTAAGACCTTGAGAGTTCTGCATATGCTGAAGAATATTGGGGAGGGCTTCACAGTGTTTAAATATGTGGTTATGATGGAAGCAGAAGACATTTCTTCACAACATATGCAACTTACTCATCTGAGAAAATTCCTTAACCCGAGACAGAACTGGCTTCAGTGAAAATATTCACAGAACATGAAGGAAACTGCTTTGCATCAAGTGCAATGTGTGTCCCCAGTGTGGTCATGATGGAGTGTTCTGTGGTGTAGCAGAAAGGTACGAGATATGGCTTCCTTCTCCACTTTGAGAAACAGTGATTTGGGCTTAGCCATTTCACCTCTCCGAATCTGTTTTGACCCCCGAGAAATGGGGATACCAACAGTGCTGCCGAGAGTTACTGGAGGATCCAAATTAGAACAAGTATGTGAAACCTTTGTACAGTGTAAGTTTGATACAAATGATATTATCAATTACTTGAGGCCTCAGCATCCTCAATTTTAAAATAAGTTGAATACGATGACTTCTGAAGTCCATTCGTGATTCCTGAAAACAGAAATTTAGGAAAAGGGAAAGAAATGAGCAGAATGTAAGTGTGGGTTTGGGAGAAGCGTGATAGAAAATGACGGAGCAGGAGTGAAGAGGAAGGTGGTGAAATTAACAGGGAAGAGAGGATAATGTCTCCAGGTCTATATATTAATTTCCCATGAAATTCAATCAAATGTCATAGATGGCATCCACATTACACAGAATAATGGGGGTAAAGCAAATTAATATGAAATGGCCCCGCTTGTGAGACCAGAGGACACCCCAACTAGTCTTAACCTAGGCAAAAACAACATGGGACTTACTATGACACGCATGACAAACTTCTATGAGTCTGTGGTTCTGTGAGATAGAGATTTAGCAACCATCCAATTAATGCTTCTTATTGATCAAATCAGACTATTTGTTTTTTTAATTACTCTAAAAACACCACTGTATACATTCCATACTTGCAAATATATAAATTAAGCCCCTGGTTTTGTTTTTGTTGTTGTTGTTGTTGTTTATTTCTTTTAAATTCCAGGGTACACGTGCAAGATATGCAGGTTTGTTACATAGGTAAACCTGTGCCATGGTGGTTTGCTGCACCTATCATCCATCACCGAGGCATTAAACCCAGCATGCATTGGCTATTTTCCCTAATGCTCTCCCCAACCCCCACCCTCCCCTCACAGACCTTAGTGTGTGCTGTTTCCCTCCCTGTATCCATGTGTTCTCATTGCTCAGCTCCCACTTATAAGTGAGAACATGCAGTGTTTTGTTTTCTGTTCCTGCATTAGTTTGCTGAGGATAATGGTTTCCAGCTTCATCCATGTCCCTGCAAAGGACATGATCTTGTTCTTTTTTATGGCTGCGTAGTATTCCACAATGTATATGTACCACATTTCCTTTATCCAGTCTATCACTGATGGGCATTTGGGTTGATTCCATGTCTTTAGAAGCCCCTGATTTTTTTAATCATCTGTGTTCAATACCTTTACATCTTTTTTTTGACAAATAGCCACATCATTTAGGAATCCTTATAGCCCAATTGATTCTCTAGACTGTAGCATCCTAGCATCACTCTGTGTTGGCAGTGGGCCACAAATGGATGACAGATGTGTCAAGATGTGAACTACAGGTGTACCAAGATATCTACCTGCTCAGCCTCAGGATGGCTGGGCAGTTCTGGGATGGCCAGAGCCCCTTGGACTGTGAGTGGCCTCATCTGCTTATCCCAGTGTGCTGTATATAATCAATGTCAGTATTTTCCATGACAGGAAACACTTTGAGGATCATAGTCTAAACTAATCAAGTTTATCAAATTATATTCATTTCATGGTAGTTATGCATAAATCAAATTGGCTAAGGTGTTTCGATTTACACATTCATGTTTCTCTTTCTAAACTTTGCTAGTTTATTAATAACTTTAGAGTTTAGTAATTACTATAAAATCAGTTTCACAAGTCTAAGAATAGTGTGTTGTAATGTATTAATTTGAGTTTTTGGAATCCTAATTTGAGGTATAACTGAGACATTTATACAAAACAAATGTTTTTTTTTGTTTGTTTTTTTGTTTGTTTTTTTTTGAGATGGAGTCTCGTTCTGTCACCCAGGTTGGAGTACAGTGCCACGATCTCGGCTCACTACAACCTCTACCTCCCGGGTTCAGGCGATTCTCCTACCTCAGCCTCCTGAGTAGCTGGGATTACAGGCATGCGCCACCACAGCTGGCTAATTTTTGTATTTTTAGTAGAGATGGAGTTTCACCATGTTGGTCAGGCTGGTCTCAAACTCCTGATCTCCTGATCCTCCTGCCTCAGCCTCCAAAAGTGCTGGGATTATAGGGGTGAGCCACCACACCTGGCCCAACAAATCACTTTTTAAAATTCCTTTAAAGCATAGAAACCTTGTTTCTTTAAAAAATCCTTGCTATTCAGTGAAGGCAGAATTCCTATTTTCAACTGAAAATAAAAGTCCTATTTGCATGAGTGAGAAAGGAAATGGGGAAAATGCCTGCAGATGAAGACAGATAATCAAGTTTTTCTTATGAATAGACATGTGCCAACATTCCTGTGGAGTTGTTTTTAGTATCATCTTTGTATCCAACTTACAATTTTACATTTAGGTAAGAAAATATAGAATATTTTTAGCAATATTTTCTGAAAATACTGAAATTCTTCTTTTGGATATAAAATATGAAAATCCATCATTTGGGGGTTACCACTTAACCTCTTTCAGGAAAACTCAGGTAGAGTCCAGGTAGATTGCATGTGTGAAGATTCTAGGCTTTTCATTGTTGTTGTTTTTTAAAGAAGCTAAAGAGCAATTCATGGCATAATAAAATATACTTGAATCCTAAAAAATTATAAAAAGATAAAGGAATTCTTTTTTTTTTTTTTTCATTTCTATGGCTCATGAGAGATTCCTAATATTCTTTATTTGACCCAGAAACCTTAAACTGCCTAAAATATTAGTTGAGTTTGGAGTATAATGTCTGTTAAGAGAATTTCTTGTTCCCACTTACCTCTATCAATTTCATAGCACTTACCATATGTTATTGTTTGTCCTATTTCAAATATAAACCAAACTCTTCTGGTCTGACGTTAAAGGCCGTGTTGTCCTAACATTTTAAATCTAGAATGGTTGTAGAATGAGAAAAAACAGTAGGGTTAGTTAGGAGATATAATTGGGTATTTGACTACACATAGCAAAAACCAAAATAGGGCCTTATTGACTAAAGGTTTTATTCTCTCAAGTAAGGAAAATTCAGAGTCAGGGCATCAAGACTGGAACATTAGCCACTAGGGACCTGAGCTTCTTTTCTCTCTTTACTACATGATGGAGCATTCCATCTGTGAGAACTTCTCGTGGTCCAAGATGGCTGCAGAAACGCCAGTCATGACATGTGACAAATGGACACCCACACTCTTTTATTTCTTTTGTCTTTGGTTTTTTGGGTTTTTTTGTTTTGTTTTGTTTTGTTTTTTGGTTTGTTTGTTTTTGTTTTTTCTTTGAGACAGAGTTTCGCTCTTTTCGCCCAGGCTGGAGTGCAATGGCACAATCTTGGCTCACTGCAACCTCCACCTTCCAGGTTCAAGCAATTCTCCTGCCGCAGTCCACGCCCAGCTGATGTTTTCTTTTGTTTTGTTTTGTTATGTTTTGTTTGGTCTTTTTAGTAGAGACAGGGTTTCATCATGTTGGCCAGGCTGGTCTCCAACTCCTGACCTCAGGTGATCCGCCCACCTCGGCCTCCCAAAGTGCTGAGATTACAGGCGTGAGCCACCATGTCCAGCCTCCACACTGTTTTATAGAACTGTCCCACACAATCCTTTCATTACGTGTCACTGGAAAGAAATCAACCTTGTGGGCACATAGAGTTGCTAGGGCAACTAAGAAATATCACCTATAGCTGGCCACTGCAAATAAAATTGGGATCTTGTTCTAAATAAAGAAGACAATGAATGATGAGGTAGGCAATTAGCAATTTGCATCACATCATTTAGGACTCTACAACAGCAAAAAAATGAAAATGTAATTGTTTTCAAGAAATGGTAACAGAAATGAGATGAGTTCACAGTATGGAGAAAATAGACTGCTGCTATCAGACAAAATAAAGTTGTGCCTTATCATTATTGTATGGAAAACTATTTTGTCCTCTACATTTATCCCCGTGGTCAGGCAAAGCTATGATTCAAGCTGAGGTGAATTTCCAGGAATGCAGCACATTCTGCTGCCCTCTCCCCGTGAGTCCTACCTAGAAAATTACAAGCTTTCCAGCTGCTGTCCACAGGAAAGATGCTAAATTCCCATAAAGCAGTCCTTTTCTATTTAAAATTTTGCGTTTCATGTCAAGCACAAATGCATTTTCAGTAGTATAATCAATCTAACTTCCTAATCTGTTTTTGTAAAAAGACTTTAAAATGTTAAAATCAACGTATCTTCAAGGCTTTCCTTAAATTATTAATCCTTGAGTGATTTACTCTGAGCTATTTTGTAGACATATTGTTACCAAAATCTTGTTCTTCACATACTCTTTTAAAACATAAGAGTCTATTAAGAGTACTCTGAGCAACATCATAATGTTGCTAAAATTATTAGGAAGCAGCATTAACACTTTAACTCACTATATTCTCATTACTCGGGAAGTCATTACCTCTTTGTATTTTTACTGGTTGGTGGGTTTGTGCAGAAAGAATAAGTAAACCTGAAACCAATATTCTAGTTGTGTGAGTTTTGTGAAAAGTAGCAATGAAAAGGTTTGAAACCAGTGCAGACACAGCTTTCCTTTGCTTGTCTGTACATTATATTAGCTTATATATTTTTGCCATCTATATCCATGAATGATCAAGTTGACAATTATAAAACAACAAGATAAAAATGGAAAATAATTGATTTATCATGGAAAATAGCTACCAGCCTTGGAGTCAGAAGACCTGAGTATAATTTCAGGTTATGCTTTCTCAAGCTACTGTGGCAGGAGGAGGTGGGGTGGGGTGGGGGAGGACTAATAACACCTGCTCTAATTTCCCATGTAAGTTGTTGTGAAAAGCAAATTTGATGATTTATACCAAAATATTTTCCTGAACTGTGATGCCTTGTGAACACAGAAGGAATCATTTTATCCATGAAAGAGCAAATATCTTCCCCTGGGATTTGAGATATAAGAAACCACCTAAGCATAGGAAAAATCTGGTTCACAGTTCAATTATTATCAATGTAAGGTCAGGCTTTCAGAAGATAACTAAATATGTGTTAGAGGAAAATGCTAGTTAGGAAATAGTTGTGCACTAACCAAGTTGGAAACGTTTGACTTTCATCTACCTTGACTGGCGAAAATGGCTCTGTGGGGTTTGTTTTCATTTGAAAAACATGAGCGCTGCACACCACTGTGTTGTTCAGGGTAATATCAACTCACAGAGAGTATCACACACACCCCAGGAAGCCCTGGGGCCTTTCAAAGTGTGCCGTCTGCTCTAGCTTTAGAGTGAAGGGAGTTGCCAACACATTTTGAAAGTGTATTGTACGTAGCATAGCATATGACTTTCCATTCAAAGGCAGGACTCTTTTCTCATTATCTCACTAGTGCCTGATGAAGTGCCTTATACAGGTGCTCAACAAAGGGTTGCTGAATCAAAATGTTTCTCGAAGTTAGAATAAATGGAATTGAACAAATTGCAGGTAGTGTTAATGCTTAGTCAAATATCTGGAAAAAAATCTGTTAAATATGGAAAATGGCAAAGCAGGAGTGCTTGGAACTTAATCCAGCTCAATCTTCTCTAAGTTCATTTATCTAACACCCTCAACCAGCCAGCAAAAACAGGGAAACACAAGCAAAAGCAAGCAGAATTCTAATAAACCGATGATGCCCCCCTACACAAGCATTTGCTACCATGCCCATACACAAAGGACTTGAGAGAGACCCTCACGTCTTCATTCTTATTTTAAACATGGATCTAATGAGGTCTAACAAGCCACCTCCTGGTGTCTCCCTCATGTATTATTATAGAAGGGAGAAGGTGGGAGAATACTCTCCCTAGCACGTTAGAAGACAAGTGTAAACATGCCAATGATAACTAGAAATGATCACTGATAGCAAAGGAGGTAAAAACAATACTATGAGAAGCATCCATAAGGAATTTCAAACAATGTTGATCTGGTGTCATTTATGTATTGGGCAAACTGCTTTCCACATCCCAGTATCACTTAGAAAAAGTCAAAATCATAGCCTAGAGCACTTTGGATGTTAACTTTTTTTTTTTTTTTTTGATGGAGTCTCACTCTGTCGCTCAAGCTAGAGTGTGCAGTGGCATGATCTCGGCTCACTGCATCCTCTGCCTCCTGGGTTCAAACAATCCTCCCACCTCAGCCTCCCGAGTAGCTAGGATTACAGGCATGCACCACCATGCCTCGCTGATTTTTTTTTTTTTTTTTTGTATTTTTAGTAGAGACAGGGTTTCACCATGTTGGCCAGGCTGGTCTCAAACTCCTGACCTCAAGTTATCCACCCACCTTGGCCTCCCAAAGTGCTGGGATTACAGGCATGAGCCACCGTGCCCAGACTTGGATGTTAATATTGAGGACCCAGAGCCAAAACAAAACAAAACAAAACAAAACAGTGACATCATCTGCAGTACTCTTTAAAGACCAGGAAATGTATAATTAATGTTTGAAAGTGCATATGTTAGATTTTGCCACAATCCCCAATGATTGTCACCACCTCCCCACACACATACACACACACAAACCAGAGAAGTGAAGGGAACCAACATCCCCACCCAGGGCTCCCAGGAGAGCGGAACTTATACCCACCCCACCCTGGGCTCGACCCTATGGCTTGCTTTAGCCAATGGCAGGTCAGCAGATGTGCCAGATGCCCTGTGTAAGCAGATGTTTTGAACAGCACTCGCAGTTTCCATCAGCAATCCTGCTCCTGCCATGGCAATGCCATGCCTCAGCCCAAGTCCTGGAGTGAGAAGAGCCACAGCTTGGAGCAGCATGGAGCCACTGCCCCCTCCATGAAACAGCAGGAGATAACCCTTTTTTTTGTTGTGAGCTTTAAAGATTTCCTTGTGCAAATTCCGTGTGCTTTAAAATATTTTATTTTTATTTGCTTGTTTTAAGTTGGAACTTTTAAATAGTTCAAGTAAGGCAGCATGGAAATTCATGTATCTAGAGACCCTCTTTTCCCCTACTGTGATAGATAATTGAGGTATTACTGTGAATAGCCTCAGTTAAAATTGCACTTGAGATGGTGAGAAAACAGCCACAAGCAGCCAAATGCAGTGTGTTAACTAGATTGTGCCTCCTGCACCCCACAAGCCAGGATGCCTGGCCTCATCTCCTTGAAGTTAGGGAGACAAGTCCTGCTGGGGGTGGGTTGGGAGGGGGATCTCAGAGGATGGAATTTTCATGGACTGGGGATATTGAAGATGATGTCACTCATTAAGGTGTGGGTTAAGGACAGCTTTCTGTTTCTGGAAAAGCAAGCACCCCAGTACTACTCGGAGCCTGAGAATGACTGACTGCGTGACTATGCACAAATTATTTCACCTTCTGCCTTGTCACCAAGGATTAATTAATCATTGCAAGTTGTCTCGCGACTCCACAATGCTAAATACAAATAGAGGAGACCCTCGAATTCATGGAGCTGTGACTCGTGGTCTTGAATATTCATTTTTAACCATGCCAGTGCACTCTCTCACCCAGCAACAACTCTTTGTTTTACTGAGTTCTGAGGGTTCCCCTTCTGTTTGGAAGGTGAAAGGGGGGCTGTACATGGTGTGTGGCTGCAATACTGATGGCCTGTTTTGTTCTCCTGGGGAGATACTGTAAGGCACAGTGGCAGATTCACCTGAAGCTCATTTTTGCCCCCCAAAATTTCTCCCCATTAATTTTTCCAGTTTGAAATTCTCTAGGCATACAAGATCTTTTAGAGTGTAAATGCACTTCAAGAGAAAATACAAAAACAGAACACTTATGAAGGAAGACTTTGGTGTGGTGTCATCCCCATTCTGCCCTTACTGTGTAATCTTGAACAGATCCCTAAACTTCCCTGAATCTCAGTTTTCTCATTTAAAAAGAAAAAAAAATGAGTGAAAATAGTTCCTACTTCATTGGTGTGTGGCTATGATAAAGTGAACTAATGACTATGAAATGTTTAATATTGGCACATGATCAATGGATATTAGCAAAAATTCTTGCTTCTTGATTAAGAGTTGAGTGTCATCCACGTCTTGGAAATTGTGGGAATTTGGAAACTCAGGAGAACAAAAAGAAAAAGGTGGAATGGTGAGGGACTTTTGGCAGTCACGGGGCAGAATGGGGCTGTAGGATCTGAGGAATGAAGGAGGAGCTGGCGATAAAATGAGGGGGCGAGGGGAAAAGGGAGCAAAAAGAGAGAAGGAAAGAAGACCAGACATGAACCCTTTCGGTTGTGCCCAGATCCCGGCACTAGTCCACGTGGTGCTGGAAGTTACTCCCTGAAGTCAGGCAACTGGAAAACTAGGGCTCCAAAACTGTTTTCCCTTCTCAACTGGGTATCAGACCACGTGTCCCAATTTGGGGTTGCTGTGATAAGAATTGAGGTAGATAAAGTCATTTGGAAAGTTGCAAACATGACCTTGGCCCAATTTCAGCCCACTGCACCTGGTCCCCATGATTCATGCCCCACTTTTCCAGCTCACTTTGTGTGGCCGCATCCCTTTCCCTACTCTTCCACAGTGTGGGATGAAGGATTCAGCTCAGCATTCCCAGAGGCACCTAATGTCATGGTGTCTTTACTATCATGGTGGTTTGATACATTTTTTGGATCATATTGTTTAATCGATTCGAAGTTTGTTTCCTACTGCAACTATATTCACCTGCCACTGTCTCAAAGAGGAGGCTATAGGTGATGAAAGGCCCACAGGGGGCGATTGGCAGATACGGCTGAACAGAATTGGTAAACTGAGTCAGGGCTTTATGAAAACAAAAGCCAAGTAACTCACTCTGCCTCCTTAATCTCTGGTGATAATTTACCTTAAGATGGAAATTTCAGCCTGGGAGTGTTGAACCTATCTTTAAGCTTAGCAGTTGTTTAATGAACATAACAAACTCCAGCATTGCTCTGGCCCCTGTCAGAGTCCGTTACTTCACATATGTCAAGAATTTGAGCAACCTTACTCCTTCAGACATGGAAAGAGAGTACGTAGAAAGAGATGTTAGCTGGTCATTTGAAAGCCACTCAAAAGAACACTTCTGGATACTTGTTGAAGGAGGTGAAGGCTCTCCCATGGAAAACTCCTTCAGTTGTTGATGCCTAGGATAGACTGTATGTTGGCATGTTTGCCTTCTTGGCAACTCTGGGAAGGGTGATCGTAAACAGTCCTGTCAGCTACAAAATAATTGGCGATTATTTTGTAGATAGAAAATAATCCTATCTTGTAAATGCTTAGCTGCTTCAGCCCATGCGAAGGTCTGAGGAGTCAGCCTTCACGGAAGAGACTTGCAACACCTACTTGTCTGGGCTTCACTTTTCCTTTCGTTAGTGCTAGTGGGTTGATCGCTGTACTCTAGACCAGTACTGTCAGCATCAGCATCACCTGGGAACTTGCTAGAAATGCAATTTTAAGGCCGGGTGCGGTGGCTCATGCCTGTAATCCCAGCACTTTGAGAGGCCAAGGCGGGTGGATCACCTGAGGCCAGGAGTTTGAGACCAGCCTGGCCAACATGCTGAAACCTCGTCTCTCCTAAAAATACAAAACTTAACTGGACATGGTGGTGCACACCTGTAATCCCAGCTACTCAGAAGGCTGAGGCAGGAGAATCACTTGAACCCACAAGGTGGAGGTTGCAGTGAGCTGAGATCGCCGCCACTGCACTCCAGCCTGGGCAACAAGAGTGAAACTATGTCTCAAAGAAAAAGCAATTTTATAGGTCTCATCCCAGAATCAAAAATGCTGGAGTAATTAACAAGACCTCTAGATGATTCTGATGAACCCCTACTCCACGTTATGAATTAAGTACTTGAGCCTAGGGCCTTTATTTAAGGGTTGTCCTTCTCTTGCGTAGCTCTTTTAAAGTGTCCAGTATTCTGAAGTTAGGAGCCAAGTGTGGTAAAGATGTTTCTTTTGGGAAGAAAAGCTTCCTCAAAATCTAATTGCTAGAAGGAAGTCAGTAAGTTGTCAAGGAATTTTAAAAAAATCAGTACTAAGATTATGACTCTAGCCTGGATCTTCATCTTTCTTGCCTGGCTTTATTCTCCAATAAAACTAATTAGCAATTTAACTATGCAAATTTTGGAAGATTTCTGATTTGGATTTAGTCCAAATATGAAAGTAGTGGTACATAAGGACATTTTTCTTAGTGAATTTGGAAAGCATTGATTTACAGTAGTCCAGTAGTCAAAATCCCTTTGAGCCAGATGGGCATTAAATATGCTGGCTTGCTATTTGTGTAACTACAGTTTTACAGGATTTATTGATCCAATACTTAACCAACCAATGGCCACATTAAAAACAATCCCTTCCAACTCTCTCCCATAATTACCAGTAAACCACCACATAGGTATGTTCTGTAAGAGATGATTTAGGAGATAGATAGAAACAATCTTGAATTATTTAAATCGTTTGTTATGTAAAAAAATGTAGAATTATTTTGTGTGGCTCAGAAGAATACAGCATGACTAAGCATCTAGAAGAGAGGGGAAGGCAGATTTTTGTTCAATAAAAGGGAGAATTTCCTAATCTTAAATCTCACCCTAAACTAAACAGGTGGCCTAGTGAGTCCCTTGTTACCTACACAGGGACACTATTCACTGATGAGTGAGAGGTTTTATTCATTAAAGGTTGATGGAGGTGAACTTTTAAGATCCCTTTCAGACTCAGAGATTCCACAAGGTGTTTTCCAGAACACCTCCTTCACATTAGCTCTCCAAAGTCAGGCTTGCTAACCTCCTTTCTCATATATGATCTCTTCCCTGAAGCCATATTCCAAGGAGAAAAAGCAGAAAGCAGATGGCCTGCATGCCAGAGCATCATTTTTGATGATTTCACAAAAACAGTTTATGATCATTTACATTTATCCTTTCGTGTGTACTTCAAGGATATGCTGTATGCAAGAGATCTTGATATGGAGGGCCAGACGCATGTCAAATCCAAGCCTTTGTGTTTTCAACCCTGATTGAAACTAAATACAATTATGAAACAGAAACAAAGATCAGAGAGAACCAGCAAATTAAGAAAACATCTAGAAGTCCACCAGGACTGGAGGCCTCAGTAAACTTTAGGAGCCCTGGTAAACTTTGCAGGCAGCCAGACTTAGTAGACTTCTATTAATGATGGCAACTATTAATATTTTGAAATTGACAAATGTTGTTCTATGACACATTTCATATTTCACCATAGCGAGCCAAGGGAATGTTAGGCTTCAGATTCACAACTTTATAAAGCATTTTCCAAATAAACCAAGCTCCTCACTATTGTTGGAAATAGTTGCTGTGTTTGGCTAATCCACCCATCATTGAAAACTGTTTTAGTTTCCCCTCAATTTTTATGCAAATTTTATATATACCCTAATCAAGAGAACATGAGTGCAGTCTTTATTTTTGTTTTTCCTTAATTAATAAACATCATCTATCTTCCTTTCTATGCAGGATGTTTTAGTAAGCTTGCAAATATTATTAAAGATTGCTTTTCTTTTTGAAGACTGAGATATTAAAATCAGCCCAACCCTGTTGCACTGTAATCTCTAATATCACATCAGGTTTTAATAAACCTCCTTTTTGCAGCACACATGTGCTTGAGACTTCATGGAAACCAAGTCAGAAGAGAGAAGGGATTACTTTAGATGACTTTAAAATATGCATTGTTTGAAATGGCCTCTGGTGACCAGCTTTCATGAATGGCTGGCTTTACTTGTGGGGCCCATCATCCAGTTTAATTATATCAGCTCCTTTGTGTGACAAGTGCTGTTCTTGCATATGCTGAGAAATGAAAGTTTAAAACAAAGTAGAGTAATGAGTGAGAAAATAAATTCTGGAAGTGGAACACCCCTGGGTGTTTGTACGGAAGAATTCTAAGGACTGGTCCACCTATAAACATCTATTTATAGAGATACTCCACAGTGACAGTAAGTGTAAATTTGCCTTAAATGTCCCTGGACCTAGATCATAATATGTGCCTTTTCAGGAAGATTTATTTTACATATAAGTAACACTTTAGGATGCTAATGTGGCTCTTAAAATTTTCATTCTATAAATTCTTATGCATAAAACTTCATAAAGGTTACTTTTTTGTAACATTAGAATAAAATGCTAAGTTTTTATTAGCTAAAGTATTTCCCAACTTCTGTCCAGCCAGTAAACTAACACAGATGTCATAAAGTTTCAAGACACTACAGGTTCATTATTTGAATCTATAAATGTTAGGAAAGTTATGGTTTTAGAAATCTCCTGTTGTATCTCTTGAGTTGTTAGCCTTTCTAAAAAAAAAGAAAAAGAAAAAAAGAAAGAAAGAAATTGGTGAGTCGCCGTGGCTCACACCTGTAATCCTAGCACTTTGGGAGGCCGAGGCAGGAGGATCATGAGGTCAGTAGATCGAGACCATCCTGGCTAACATGGTGAAACCCCGTCTTTACTGAAAATACAGAAAATTAGCCAGGCGTGGTGGCAGGCGCCTGTGGTCCCAGCTACTCGGGAGGCTGAGGTAGGAGAATGGCGCGAACCTGGGAGGCGGAGCTTGCGGTAAGCCGAGACTGCGCCACTGCACTCCAGCCTGGGCGACAGGGCGAGATTCCATCTCAAAAAAAAAAAAAAAAAAAACAAAAAAAAAAAACTTCATACATAAACTGATCTGCATTTTAAAGTTTCCTTGAAAATGTCTCCAAGCAAAGGCATTGGCTTTAATAGGATATTTGATTTTTTTAAGGTTCTCCTGTAAGTAATACATTTTGAAAAAAAAATACAGCTAATCTCCATAATTTGCCTTGAGCTAGGAACTAGAATTGTCTTTTGAAATGTGAATGCCTCCTTCACACTGTTTCCCAGAGCTTTCTTTCCTGGTCCTCTATCTGCCTCTGCGGGAGGCCAAGGGAAGGAGGAAGGAACTTGTTTCCCCACTCTGCTGTGTTTAGCCCTGCAAAGAAGTTAGAGAGCATTATATTGGCAGTGAACTTGATGGCATAGGAAGTAGGCCAGTGGGCTGGGCGTGGTGGCTCACGCCTGTAATCCCAGCACTTTGGGAGGCCGGGACAGGCAGATCACTTGAGGTCAGGAGTTCGAGACCAGCCTGCCAATATGGTGAAAGCCCGTCTCTACTAAAAATATAAAAATTAGCCGGGTGTGGTGGTGCATACCTGTAATCCCAGCTACTTGGGAGGTTGAGAAAAGAGAATCACTTGAACCTGGGAGGCATAAGTTGCAGTGAGCCAAGATCTTGCCACTGCACTCCAGCCTAGGCAACAGGCAAGACTCCATCTCAAAAAAAAAAAAGTATGCCAATGGGGTTCTCTTGACTGCAGCTTCATTTATATAGTAAAGTCAGGTGTTCCTCTTCCTACATACGACTGTGAGATAGTATTTCGAGAAATGATTTTCAGATGGTATATTTATGTTTCGAAACCATTTCTCGTAGTACAAGATAGTGTTTCCAGAAATGCCTTCAAAACATAAATATACCATCTAATTGTCTTTTTAAAAATATTTACTTCAACTTAAAATGTATCTCAAGAATTGTGGAACTTTAAAAATTTTTGCATTGCGCCAGATTATGTACATCAGGAAAACAGACTAAAACGAAACATGTATAAAAAATCCCCGAATCTGTCGAAAGTATATTTTTAGTGTCTAAGAATGATTGAACTTTATACTGTGAGAAAGATTATGTTTCTTCGTTACTTGAGATATGTGTCTGTGTGTGGGTATATATATTTATACACATATCTTAAGTATGTGTGTGGGCATATGCACGTGTATGTGTGTGTGTGGTATGTGCATGTAGAGAAAGAGAAAGAAATGGGGTACTAGTGAAATGTAATGTTTGTGGCATAGACATTAGTGCTCAGCAAACACTTTGGTCCACTAAATTTTCCAGTGTCCTTGCCGTTGAGTGGGGCCACAAGACTAGTCTCATCCAATGAAATGTTAGAAGTGAACTGGGTCACTTCCAGGTTGAAGCCCTGAAAAGCTCCTGCACAATTCTTGAGTTTATTCTTCCCTTGCTTCCTGGTCTAGTTATTGCAGCAACAGGACAACACTGCCCCCATCAGTGTGCATCCATGCATGGCTGGGCAGAGCAGAGTTCTCTGCCATTCTATGTGTGACTTGCAGTATGAGTGACAAATATGCTTTTATCATATTTGGAATTTCTTTGTTATTGCAACAAACTACTTCTGCTGACTAATGCAATATCTCAAGGTACTTCAGTACAAATAAGCCATAGATATATAAAACCAAAGGCAAATTTAATGAAATTTAATGTAATAAACCTTATATTTTAAGACCTAGCTAAGATGCCCAAGACCACATTTTAGTTCTTTTTAACAATATCGCTGCCCTTCCCCCAAACCCACTTTATGTTTTTTCATCAACTTTTATTTTAAGTCCAGGGGTACATGTGCAGGATGTGTAGGTTTGTTACACAGGTAAACGTGTGTCATGGTGGCTTGCTGCACATGTCATCCCATTATCTAGGTATTAAGCCCAGCATCCATTAGCTATTCTTCCTGATGCTGTCCCTCCCCCAACCCTAAAGAACCCCCAACAGGCCCCAGCGTGTGCTGTTCCCCCACATGGGTCCATGTGTTCTCATCATTCACCTCCCACTTATAAGTGAGAACATGTGCTGTTTGGTTTTCTGTTCCTACGTTAGTTTGCTGAGGATAATGGCTTCCAAGTTCATCCATGTCCCTGCAAAGGACATGATCTTGTTCCTTTTTATCGCTGCATAGTATTTCATGCAAATCCACTTTACCTGAAGTTTCCAATGCCTCTTCTTTTGGAAATCCAGTTGTCTCTTCGTTCTCATTCTCTTGGATCTCACTGCCACCATTGAAACCATTGATCATTTGGACCACAATTGGTCACCAATGACCATTATTAGTCCCTTTAGACACTTTGTAACATATGCTTCAGGAATACTGAGTTCTTCTGGTGGTTTTCATAATATCTAGATCACTTTGTTTTCCTTTGTCTTGTTAATTTCATCTGAAAGAAGCTGGACAAATTTTAATTTGGACTTTATGCATTCTCTAAAATGCCCTTCGGAAGCTTGTTTTTATATGGTTTTAGTACCTGCTTTTATGAGGCAGAGTCTCAAAGGCACATTTCTCACTTCATCCTTCTCACTCTTCAACCCTCACTTCATCCTTCCCACTCTTCAACTCCATCTATTTTCTTCCTCCCTGAGAAGACAGAGAGAAAACCTAGAAAACTTAAGTTTATTTATTTCTATGTTTTGTAATGCAACAGATTATTGAAAAAATTCAATATATATATGAATTAAGCCAAAAAATAAAATCTGTCCCTCTCCCTCACCATACACCAGGGATAACCAGCACTCACCACTGTGTGAATAGATGAGCTTTGAAGATTCCTTCCAATTTCAAGATTCACAGTGTTGTGTGGCAGGAGGAGAGGAGAAAGGAAGATCTCATCATTTAGCCAAATATTTCCCCACAGGTGTTCCAGGTCATAGGCATACACTTTTCAGCTGTCATTGTTTGTTGGAAGAGGATTTATTATTGGAGGAGAATAAAAGTGTTACTACACCAGGAGGGGATGATTGTCTATCTTCTTTGCTTGGAGTTGTAGTAAATTAGACCAGGAAACAGGCTTTCTGGAGATTAACAGTAGGTGAACTTGCCAGCTGTGGGGTTGTTAAAAGAAGAAATTAGCTTTTTCGTGGATTCATGTATCTTATAAAGAAGATAGCACATCCTGAAGCCTTACTCTAAAGAAAAGAAGTAATCTCTGGGAGACTCAAAAGCCAAAATTAAGGGGAAAGGGCCATGTTAACTGATCCTAAGAAATGTATGTAGACAGCAATGTAGGATGGGAGGATGAGATGTGGGTACCAGCTTCTTGCTGGTGTAATTCTACTTCGCTTGCCTCTGACAATAATCTAAGCGTGTTCTGGCTAAATTCAGCTTCGCATAACTGCATAATCTCCCCTGCCCCTGCTGTTTCAACTGCTTATGGTGTCCCTTTTTTCTCTGGCCTAACTATAAAGTGCCATTGCTTTGTACTAGAAATAATTCTTCTGCCCCATCCAAGAGAGGTTTATTTCTGTGGCGAGTGGGTTGTTCTGACCCTGTCCCTTGCATACTTCAGATGCATGGGCATTCATTTGTAAAATTTTGTGTTATCCTTGGGTAATAAAAAACACAGAATTTTATCACTCATCAACAACTTTTATCTGAGACCAGGCATTTAGAACTGAGGACAGTTTCAAGGCTTTAAGGAAAAAAAGTAAATGAGAAGCTTGTGACTAGGGCCAGACCTACAGCCTTAAATGTGAGAGTCTGGGCTTAACTATAGAACAAGGTACACTCTAAGCCAGCAATTCTCAAACCCTTTGGTTGTCTCAGTATCCCTTTATATAATTAAAATTTATTGAAGACCCTTGCCCCAACAGTTTTTATGTGGATTATAATTATTAATACTTACAAGTGAAAACTGAGAAAATTTTCAAATATTTGATTCTTTTGAAAATAATAAATCTATTATATGTTAACCTAAATGATATATTTTATTAAAAAAAACTATACTTTCCAAACAAAAAAATTGTGAATAAATTATGAATTCATTTTACATTTTTGCAAATCTCTTTAATGTTTATCTGAAAAGAAGGAAGTCGAATTCTTATTTCTGCTTCTACATTCAGTCTGTTGAAATACACTGTTCTGGCTGAAGTACAGTAATAAAATCCAGAATCACATGAATAAGTAGTTGGAAAGTAGAAGCATTTTAATAGCTTTTTCAGATACTTATAGATATTTTCTGATACTACAACAAAACTTGGCAAGTGATAATTCATTAAAGGTTAGTTGTATTAAGAAATCTGAAGCCATATCAATGAACTTTTCATTCTGTTACAATAGAATCCATTGGTCATCTTGTACTTCAAATGCATTTTTTATTCATGTAAGATTTTGTAGCACTGTGATTATTTGGGAAATTTGGTTCACTGAACTATGCGAATATTCTAAATGTTGACTCATTTCATTTTACAATATCAAAAAATAACATTTGTTAACATCACTACCATTGTCATCAGAAAAAGTTTTACTTATTGGGAGTCTGCCAAGTGTAGTATACAAGTTTTCCAGAATTCTAATTTTAACTTGAAAGGTAGATTTCTATCATTGGTAACAAACACTGTCAATTGTTTCCCTTGAAATGATAGGCTCATTTCATTCATTATTTGAGAAAATGTCTGCCAAATATCCAAGTCTAAAAAATTCTTTTAAGTAAAAGTAGTGTTTCATTTTTTGTTTGTTTGTTTGTTTAAAGCCACTTTAGCTTGCAGCTCAGCCACCTTCATGCTTTTCCTCAAGACAGCCATCATACTCCCCCAGCCACCAAGGGACTTTGTGTGAACCTCTTATCTCAGAAAACACAACAGTGAAAAGAAAAGATGTGTACTCAAGGTCAAGGTTTAATAAAATTAGTGGTTTTACTGCTTCATCTTAAGTGAAGCTGGGTTTTTTTTGTTGTTGTTTTTGTTTGTTTGTTTGTTTTTACTATATGTGAAGCTTCTATCATTCATGCTAAGACAAAAGCGGAAAGCGGTTCTACCTACTATTGCTTTTATGCCATCTGTAGAAATGTCAGCGCAGTGAAGAAAGCAAATAATGTGTCAGTATTCTTATCAAAATAGTTCTGACCTCATGAACCTCTCAAAAGGGTCACAGGGTCCTCCAAACGTCCCAAACTATACTTTGGACATTGCTGCTGTGGACAAAAGCAAGGTGCTTTTGATATATTGGCCACCATCCCCTCTAGAGACCTAGCACCAAGCTGCCCAGCCAAAGTGGGGATTGGGGAAGACAGAGGTCCCCTTAAACCTTTGGGAGCAACAGGGCTTCAGTTTAGATTGGGGTATTGTGGAACAAACATATGTGACCTAAACTTCCTATCCAGTTGGCTGGACATCCTGCCAGTCTTTTTTTTTTTTCTTTTACATGTGACTTGAAACATTTAATGCCACTTTTATAGTTTGGCTTGACGGCCCTAAGCCACCCTAAACAAAGTCTTGTAAACTTTCCACACCAATTGACCATAACTACAACTGCTGTTTTCATTTTATGGCTTGGAGTAAAAGCAACTTATATCCTGGTCTTGACTGGTGAAGAATAGAACACTGTTCTTCAAACTCACTCTGTATGTATAAGAAAAACCTTTCTGCATTTCTTTCATTTTCTACTCTTTCTCAAGATAAATTGTTAGTCTCTAAGGACTCTTGTTGTCCCCCACAAAGTATCCAATTCAAACATTGCATCCTTGTCTCTTCTGTCAAGCTCCGCATTTTGTCTGTCAGGACTTTTTTCCCTTCTTTACTTCTTTTCCTTCTAGAGCTGGAAACCAGGCAGTTAAGAGGATGACAGGCTTTAAAAGGTCATTTTTGAATAAAGAATTGTCTGTGTGCAGTGTTTCTAGAGTGGCATGTTTTGTGTGTTTTAGTGAAGGAAGGTGAGATAGAGAGAGGACTCGTGCTGGCCAGACTAGTCAAAAAATTCAATTTTCTTGACCACTTAATGTATATCGTTGTAGGTATGAATTCCCTGAATTGAATGTTGGTGGTGGTGGGAAGAAGCTGACCAAAAGTTCCAAAGTTCTAGTGAGACAGGAGGAATAAACATTAAAGATCTGTTGCCCAGCAAGGTGACCACAGTTAATAACAATGAATTAATTGTATGTTTCAAAAATGCTAACAGAATAGATTCTTAAATGTTATCACTACAAAAAAAATGATAAGCATGTGAGGAGATAGACATGTTAATTAGCTTGATATAATCATTCCACAATGTACACATATATCAAAACATCAAATTGAACCCTGTAAATATATACAATTATCATTTGTCAATAAAAATAAAAATTTTAATTAAAAAAATAAGATACACTGTGGCAGAAAAAAATGTAGATCTTTTCTGCACCTTTCATTCACCAGAAAGGAAGTTCATTTCATAGGAAAAAACCACTCTCTCTTTTCCATATTAGGAAATGATTTTTGATGTAGTTTATACAAAGGTATCATTAAAGCTAATTTGCTTTTTCCTAAAGGAAGAAGTAAAGTAAATAAGATAAAGAAAAGAATAACTAGCAATGTTGATTGGGTTCCAGCAAAGGTTATCAGCATCTGAATTGTCAAGAACTTTCAGCTTCTTGTATTGCTGATTATTTAAACTCAAATGCCACTGTTTGTCTAACGCAGTGAGCCTGTAACTGTTCCTACCTGGTTGCTACCATCAGCAGGGGTTCATTTACAGTATAGTGGATGCACAAAGGCCCTCTTCACAAACTCTCCCTTCACACACCTCTGCAGGCCTTGAGAGGTGAGCAAAGTTTTTGCTACTTAAGGAACCAACCTCTAAGAAATTTCTGTATTTAACTATTTAGCCTGACCCATGCTTTGTGAGAACAAGCCATTGTTTATCATTTTATTACTTTAGTTTTCCTGTCCCTTCATGCCTGTATCAGGTTTCTCACGATTTAAAACAAATGCACAGAAACCAAACAGTCAGTGCAGAATAATTGCAGGCTTTCAGTGTTCAGCATGTACAGCAATCACTGTGGAATCACCCTGCGTTATTAAGAAGAAAGCACCAAATCTTACATTAGTGACTTCTACAGGGCTGCGTTATCAATTGGAGCTGTCTTGTTTGTTGCAGATAATGTAGTCAGGACTGCCTGGCTGCAGACACTAGAGTTTTGTTTAAAAACCGATTTCTTCTTGTCTCTTTCTCTCTCTTGCAGTATAATTACAGGCTGCAGAGTGAAAAGCATTAGAACTGTTTACAAAACAGCTCATAAAGTTTAAAATAATGGGGATACGTGTGTGTGTTTGTGTAAAACAAAATAATGTGTATGGTAGGGGTAAACAATATCCAGTCTTTCTTCTTTCACTACCCCCTGTCACCTTCCAGAATTAAGGGCATGAAGTTGAGAGATGGAGCCCTTTCCTCCTGCTATGCGATGCTTACACTTAATTAGTTATGCCTACTTATCCAATGCCAGTTTATTGTTGCAGATCAAAATACAGATTCTCAGGTGTATGGGGACTGAGTGGCTGATGAAACAGACTGCTATCTAATTAATTTTAGGGCAGCCTAAATTCCCATAAAGATGTTCCCTCATGACATATGAGAGGAAGATTTTATTTTTTTAATGAGCCCTTTGCTATCTTTCCAAGAGAAAAGCTTTCAGCAGGTTAGTGTTCCAAAGTGAGAGGGGCATTTTTCCAACCCTTTCAAAAGCCTCCTTCTGTGCAGCTTTGCAAAGATTTTGCAGCTCGCCCTTCTGGATTTTATTTATTTATTTTTTAATGCGGAAGGGTAGCCGCTGACTCCAGCCTCGGGGCCAATCAATCATTTTGCTTTGCAGGTTTAAGATCTGTGACAAAGCGAAACCCCTGTGCTATCTGTGCCTTACCAGTCTCACCAACAATAAGCCTGGTGACTGACAATCGAGAGGGGGCTCTGTCCACGTAGGTGCCGGCACAAGCTGAGGACATGAGTGGGACAGAGGAACCAGCCTTGCACGGAGGAAGCACCTTTTCCTTCTGGTGATTGATTGATGGGGGACAGTGAGGAGGTTTTCAGAGACTGGAAAAAATTGTCCCAGTCACTTACTATGAAGTCTTTGTCAGCAGAAAAGACTCTCCGGGGTAGAGAATGATATAATGCAGATGACAAATGACAGGTGTGTGTTTCGTTCTGCTTGCTAGGTACTCAGTATCACACGCAGGTGAGTCAGCGCTCCCCAACATGCCCCTTGCGCCATCTGCTCCCCACATGCAAACACTCGTTCCCAACGCTCTGTGGTTTCCCTGGCACTGCTGGCTCTTCCTAATCGATCGTCAGCTCTGTTGGGGATGTGTAAAGTACTGTCAGAGTGTGAGCAGGGTGATACCTTACCACCCTTTTATGGAGCTGATTATGAAATGAAGATAGCATTTGAATCATTTGTTAGCAGTTCTGAAAGTTGTTTCCTTCTGTTCCTCCCTTTTGGAGCACAGAAGAAAAAATATATGTAATATATACACATATAATATGCTGTTGCAAGAGACTACTTCAGATCGAAAATCTGTTTTTAAAATCATTGACTGATATTTCCTTTGTATTTTTTTCTCCCCCTTCCAGGACCCTATCTGCAGATGTTCTGAATACCTCTGAGAATAGAGATTGATTATTCAACCAGGATACCTAATTCAAGGTATTAGCTCTCGTCAGAAAGCTTTTACATTTGAGCTCTGTGTTGGAAATTCTATTTTGGCAATGAATTGAAATAGGAAAAGTTGGAATGAGAATAAAGGACAAAAGTGAATTTGCAAAATAATCAAGTGCTTAAAAAACTACCCAGCACTTGTGAGGGTTTGCTATTTCTGACTCATGTGCAACCCTGTCTCTGCCAGCTTATGTGCCAATACTGACTTATTTGTAGCCCTTTCTCTGCAACTGTGCTTGGAGTTTGGATTTCATTTTAGTCTCACCGTCTCCGTTTTTCTCTGACTGCCCAGAACTCCAGAAATCAGGAGACGGAGACATTTTGTCAGTTTTGCAACATTGGACCAAATACAATGAAGTATTCTTGCTGTGCTCTGGTTTTGGCTGTCCTGGGCACAGAATTGCTGGGAAGCCTCTGTTCGACTGTCAGATCCCCGAGGTTCAGAGGACGGATACAGCAGGAACGAAAAAACATCCGACCCAACATTATTCTTGTGCTTACCGATGATCAAGATGTGGAGCTGGGTGAGACACTGGACTCTTCACTTGTTAGTCTCTTTTGTTCAGATGATTTCTCGAGTCTCAGGATTATCAGGAGACATTCTGAGGCTTTGCACTTAATTATTGCACATTAACCAACACCCTAGTTTACGCAATGAACTTGTATTGACCATAAGGCATTTGGTTTGTGTTTCAGCATTACTTTTCTGATGTTATGCTTTTGAAATGGTCGGGGAAGGGGCCTGGGGGAGTAGGACAATGGAGAAAGAGGGTCAGCACTGAAGACTGTAGAAGGAAAGGATTGAAAGCCCTCAGTTAAGACATTGTAAAAATATTTGGGCAAAGTTGTTTCAAAGAGTATGAGGATGTGACTGTAATTTTATGCAATGGATATGAATATAGACTGATACTAAAGGAACTTTCAGTGGTTATTAGTATTAGAGTGGATTACTTATTCACAGTTTGTTATAGTAATTGTTAGGTAATTCAAAGTTGCAGTGTTCTATATGTCTTTTGGTAGAGAATCCACTTACTACTACCTTAGATATGATGCTTTTTTATTTAGCTTGCCTAGGCTAAGCGTAGAGCACCCAGAAAGCCTGCCAAAATCTAGTGATTCTAACTTACCTTCTATATCACCTGACTGGGTTTCTTACCTTCTCACCGTCTTCAATGGCCCAGCCCTACGGTCTTGTTCATAAGCCAAGGGCCAATTCTTCTAGTCCACCTAGTGCAAGGCAGATAGAAAGCTTGCCCCTAGAAGTTGTCACTACCACTCCTCATTTCTTTTCCTGAACCCAAATTCCTTGCTCTCAGGCATCACCCAGCTGTGCTTAGCCATCACATTCAACCTGACTGGTAGTTGAATCTTCTAGCAGAGCATGCTGGGCTTCTTTACCGAGCTCCTGAGGCTCAGGTTCTTGAGGATAAAACTCTTCACGCTGGCACTTGGTCTCCATGGAAGGGGACTTTGCTTTCCCACTTGAAACCAGACGGTGAGATCCCAGTAAAGTTAATTCCTTGGGTTCAGCTGGAAGCAAATGCGCTAAAAAGCCAGCAGATGTCATTATTGCTGACGTTGGTTTGAGGAGTCAACCCAACTTTTTTTTTTTTTTAACAAGGGTATTGATTTTCAGGCGACAGGCCAAAATGAAAGGTGTCACACATACATGAGTGTGTATTTAGCACATATGATGTTAGTATGTATGTAAGTGGTGGTTTAAATGTTTTCATTCACTTACAGAGCAAGTAATTTTAGCTTTTTTAGAGCCTTGTGGGTCCATTTCAAGTTAGTTTAGTGCCTAATGTGTTAATAGCACAGTCTCTGCATGAGGATTGCAATGTTAAACATATCCTTGCCCTCTGCTTGACCTCACACCTGAACTCACCTTCCTTAATATCTCACCCATCCATCGCTTTTGCTACAGCTGAGATCTCTGGATCCTCTCATCTTTCCCAGTTTTTCCCTCACCGGTTTGTCACCTGGCCTGCCTGCCTCCTCTAGTCTTGGCCTCTCTTGCCCACCCTTCACTCAATTGCCAGAGTTATCTTTCAAGTATCTCTCTGATCAGATCACTTTTCTGCTTAAGTCCCTTCTGTGGTTTCCCTTTGCCATGAGATTATGCCCTTCTCCTCTGTGGGCAAATGAGTTCTGAGCCTTGCGGCCCCTGCCTGTCCCCAAGGCTGTTTCCCTTTCCTCCACTTTCACTCTGTGCTTCATAAACACAATTGCCATCTCCCCAAAGGTGTCTGGTGGCTTCACCCCCCTCGCCTCTATCCATGCCTTTGCACATCTCATCCCCTCTGCCTTTTCCTCTTTCCCCACCTGGAGAAACCCTACCTGTTCTTCATAACCCAGTTCATGTCATGCGCTTGGTGTTCCCAAAACAAAACCACCCTCCCCTCCAGCAGCATTGATGGAACTTTCCTTTGCACCCCGAGAACACGACTCCAGCATGGTGCTCATTCCACCATAGCCTTCCATGCCTGTCCCTTCCACTTGACCAAGATCAACCAGAGAGCAAGGGTGTGTTTTATGTTGCACTCCTCATGCACTCCTAGTGCCTGGGAATATAGTGGGCACTAAACTAACTTGAAATGGACCCATAAGGCTCTAAACAAGCTAAAATTCCCAGAAATAAATATAAGTATTCATCATCATCTACCTCTTCAATATACAGCACTGTCTTTAAAATATATTAAGAAATTGCTCATAACTTTCTTTTTTAACAGAATTCAAATTTTCAGCCTTGTCCTATAGTTCATTTATTCATCCAGTAAATATTTTCTGAGCAGTTACCAAGTATTGCCTTCTGTTGGAGGCATGTGACTATCATGGTGAAGGGTTATAGACCAGGCTCAGCCAACCCAGATATTTCCTACATATTTGCCTTTAACTCCTTCCTTGATTTTCTAGCCAGATAACATGCTAAGAACTAGCTCATTGGCTGGGTGTGGTCATTCTCGCCTATAATCCCAGCACTTCGGGAGGCTGAGGCAGGCGGATCACCTGAGGTCAGGAGTTCAAGACCAGCCTGGCCAACATAGTGAAACCCCGTCTGTACTAACAGTACAAAAATTAGCCAGGCATGGTGGCAGGCACCTGTAATCCCAGCTACTCTGGAGGCTGAGGCAGGAGAATTGCTTGACCCGTGAGGCAGAGGTTGCAGTGAGCCGAGATCACACCATTGCACTCCAGCCTGGGCTACAGAGCGAGACTCCATTTCAAAACAAAAAAAGAACTAGCTTGTTTAACTCTCACAGTAACTCTAGGAAGTAGTTACTATTCTCTCTTTAATTTAGGTATGAGAAAAATGAGGCTCAGAGAAGTCATGTAGCTTGTGGTGAGCAAGTAAATTGTGAAACCCAGACCTGTATTAGATCTGAGTCTCCACAGCTACGTATTTAACCACTGTCCCTTCCATTAATCAGCCATCTACAAATAATTATTAAGCACCTCCTAAAAACAATCGGCAAATTCATAATATTTTAGGTTCTGGGAGAGAGGGAACAGAAGCAAAAGATAGGCCACTGGCAAAAACAAAATGACTAGGAACCACAGTGAACTGTGGGTTGGAGGTCCAGAAAAGACCTCCTTTCTTGGCAGAAAAGTCATGCTCTCGGTAGTGGTTCCCGCTTGATGGAGACTTTTCCTCATTTTTCTGTAATGTGCTCATAATCCTTCTAGAACATTATTGCTCTAGATTTTGGGTGTTGGTTGTTTTGTTTTTGTTTTTTTACCATCTTAACCATTTTTAAGTGTACAATTCAGTACTGTTAAGTACATTTACATTGGTGTGTAACCCATCTCCAGAACTCTTTCCATCTTACAAAAGTAAAACCCTATACCCATTAAACAGCAACTCCCGTTTCTCTCTCCCTCAATCCTGGCAACTATCATTCTACTTTCTGTCTCTGTGGATTTGACTACTCTAGGTATCTTATATGGGTGAAATCATACAGCATTTATCTTTTTATGACTGGCTTATTTTACTTACCCTCATGTCCTCAAGGCTCATCCATGTTGTAACATGTGTCAGAGTGTCCTTCCTTTTTAATGCTGAATAACTTTTCATTGCATATATGTACCACATTTTTTTAACCCATTCATCCACTGTTGGAAATTTGAGTTGCTTCCTCCTTTTCCCTATTGTGGATAATGCTGCTGTGAACATGGGTGTACAAAGAGCTCTTCGAGACCTTGCTTTTAGTTATTTTGGAGCTATACCCAGAAGTGGAATTGCTGGATCATATGATACTCTTATTTTTATTATTTTGAGGAACCACCTTACTGTTCTCCATAGCAACTCACCTTGTTACGTTCCCTCCAACTGAGCACAAGTGTCATAATTTTTCCACATCCATGCCCACACTTGTTATTTTCTGGTTTTGTTTTTAATAGTAGCCATCCTAATGGGCATGAAGTGTTATCTCATTGTCACTTTGATATGGTTAGGTTTTGTTTTGTTTTTTACTCCAGTGCAATTTTCTTTGCCAAGTGCTTTAATAAATCTTCACCTAATGCAAACCTTTTTGCACCTGTAATGCTGTAGGCAATTTTGGCTACTGTGCCTCCAAAAAGAAAGTAACAGACTTAGTAAAGACTTAGAAGAACAATTATGAAAATTCTAATAGAATACTTTTCTCACTGGGAAAGCATAAAACAATCCTATCTGTTTATCTAGAAAGATGAAGGCTGAGAAGGGCTATAATCAAAGTTTATAAAATCGAGCCAGGGAGGAAAGTACTAGTTCATTATGAGCAGGAGCCCTTCCCTTCACTTTCAGGACAAATAAACTATTACTCTGTAAAGGGAGTAAGACACATAAGGAATTCATTAATAAAAGTACTAGAACCTTGCATATGGATAACACTTTATCTTTTCCCAAAGAACATTTTGTTCACATTATTGTGAATGAATATTGCCATCTCACATGAGTTGGGTGGGTAGGACAAAGATCATCATCCCAGGAGGAAACAGCCTGTGGAAAGATGAAATGGCTTAACCATGGTCCCCTTACTTCTGAATTTGCTTTTCCCACAACTTAAGAAGTTGTTCACGTTGTGCCTATACCCGTAAGTACTTCAGAGTTTTAGGCTAGAATAATGGGTGGAAGATTTACAATTTTTTAAGCTAAGTAAACACGCAAGGAAGTGATCAACATAAAGTTCAGGATAATGGCTACCACTGGGGAAAAAGTGATGACCGAGAGCATCAGTACATTCACATTCTATTTCAAAACTGAAAAAATATATATCTGAAAGAATATAATCATGTTAAGTTTTGTTAAAGCTAGGAGATGCGTTATTTATTCTGTTACACCCTACACTTGAAATATTTTATAAATCAGAAGGAAGAAAATAAAAAATGTTTGAGGGACTCCTAACTTTCTGAGCCTAGCATCAAAGAAATTGGGCTCTAAATCTTTCCCAAATGGCCTTTGGTGCTAGTCTGAGAAACAAAATACTGAGCAGATTAGACCATTGATCTGACTCAACATGGCATTTCTTACATTCCTAGGAAATTGACCTGACAGGAACATCTCAGTAACATTGACCCGATGTTTCTCTTAGATCATATGTATAGGGAAGCTATGAGTACATGGAGATATTTTGTTTCTTTAAAACAAAAGCCAGAACACAAGATATTCAGACCAGAGCTAGCCCACAGATGTATGTTGTTTGATGAGCATACTTTTCAGAATTAAGCCAATATTTTAAAATCATATTTTAAAATATATATAACATATAAAAAAATCAGATTCTGACGTTTCTTGAAAATTCAAAAAATGAAGGCTTGTATTCCCATGAAGCAGTCATCACTTGGATGTTTGAAGGGGAGCTGCAGCTGCTCTCGGACACTGGGATCCCCCACTACTGTGTTGTCCCTCAATAACTTATGCCAAGGTGCAGGTGCCATTTATCATTGACCATACTGCTGTTTTTCTTATAGTCAGGAAAAGCTCTATAAACCATGTCTCTATCAAAGGTAAAACAACAAAAAGACACAAAAACCCTCTGACTTTTCTTATACCTGGCTGCCTTCACTTGCCTACCTTATCTATGTAGCCCTGTAGGCATGTTAACTTCCATTCCTGTAAGTAGCTTTTAATGGCCTTGTGCTCTTTTGGAGGGGCCAGGAGGAAATGATGAGTCTTAGTGATCTGGAAACATTCCAGACTAATTTATTATCTTCTCTTTTTTCCCTTCTTCTCCCAACTACCTTTTCCCCCTTTGGTTTTAGGTAAAAAACATCTTTTTTTTTTCTTGCCAATTCCATAGTTTGGGTAGAAAAAAAAATACCATTTAATTTTGTTATTTTTTATATGCTTATGCTTTTAGAATTAGAATATTCAATAGATCATACAGGCATTTTAATAAAGGAAATGTCACTGTTTCATGTTTCATACTTTACTATGAAAATAACTGTTGGCATGTGAAAATGGCAGGGAAGTACCTAATACAAACGACTTAAATATTTAAAGCATTAGCCTTACTTCATCATAAAAGAATGACATCGACAAACACCCCTCCACAATCAGTAAGAGCTGGGTTTGCTTGTTGTTGTCAATCTTCAAACCATGAATGCTCTAATCCACATGGAAGTATCTCTCTAGGAAGCCAGGTGTATATGAATCCCACATGTCTGGGATTTCCATAAGTGATAATGACAATATTTACTGTTGAATTTCTGGTTCTGCGAGTTTTTCTGGACATGACAAACAGGTTTGATGAAATTTTTAATGTTTAGTAATACAAAATACTGTATACTCAAATGCTAAGATATATGTATCGGGAAAGGTAAAGCTTTGTTTTGAAGTTTAAACATGTCAATGAAGTAATTCAGGATCTCCGTGTGATTTTAGCAAAGTCATCCAAATTAGGGGGACATTTTCTCCGATCCTTTTTCATACAAATGATTTTTGTATGAAATCATTCTGTATGAAATGATTTTGGGAATCAAGTAGTTGGAGTATATAAAGTGATTTAAATTCCTCACTATGGTTCTGTCTAGCCACAACCTATCACATACTCCATCCAAAGCACTATTCCTGGAGCTTTGATTTTTAACTGTGCCAAAATTGCCAACATGGTGGATCTTGATGGATTCCTGAAGGGTGGCACTTCTCCCACTCCCAGCCACCGCTGACCTCTTCAGCATCCTGGTCCACAGCCGATGGCTGTCACAGCATCCGCCTGCAGGAGCAATGGAAGATGTTCTCAGTCCCAGCCTGGAACTGGGGCACTGGGACAGTGTGTCTTGGCAGTCCTGTGGCCTGGACCTTCCCTCTCATCAAGCCAGCCCAGTCAGCAGTGCATGCACACCAGCTACACAGACATAATCACGGTTGCTTCAGAGCATTTGTGTCTGGCTCCCACTTCATGGGACAACTTAAAATAACAATGAAGTTGGGCTTTTTGCTTAGGGTGAGGAGTCAGTGTGTGTAGAAAAGGGAAGAATTGATATTTGTATTTGAAAACCAATATCAACATTTTAAGTCTTACAGCATAGAAAAGGTAGTTGACCTCTGTTCTCTCCTCCAGCTTTTGGACTTCAGATGTAGATTACAGAGAAGAAGATGGAAGAGGCAGGAGAAAATTTAATGTGATGGGGTTGAGGTGAGCACATAGGGCAACCACAGCCACCTCGGCACACTCCTTACAGGAAGTACTTGATGGCATCCTGCCGTTTGCTCAGCAACAACCTTGTAAACTAGTCGGAGTGGGGAGCGCTATTAGAAGCTCCATTTTACAGATGAGAAACACAAACCAAAAAAGGATAAATGACTTGCTCAGGCTAAGCTGTGGCAAAATCCAAATGTTTTCCCACATGTTCAAGTCTAGGGCTCTTTCCCTTCTCATCTTTATCATCCTCACCCCTGCCTTGTGAATCTGATTATGAGTGTTCAGCTTTACAATTCATATCATTCCTATGAAATAATTGTTGTAATAACTGAGAATCAGCACCGTTTGCATTTCAGGCACCCAAGGCCTGAAACCTACAGAAGTGAAGAGCTTCAGCTTAAAACAAAACTGAGCCCTTCCACTTATCGGACAGACATTGTCCTGTCCACTGCTCTCAACAGCTGTGAATAAATAACTATGAGTTTTATTACAGAATCATTTTTAGTAAGGTTTGCCAATAAAAAAATCAATGGCACAATCACAGTGGGAATATATACAGGGTAAGGCAGTGTTATTGACTGACATTAATCATTGCACAGCCATTAAAAGGTGCTCGATGCTTTCCTTACTGGTACACACTAACACAGTGGAGTGAAGAGATTCAGATTCCTGCACACCGTCATCTGTCTCTACCCAGAGAATCCATAGAGATCAGAGGCAACAATTAACGCCACCATGGCAGTCAGCAGCTAAAGACAGACAGATCCACAGCCCACTCATGCCTCATCTGTGCCTGAGCCACTGAGACCATTTCAGCCTTGAGGGGAGGGTAGGAGACAGGTGTTAATGTCAGTCAGTATCTCCTCTAAGAGGCGAGAAGAATCAAAAGATGAGAGTGCAGAAAGAGAGACCTATCGCGACTGCAAGCAGACGTCAATTCTGTTTCTCATCTTGAAAATGTCAATGTCACAGCCAGCATTCAGCCTAGATAGAGCTCAAGAGCATGGTCTCTGGGAAGACTGCCTGCATTTACTTCTGGGTTCTGCTACTGAGGGTCTGTGTGGCCCTAGGCACAGCATGATTTAGCCTTCTGCACCTCCATTTCATTATCTGTGATATAGGAATAATAGCTACTAGCACCCACCACAAAGGATTATTGTCTGGATCAAATTAATTGCTCATGTGAAGCACTTAGAAGAGAACCTGGCTGAGAGTAAGTAGAAAATCGATGTTTCTTTTTCCTGTCTACAATATACCTTATAGTCTTGGCAGTGATCTAAGCCACCTAGATCACTCAAAATTAGGCACCCACTACAGTCTCTTCCAGCTCTAGGCTTCCCTGATTCTGTGTCCAACCTAGAATACTTTTTCAGGTGAGATTCACTGAGAGGCAGCTTCGGCTTCACCCAGGTTTCATTAGAAACACAAATTCTCAGGCCCCATCCTGGACTTACTAAGCCAGTATCTTGGGGTGGGTACAGGATTCTAGGGCTTATTATGCCCTTCAGGTGATTTTTTAAAGTTGGACAAGCATTGTCTCAGAATCTCTTTACTGAGAACCTTCAAGCCAGATTCCCACTTTTTGTTTTGTTTTTATGAGACAGAGTCTCGCTTTGTCCCCCAGGCTGAAGTGCAGTGGCGCGATCTTGGCTCACTGCAACCTCTGCCTCCTGGGTTCAAGCAATTCTCCTGCCTCAGCCTCCCAAGTAGCTGGGTCTACAGGCGCATGCCATCATGCTGGCTAAGTTTTGTATTTTCAGTAGGGACAGGGTTTTACCATGTCGGCCAGACTGGTCTTGAATTCCCCGCCTCAGGTGATTTGCCCACCTTGGCCTCCCAAAGTGCCGGGATTACAGGCATGAGCCACTGAGCCCGGCCCGAGATTCGCATTTTCAAGGACCCCAGTGGTGGAGCTGTATTCTTAACAGTGCCTATGGGGATCCACTGTTGTCTTGGTTCCTTTTGACGTGTGGACTGGTGGGAGCCAGGGCATCTGGAGGGATTGCTTGGGAGCCCTACACAATCAGCTCAGTTAGTTAAGAAAAGGATGATACTGAGAATGAGAGGAGAATCCTAGCTGGGGCACTTCCAGCAGTGATGAATTGGGATAAGTTTTAGCCCCTGTTTTTATATTATTTTGACTTTAAATCAGATTTCTACCTCGGTCCCATATTTGTAGTCTAAATGAGTCTGTAAACTAGAGATTACAGTGCTGCGATTCAGAACCTTGGATGATGGCCTCAGCTGCATTTTTCTTTTATTTGAATTCTGCTAAGGCTCATAAAGGAAACTGGGAGCTTGTTCTTTGAAATAGACTACTGGACACTGAAAAGCCATCAACAGGGTTTGCTGTTTTCCCCAAAATCAAGATACTCAGTAACTAACTACTGCAGAGATCTAAAGAGGAGCAATGAGACATGGTAGAAATCTTCAGTGTCACCTTTCACCCTCTTTCCACTTCTACATCTCCGTTCATCCACTTATCTCCAGGATATTCCCCCTGTGTGATCAACCAACACAAATATAAAATGCAACATTTCTAAAATGGGGTTTTAAAATCTCCCATAAGGCATATTCCTTTTTAGTTACTTCTTCACCATCAGTGAAACGATTGGTTTCCAGTTTTCTTCTCACGGTGAAAACTTCAAGGTGTTAGCCAACTCCCAGCCTTCTCATGCATCACCACATCACTTGGGTCTGCTTCTTAGGGTCGCTCTGTGTCAGAGGCATAGTCGTCCGAGTTCTTCTTTCCTCAGGGGTAGACGGCTTCAGCGACCTCATCTGCACCCTTCGTGGACCAGCAGCAGTGTGCCCTCCTCAATCCACACACCACCATTGCAACTGCAACGCCTCTCGAGGGGATTGCAATCCACTGCAGCAGCAACACCTTACAAAGACTTTTTTCTTAACATGCCGTTCGTGTCTTTGACACAGAACATAACTCTACCTTTGTTTTTTTTATTCTATCACATCCAGTATCTCTGCCCAGCCTTCAAGCTATTTGCTAAATCTGCTTTCCACATTTCATGAAGAGAATTCTCCATATTTCTCTTCATGCCAGGAAATCAATGTGTTGTTCTCATCACTCTACTTGTTTCTTCCCACCTCCAGAGCATCACACATGTCACTCGCTGCAATCCCCCAATGATATACTTCACCCATCCGACATTTACTTCCTCCTTTTTTTCCATCTGTCCTCATCTCTCATTTCAGAACTCTTATTAAGCCATCAATCCAAGTTCCCTCTATTTTTATATGCCCTGCTACTGCTGTATTCACATTGTTACGTGTGCATTGCTTTGCAAATATCCCCAAGTGATTTTTCTATGTAGGTTCTCCTCTAGAGAATTTATTACTGAAGACCAGAGGCAGAAAATTTCCCATTTCTTTTGTTTATGCTACACTTGGGAGATCAGCCCGGAATGCTGAGGTTGATAGAATGTTTTGCATGAAGTAGGCACTCAAGACATGTTATTCATTGACTACAAAAGGTTGCTTGATGCCCTGAAGACAACCAGAAGAGAAAGAGCAGTTAGGATTGCTCCTAGCCGAGGCATATTTTAGGGAGCTCTAATGAGACCCAATTAGAAACCCTCCTCCTGTTCTCATATGCGTCATGTGAACGGTAAAAGCTAGTATATGAAGACACGGGGCTAACTGTGGCTTTTTGGACTGTTGCATGCTTCTCTTCTGCCCTGAATGCTTGCCTGGTTTGCATTACGATTTCCTTCCTTGCTGGAAAACATAGACTTTCTTCCTTTCTTTGGAAGAAGTGGGACCTGTTGGAAATCTGAGGCTCCAAGATTCAAATGCAATGGGCTTGGCTGTAGTGCTCTGTAGTACACTTCTTGACAAGTCCTGAAAAGACTATTGAATTCTGGCCTGTGCTTTTCTGCAGTGTTTGGATGTGTTTCAGCTGCAGTGTTTGGCTGGACAGAGTAATCGAAATAGTTTTTTTTTTTTTTTCCTTCCTCAGCAATCTTACGTTACCAGTTGATCCTTAAAGTTAAAATGGAATATTTTACAACCCTGCAAATACTTTCGAGTGCAATCGAATTATAGCTCTTTCACAAGCAAACAGCCTATCTTTAAAAAATTGTGCATAAATAGGTCAAAATATAAATTGATGTTGTTATCCTAATAGAAAAACTGGCAAACATTTGGTGAGCTTGCTAGAGGATACCAACTTGCATTGAAGATCTTTTTTAATTATTATTAAACAAACACAGGCATTTTGATGGGACTTAATATGGAAGAAATTTTTTTCTCTTTTCTTTCATACGATTAAAATGCTATAGTAGTAATCTACACTAGTAATCTAGTAGCAATGTCACTAGTAGATTGCATTTGTGCTGGGCTGGGGGTTTTGATGCTCTGTGTATCAGGCTATTGTTCTCTGGTAATCTTCAAAGGGCTGCTGGCCTTTGAATCTGCTCCATATCTAAAATTCTAGCTTTAATTATCAGATTAGCCTGCATTTTTTTTTCTTCGTGATTACAGGGAGGAGAAGTGTATGTTTATTATTCTGCAAAATACTTGAGATGGTAGGATCTCAAATGCTTAATTTTGTTGTAGAAATGAGAGCTGATCAAATTATAGACTCCTTTAAGCTAAGGAAAGGAAATGAATAAGTCAGGGAAACAGAGGCACTGAGGGGCACAATCGAAATAGGCATTCATGTGCTGCACTTTGCTAAACAATGCTGGCACTGTGCCTTTCAGGGTCCCTGCAAGTCATGAACAAAACGAGAAAGATTATGGAACATGGGGGGGCCACCTTCATCAATGCCTTTGTGACTACACCCATGTGCTGCCCGTCACGGTCCTCCATGCTCACCGGGAAGTATGTGCACAATCACAATGTCTACACCAACAACGAGAACTGCTCTTCCCCCTCGTGGCAGGCCATGCATGAGCCTCGGACTTTTGCTGTATATCTTAACAACACTGGCTACAGAACAGGTAAGGGATGACGTTTCTAGCCCATGAACGTCTTGTAATATGTCTTAGACTCAGGAAGAAGTGTCATGTAATGAAATGCATGAAGTTCCAACAAATACCTAAAAAAGGATCAAGTGTTTTTAAACTGCTTGACATCTACCCCAGGGTCTGGGACACAGTAAATGATCAAAATTATTTATTATTTATTAATTAATGAAAAACTGATGGGTAAATCAATCATGTGTACCTTGTTGATTCATGTATTTGTTCATTCATAATTAATAGGATTTGGAAAGTTTCTTTAGCTTGTGGTTGTTTTTAGGTCTCAAATGTTCACTTCTACCTTCCAGGAAAGGAAGTCATCCTAATTGCTACACCTCCTATTATTGTTTAACCTACACAGGGCAAGAAGAGGTTTTTGATTAATTGGTTTTTTGAAAATTGGGGACTTCTTTCAAGAGGGGTAGTGAACATCATGCCAGTCTTTCTGAGAAAAAAGCAAGGTTCCTTCTGGTAATATTAGCCCCAAGGCCCTATCCTCCCAGCATGTAGATGATGTCCTTGGGTTTTTTGTAGCATTTCTTCATAAAAGGGCACAACGTTGTTCGTAGAAGGGCTACAGTGCAGACATGGGTTGTTGCTTGTTTTTATTTTTCCAGAATCACCTAGGCTTATTCATAAGAATCAAATATGTTATGATTAAAGCTTGTTCAAATGACTTTCAGGCCTACAATTTCTCTATTTTGAAGATTTAAAAGTAAAGGAGTTCAGATAAATATTCTCCTGCATCTCTTTTAAAAGTGAAATTAATCTTTCCCACTGGACTCAGGAAATATATGGCCATTTGCTTCTTTGCAGAGCGCCCTACGGGCACTTAATACTTGTTATTTATGGATGAAAATATTGATTGTGCATATGATAGCACTGTCACTCGCAGACAGCTCAAAGTCTCGACTCGAAGCAGCTCCTCCCGTGCATCTCAAGGGTGTTTTCTTATGCGTAGGAAAGAAACTAGGTTACGTAGAGGTTACAGAGAGTGCCTTATCTGAGTGTGTTTTCTCACATTAGTGATTTAAATTTATAGCACCTTTCATTTGAGGACTCTAAAGCAATTTGCAAATCCACCAAACATCCCTGTAGAGTTCATAGATGGCAAATGTACTTGGCTCTGTTTTATAACTGAGGTGGGGATTTCAAATATTGCGTGACCAGCTCAGAAACAGAATCAGAGGCGGTTCCCTAATAACCGGTTCCTGATTTTAACCATCAAATTGTGTTTTGCTTCTGGGAAGTGTTGTGTGAAATCAGTGCCTTTCACCTCCCAGGTTCCCTAGTAGCAAACATGGAACTGGAACGATTGGGACTCTCACATATCCAGAGTGAAATGGATGACATTTGTCATAAGAAATAGAGATTGAGGGTGAGACAGGGCCCTGCCAGGACTTAGAGCAGTCAACTAGGGTTTGCTAATTTGTTTCAGGGCTAAATTAGGAAGGGCAAGAAAGAAGGGAACTCCATTTTGCCATTATCTCACCTAATTCCTAGGGCAATCTTGAAAGAAAGGAATTTCCCATGTTACTAATGAAAAAACCGAGACTCAGAAAGGCTAATTGTCTATGGTCATGAGCTAGTCGGTGATGGAATGAACCCAGCACATCTGACTCCAAAGTCTTTCCTCTGTTCATTGTCTTATTTATTTATGTAATGATTCTCTTCTGCCTCATTCCAAAACGCCTTCCAGAGATACAGACTTTAGAAGCTACAGACCCATGAGGACCCTGGCAAACAGAAACAAAGAGTAGGACTAGCTAAAGTCAAGGCAAAGATTGCTGTACAAACTGCTTGCTGTGGAGTTGTAGGGAAAGGTGGAATATTTAGAACTAAGCATCCAGATGTTAAGAGCAAAAATGGAAACACCATCCATTGTAAAGTTCACCCAGTCACCGGGATAAAAACAATTCAGTTGCCTCTAAGCATGTTTCCTGGTACTTGCTTCGGTTATACTGTGCTATATCCACCTTAAGAGGGATTGAGAGAGTTTAACTAAAACTCAAAGATGATTTAGTTCCATTTCCTTATTTTTAGAGGAGCAAATTTACACCCACAAGAATAAAGTGACTGAAGTGACAGATCTGACTGTTTTTTATTTATTTGTTTATTTATTTTATTTTATTATTATTATACTTTAAGTTTTAGGGTACATGTGCACAATGTGCAGGTTAGTTACATATGTATACATGTGCCGTGCTGGTGTGCTGCACCCATTAACTCGTCATTTAGCATAAGGTATATCTCCTAATGCTATCCCTCCCCCCTCCCCCCACCCCACAACTGACTGACGTTCCAATGGGAAGAGCCGGCACCGGGACCTTAGTCTTCAGGGCTCTCTCCAGTGTGCTGATCAAACCTTAAGAATCGGGTCTGGGATGAAACTGTGTACACACCGGAAGGCTTCCCTGTTACCTCAATGGACTGTCACTTTTTTGTGCAGCCCGAGAAGTTTGTTTCAGTCGATGTCTTCTCCAGGGAGAGTAGATTTGCTCCTGGAAACTAAATCTGTTTCTAAACCTTTTCCCCAGGGTTTAGACACTTAGGTAATAATACAATTTATAGTGAGTCAACCTCCAAAATAAAAGGAATTCTTTAAGGGAAATAAAGACTTTTCCAAAAACTTAGTTAACAGTAGGAAAAGGGGCTGGGTGCGGTGGCTCACGCCTGTAATCCCAGCACTTTAGGAGGACAAGGCTGGCGGATCACGAGGTCAGGAGATCGAGACCATCCTGGCTATCACGGTGAAACTGTCTCTACTAAAAATAGAAAAAATTAGCCAGGCGTGGTGGCGGACGCCTGTAGTCCCAGCTACTTGGGAGGCTGAGGCAGGAGAATGGCGTGTACCTGGGAGGCGGAGCTTCCAGTGAGCCAAGATCGTGCCACTGCACTCCAGTCTGGGAGACAAAGCGAGACTCTGTCTCAAAAAAAAAAAAAAAAAAAAGGAAAGAAAAACCAGTAGGAAAAGGATAATATGGGCTCAGGAAAACAAATCTAGATTTGCCTATTAGTAAATCAGAAAAAATAAAAATTGGGGCCGGGTGCAGTGGCTCATACCTGTAATCCCAGCACTTTGGGAGGCTGAGATGGGCGTATCACCTGAGGTCAGGAGTTCGAGCCTGGCCAAAATAGCAAAACCCCATCTCTACTGAAAATACAGAAATTAGCCAGGTGTGTTGGTGCATGCTTGTAATCCCAGCTACTCAGGAGGCTGAGGCAGGAGAATCACTTGAACCAAGGAGGCAGAGGTTGCAGTGAGCCAAGATCGCACCATTGCACTCCAGCCTGGGCAACAAAGCAAGACTCTGTCACACACACACACACACACAAAAAAAAAAAAAAATGGGAAGACTGAAATGGCAGTGATAGAGATCTCTATAATTTAATTTATCCTTGATGGGAAAACATTACAGTATCTCAGACAATTAGGAAGTAAAAATGTCTTCATGACAATAGTTATTGATCCAACCATGGACAACAACCCATTTGAAAATACACAAATAAGTACACACAAGTGGCAGGAATCTTAGAAAATTAAGAGAATTGGTAGGTAGATATTAAACCAATGTAATTATGAGACACTAAACTAGTAGGGAGAAAGTCAATGTGTAAAGATTCTATTGCTTTCCTAATAATGAATTTATTATTTGGAACATTTAGCTACAAACCTAAGAAAAATAATGACGGAAACTGAAATATGTACTATACATACATAAATATCCATCTAGAGAGTAAGTTTTATGTAGAATAACTCAGAGAAAACAAATTACTAAAGGGCTTATTTTGGGAGGCGTCCAGAATCCATGGATTTAAATGAGTTGAATTAATCCAATATTATATTTACCATTGTATGACATGAGTTTTCTCTTTCAGAACTGAGGCATATTTTTGGACTGGCTATAGCCTAAATTTTTCTAAGTTTACTCATGGAAAATATGAGTCTATGAGAGCTTGAATGTTCAAGAAGGGGAAAATGCAGTAACATGTCGACTGCACTTCATATTCTGACAAGTGAAATAGGAATGAGATTGGATTATATATCATAAAAATGATTATCCTGCCTGAAATCAGCTCCAAAAAAATTAACTTAAATTTATTATGAGGATATCAACATTAATATAAAACCTGGCTTAGGTTTTAAGGTAAAAATAATTATCCATGGTTGAGTGATAGCATTAAGTATTTAACAACAACAAAAAAAACTGAAGCAAGATTGAAAACATCGTGGAATCACATTCTACCTTGATTTGTTTTGAGGACTTGGACTGGCCAGTTTTCCAATCTGTATGATGCAGAGATTGGCCTAGAATGATTCCTAAGTTTTCTTTCTTGTCCAAAGTTACAGTGTGTTATAACTTTATTATACTCATGGTAATTATAATATTGATTCATTTAACAATTGTGGTATTTGAATTATAATCCTAACACATGGTACATAAAATCACATATGAGTTAAATCTTAATCACATGAATTCTACCTCACATCACTGAGGTAGAAGGGACAATATTTAATAGACAGCTGCAATAAATATTTTTGTGAAGAATTCTTTTGTCATAAATCAAAATCATAGACCTTAGTTCTGAAAAAGAAAAATTATATCAAATAATGGTAAATACAATATTGGATCAAAAATTTTTTTGTCTTTTTACGTTACAAAATTTATGTTACTTATAGCAAGTATATTTATTCTCTAATATGAGATTTTTTAAATGTAGAGTTCACTTAAAGTAAGACAAACTAATATTCTTAATTTTATTATGATGTAGATTCTTGATACATGCATAAACATGAGAAATGTCATACATTTATTAAACCACAGTGTGCTTGGAACACACTAGACATTGGGATGAAGACATTTAAAGGAAGATTCCTGTCTTCACTAGACTTACAATCTAGTTGAGGAAACCAGACTGCTGTATACAAACTGACATTAATCATAATTTTAACTTGGTTCAAAATTATTTATATTTATAGTTACTAGCGTGAAATCCATCACCCTAAGTCTATCAATTACGTGGATTAAAATCTCAATATATCTTTTGATACATTAAATAAGATTTGACTTTTCTGCGGCATCAGATCTTTGGGTTAGTCACTATTGCTGGCTTTAAAAGAAATTCCTTGGCTTCAGGTAGTTCCTGGAAATTTTTCTAAGCATTATGGAACAGGTTGTCCTAGACAGAAGTAGCATGGCCTGAAGCCAACAATAATTACAATCAGGTCTTCTGATCTTTCTCCCTGCCCCCCAACCCCCACCACCTTCTTAAACAGCTGTGAAGGGAAGTGCTTAATGGTATCCAAAACAAAGAGGATGGGTAAATGGCACATTAGTGATGTATTCAGATAGTAGGAGTTGAATTGAATTGCCAATGCCGAAGGATAGAAAAATATTGAACTATACGTAACCTACATGTAGACATAATGGCAGTAAGGGCAAGAAAGCTAAATTCACCTTAGGAAGGGAAAAAGAGATTTAATACATCTGGAGGAAAATAATTAGAGGGCCAGATAATCAATTGCAGAGCGCCGCCAGGAAACATCGTGTTGAAAGAGGCCGGGGTGATTACAAACGAGTCTCAATGTCATGAGGCAACAAAAAGGCCAGAGCAACTGGAGGCCAACAGTGCTGCACCCTGACACCCAAGGCCCCCATCAGCCTTGGAATGAGTGTGATGGGTGAGCGCACATCTGGAATACTGAGTACATTTCTTACGCTCCGTTAACACAGAGACACCAAAAACCTGGAGGGAGTTCTGAAGCAAATAACAAGGACTATTAAAAGACTTGAAGGAATAGTTTATAAGGGAAGGATTAAGTCAAAGGGGAATGCCATGGCAATGGGTAGAAAACAGTACAAAATATCCTACAAAGTAAAACAATGAGGAAAGGGCAGGAATGACTTGGGGAGAGGAAACAAAAAAACCCCAACAATGAAGTAACTTAAAGTGCAGAAAAAAAAATTAAAACTAATTAAGCAGAAAAATGTAAGCCAAATGGAGGAGTTTGTTGCCACAAAATAAGTAGTAGTGGGGAAGAAAATATGTAACCTCCGAAGAGATATTTTCAAGTGCACAAGTGCAGAACTCTAGTGCGAGATTTCCTTACACTGCAGGATGGAAAATCATTTACAAAAGACAGGGCCAAAAGAATACTGCTAATGGTGATGCTAATAACAATATTAGTTGTAGGAGCACTTAACAAGCCGTTGTTTTGTGCCAGGCACTGTTTTCAGCGCTTTACATATGTGTTGATGCATTTAATCCTCAAAACAATCCTGCCACCATTATTATTATCACCATAGTGGCTTTGCAGAAGGGGAGTTGGGGGAGGGAGAAGTGAAGTAACTTGCATGTAGATGGATACCCTAGCAAGTAGCAGAGCCAGAATTTGAACCCAAGCAGGCTGGCTCTAGGGTTTATATTCTCAATCACTATGCTTTTTGCCTTCTTGGAAAAAAAAAAAAAAAAAGGAAAGAAAAGTGGGATAAACCCGTAGGGATGAGGAGGAGGCCAAGGAAAGCACGGGGCTTGAGGCTGTTAAGTGCAAGCTTTTTGGAAACAATCGCTTTTGAACGTTAGTGGGGTGTGGCCTTGGTCTGCTGCCTGTGGCTCCAAGTCATACTGCATTTTGTTGGAAAAGGAAAATCATCTTGTGGTTCTATGTGAAAAGGTCAGTTCGTCTCTAAGACAGGAATTCCTCATTAAAAGAATTCCAACTACACGTAGTCAGCACAGAAGGAAATCCTGAGTCACCTGATGTGAGACCCTTTGACACTTTGCCCTACACTGATCAACGTGCTCAGTGCCCCTGGCAGAATGCTTAAGCAGCGGGCACTTGGCTGACTGTAGACCTAATTGGTTCACTCATTCACAGAGCCAACAAATAAACATTCATTCAACAAACAAACATTGCCATGTTTCTCAGACTGGAGTCTAGATTCTTTTAAAAATAATATAATAAGAAATAACAATTTTAGAAACTCTAAAGCTCTATTCTATGAAAATGTTTTGAAGGCCAAATCAGCTTTAAAAAATATGATGATTTGATTGGGCGCAGCGCCTCATGCCTGTAATCCCAGCACTTTGGGAGGCCTAGGCAGATGGATCGATCACCTGAGGTCAGGAGTTCGAGACCAACCTGACCAATATGGTGAAACCCCATCTCTATTTAAAAAAAAAAAAAAAAAATTAGCCAGGTGTGGTGGCGTGTGCCTGTAGTCCCAGCTACTTGGGAGTCTGAGACAGGAGAATCGCTTGAACCCAAGAGGCAGAGGTTGCAGTGAGCCGAGATCACACCACTGTACTCTAGCCTGGGCAACAGGGTAAGACTCCATCTCAAAAAAATAAAAAAGATAATTCAAGCAAAATCACAAAATTTTTAAAGTCTAGACCTCGTAAAGTCCCCAGAATACATTGGATTCATGAACCCAAATTCAAGAAACAAAAAGGATGGAGCCCTGAACTGTGTGCAAGGATGGAGAGTGCCTCAGAGATAAGGCAGAGGCAATGTTTGCCCTCAAAAAGCTTACAGTCTAGCAGGTGTTCAGCTTCTATATGAACATGACTATACCACAATGGAGAAAGGGAAGATGACATTACAACCACAAAGACAGTGTTGTGGAATTAAGACAGAGACTGTGAGTGAAATGGCATCTGCTCTGGCCTTGATATATAAAGAGGCAAATAAAGAGAATTGCACAAGCAAAAATAGAGAGGTGGGAACCAGAGAGCAAATAGAGGAAACATTAGCTGGAGAGAGGGACGATTAACAGAGAAATAGGAGATGGGGTTGGAAAGGGAAGGATTTTGTCCAAACTCAAAGTAGGCCTCTGAGGGCAAGCTAGCAGAGTACACTTGATTCTGCAGGCAATGAGGGTAATCTGAGATTGCGAGAAGAGGGTGAAGTAACCAGAGCAGGTCCTTGGGAAGATTAACCAGTGGCAATCGAAGTGGAAAGACCCTCCATCCTGGCTGGGAAAGTCAGTGAGACCATGAGCATCTGTGAGGGGTGGCAAGTTACCAGGGATGGCAGGAGGGATTTGAGCACTATTTCCAAGGCAGACCTGATAGGAGGTGGCAACTGCCCAGCAAGGGGAGCGCAGGAGCAGGCGAAAGCAGAGGGGGCTCTGGAGGGCCAAGCATGGTTCATGGAGGGTGATTATGCCATTCAGAGGAATGGAGTAAGGCTGAAAGGGAAAACTGGTAATTCCATTTTAGGCAATGGCATTAGGAAGCAAGTAAAACATTCAGATGGAGGAATTCTACAGGTACAGGTGCTCCTTGACTTACGATGGGGTGACATCCCAATAAACCCATCATAAGTTGAAAATAAGGTAAGTCAAAAATGCATTTAATATACTGAACCTACCGAACACCAGAGCTTAGCTTAGCCCAGTCTAACTTAAATGTGCTCAGAACACTTATATTAGCCTACAGTTGGGCAAAATCATCGAACACAAAGCCAATAGGCTTGTAATAAAGTACTGAATAACTCATAGGATTGATTGAGTACTGCACTGAATGCATACCAATTTTACACCACTGTAAATGTGAAAATCTTCAATTGAACCATCGTAGGTCAGGGACCATCTGTAGTCGTATATCAAAGATAAAAGCAAGCTAAATACCTATCCCATAGAGACATCAAAATTATGTACATCATTAAGTTTAAAATTCAGAATGTGTGTTTTAAGACCAATGTCAATAAAGTGCTGCAATTCTAGAATTCGTTTCTATTATCCCAAGCCAGTCTTCCAGGAACTACTTTTTTACCATGGATATAAGCGAGGGCACCTATAAAATCTGTTTAATGAAGCCAGGCATTGGCTTTGACATGGAAGGCGTCTGGCAACAGCTTTATAACATCAGAAAAACTAAAACTTGCCTACATATGTATATGCATGCATAGGGGTGTGTGTGTGTGTGTGTACACACACATATATACATACACGCACACATGCTTATACCTATACAGACATATATAAAATAAAGTTTTCTCTAGCCCTTTCTACTTGAAGGGAAAGCTATGTGTGTGGCTGGAGTGACTAAACATTTAGGTTTACCCAGAATCATGCTTGTTTATACCTGCTTTTCTGTAATTACAGCAATTACAAATAACATCCTCTTGCTCTCTCAAAAGTATTCCAGTATATTTATGACTACCATTCTGCTAGGTTGTAATGTCTTTTTCACTTCAAGAATGAACCCATATTGTTCCTGGAATCCCAGCTTCTTCTTTGCTTCCCGTACCCCTCTCCTGTCATCATCTTTTGCAGAAGACCAAATTTCTAGTCACCCTCTCAGAGAGACCGAGTCAGCCCTGTGGCACAGTGGTCTTTCTTGGAAGTGACATGCCAAAGTTATAAATGTGAAGGCCTTCCAGTGGCTTTTTTAGTGAACTGTGGTGTCTTTGTGACACATACACTTCTACTATACTATAATTGTATGAAAATTAGTAATCTATGTAGTAACTCTATGTTGACAGAATTTTTATTATCGATAATAGATGTATACATTCATAAAATACACATAACATAAACACCCATTACATACTATACATGTGATATAAACCCTGACCATATCCCATAAAAATGGAGTTTACCATGGTTCCCTGGTTTGGAAAATTTGTACTCTCTGGATATGTAAAAACGAAAATAAGCTTTTCAATAGTGTTTTTATAATTCACAATTCTCAAATAGTAAGTTAGAAAACTTATCACAAAGACTGAACTTTCAGTTCTCCAACACCTGCCCGGTGGTTGCATTCCAAATCTCACGCTACTTCTCTGATTGTTCCATCAACTTAACAAAAGAGCATAGCCTGATTTTACTCCAGTAGGACCATAAGAAATGAATGCACCCAGAGTGCTGTGATCATTATGATGGTTTCATTGAGCTGTAATCCATGTACTTGGATACTACTTCTATTTATTTTTTAAAAATGTGTTTGTGTCACTTTGCCAAAGGATTGGAGTATTACACTAATGTCATTTTGGCATTCACTATTACCTAGGGCAACTTTTGTTTTACCGTCTCTTTTTCAAGTCATAATTTTATACTTATCCATTTATTTATGATTAATCATTTTACGTGAAAAAAATAATTCTTTTTTCCCACTGCAGCCTTTTTTGGAAAATACCTCAATGAATATAATGGCAGCTACATCCCCCCTGGGTGGCGAGAATGGCTTGGATTAATCAAGAATTCTCGCTTCTATAATTACACTGTTTGTCGCAATGGCATCAAAGAAAAGCATGGATTTGATTATGCAAAGGTAATTTTCAGGCACTTTTACACTGCATCAATTTACTTTGTGCATAATGGGGAAAAGCCATTTTCAGTGAGTTAAACTATCCACAAGATTGGCTTTCTATGTTCTCACAATGTTAGCATGAGAAATGTTAAGGTAATTTTAAACTCTAGGCAAGGAAAAGACTCTCAAGGAACGCTGCCTTTGTGTAGTGATTTCCCTCATTAGGATGAAAGGCAATCAGGCTTTGATGAAAGTATCATCAAGAAAATCAGAATTCTCTGCTCTCTTATGATAATTTTTGTCCTCCCAGTTCCCCCGGACCCAACCAAGGACTTGTCCACATAATCAAATGTTCATCTTGTACTGTTTTACTTTTCACTGGGACAAAAGTATATTTTGTCTGTGGCTTCAGATTTAGGCACAAGCATAAGAGCAAATAAATATGATAATTAAAGTTTGAAAAACCACATTCCTTGCTTTTACTCCTGTCTGACCAAGCTTAGTATACGTGACAAGGACACCTTCCCTATCACGGCAAGCATCCACAAAAGTCTCTAATGCTATCAATTCTAGGATTTTCAAATCAGTTCAGAGAAACTGAAATCAACATGTCCCATAGTTCTTTGACCAGTGGGTTCTAGTTTTGACTTAAAAATTCACAAAGATTTTGTGATAGCTGACTTAAGTTTAAATTTTTTTCAAATCATAAGAATGAAGGGGAAAATATCTTCGAATTTAGCATGCTTATTTGCCAAAATATCCCCTTCCCTTCCAGCCATACCCATCTCTTCTTCATTTATCTAGAAGAAGCCGAGAATCTGCTCTATCTAGCAACCTCTCCCAACAGGCTAGATCACTTGGTAGAAATCGGAAGGAGAGAACTTGATTTAATGTTGGCATATTGCTGTCTTTATGCTTGGCCTGATTTGAGCACAAGGGACTTGATGGGAGATAAGATTAAGTCCAGCTCCTTTATACCCTTCAGAAAACAATGAATGCAAATGAATTCATAAACATTGCTAATAGGCTTCCAAACTCATGAAAGTTAAAAGTTAGCAGAGACCTTGGAGGCAAATTTGAGCAATGTCCTCATTTGCAAAGATGAGAAAAAAGCATTCTAGAGTGGCTCAACCACTCATCCTAGGTCATATCCCCAGCTGTGGATACAATCATTGCAAGCAAATGGTGCAGACCACGTGCACTAATTGTCACTGCTCTCCTTTGCTGTCTGTAGGGATGCTTTTTCATGCTCCTTGTTCAAGTTATTAACCTTTCTTTCCCTGCTGTCCTAAAGAGAGCAAAGTAATCAAGATTCTCTCCAAATACTAAATCAGCGTAACTTGTTCATTATCACAGCTGATTAAGTGTCAAAGACAACTGTGTCTGAAAAGAATATATATCTTTTTTTAGTGAGGAAAAGAATGAAACAGACACTCCCTTGGAAGAGGAAGGGGATAGCCTGTAGACTTGCCCTAACAATGACATGCGGCACACACCATCCCTCTGATACTGCTTTTGCAGCTGTTCTGGTCCTTAAATCCACAACATGTGATTAGCCATGCCTGGAAGCCTTCAACATTTGCAAATATTGCCTAAACACTTTCTGAATAAAGTTTATACTGGAGCTCCAAGCCAATGACACACACTTAAAAGAAGCAGGTGGTTTAAGTTTTCATCTTTTCTTTCCTTTTCATTCCATTTCCTCCCTCCCTCTTACAGACCTGCATCAGCCCCCCCTGACTGTGGGTTAAGTCATTTTATTAGCAAGTCAGGCTCTAATCCCAGCAGCTGTATTGCTTTAGTTGTGCAATTAACACAGTATAATCTGCAGGAAATCAACTGCTCCCTATTCAAGTGTTTCAAGTAAATTAACTGATCAAATGTTGCAGCTTTTCCCTGTGCTCCTGGATTTTGGCCATGGCTTTGATTACTGATTATTGTAATTCCCACAGGTGGATTTTTCGTTTGAAGAAAATATCTTTTCTTGTGTTTATGTATTCATGGGCGTGTGTGTGTGAGCGTGTGTGTATGTATGTGTGTGTGTTCTGCAACTGTAAATTTGAAGTGGGCGTGGGTGTTTCCTGCCCTTAAAGTAATTAAATTTTTTGCCAAGGAATTACATCAATGAAACCTGAGACTGAAATATGTATCCGGTGTTTCATGTGTTCTAGTACTTTTATCGCCAGATTAATCATTATCTTGGGCAAACACGACTTGACTTTTTTTTTCCCCATTGCTAAGTTGTGTATTACTTAAAATCCATTTTTCGTATGTTACCAAGCTAGCAACCCTAGAAAACAACTGGCAGCTGATTTTCTCTATTATCGAAAATGTTCGGCTGCCTTGGGAGGTGCAGCCTTCCTTCCTGCTGTAGACCTTGCCACTTCGTGCAGTGAATTGCTTCTGAGGAAAGCAGTTATTCAAATGCGATCTGATGAATGTCACCTTTTGTAATTTTTGTTTTGTGTCAAATGTATGTTTCAGGACTACTTCACAGACTTAATCACTAACGAGAGCATTAATTACTTCAAAATGTCTAAGAGAATGTATCCCCATAGGCCCGTTATGATGGTGATCAGCCACGCTGCGCCCCACGGCCCCGAGGACTCAGCCCCACAGTTTTCTAAACTGTACCCCAATGCTTCCCAACACATGTAAGTAACAAACTCAACTCTGCGACCTGCCGAACATGCCTTTCCCTTTTCTCCTCATCCCACTCCTCTCCTTTACCCCGTTTCCTTCCACCCTGCGTATCCACAAGGCTTTCTTCATGAAAGGATAACTTAAGAGCAGACCACGGAACAGGCAGAGCCGCTGAGCCTGAAAGAAAGCGCCTTATCTGGGTGGTTTGAGGAGGAATCAAATTTCCAGCATTTACAAGTAGCTAAATAGAAAGGAAGAGATGCACATAGAGTGAATGGGGGCAAGTTTTACAAGAGTTTCCTTTCGTTGTCTTAAATAATATTCGTGTGTCTGATCTAATAATGATGATGATCAAATAGTATGCTTTTCATAGCTGCACAGTGGGGACCTCTGGTCTGGTTATAGAAACATGGATTTATTTTCCAGGCGAATACCGTAGCAGCTTTGCTGCAGACGTGCAATTAGAATTCCTGCAGAAGGCAGCTTGAGTGGCTTGCCCAAGAGGGCTTCTCAGGTCACAGCTTTAAAATAACCTGATTTTTTTTTTTTTAAAGAGGCAGGAGTCTTGGAGATGGGGGGTGGGAAGGCACAAGGGAGAGGGCTGATGGCGTGGAGGGATGAGACAGAACAAAGAGCTGTCGTGTGCCCACAATTCTCACCAGCCAAAGGTGGAAAAATCTAGATGCTTTGGCAGCAAAGAACATGATTTTGTTGTTCACTCAGTTGACACCATTTCTTCCTAAGCTTTGCCATCAATATCCAGTCTTCCACACAGAGCAGTGGAGTTGGCTCTGTGTCTGCTGAAAGCCTGACCATTAGGGAGACAGGGAACAGAAAATTGGTATCTGTTTCCTATATTGTGAAACCTCCAAAATTGGTTCTTAATCTATTTGTACTTAAATATCATCTCTTTTCATCCACACTGGTTATTAGCCAAGATTCCAGGCAGAAAGAACCTTACGAAAATAGGTAAGTAACTATGCAGGCTCTCTAGTTGCCGGTCACTATACATCCCTAGAGAAGTTTTTATAAAATGTTCTCTTTTTTTTGAGACAGAGTCTTGCTCTGTAACCCAGGCTGGAGTGCAGTGGTGCAATCTTGGCTCACTGCAACCTCCGCCTCCTGGGTTCAAACAATTCTCCCACCTCAGGCTTCTGAGGAGCTGGGACTACAGGCACACGCCACCACACCTGGCTAATTTTTTGTATTTTTAGTAGAGACGCAGTTCCACCATGTTGGCCAGGCTGGTCTCAAACTCCCCTGACCTCAAGTGATCCACCCACCTCGGCCTCCCAAAGTGCTGGGATTACAGGCATGAGCCACCGCACCCAGCCTTATAAAATATTTTTATTTGTACCTTAATGTAACTGATTGACTTATGACTCCTGGTCAGTGGTACACAGATCATCTCTATGATATCATGTGACTTAGACCAGAAAGAAGGAGGCCAGAGCTGACTCAGGACAAGAACTAACAATATGAAGCCAGGGTGGGTTACCTACTGAGCATGCCCAGGAACTCAGAGGATGGAAGTGTTTTAATGCATAAAATATCATCGACAAATCATGAAGGTTGCCCCAGCACCTGGGAATATAGCTGGGATAAGCCATTATGTTTTGGAGTCAACTCCATGGGTGGATATTTAAGCTTCTGAAGATCTTCCCCTATATACAACTCTGCGAGTAAATTCATGAATGAAGCCCATGTGTGACAAGTGGCTCTCCATTATAGCTCACTTACAAATTTAGTAGCCAACTGATTCAATGAAAGGAAAAAGTCCTGCGGGCTTTTTCAATACCCCTGAACCCCCCTGTTCCCATTTCTGTTGAATCAGAAATCACTTTACCTATCTTTGTTGCATTAGCAGAAACCCAGTCTAAGGTGACTTCCTATAACTGTAAACTTTACAGATGTTCCCTCAAGCTGGAGGAGAAGGGGTTGACAAAACAGAGTGTTTTGTGGCTCCTTAAAAGTCAGCCTGCCTTTGAAGCTTTGAGGCAAGGTCCTAAGCCTGCAGGAAAATCAGCCTCAGGTCAAGAGTTTATAAGAGCTCAGTTGCATGGAATCAGTACTGCATGAGGGGAGGAGCCTGCAGAGTTCTCAGGGTCTCAGCAATAGCTTTTTGAAAAACATCTCTGTGCTGGCCAGGCGCGGTGGCTCACGCCTGTAATCTCAGCACTTTGGGAGGCCGAGGCGGGCGGATCACGAGGTCAAGAGATCAAGACCATCTTGGCTAACACTGTGAAACACTGTCTCTACTAAAAATACAAAAAAAAAATAAAAATTAGCCAGGCGTGGTGGTGGGCACCTGTAGTCCTAGCTACTCGGGAGGCTGAGGCAGGAGAATGGCATGAACCCGGGAGGCGGAGCTTGCAGTGAGCCGAGATCGCACCACTGCACTCCAGCCTCGGCGACAGAGCAAGACTCTGTCTTAAAAAAAAAAACAAAGAAAAGAAAAGAAAAACATCTCTGATTCCAGTAATTAAAAATTCTATTTCATTCCACGAATATTTATCAGTGCCACATGTGACACTATGCAGCCCAGCAGGGATATAGATAAGCGTGAGGAAGACACAGTTGCTAACATTTAAGGACAGATAAACTAAGGCAGGGGTTGGCACACTGGTACCCACAGTCCAAACCTAGCTTGCCACCAGTTTTTGTTAACAAAATTTTATTGACACACAGCCATGCTCATTCATTTATGTATTGTCTGTGGCTGCTTTCACAATACAACAGCCAAGTCGAGTAGTTGTGTCAGATACCATACAGCCTGGAAATACTATCTCATCCTCGATAAAGTAACTTTGCCCCAACCTCTGCTCTAGGGGCAGGATGGGCAAGTGTCCCAATGGCAATATCACCAATAGGGCCAGAAGTGACAAGCACAGAGCAGACGTTCGCAGGGCTGTGGAGCGGGGAGGGAGAAGCCTTCATATCTTTGAAGGAAACCAGGAAAACTTCATGGACCAAGGCTTCAAAGTGGGCCTCAAAAGATGGGTAAAATTTCTGCAGATAATTGTTTAGAGATTGGGTTTCAGGAAGAGAATATGGCAAGGACACGTGGTCACTGTATAAGGGAGGCAATCTAAGATGTGTCCTAGAAACTGGAGAATGGGCTACAAAGAAAGCAGCACTAAGGAACAATGCTGCAGAGGGAAACTGTTGCAGAATATTGAGGGTGTCAGTGAGTTTGTATGTAACTGCAAGCAGAGAGTCACTGGAGGTTGGGTAGTAACAAAATAGGAGGTGGCTCAGACATTTCCACATGCAAATAGATTCAGTAGTTCCTTTTTAGTTCAAATGAACCTTCTATTGCCCTTATTAGTGATTCTATAAAGTAAAATCTACACAGTGCAGAGGGTGGCCTTAGAGGCTAACGAGCCTGGTTTCCTGCCTCAGCTGCCCTCACTGAGTGTAGGGGTGCTTTCTTTAATCTCTGGAAACCTCCACTGTCTCATCTGTAAAATGGAGATAATACTAACACCTTGATGTGATGTCATGAAGAGAAATTAAGAGAGGCAGTGTAAGTAAAGTCCCCACATAGAGCCTGGGACATACAAGCCACTTCATAAGTGTCAATTCTTATTGAACCTTTTTATTAAGAAACTAACAATATTCTATCATTCTGGACCTACAAAAGGGCAATTTCATGTGGCTCAACTTAAGGTTTAGGGGAAGCAGTGAGAGAAATGACAACTTGATGCTTGTCCATTGTGACATGACAGACCTCTTGACAAGCTAAGACTCCCATTGTGATGAGCCTCTCACACCTGGCCATTCCAATGGAACAGACAGGGTAAGGACCAATCTGGACTGTGTTATCTTTTCCAGGTGCAAGTATGTGCTATGGGTAAGTGCCAGTTTGGAGAACTCCCTTAGCCACAGGAAATGAAAATTCATGTGATTGTTTGAAGGATTCAGCTTCTCTTTGCTGCTAATCCTTGGGTTTTGTGCACCTAGAATGTGGTCTCCTGCAGGCCCTGAAAGCCTTGAATTCCTGGCATCTTTGCTGTGAAGGTCTCCCTGGCTGCTGCTGGAGGAAGGGGCTGGAAGGAGTGAGTGTGTGCACAGGTTCAGAGTTCAGTCTTCAGACAAAAGGAGTGAGATAAATTGAAGACAAGCTGCCGATGGTAGTGCATGGAACTGCTCAATGACCAGCTTCCTTAGCGAAAACATTAGCAACACATTCAGGCAAAGGGATGCGAGAAGTTAAGTACTTTGCAGAAATATTTGACAGGCCCTGCAAACACTGAGCAAGAAACCATAGGTTCTCCCCAATTGCAGGGATGCAAGTAACGTGAACACTTTCCTTTCGGTCATCTTCCTTGGTGGTCAGGCATCATCTGGATCACTTTCATCTGGCATCGGGTTATAACTACCTGACCCTCTCAGACTGGGGTGAATGTATCATCTTTCCAAGGTGTTTGCCGTTCCCAACAAAGAGAGGAAGCCAGTTCGCTATTGGCCTGTTAGCTTTACAAACGGATGGTAGAGCTTATGCTTACCAAGGAAGAGTGAAAGGGGATTATCGACCACTTGTTGACAGGGAAAATAGTTTAATCAAACTGTAACTCAGCTACTCATGGCCACTGAGAAATCTGAGAAAGCCTCTGTCATAATAACACACATAATAATCCTAGTATTAGAAAGCCCTGCGCTCTGGCTAAGACTCTACTATACTTTTCAGTAACTTATTTCCCCAGAATCTCCATAGGGATGCAATTCCTTCACCCCTGCTTTAAGTTACTTCTCTCTCCTCGCCTCAGTGATGTCATCATATACACCTGTGGACAAAAGCCGTGACAGGGAAGGAGATGCCATTTACGTCCCTGGTGATTCTATAGGAAACTAAGGGACCTCCTTATCACCCTTCTATGAACTATGCCCCTGTCAGCTTTAAAAATTTGTTGTTGTTATTCCAATTTTTTTTTTTTTGAGATGGAGTTTCACTCTTGTTGCCCAGGCTGGAGTGCAATGGCACAATCTCGGCTCACCACAACCTCTGCCTCCCAGGTTCAAACCATTCTCCTGCCTCAGCCTCCTGAGTAGCTGGAATTACAGGCATGCGCCACCACGCTCGGCTAATTTTGTATTTTTAGTGGAAACGGGTTTTCTCCATGTTGTTCAGGCTGGTCTTGAACTCCTGACCTCAGGTGATCCGCCCGCCTCAGGCTCCCAAAGTGCTGGGATTACAGGCATGAGCCAGCACACCTGACCTGTTATTCCAATTTAACAGTTCTTTCTTCCCATACCTGTAAATGTGTGTGACTGTGTGTGTGTGCATGTACACTCACACACACACAAATACACAAGTTCAAGTGAAATCTAAATGCTTGGTAAAACAGTCCATGTGCACTAATTTGCAAGAGTTGTTGTGAGGGTAGAGCTTTTGAATAAACATAGGTTGTCAAAGGAAAAACTCCCTCTGTGTAAGCCACAGGACAAAGGTTTTGAAACACCTTTGTTATCTAAAGCTGGAAAGAAATGTCTTGCCTTAAAAGAATTTGCACATTCGTACCTCTTTCCACAAATACGTGAAAGGACGTGCTTTTGAAGATAAGAAAAGTTTAAATTCTACAAAAAAAAAAAATCTGATTTGGGCAGAACTCATTGCTCCCTTTTCTCTGTTTCTACCTTGTTCTTCTCTGGGTGGATCATTTACTACTTATACTGTCAGTGTTGGTGTTGCTTGTTTACTTAGATCCCTGAAGTCGAGTTGCACAACTCCAGGGGGCATTCAGATAAAATATCATGTGAATGATGCCCTGGAGTTTTGCAGGTAGCTTTGTCCTGAAGACAGGGACAAAAATGTTTCATCTCTTTACCTCCCAGTGCCTGGTGGACATGCCTTCGGACCAAGTAGTTGCACAATTCATTGTTGCTTAGCAAATGAACAAATATGTTCACCTCACTAAATAGCTGACATGAAAACATTTTAAAAATAGTATCAAGATATTTAAACAGTCGATTTTATGAATTTAAAAGACACCTAGAGATACTACAATTCCGTAGTTTTTTAGATTAAAAAACAAAGACCCAAAGTCTATATTTTTTAAAGGAAGGCCCAGATGGTTTTGTGAAGGTCATGTGAGTATTTAGGGACAAAACTAGAGCTGAAACTCAATTCTCTTGGCCCCAGGTGATCTTCTCACTCCACCAGACTTACTCAGTTCACATCACAGTCACAATTCAGATTAGAGCTATGAACAATTCTATCCATTTGCACAATTCTAACTGGTGTTTCTAACTTCATTAAAAGACTCTGAATTATTTTTCTTATATACCTCTAATCAAGATCATTTGGTATTATCCTGCATATGTTCAAATGTTACCTATCTACAGATATTTGAACTTAGGTGGGGAATATCTCCACAAAGTCCATTAAGTAAGTTCAGTTTTAGTGAAAACTGAGATGGTGCAGCTTGAGAGATTAAGTGTAGAATTTCCAATGTAATGCTTTGAATGTGTACCTTAAATCTGTATCACTGGCTTATTCTGGGAATTGAAGTCTTATTTCATTTCTCAGAGAATGATGGTTCTGCTACCAGTAATCTTTAAGGGTTAGATCATTCGGGTTTTTTGTTTGTTTGAGACTAAATAAATGAAGAAAACACATGTTAGATACAAAACACTAGAAATATATTAATTTTCACTGGAGCGACACCAAAGGCCATCGACATTAAAAATGAACTCCTAAGTTCTTTGCAATTCCCCAGGTATAGATTTAATATACAACACATGCATCTCTTGAAACTCTTTCTTTGCTAGTAAGAATTATTCTCCTGAAATACCCACCTGTCAAAAAGAAAGGTAACATTATTGATTTTTAGAATTCTTATTTCTGTCGTGTCAGTAAGCAATACCGGAAAGAAAATCAAACACTCAGGAGAATTGGCATGATGGTGAAGGTTGAGCTTACAAGTACAGTGGACTCAAGTATCCATGATCCAGCGCACTGAGCAATAAATCCAAATGAGCAGTGACCACAGGAAAACAATATGCAGGGAGGCCTCGCTGGGAAAAGCTAAACTTTTATATATGGGAATAGTCTATGGAGGATTACAGGGATGTTTTCTTGGGGGTATAAGGTCTGGAGTGTGCAGTACTGGGTGAAGCCCTTATCTAACAGGCAACAGAAAGGTCTTCCCAGGTTAGGCACACGTGACTCTACCTCCAACACAGAATTTTTTTTTTTAAGAAAGCAACAGAAATTTGCAAATGATAGTCTGGTCTTTTGTCCTCTCAATTTTAAAGCAAATAACCAGTATTGTGTTATCTACCTTTTCATGGATGCATCCAGTGTGCCTAGAAGGGCCAGACTTTATTCTGTATTTGCAACAAAAGTAGACCCAGCAACTGATGGGAAGATATCTGATTGGGAAGCAGAAGCAGCTGGTATTTTAAATCAGGATGAAAGCTAAGATTTTAGGACTCACTTTTGATAGGAAGAAAGGATATATCAATTTTCCTTTTAATGAGTGGGATTTTTGAGGTACTTTGTGGGGCCTCTGGTTCAAGACTGTGGCCAGTGTGGTGTTGTAGGAGGGGCACTGATGGAGAGCTATCCCGGTGCATTATTTCTGAGCCACCTCTGTGCACTTTACTTCCTCATTTGTAACATGGGACTAATGTGCCCTGCTGAGTCCTCAGAGTTGCTGCAACAATCAAATGAGCTATTAAGGGATAAGCTCTTTTCCAGCTACCTATGAGAATGGGTATGATATGGTCCCAGAATTTGCTCTCTAGAGCCACAGAAATCTCTTAACCCCTACAAGAACTCTTTAAAGTTGTTATCCCCATTATATAGATGAGGAAACTGAGACTTAGACAAAAAGTTGTCCAAGATCACATAATATTAAGGAACAGAGCTGGGATGAATATTTGAGTCTAATTCCAAAACATTCTGGAATAACTCAATATGTGGTTTTCCATTTCTCCCAAAAACAGGTACCTGCTTTTTTCAGTGGCTTGTGTTCCAGCTGACAGCTCCAGGGCCTGTTTGAATAATTCGAAGACAATCCTTAGTTAGGAAAGCAAGCTTTAATTATCACTGGGGAACAGAAGGCCGCATCTTCGAGGAATTTGGCAGACCTCAGCAGGGGGCAACCACAGGCCTTTGGCAAAAGATCACTTTTCAACAACATTGTCAATTCCAGTGACCCCCGACCTTCCACCTGCAGGTCCCTGAACAGCTGCTGTTCTGTGGGAAGCAGTGGCAGTCTGTCTTCCTTTAAAAGGCACATGCACACTCTGTCCCTGCTGCCTGCTGAGATCCCACCTGGGACCTCATCCCCAGAGCTGGGGGTCATCTCCCATATCAAGAAATTAAGAAAAATAAGGGGGGGCAGGAAAGGACAGCTTTGACAACAGTCCCTGAACTTTCCCTTTTAATATAAGCCAGATTTAACGTATGTCATTCTGTAAATCCGGGAGTCCAATTTGAGGCTTGTAATTTGCTGCAAGCTTCCCTGTTCCTCCAAGTGGGGTGGAGCTATGCCAAGCACATCAAGGTAACTGGTGGAAGATATAATTTCCCCACTGTGAGCCTGCATTTCAGTTCCCTATTGTAATTTTTATTTGTGTTGAGGTTTTGTGGTTTTAAAAAAGTCAACCAGATTTATTTTTAAATTAACCCAGCCCAACATCAAAGGCAATAAGTAGAGGATGTTTAGGTATTATAAAGAAACCCTGTGTAATCTGTTATAGCTGTATTCTTTCTCAGGGCATGTAATGGTAAATGGTTAGGGGCCTTTCACAACCAACTTTCTATATTTCTCTGACCTCGGACTACCCTCATGGGCAAAAAACCCTTTTTGAGGGGATTTAGTAGCCCCTCTCTCCTCCTCCTCAACCTCTTAATCTAATCCTGTTTGTAACGCAACATGCTGCATGAAGAATACGAAACATGGGCTTAAGTCCCTCCCCACTTCCCTTATGACTGTGGTTTACTTTTAGATATGAAGAACTCTTTCAGGCCAAAAAAAAAAAAAGGGGGGGACCATTTGGTTAACGAACCATTTTCTTTGGTAGGCAGGAGAAAGTTTATATTGAAAGTTTATCTTAAGGATGACAGGTCATACCTGAAGGGTTTGTTTTGGAATACTGTGGATTTTTTCTAACCCAAATAATTACAAGAGAGTTCCTTGTTTATTGGCTCATGGAGGAAATTCAAGCGCCTCTGTTCTAGGCATTTTAAGTGCTCTGTATATATGGTGGTTGTTCCTCAAAACAGCTTTGGGTTTGTTTTTTGTTTTTTGTTGTTAGTGGTGGTTTTTTGAGATAGAGTCTCGCTCTGTTACCCAGGCTGGAGTGCAGTGGCGCAATCTCGGCTCACTGCACCCTCCACCTCTCTGGTTCAAAAGATTCTCCTGCCTCAGCCTCCTGAGTAGCTGGGATTACAGGCGCCCGCCACCATGCCCAGCTAATTTTTGTATTTTTAGTAGAGACGGGGTTTCCCCATGTTGGCCAGGCTGGTCTCGAACTCCTGACCTCAGGTGATTCACCCGCCTGGGCCTTCCAAAATGCTGGGATTACAGGCGTGAGCCACCATGGCTGGCCCAAAACAGCTTTTTAAGAAAAGTGCTATTAACCCCATTTACAGATGAGCACATTTGAGCCACACCCTCTTTTCCACACTCTAAATCTTGTCTCTTTCTTTAAACATGAGTTACTTATACTTCTGAGCATAACTGAGGCACTTTTAGAGACAGTGTCTTCTAAGCTCAATGTGATATTATTTGTGCTGCTGTGCTGCTACTGGGTAACCAGCACCCATCCTGGTCACCAGGGTAACTTTGTCAACCAAGAAGGCCAAGGATCCCAAACCAGCATTTTCTACTATCAAAAGAGAGGTTCTGCAAATCCACTGGCAGGAGAGAAAATATAATAGCAGGTGGCATTTATATGACCCAGTGTGCATGGCAGTGTCCCAGGGTATCACCGTGAATCTCAGAAACTCCAGGCTTTCCCCATGGGAAATCCACACCACCACAGATCCAGTGGAGGACTCGGTCAAGACTCCTGAAATCAAAGAACTCACAGTGACTGATTCTTTCCCTAGTTTTATAATATAAATAATGGCATGGGGTCACATTCAGCCGTCATTATCCACATCATTTCACTGATGGGATCCTCCTCAGACAGAGATTGGGAATCAGATTTCTCGGTCACATAAACTGTTGCTCATTCTGTGAGGCTGCCTATTTGTAAAGTTGTGGTTCTTATTAAAAGCAATCTCAGACGTAGCAAGCACCCCTCACTTCCCTTCTCATTCATTTTGTTAAAGCAAATGGGCTTTGGAATTCAGGCCTGTTTCTACCACTTACTAATGTTGTTAATTTGGAGGAGTTCCTCAACTTTGCCAAGGCTTGATTTTCTCTGCTGTAAAGAGGGAATAATAAACCTATTTTACAGAGCAGCTGAGACAATTAGGTGAGTTAATGTATATAAAATGGTTTGCATAATACCCAACACATATTAAACTCTCACTCGGTTTTTAATATTAACCTCTATGTGCTTAATAACATTGAAGAAGAAGATTCAAGTAGATTATAGTCTGTTAAAGAGTTCAAATATAAATAAATAATTCTCAGGGTGAGAATTGCCATAGCATAGATATGTTACGTACCCATGGCAGAGCGTGAGGTGGCAGCATCTAATGGTTGAGGGAGTTGGGTGAGACATCAAGAGAAGGTGACATATTTTTTTGAGTACCCAGTGGAAGGCATGGGATACCATGTGGATCTCTGCAGTAGATTAAATATAGACTTGAACTAACCTATCCTGGAACAATAGGACAATATCCTTGTGGCTTACAGAAATTATTCCCTGCACCTATATTGATTTGTTTATTAAACGAATAGCTTTATTGGTAAACATGTATATTGCGGAAGTAGACTTGGTTATCATTCCCACAAGTCCAGTTAAAGTAATGGCATCTATATAAAAAACTCATAAAAACTAGATATGTAAGTAATCAATAAAATACTCTTCTCAAGTATTCAGGAGAAAAAATGTGTTGAAATGATGATTCATCATTCCACATAACGTATTTGTGACTACATTTAATAGCCTCATTAGCAATAAAATTTTTATGAGTTAACATCATATGAGGATATTCCCTTGTACCTTACCGAGACTTTATCTGTAGATTTGTAACATAACCATAATCATCTTGGTATGTTTCTTACACATTTTATTCAGTGAACCCAAATGAACTTCTAATTACATGTTCAGCTGCCAGTCATGGTTTTATATGTTTGAATATATATACCTTCAGAGGATATTTGCTCTTTGGGGTGGTGAAGACTTCATCTTCTTATAAATGCAAACAGAAGATAGTTGGAAGAGGAAAATGTTTTAGCAGTGTCTCAATTATCTCTCCTTAATGATTATTTCACAACCTCGAGATATTTTCCTAAAAGACTAAGTAAGAAATATATAGTAAGATTCCTTTCTGGATATTTTCAGAACTCCTAGTTATAACTATGCACCAAATATGGATAAACACTGGATTATGCAGTACACAGGACCAATGCTGCCCATCCACATGGAATTTACAAACATTCTACAGCGCAAAAGGCTCCAGACTTTGATGTCAGTGGATGATTCTGTGGAGAGGGTAAGCACATGAACCTACCTCAGTGATAGTTTTTGGCCCAGCTTCCTTTGTGTAGACTTATTCTTGCCAATCCTGTTTGGTTTTTTCCCCTTCATTTTCCAGCATCATTTTGAGAGAGAAAGAAAGAGAGAGAGTATGTGTTTAGTGGCTTAATCATCCCTCCCTTATCTTGTCCTCATTCCATCTACCTCTCCAGGGTTGGTTTCTTATGGAGCCAGTAAAAAAGAGGAGAGAAAAATCAAATCAGCGTAGATCAGGGGCCACATCCTCAAAGGCAATAAAGAATTGATGGAGCTTGTGCTGAACTTGAACTTTAAGTTAAGGGCCCCATCTAAAGGAACAGCAATTACTCAGCTCCAGCTAAATTTTGCCATGTAGAAATGTGGATCAAGTATCAGCAGGTCTTCTGACTTTTTTAAAGAAGCCAGAAACACAAAAAATTTTATTTGAAATTTTCTGAACTTTGAAACATAGTATAAGCCAAACAAGACGTGCCTCAGGCTGGATTTAACTGGATCAGGCTCAGAAGCAGCCTGTTTTTAACCCTTGGTAATTAGATATGTGATGATAATTTTAACAATGGATTTTCAAAGTACAACCTATAAAGTTTGATGGTAGAGGTTGTTGTGCGGGGTGTTTTTGTTTTTGTTCTACCAAACAAGCAAACAAAAAGCCTAAAAGTAGAATGTGCTAGATTCCAAAAAGTTACATTTCACCTTTACCATTGGACCTTTCCCTCCCAGACTGTAAGCAAATAGAAAATGTGGATAATGTTATTAAAGCAACTCTTGCCTTTTAAAAATAACAGGAAAAAGATTTGGGGGCAATCGTGGCAACACTATTGAGCATCATCTTATACCAGCACAATTGATTCTGACTTGTTCCTTTGCTGTATTTCAGCTGTATAACATGCTCGTGGAGACGGGGGAGCTGGAGAATACTTACATCATTTACACCGCCGACCATGGTTACCATATTGGGCAGTTTGGACTGGTCAAGGGGAAATCCATGCCATATGACTTTGATATTCGTGTGCCTTTTTTTATTCGTGGTCCAAGTGTAGAACCAGGATCAATGTACGTATTTCTCTGTTTGCAACATTCAACTGTCGTACCTCAAGTGTGTCTAAGATAATTCAATTACCAGTCTCAGTATCTGGTTTCCTTTCATCCAAAACAAAAAAGGATGTGTGTAGGCTGGTTAATTTCGAAGATGAAAACCTTTTCCTCCCTGCCACATCTTAAATTAGCTCAAGTATACTACTTAAAGAGAAAGGAAAAATAAGTGTATCAATGACTAATTCTCTCAAATTGACTGGAATCTATGTCTTTTTGGTCTGTGTGCACAGACAGGATGTGATCTTCTGGGATATCACCCTTCTTTGAATCAGAGATACGCTGTCATTTAAAAAAAAAACCTGACACCATCCTTTTAGTGTTTAACTTTTAAAAATTATTCCGAAAGAAATGTTTTTAAAAGATAAATTTTGAAAAGCTGGCTTTTCTTTTAAAGGAAAAAGAGCTAAAGGACTAGGCTGCTATTTCTGTCACTGTAGGCAGGTCACTGCTTCTCTTTGCATCTCTATTTTCCCATCATGAAATGGCCTTGCCTATTTTCCCATCATAAAATGGCCTTGTCAATCATCTCAGGATGTTTTGAATAAAATGGGATTGCATCCATGAAAGAATTATGGAAAGACTAAAAGAAAAAGTGGAAGTAGAATCCAGAAGCTGGAATGGCCCTTGAAAAGCATCTAGCCTGGACCCCTGATGTAACAGTGAAGCTAGGCAGACAGCGTCAGTGCCCCTCTCAGATCCCTGATTCTGGAAGTGGTGGCAGTGGGGCCCAGAGCCCAGATGTTCTGAATCTCCCCCGAGTACCACATGTGCTGCTGCATCATACTACATCCTGGAGAGAGGGCAATTGAAGTAAGAAAGGTTTCTTTGAAGAATGTTATTGTGCTTCCTAAGATTATTAGAAACACCCTGAGAATTGTCAGATCTATATCTAGAAGGCTTTATGTTTTAAGGACTAGATAGCATAGATTGAATTCAACTGTAAAAACTGTACATCCTTTTTTAAAATATTGATTTTAAAGCTCTTGTTCAACGGAAAAGTTATGGACTATTGGGTTTTAAGCAAAAGTATGCTTGCTGCAAAAACCATGTATCAGGCTGCATCTTGCCTGGTGATGTGGTCAGAATACAGGGGTGCAGGCATCTCTCCAGCCTGACCCTGGCAAGAGTCAGTTAATCTTGCTCAGTGCCATTGCTGTGATCACACACCCACCCTTGCCACACAACTACCCATGCCTAGGAGACCAGATGAGAGGGTGAGAAGAGTTGAAGGCCAATGAGTCACTGCTGTAGAAAAAGCAGCCCTAAGTGCCACCTTCCCCTGGCATTGGATCTCAGCCATCACCGTGTGCCCCTTTACAGAGTCCCACAGATCGTTCTCAACATTGACTTGGCCCCCACGATCCTGGATATTGCTGGGCTCGACACACCTCCTGATGTGGACGGCAAGTCTGTCCTCAAACTTCTGGACCCAGAAAAGCCAGGTAACAGGTGTGTCATTGTTCCTCCTCTCAGCCAGCCCCAAATACACTGAGCTCCAGCTGGTGCCCAGAGCCAGCCAGCAGCTGAAGACATGGAGGCAGAATATGCCTTGCCCACAAGGATCACCCCAAGCTGAGCATTTCTCAGCTGCTTGTGAATAGCATATTGATGGAGATGCACTCATGGTCTGTGGGAAGTGAGAGGTGTTTCTTTAAATAAGCTGTTAGCACAGATCCATTTGGAAAAACGTCCAGATGCCAAAAGTAAATATTATCATTTTGCTTTCAGGTTTCGAACAAACAAGAAGGCCAAAATTTGGCGTGATACATTCCTAGTGGAAAGAGGGTAATTATTGGTTCCTGGGGTGCTTCTGGGAACCAGTCCTAGTGGGCAGCTTTCCCTGCTGAGTATTTTTTTTCTCCTTATTTTTGTTTACTAAGCATGCAGATTTCGTAAACCTAGTCACAAGATTGAATGGTTTGCTGCTTATTCTGTAGTGGTCAATAGAGTAATAATTGCTGGATCAGAATTGTAAAGAATAACCCTCAAGTTGGTTAATTGGTACAAAAACACAGTTAGATAGAAGTTATAGAATTTGATAGTATAGTTGGGACATTATCGTTAACAATAATTTATGTATATCTTAAAATAGCTAGAAGTGAAGAATTGCAAAGTTCCCAACACAAGGAAAAGATAAATGAGATGATGAATATCCCAATTATCTTGATTTGATCATTACACATTGTAGACTGGTATCCATATATCACACGTACCCCCAAAATATGTATAATTGTGATATATCAATTTTTAAAATACCAAAAAAGCAAGAGAATGACGACTCCACATCCCCCAAAAAGAATAAATTCTCATAAGCTTGGACCAAAGCCTTTATCATGGGTGTAGATTTACTGTTGCATTTCTCAGTGCTGGTTTCTAATCAGACCAGTGGATTGAGTTTCTCTACCATCCTCCCCACGTTCTTCTCTAAGCTGCCTCCAAGCCTCACCCGGCACCCTTCTTCCTACTTCCTACTTCTTTTCCTTGTGTGCCTTTCCTAGTTTTAAATAGATAAATGTATGCCATTGTAATTATTTCCATTGTCACTTCTGGGTTTCCCCTTTTGGTTCATTAATACCCATTGCCTTGTTTTTCTCTGTACATAAATTAGGAGAGAGAAAATATTTGTATAATTTTTTTAACAAAAGGAACTTTGAGCATGTAAAATGAAACATGTATGCCCAAATTTTGAAATTAATGCTTTTGGGAAGAACGAATCTTTTCCTGACCTCTCATCTTCATCCTACCCAGTTTGTCATTTTCATAAAGGACCCATCAAATGTTGAACTCCTGTAGACAGAGCTTTAACATCTATTTCTTGCTGTTTAAAGAATGTGGAGTCATGTGACAGGGTAAAAAAAAAAAGGGGGCAGGACTCAGGGACCGTAATTCAGATCACTTCTCATGTACGAAGCTTTTCCCTTTTTGTCGAAGCAAATTTCTACGTAAGAAGGAAGAATCCAGCAAGAATATCCAACAGTCAAATCACTTGCCCAAATATGAACGGGTCAAAGAACTATGCCAGCAGGCCAGGTACCAGACAGCCTGTGAACAACCGGGGCAGGTGAGTGACGCAGGCTTTCTTTACCACCACTCATGTGCTTCTCCATCTCTAATTTAGAAAATTGTCCACATATAAAAGAATGTACATTTGTGTATAAATAAGCTTTTCCTAGTGGCCTTGAGGGCAAGCTCACTGAGACACCTCTCCGCGGACAGAATTACGTAACTGGTTCAGGCTGGGCCTCCCCATTACTACTTGGGCTCCCTCCAGTTAAAAAAGATGATGATCTCAGAGAAAGTTCTATGCCAAAAGACACTGGTTTCCTCTGAGGAGAAGATTCCTGTTATAGTCCCTGTTAACTAGTCACTGAAGAGTTGCCAAAAGGCTACTTAGTCAAAGCACAGGTACGTGCTGAGCCTCTTGGCAGTGAACCACCCCAAGAGACATGATAGGGCCTTCACCCTAGGCTAAAGTCAGAATGTCATCTTACCCCCAGTAGAGGACAGAGCCTGTGACCAAGCTTGAGGAATGAGAAGAGAAACCATATTCTGTTTGTTTATTGTTCCTACTTCTGCTCACAAAGATTCTGGCATCAAATATTTCATTAGAATAGATCCTCTTCGTTAGTAGAAATATTACTATAGACCCCAGAGCTACCCAGAATACCAGTTATTATCAGTAAGAATAAAAGAAATACTGTGTGATGAATTAACATTGCTTTTAAAGAAAGTGAGTACGTATGAATTTAAACCAGTTTAAAACCATTGATTTTAAATGCCCTTGATTGAAATGTATGCTAGCTAAAAGAAAATGCTGTGTCATGACAAGAGGAACTGAACTTTGGCCCAAATCATTGCAGCTGAGAACAAAATCAGAGGAAAGTGAAAAATACTAACACATAGTGAGCATTTGTCTTACATCAGGCACAGTACGCAGGATTTTGTAGCATTTACTCAATTTAATCCTCACAACTGTAGAGTGAGGTGGGCATTGGCATCTCCATTTTACAAATGGGCAGCTGGGATTCAAACAGGAGTTGTCTGATTCAATAACTCAGGCCACTTGCTGCCTTCCAAGGTAAGTTACAATAACCAGGTGAAGAGAAGTTCAAATCTGTGAGTCTTTTTTAACTTAACTGACCTCTAGATATCCACACAATTCACCAACACCAGTTCAAGATGTCAGGCTCATGGAATGAGTAGGTAACAAAGTTATTATTAAAATGGCCTCACTCATTATACGCTTATTATATGGTATCTAGCTTGTTGAATAGACATTCCTAATAAACAACTTGATCCTTATACCCTGCATTTCCTCATGCTTTCTTGTACACAGGATCCCTTTGAAATAGAAGAGGATAGGGAGGGAGAGCTGTTGAAGGAAGGGCTAAAACTAAGCCTTCACTACATTCTAGTACATCTTAATTTTCAAGTGTTTAGTGGAGAAAAGCTGAGACCTATTCATTATATTTTAATTTGAAGTCTTCAAATCTTTCTTATGAAACCTCCAAATATTATTATGAATAAAACCTCAGAATTGTTTTGTAGCTCTAAGATGATTTTTATGAGCTAGCCTCAATAGACTAATTTACTTTTATTCAGGAGTTGCAAATGTTCAGTGTTAAATATATCTCATGCAAATTGGTGATCTTGTTACTCTTTTAGCTCTAAGAGGTGAACATTATAGCCTTTTGGGAATAAGGTACACTGCCTACATTTCAGTGTGTAATTTTACAAACCTCTCCATATGGCTTGCCCTAAAATTTTAATATATGTCCTAAAGGGCAAATGTAGCATAAACCAGATTATGGTACTTTGGCACAAGCTTTTCACTCACGAGCTGAATGCTAACTAAGTTACAAACTTAATTTTGCTTTTTCATATTTTTTGAACTTGTTTTGGCCCCATGAAATGCTTTCATATCTGGAATTTTCTTCCACTGTTTCATTTCGCTGTGAATCAGTCTGAATTTAGATCCATTATGTGGATATATGAGAACGTCAGCAATGGTCTCTTTTAGAAAGGCCTGAATTCGTGGAACAAAGAATTAGGCTATGCCCTGATGGTGATTTCTTTCTATAGAATTTCTTTATATTGGGCCTGAGTGAGCTTTAGAAGTGAAGACCTGGAGAGTATTTCAGATTGTCTCTAGCTTCAGTGTATCCACAGCACTAGTGAATTGTTACTCTAATCCCGAACCAGCAGGATCAGCATCCCTGAGAGTTTGTCAGAAATGCAAATTCTCTGGCTATTGCAGACCTTCTGAATCAGAACCCCTAGGGGTGAAGCCCAGCAATCTGTGTGTTAACAAGTCCTCCAGGTGACTCTGATGCTCCCTAAAGTTTGAGAAGCACTATTCTAACCCACGATTGTGTTTACTGGTGGCCCTCAAACCATAGCTTAGGAATCTAAGAACTTCAAGAAAATTTTGAGCCTTAATCTTTAAAGCAGTTATTGAATCTGTGGGTCAAACCTGATAGCTGTGTTGTGTGTTGTTGTTTTGTTTTCTTTGGGACAGGGTTTTACTCTGTCACCCAGGCTGGAGTGCAGTGGCGTGATCATGGCCCACTGCAGCCTCGCCCTCCTGGGCTCAGGTTATCCTCCTACCTCAGCCTCCTGAGTAGCTAGGACTACAGGCACACACCACCATGCTCGACTAATTTTTGTGCTTTTTTAGAGATGGGGTTTTGCCATGTTGCCCAGGCTGATCTGGAACTCCAGGACTCAAGTGATCCACCCACCTTGACCTCCCAAAGTGCTGGGATTACAGGAGCGAGCCTCCATGCCCAGGCAGCTCTGTTGTGTTCTATCGACTTTTTATATCTTGGCCTTTTGCTCTTTCTTTCTGGCTACTTTGAAGATTATCTGTTTTTGGCGACAGTATCCCTGACTTTAAAAAAGGAAGAAGAAAATTCAGAATAATGACACTGAATTGTTCAGGTTCGAGGTGGCAGCGGAGGCTAGAACTGACCTGCTTGGAATCTGCTCTCTCTCGATGTCCCTCCTGACATGCGCCCTGCTTCCGTTCCTCTTAACAAGGTGAATGGCCTTCATTCCAAGGCAACACAGTCAGGTTTTGACACTCCATGGGGAACAAAGGGAAAATCAGCATGACTAGCCCCATTCTCTTCACTCTTAATCCCAGAGATAGTGAATGCCCCCCTCCTACCACATCTTTGTGCCAGGTCACCTAAAGGTTGTTTGGTGGAGTCAATGTGGGTGCATGAGGTAAGTCAACAGAGAAAAGAGATCCAAAGGTTGGGGTTAGAATATTGGCCGCCACCACTTTCTAGTTGTGTCTTCTCAAATAGGTCACTTACTTTCTCCTGAGTCTCAGGTTTTCTATCTCTAAAATAGAGAAAATTAACCTCACCCTTGTGAGGATTAAGTGATATTATACATGTAATGTACTAAAGTGAGACTGAGATTTTCTCTAGTGTGCGAATATTGGGTGTTATTATTATTCCAAGCCATCTTACCTGCTGTTTTCATTCCTATGAAGCCAATTAGAATTAAAATGGGCTGAGGCCGGGCACGGTGGCTGATGCCTATAATCCCAACACTTTGGGAGCCCGAGGCGGGCAGATCATCTGAGGTCAGGAGTTTCAGACCAGCCTGGCCGACATAGTCATAGTGAAACCCCATCTCTACTAAAAATACAAAATTAGCCAGGCGTGGTGGTGGGCACCTGTAATTCCAGCTACTTGGGAGGCTGAGACCGGGGAATCACTTGAACCCAGGAGGCAGAGGTTGCAGTGAGTCAAGATTTTACCATTGCACTCCAGCCTGGGCAAAAAGGGCGAAACTCCATCTCAAAATAAATAAATAAATATAAAAAGAATAAAAATGGGCTGGAATCCCAGAGACTTGGCATCACTTCTTGACTATGTGAACACAACAACCAGCGGGGACTAATTAAGACAACATGGACATATGTGTTTGCATTACTTCCACGTTCCTGAATTAATATGAGATGGAGTGTGAATTCCCACCACTCTCTCAGCTGGGCGTTACACCCCCGGACACGTTTATGTACAGACACTCCCCATCCCCCTACACCATCACACACATGCACATGTGCATACTGAGGGGCAAATCTCGACCTCTTTCTTAAAGCATGTTTGTTCCACAGAGAACAAAGAGCAGTGATGCTCAATGCTGGCGGCACATTAAACTCACCTGGGGCCGAGCACGGCAGCTTATGGCTTACTCCCATAATCCCAGCACTTTGGGAGGCTGAGGCAGGAGTTCTAAATCCCCTAAGCCCAGGAGTTCTAGACCAGTCTAGGCAACCTAGGGAGACGCCGTCTCCACGCACAAACAAAATAGCCAGGCGTGGTGGTGTGTGCCTGCAGTACCAGCTACTCAGGAGGCTGAGGTGAGGGAATCGCTTGAGCCTAGGAAGTCGAGGCTGCAGTGAGCCGTGATCGTGCCACTGCACCCCAGCCTGGGCGACTGAGTGAGACCCTGTCTCAGAAAAACAAAACTAAAATAACAGAAAATAAAAAATAAACTCACCTGGGTGGCACTTGAAAAATGCTGATGCACCCCCCAGACCAACCAGGTTAAAAATGTCTGGAAGTGAGGCCAAGGAATCTGTATTTTTTAACGAGGTTAAGAATCACAGGCCTAGAACCAGAGAATATCAAAGTTTGAAGGAATCTTAGAAATCTTCTAAGTTGAATGGTATCATTTTTCTGATAAGGAAATTTAGGTCCAGAAAAGTTAAGCTACAAACCCAAAGCCAAAACCTGCATCTCTTCACTTCACGTTGAGTACTTTCTTCCCTGTAACATGCTGCCACTGCAAAATTGCAAGACAGATTTTCCCTTTGAAACTATGAATGGCAATCACCACTCACGGTGGTTCTCAACCCTGACTGCACGTTAGAATCATATGGGCAGCTTTAGAGATGCTTATGTTTAAGTCCCAGCCCAGGCAAGTTAAATCAGAACCTCTGGGTATGAGACCCAGGTACCAGTGTTTTTTCCAAGCTCCCCTGATGATTCCTACGTGCAGACAAGCTTGAGATCCACAAATGTCAAGTGAGCATTAATGGGTTGGTTTTTCTTCTTCTTCTAGGCATAGGTATTGACGTCTTAAATAGGAGCTACATAAAAGAGAAATTCCCTGGGCATCCAATTTTGAAATACACTTTACATATTATCTGGCATTTAAGTGGAAAAAAGCAGCCTGCTTTGTTTTGATAGGGCAAATATCACATCCTTTTGATGAGTTGTTGAATTCCAGCATCTTTACAATTTAGTTTGCCTTTCTACTATTGGATCAATATAAAATCAAACATTTGTTTAAAAATCTGTGAGGACCCCTGCATCAAGCAAGCTGATGCTATTATAACGGAAATAGAATGTAGTTTGTTGAGTGGAAACTGGTTTAGCTCCAGGATGGATCTTTGTTCCTATACAAAACTTATCTCTCTGGCCGTATATCCTTCTGACCCTTTGTGACCAGCAGCAGAGCATGAATAATAAGACATTTACCATGGAGATCCTCCTAGAATTGTTAGTTTTCCAGAAGCAGACAAACCTGTTTCCCAAAACTCACTGAACTCTGGTCAAAATGGCAGCATGGCTCATAGACATCTTCCCCTGGCTAACCTGATTCCAGAGGGCACATCCAGAAGGATTGAGCTCCCAGTGCCATCCTTTTACTGAATTCTCCTCTGTGCATGGGTCCATTGTGGACCACTCAGCCTTTAAACCTTGCTTCCTTCCCTCTTCAACCCATGCTGAAGCTCATGTATGAACAGTTGTTCATCTAATTAAATCTTTGACTTCTGTGCATTTGTTCTAAACAAGTCAAAAAAAGACAAACATGAGAATAGGCATTTTACTCATAAACTGTATAATACAGCCCCATTCTGCTTAATTTGTACTGTGTCTTCTTTTCCACCATTTCCTAACAGCCCATCCTAATCAGGTCCTCCTCTATGTTTCTTAAATGTTACATGTGAATCCCACTTTCTCACTTGCATGGAGGTTGTTACTTCTCTCTTCTCACCTAAGGCTCAGGTCCTCCTCTATGTTTCTTAAATGTTACATGTGAATCCCACTTTCTCACTTGCATGGATGTTGTTACTTCTCTCTTCTCACCTAAGGCTCACCTGAAGACTCATACTGCCTTCGTACCATTCTCCTTTTCATCAGTATCCTGATCAAGGTGCTTTGGGATTACATCCTGGATATACTGCTTTCTTGGCATTTGCCTATGTGCAAGTTTCTTAACCTAACTCTGCCTCAGTTTCTTCATCTGTAAAATGGGCATCATATAGTTCTTGCCTCATAGGCTGTGGTAAATGTTATATGAATTAAATGTATCAAGCATCTGGGACAATGTCTAGGACATAGAAAGCACTCAACAAATGCTGGTTGTCAATCATTGGCCAAGATCAGTTTACCAATTTCATTTTCTAGGAATTACAATAATCATACATCTTCCAACATTCCAGTGTTGACTTTTACAAGGGATTATCTAGATTAAAATCTATAACAGGTAACATTTCTCTCTCTTCTGCTTCTCCTTTTCTGTTTTCCGTCCCCCTCTCTTTCCCATCTCACACCATCTCAAAGAAAACAGGCCAGGAGATAAATCCTCCTGGCACAAGTAACACTAATTCATATTTGTGAGAGAAAATTTGACAATGACTTGAGCTAAGTAGCAGTTTGGACAAAGATGTGAATATGGTCTTTGTATATTCCCCAGTGTTAAGATAAATATTTTAAACACATGTCCACATGCAGGTAACTTTTTTATGATGTTCATGTTGGCATGAATAATAATCAGTTTATCACAAAATTACTATACAGTTGTGACATTTCAGAGAACATGATTTGACCTGCATTATGGCCAAATCCATGTCATAAGACATATGGTAACCAAGAACTAGTGTGTGTTTATGTATAAAATTAAGCTTTCACTGCAGTGCACCTTTGAAAAAGTTGTACACAATTTTTTTAATTTTTCTTTTTATTTCAATAGTTTTCGGGATACAAGTGGTTTTTGGTTACATAGATAAATTCTTTAGTTAGATTTCTGAGATTTTAGTGCACCCATCACCCAAGCAGTGTATACTATACCCAGTTTGTAGTCTTTTATCCCTCACCTGCTTCCCAACCTTCCCCTCCAAGTCCCCAAAGTTTATTATATCATTCTTATGCCTTTGCGTCCTCATAGCTTAGCTCCCACTTGTAAGTGAGAAAATAAAATATTTGGTTTTCCATTCCTGAGTTACTTCACTTAGAATAGTGGTCTCCAGCTCCATCCAAGTTGCTGCAAAATACACATTATTTTGTTCCTTTTTATGCCTGAGTAGTGTTCCATGGTGTATATATACCACATTTTCTTTATGCACTTGTTGGTTGATGGGCATTTAGGCTGGGTTCCATATTTTTGTAATTGCTAATTGTGCTGCTATAAACATGCCTATGCATGTGTCCTTTTCATATAATGACTTCTTTTCTTTTGGGTAGATACCCAGTAGTAGGATTGCTGGATCGAATGGCGGTTCCATTCTTAGTTCTTTAAGGAAACTCCATACTGTTTTCTGTAATGGTTGCACTAATTTACATTCTCACCAGCAGTGCAAAAGTGTTCCTTTTTGCCACATTCACGCCAACATCTATTGTTTTGTTTTGACTTTTTATTATAGCCATGCTTGCAGGAATAAGGTGGTATCTCATTGTGGTTTTAATTTGCATTTCCTTGATGAGTAGTGATGTTGAGTATTTTTTCATGCTTGTTGGCTGTTTGTGTATCTTCTTTTGAGAATTGTCTATTCATTTCTTTACCCTACATTTTGATAGAATTATTGGCTTTTTTCTTGCTGATTTGGTTGAGTTCCTTTGTAGATTCTGGATATTAGTCCTTTGTTGGATGCATAGTTTGCAAATATTTTCTCCCACTCTGTGGGTTGTCTGTTTACTCTGCTGATTATTTCTTTTGCTGCGCAGAAGGTTTTTAGTTTAATTAGGTCTCATTCATTTATGTTTGGGTTTTTTTATATTTGCTTTTGGGGTCTTAGTTATGAGTTCTTTGCCTAAGCCAATGTCTAGAAGAGTTTTTCCAATGTTATCTTCTCAAATTTTTATAGTTTTGGGTCTTAGATTTAAGTCTTTGATCCATCTTGAGTTGATTTTTGTGTAACGTGAGAGATAGGAATCCAGTTTCATTCTTCTACATGTGGCTTGCCAGTTTTCCCAGCACCATTTATTGAATAGGGTGTCCTTACCCCAATTTATGTTTTTGTTAACTTTGTCCAAGATCAGTTGGTGGTAAGTATTTGGCTTTATTTCTGGGTTCTCTATTCTGTTCCATTCTATGTGCCTGTTTTTATGCCAGTACCATGCTGTTTTGGTAATTACAGGCTTGTAGTATAATTAGAAGTCAGGTAATGTGATGCCTACAGATTTGGTTTTTTTTTTTTTTTTGCTTAATATTGTTTTGGTGTAGCCAATTTTTGGGTTTTTTTTTTTTGTTTCTTACTCATGAAAATGGACACAAGTAGGCATAAGTAAGAACAGAGAACAACATCCTTAACCAATCTGAGAAATATTTGCAATTCAAAATGCAGAAATTATAATGATTACTTAGTGGATACTTCAGGAAGGAAAAGCAACCAGAGGTCATCTAATATTGCACTAAGTATTTTACATGGAAAACTGTTCTATGAGATACATATTATGCCCATTTTAGATATGAAGAGACTGAAACTCAGATGGGAAAATAACTTGACCAAAGTCACACAGCTAGAAGAATGACAAACCTGAGTTCAAACCAAGATCTGGGTGACTCAAAGCTTCTGTCTCTCTCACTAAATAATAATTATTTTGTACAGTTTACCACCAGAAAACATTAGCTTGCCCAGGATTGGATAAACTTTTTAAAGGCCAATTATAGTACTGCTCTAGGTTCATATAGTACATCTTTTCCTTAGAACTTCAAAACACTCAAACAATCTATTCTCATGACTATCCATGAAGCCAGGAGGAGCAAGTATTATTTTATCGGATGTGGAATCCAGAAGAACAAAGAGATTCTGCAATTTGCTCAAAGCCATAGAGTTAGCAGCAAAAAAAAAAAAATAATAAAATTAAGGTCTTTGAATCCCAACCCAATACTCATCTCCATTAAAAATGGCTACCTCTTATCAAATACACATTAGATCACATTCTTTAAGTAATAAACCATGTGTGGGTGTATGTATGTAATAATAATAATAATAGCAGCTGCTTTTGTTGAGTGCCTGCCATGTGCTGAGTTCTTACCGTGTGTTATCGCTAATGCTCATAACTCTGCAAAGGCTAATGTGGCATAGCTTACTTGCTCAGGGCCACATAGCCATGTGATAGAGCTGGTGTTCAAATCCAGGCTTTTTGAGCTTGCAAATCCAGACTTTTTCCTTTAAGCCACACCGATGAGTAAAAAACACCATTCCGAGTCCAAGACAGAATATAGGTAATATTCACTACTACGAAATCCTATTTCAGTAAATGACTTGTGACAGCACTCTGGGTTGTAGTGAGGATTAAATGAAAAATTCATAAAGAGTGCTCTAGAGCAGTACCTGCTATCAAGCAAGAGTTAAATAAATGATCATAATCATGGTAGTCAAGATGATGATGAATGAAATTGTTTGAAATGCGTTTGACATATTTCTCATTAGATTTGATTCCACCAAACTAGCTGCACACTATTTGTATCCTCATACCAAAATTGCCAGCCTTCTCTTCTTCATCAGGTGTTATTTATATACAGGCAGATATAATCAATCAAAAACACTAACACATAATTACCTAACCAAGTGATTCTGTGCTGAGATAACTTCTGGGAATGACTCAGGAATATGAGACATGGCCCTTGCCCTTAATTCCAACTTCCACCATAGTTGGAAAGGCTGAAAGAAAATTATAACAACTTAAGAAATTATTTAAATAGTTTTATCTAGCACCTCACCCATAATTGCTGTGCAGAAATATTTGTGGAATGACTGTGTGCTAAATTATTGGCACAGACTGATAAATCAGACAGAAGGAGAACGGAAATAATGTAGTTGCAGAAAACAGGAAAACAATTTGCAGAAGGAATGAACCATCAGTGAAGATGGAGACAATCGGATTTGGCAATTAACTGATTTACTGATAAACTTCAAGAGCATAGATAATAGAAAGACAGTGTGACAGCTGTGTTTCTGCAAGGGCACTTGTTGAACAAAGCTCATTTCTGAGGCTGACTCCACACATCCCATTAGCAGGTGCCTCACCTGAGCTCAGGCTTTCATCTGATTCCTGAAACTCTCCTGCAATGCAAAAAACATCCCTTCTCATTATTTTGACTATTTAAATGGCTTGCTTCATGAGTTTCAGAGCAATTCTTTTAAAAATTCTCTTTATCTGCTTCCCTCTATAAACTCTCTAAGATCACCACTTTAGTTGTAGCTATTTCAAGGTTTTATTGTGCAGTCATAAAAATTGTCATGATATCGAGTTCTAAAATGGCTGTGGCAATGTGTGATAATTACATTTCATTAAAATTCCTAGTATGCTTGCCAGTAGGAAGATTTTCAAAGCCTCTAGTTAATTACTTTATCTAACAGGGTCTATGACTTTTTCAAAGGGTCCATGGTAGAAAAAATAATTGACATTTTTGTTCATGGCTCTTGCTTCATCCAAGTATGTGTGTAGATATATGTATATATGTAGTATGTATGGATAATATGTTTGTATGCATGTGTGTAGACATATATGCATATATGTATGTATATTTGATTTCGTATGATACATCATCATAGCCAAGGACAGTGCCAGACATCCAGTGTGGTTAAATTCAACTCTTCAGAAAGGAAACACCTTTTCCCTTCATCTCTATCCCATAGGAAACCAACAAAGAATTTGGCTAATGGGAAATTCAACTAGGATTCCAAATAGCCTAAGTCACTAAAACTTCTGCCTACACCTTTGTGTTCTACAGGAATCTACTTGTACCCTCAGCTCCTCCAGGGCAAAAACAAACAAAATAGGCAGAATTCTTTGAATGCATTGTGATTATAAAAACCACAGGTTTTCACTATAGTCATGTGCTTTAAAAATTAGTATTTGTACTAAAGTTGATATAAATTGGATCCACAAAAAGACTTTAGACCATTATTTTTCAAGAATATATATATACACACACATATATATGTGTGTATATATAATGTGTATATATATACACACATATATGTGTGTGTATATATAATGTGTATATATATACACACATATATGTGTGTGTATATATACATATATATGTGTATATAAATATATATACACATATATATGTGTGTGTATATATATATATATATATATTTTTTTGAGACGGAGTCTTGCTCTGTCACCCAGGCTGGAGTGCAGTGGCTCAATCTCGGGTCACTGCAACCTCTGCCTCTCAGGTTCAAGCCATTCTCCTGCCTCAGCCTCCCAAATAGCTGGGACTATAGGCATGCGCCGCCACCTGGCTAATTTTTGTTTCTTTGTTTTTTGTTTGTTTGTTTTTGGAAACAGAATCTTGCTCTGTCACCCAGCCCGGAATGCAGTGGCATGATCTCAGCTCACGGCAACCTCCGCCTCCCAGGTTCAAGTGATTCTCCTGCCTCAGCCTCCCAAGTAGCTGGGACTATAGGCGTGTGCCACCATGCCCAGCTAATTTTTGTATTTTTAGTAGAGACGGGGTTTCACCATGTTGTCCAGGCTGGTCTTGAACTCCTGTCCTCAGGCAATTCACCTGCCTCAGCCTCCCAAAGTGCTGAAATTACAGGCTTGAGCTACTGTGCCCGGCCGTTTTTTTTTTTTTTTTTTTTCTGTATTTTTAGTAGAGAGAGGGTTTTGCCACACTGGCCAGGCTGGTCTTGAACCCCTGACCTCAGACAATCCAGCCTCCTTGGCCTCCCAAAGTGCTGGGATTACAGGCGTGAGCCACCACACCCGGCCTCAAGAATAAAATTAGCCATATTTTCCTGTCTGATAGAAGATGGAGCACCTCTTACGCTTCCACTTGGCTGTGGATTGTGAATTCACTAGCCGATTATTTTGCTTCTCTAGGCATTAAGCAGTCAACTCTTCATTTTTAAATGCTAGAGGCAGAGATCATCCAGGTAGATGGATAAGCCTTAAACCATTTGGATTTAAGACAGATATACATACAGACAGACACTCAAATGCTACTGATTCCCAAACTTTGCAAAGTTACGAAAAGTTATTTATTTTGGCAACACTTTCCCCAGCAATAATTCTATATAGCATATAGTTATATGTTAATGGAGTTGTCTGTCAGTTTCTGAGCCCAGGCTGTAGTGCAGTAGCATGATGGCATGATCTCAGCTCACTGCAGCCCCGACCTCCTGGGCTCAAGTGATCTTCCCACCTCAGCCTCCCTCCAAGTAGCTGGGACCACAGGCATGTGCCAGCATGCTTAGATGTATATACCACAGGCATGTGCCAGCATGCTTAGCTATATATATATATATATATATATATATATATATATATATATATATATATATATATATATATGTTTTTTTTTTTTTTGGAGAGACAGGGTTTCACCATGTTGCCCAGGCTGTTCTTGAACTCCTGGGCTCAAGCAATCCACCTGCCTTGGCCTCCTAAAGTACTGGGATTGTAGGTGTGATCCACCACACCCAGCTCTGAGAACTTTTTTGATCATTTCTTGGCACATCCTAAAGCTAATTGGATAGCCATGAATGCTATAATTGGGTCTGTGAGTGCCACAAACCCAGGCCTGGAAACCACTGATCTCCACATTAAATGGCAGAATCATGAACAGGCCGCATGCAGTTTTCAGCTAAGTCAAAATTCTGTCACTTATCAACTAACTGTGGAGACAGCACAAGGATAACTGGTTTCACTTAAACAACGCACATAGTCCTGAAAGCATAGGTGCACTGATAGTATTCATCCATCCAACTGGAGTCATTTTCTGACCTGCTTACATCAGTACATTTCTAGACACAGCTTCCTTTGCACATGCCGCCCCCACCAATTACACGCATCCCTCTCAAAGACCCATGCATCTGAGCTACTTAGACTTAAATATATCCCTCCTGCCTTCCCCATGGAATCCAGCTGCAAAACTGTCCAGTAAGCAGTTGCTAATGTAAAGCAGTGGCCTGAACTCCAACTGCACATTAGAATCATCTGGGGAGCTTCTGAAAGTCCCTCTGTCCAGCCAAATTTGAGAACCACTCATCTGACCTAACTTCCTGTGTTTAATTAAGTTGACTTCACAGTTTTTAAGTTAAATCATCTCTAACTTAGTCCTTAGGCTGTTCTTGTTTGTGTTGCCTTTTTGTGGCTTTGTAAGTAAAATCCACCCTCTCTATCCGTGGGTTCTACATCTGTGGGTTCAACCAACTGCAGATTGAAAGAATTGAAAAAGAAAAGATGATTTCGTCTGTATTGAACCTGCATAAACTTTTTTTCCTGTGATTATTCCCTGAACAATACAGAATAACTACTAATTACATAGCATTTACATTGTATTAGATATTACAAGTAATGTAGAGATAAAGTATACAAGAGTATGTATGTAGGCTAAATGGAAATACTACATTTTATATCAGAGACTTGAGCATTTGTGGATTCGGGTATCTGCAGGGCATCCTGGACCCAATTCTCAGTGGATGCTGAGGGATGACTCGTTAGTCGCCTGTCTGTCCCTTGAGCTCCTGCTTCTCTGGATGAAGATGCTAAACGTTCAAGACATCCTAGCCAATCCACAAAAAAAGGTTGTACCCTGATATGGCTTGAAACAACCAAATTCAGTAGTACCAAGAGTATAGGGGGCTAAAGCAAAATCATAGAAGAAGTCCTGTATCTCTAGGATTTGGGGATTATATAGTAGAAGCCAAAAAGCAGCTCTGATAATTCAACATACATTGAAGACATACAACTCCCTTAAGAGAAAGCAAACCATGGCTCTGCATCTTGGTTCATCATGAATAATTGCATATCATTTTGTACACGAGTGTCAGTTATCAGCAAAGCCATCTGGGACCTTTGGCCAAACTTTACTTTGCAGTAGGACACTTTGCAACCAAGATATCACCCCAAATATGTACTGGTATAAGAGGGAGGTATGAGATCCTTTTAAATGATGCATGGAAGAACATCTTTTATTTAATAATTATTTATTTATTTGAATATATTTGAAAATATACGTGGCACAAAAAACCATAATTTTACAGTGCAGATAGTATTGTTCTGTCCACAGTTTAGAAATGCACCCATTTAAAGAAGAGTTTCTCACTCTTTAACTAGATATGAACAAAAACAATAAAGGATAAAGAAAAGTTTCAGTAGATAATGGTACACAACTGATAGACCTATATGGAAAGGAAAAAAGACAAAAGTGTGATAACACTATATTTTAACTCTGTGACAACTGTGGCCAACTTAAAATTAAATATTCTTCCTGCCTCCCCAATTAATTTTGTAGGGAGAAGGGGGAAAATAAAATGTAAAAGAAGTTATTCAGTCTTTAAGTAAGATGTGGAGGATCCCAGGAAATGACCCCCAGGGTGAAGAGCTATTATTTCAGCCAGGTTGAGATTCAGTAAGTGCAAGGACACTTAGTCCAGAGGCAATGTCATATTTACTTGGATGTAAGCCTGCAGCATCTGTGGCAGGCATGTTAGAAGGCTCAGTCTAGAAAAGTCAGTGCAAGCTCCCCGTATGTGTCTGTTGGGAAGTGAACTCTGTCTCACATAGCAGCATGCCCACTCTCTGCCGAGTATGCAGTTGAAACTGCAGAGTTCCCTGATCCCCTTCACAGGATGTGCAACAGGGGTGTGGCATGCCTGCTTGGTCACCACCACTGCTCAAACCCCTGATGAGAGGGGGAGCACGCAGATAGGCAGGTACAGGAACCAGGGCGAGTCTTTTGGGCTCCAGCCCTGCGGTAGTATCTAGGGGCGGGTGCCGACGGCCCCAGTGTTACAATGCTCTTTTAGCCTTGCCGTCTGCAGACAGCTTGTTAACCAGTTCAATGGACCCTCTGCCTTTTGACAAGGGTAGAGGGCCAATATGACAGCTTTCCGTATTCCAAGCTCTTGCCTAGCTCTTGGAAGAATCAGGTCACACACGGGCTTGAAGGATGAATGCAGGGTTTTACTGAGTGTTGGAGGTGGCTCTCAGTGGGACGGATGGGGAGCCAGAAGCAGGGATGGAGTGGGAAGATGATCTTCCCCAGTTTGGCCGCTGGATGGCCACACTCCTCTCTGACCCCTAGCCAAGCTCCTCTCAGTGTTCAGACGTTCCTCTTCTGTCTTTCTCTGCCACCTTGTTCCACCATTCGTCAGCTTGTCTCCTCATCTCCTTGTCTGCTTCCGGAGCCTGAGTTTCAGGGTTTATATGGGCACAGGATAGGTGGCATGGCAGGCCAAAAACAACTTTTGGGGTGCAAAAACAGGAATCCCTGTCCCCATTTAGGGCTGTAGATTCCCGGGCTTGAGGGTGAGGCCTTTGCCAGGAAACTACCTTCTTCTACCCAGGGTTTCCCTGTCTTCTGTCCATATCACAATGTTCTTAGAAGGATAAGAAAAGACACAAAAGAAAGCCTGACAAGTTTGCTAATGTCTGGGGTATATGAGAGTTGGCTCGCCCCATGATGGGCTCCAATTAAATTCATCTCTGTCTTCCTCATGTGCCATTCTTCCCTGGCTCACATTAGAAATTCAGGAGCGGAGAACAAAGCAGCCAAGTTTGTTTTTCCAGAGCAAGAGGGGTCTGGTGAAAGCAGTCCTGACAGCTGCACCGTGTGTCTTGGTGAACTAACGGCTTTTACGTGTTTCATTCAAGACTGTTTAGTCTGCGTGCTAAGGATTCATATATCAGTTTTTGGCTCTAGTGACATTGAGGTAGTTTGATTTCCAATGATTTCGTTGTCATCTGTATTTGCCTACAGTGAAAGAAATAACTGAGAGTCGAGTTAGTGCAGGGTCACTTAAAAGCTTGCCTTTCTTCATTCACTCTCCTTAATGATATTGCCAGTGCTTCTAAAAAAAAGAAAAAAGAAAAAAACTAAGGCAGCAGCTCTTAATAAATAACACCTGGAGCAGAATCGGTAAACTGCTTTCACGTTGGCTTTTGCAGAAGTGGCAATGCATTGAGGATACATCTGGCAAGCTTCGAATTCACAAGTGTAAAGGACCCAGTGACCTGCTCACAGTCCGGCAGAGCACGCGGAACCTCTACGCTCGCGGCTTCCATGACAAAGACAAAGAGTGCAGTTGTAGGGAGTCTGGTTACCGTGCCAGCAGAAGCCAAAGAAAGAGTCAACGGCAATTCTTGAGAAACCAGGGGACTCCAAGTAAGCCACGCTTTTGTGACCATCTCAATGGTGGCCTAGGCCTGTGGGAATAAACAATAGAGAGACGAAAGGGTTGCTCCTTCTACATTTTAGATATTATCAATGCATCATTTTCAGGCTAAAAGCACATCATTGCTCTATTTAAAATAAGAAAGCTAAGACTAATGTGACATTTTGCTTTGTAAACATTTTCACTTAAGCATAGAATGAAAATATAGTTCATAAAAGCACCAGATGCAAAACATATGCACACATAAAAGAGTTTATAAAATGGTTATTCCAAAAGGTAAAGGATATGGTTTAAGTCCATTTTATTTTATCGTAATGCCAACATCTCCTGACTTGTCTGCCTGAAGTTGCTTTTAAAAAATAGTAAATACAAGGTTTCAGTGTGTATGCATTTAATTTTAAGAGGAAAAGCATAAACACTTTTTTAAGGCATATATTTTAATCTCTGTTTTAGGACAATATATGTATGTTTTAATTCTGTCAAATCATTGGATCTCGTTGATTGGCAGGGACAAACTAGTTGCATTCAGTATGAAAAATACTTCCTAGAATTTTCTTAATAGCTATAAGAAACCTACGATTATATAAATGTGAAAATCCACGGGCTGACACCCTCCACGAAAGAATGAATCTAGTACCACCTAGTGGAGTAACATGGAAAATGACTCAATTTTATGGTGATTTCTTTCTATACTGGTTTGGAAAGAAGCAATTTAAGTAAATTAAATTCTATGTCAAAGATTTGGAAATCAAATCATACACTAGAACAATGGAAGCCCTGAGAACAGGCATTTTTATTGTAGACTCCACAATATGGGCTTCAGGGCCATGCCCTGATATTTCATCCAAAATTGTTGTGTTTTCCATGTGTATATGGACATTTGTTTCCATGTCAACAATTTTTAACAAATTTTAAAGGAATCCGTAAGCCAAAATACTAAGAATCTTTGATTTGGGAGACTTTTTTTCTTCCCTAACAGAAAAATTCCAGGTCTAATAACTCACACAAAGATATCAAATTTCTGAAAATCAATAAGGCCAGGCGCGGTGACTCACATCTGTAATCCCATCACTTTGGGAGGCTGAGGCAGGCAGATCATTTGAGGTCAGGGGTTCCAGACCAGCCTGACCAAACTGGTGAAACGCCATCTCTACTAAAATTACAAAAAAAATTAGCTGGGCATGGTGGCACACGCCTGTAATGCCAGCTACTTCTCGGAAAGCTGAGGCAGGAGAATTGCTTGAACCTGAGATGCAGAGGTGGCAGTGAGCCGAGATCGCACCACTGCACTCCAGCCTGGATGACAGAGCAAGACTCCGTCTCAAAAAAAAAAAAAATTAATAAGGGACGAGGACCCCAGCATGCTCTTTTTTCAGAAGCTGATTAGCAACATTCAGTTTAGAAGTAGGAGTGCCCTCTTCTCTTCCAGAAAGTTCGACCTTGTTTCCCAGGCACTGGGCATAAGGCACATTGATTTTTCAGTATTAGGCACAAACACAAGTCTAGGGCAGCTCTCTCAAACTGTATGGAATCTTGTGTATTTGAGAGCAGGAGTCGGTTTTCACCCTTTCTGCAAGGATGGAACTCGTAAGCACTCTTATTGACACCCCTACTGTCACGGAGGTTGCTCCCTGATCTGGAAACTGCAGGATTCAGCTGAGAGGTGTCTCAGAAGCATGACAATTCTGATTCCACAGCCAGTATGCCCCACTTCTTTCTATGTTAGCAGCAGGCTAGAGCGATAAGGCCAGACGAATATGCCTCTACAGAGCTAAGAGCATCTAGTGTTTGTGCATTAAAGTTCTTATCTGGTACACATGAGTTCTTGAAAAGGTTCCATAGTCACCAGAAAGCATGCTGCCCTCTCCCCATCCCTGCCCGCCCACCCCTTGCCTTAACCCTCCTCTGCCAGGTATAAAAGTGAGTTGGCTGATGAAAGCATTAACAAAATTTAATTCTTCTTAGAGTAATCCTCTACTATTTGTACAAATAGAAGTTGTCTAGAGCATTTGCCTCTTTGAAAAAGCAGCCCAATGTAGTGGTAAGACTTCATAGTCTCAGAAGATTATAGTCCTAGCTCCATAACCTTGCAAAATGTATGTGACATTCAAAACTTCAGTTTTCTCGTCCATAAAATAAGGATGAACCGGTATTGACAATCTGATGTTTTTGTATGTAAGGGTTTTTATAATAATACCTGTCTTTCAAGACTCCAGATTAGAGATAAATATGAAGTATATAATACATAGCAAAAGCTCAATAAAGGATAGTCATTATTATTAACACCATAATTGGGAATATGGTTTTATCCAAAAAAATAGCCTGAGCAGTTCACATTGAAAACCAAATGTAGAAGTTCACAGCCTGCCATGAATAAAAAGGATCCTAGAAATCACCTGGACTAACCCCCTCACTTGACGGATGAAGGGCTGGAGGCCCAGAGAAGTGTGTCATCCATCACACTGCCAGGCAATGGCACTGCCAGGCAATGGCACTGCCAGGCAATGGCACTGCCAGGACAACCTCTGCTACCGTGAATTGCAGGCACCACGATGCCACTCAGCAATGCAGCATGGACTGCTTTCTCCACTCCAGGATCCCTTCTGGACCAGGTGATCACTTTCTTCCCTTGTAAGCTACATCAGGACATCCATAGTAATGTATCTTCCCTTACTTCTAGAGTACAAGCCCAGATTTGTCCATACTCGGCAGACACGTTCCTTGTCCGTCGAATTTGAAGGTGAAATATATGACATAAATCTGGAAGAAGAAGAAGAATTGCAAGTGTTGCAACCAAGAAACATTGCTAAGCGTCATGATGAAGGCCACAAGGGGCCAAGAGATCTCCAGGCTTCCAGTGGTGGCAACAGGGGCAGGATGCTGGCAGATAGCAGCAACGCCGTGGGCCCACCTACCACTGTCCGAGTGACACACAAGTAAGAAAGCTTTATTTGTTCACTAGGGTTGAGTTCAGAATTACCACCACAACACACCATATTATCACCATTTTGCACTTGGCAAAAAAGCAGTATCACTTGGCAATACAGTGCCTGAGGGCTGGCCTATGTAGCAACTGGGGGTTAAAGAAACAATGAGTCCACGCAATCATAGGCTTGGACACATGCTTTGGGTTTGATTTCACATTAAGACTGATCAGCTAGGAATCCAGCCAGAGTAATTCACATTAAGGCTGATCAGCTAGGAATCCAGCCGGAGTAATTCCGTCACATCTTGACTTAGCAGGCATGGAGTTCATGAGCCTAAGCAGTTACCTTCGCAGGCATCTAGAAAACAGATGGAAACAATTTCAGAGGCTGGAAGTTCTTCCATGTTACACAATCACTGTCACTTGGAGCAGTTGTGTAGTCACAGACTCAGAAACGAAACACAGTCCAAGGGAGGACAGTGAGTCCCAGAGACGCTTCCAGAGAGATGATGTAGGTTACAAATGGATGTAAGACATACAAACATCTAACCAGTCCCGGATCACAGAGAGGGCCCTGGAAGTCAAGGGGACAGGGAAGGCAGATGATTCCCTCATAAGTTTAATGAACTCACTTTGTTCTTTGGCTCCATCCAAAGTCTACTTACTCTCTTGATTAGGAAATGTTTTCTTTCTGAATTTATTAGCAAGATCTTTGTTTTCTCTCCCTAATTGTATCACTTTGAGGAGATGGGACACTGTGTGCTCTGCCAGGATTTTTATCTCTGAGGCTCTGGTCTCCTGGTGCCTGAAGTTGATGCAGTTATATACTAAGGGGTTTAGACCAGAATGCATTTCTCTTACATTATTAACCCCACATCCCACCTACTGTCTATCCCTGGGGCTGTTTGTTTACTTCAAAACTCAGTGGGGTACTTAAGGCACTCTCTTTTTAACAAAATGAGTGGAATGAATTCCCCTTCTGAATCTGCTTTTCTTCAAACAAGCCATTTGCATTATGATGTGAAAGGTCCCTTTTGTTCTATGTCTATTTGAACTTGAGTTTTTTGGTGGTATCCTGTTCATGAGGGTGTGAGCATTGAAAACTGCCTTGAAAAGTGGTTGTAGGGATGATCTTAGTCACAGAGCTGTGACACCATCCACCCATGTGACATTTTGTCCTCACTGGTGGCTAGAACCTATTGTGTCCAGAATTGGTGGGTTCTTGGTCTCACTGACTTCAAGAATGAGGCTGCGGACCCTCGTGGTGAGTGTTACAGCTCTTAAGGTGGCGCATCTGGAGTCTGTCCCTTCTGATGTTCAGATGTGTTCGGAGTTTCTTCCTTCTGGTGGGTTCGTGGTCTCGCTGGCTCAGCAGTGAAGCTGCAGACCTTCGCGTGAGTGTTACAGCTCTTAAGGCAGCGCGTCTGGAGTTGTTCGTTCCTCCCAGTGGGCTCGTGGTCTCGCTGGGCTCAGGAGTGAAGCTACAGATCTTCGCGGTGAGTGTTACAGCTCATAAAAGCGGCGTGGACCCAAAGAGTGAGCAGTAGCAAGATTTATTGCAAAGAGCGAAAGAACGGAGCTTCCACAGTGTGGAAGGGGACCCAGGCAGATTGCCACTGCTGGCTCCGGCAGCCTGCTTTTATTCTCTTATCTGGCCCCACCCACATCCTGCTGATTGGTAGAGCGGAGTGGCCTGTTTTGACAGGGTGCTGATTGGTGCATTTACAATCCCTGAGCTAGATACAAAGGTTCTCCACTTCCCCATCAGATTAGTTAGTTACAGAGTTTTGACACACAGGTTCTCCAAGGCCCCACCAGAGCAGCTAGATACAGAGTGTCGATTGGTGCATTCGCAAACCTTGAGCTAAACACAGGGTGCTGATTGGTGTGTTTACAAACCTTGAGCTAGATACAGTGTCAAATGGTGTATTCACAATCCCTGAGCTAGACATAAAGGTTCTCCAAGGCCCCACCAGAGCAGCTAGATACAGTGTCGATTGGTGCAGTCACAAACCTTGAACTAAACACAGGGTGCTGATTGGTGTGTTTACAATCCCTGAGCTAGACATAAAGGTTCTCCGAGGCCCCACCAGAGCAGCTACATACAGAGTGTCAATTGGTGCACTCACAAACCTTGAGCTAAACACAGGATGCTGATTGGTGTGTTTACAATCCCTGAGCTAGACATAAAGACTCCACGTCCCCACCAGACTCAGGAGCCCAGCTGGCTTCACTTAGTGGATCCCGCACAGGGGCTGCAGGTGGAGCCGTCTGCCAGTCCCGCGCCATGCGCTCGCACTCCTCAGCCCTTGGGTGGTCGATGGGACTGGGAGCCATAGAGCAGGGGGTGGTGCTCGTCGGGGAGGCTCGGGCTGCACAGGAGCCCATGGAGTGGGTGGGAGGCTCAGGCATGGCGGGCTGCAGTCCCGAGGCCTGCCCTGCGGGAAGGCAGCTAAGGCCCGGTGAGAAATCGAGCGCAGCGCCGGTGGGCTGGTACTGCTGGTACCTCCGCAGCCGCTGGCCCGGGTGCTAAGCCCCTCACTGCCCGGGGCCGCAAGGGCCGGCCGGCCTCTGCGAGTGTGGGGCCAGCCAAGCCCACGCCCATCCGGAACTCCAGCTGGCCCGCAAGCACCGCAGGCAGCCCCGGTTCCCATTCGCGCCTCTCCCTCCACACCTCCCTGCAAGCTGAGGGAGCCGGCACTGGCCTTGGCCAGCTCAGAAAGGGGCTCCCACAGTGCAGCAGCGGGCCGAAGGGCTCCTCAAGTGCCGCCAAAGTGGGAGCCTACGCAGAGGAGGCGCGGAGAGCGAGCGAGGGCTGTGAGGACTGCCAGCACGCTGTCACGACTGCCAGCACGCTGTCACCTCTCAATATTCCCATTGATGCTGGTCTTGGATCAGCTCAACGGTTACTGCATGTATCAACATTAAGGATTTTGAGGATTAAAATTTCTCTTTGTTATCTTTAGTGTTTTCTGCTATTAGAATATAAACCTATTTCACATGGTTTTGGTTTGTTTTGCAGGTGTTTTATTCTTCCCAATGACTCTATCCATTGTGAGAGAGAACTGTACCAATCGGCCAGAGCGTGGAAGGACCATAAGGCATACATTGACAAAGAGGTTAGCCATGGCTATGTGACTGTCAGATATATTCCAAACTCAAACTCGGCCTGCCAGCCCTGCTGTGTCTGGTGGGACATACCACAGATACACATCATCTATAATTATGTGAAAAAATACAAAAAAAAAAAGTTATTTGTCTTTCTCCAGTGATTTAATGATAGTCCTACTGAAAACAATATAGAGTATGAGAAGAGACTGGGAACTGACTCAATGGTCTTTTGAAATCTCTGTGAGAAAATGATTCAGTTATAAAAGAGGAATCTGCTAATGTTTATCTATAACACATGGGTTGGAATATAGAGTCTATATAGACATATTCTATGCCCAGTTTGTTTCTATGTTAAGTATCATCTCAGATGAATAGCTGTTATTACAGAACAGAGAAAACAAGGTGAAAAGAAAAGTACTTTGTAAAGAAAATCCTGATCTTAATACGTAAGTGCTTGAAAACATGTTTTCCAGATTGAAGCTCTGCAAGATAAAATTAAGAATTTAAGAGAAGTGAGAGGACATCTGAAGAGAAGGAAGCCTGAGGAATGTAGCTGCAGTAAACAAAGGTGAGCTTGTTTCCATCCATGCTCCACTTTCCAAATTCATTTCCGCACAAGCCAGAGGCATTAGCACTGGGCTCATTTTTCTCTCTTACCTATAGAATGTATTGTCATAGAGTACGATAACCTAAGCTATTTAAGTAAAACTAAATATGCTTAAACTTAAGCAGAAAGTAAAAAGTCACATTCAGCTAAAATACTTACAACATCACTGCCTTCCTTCTTTCTATTTTGCTTTCTTTTTATAAAATGAACACTTTGATCCAATGCAAGGCTATGAAGTCTCACTTTTTAATCTTCTCTCCTGCAGCTATTACAATAAAGAGAAAGGTGTAAAAAAGCAAGAGAAATTAAAGAGCCATCTTCACCCATTCAAGTAAGTAACTCTCTGTTTTCCACATTTGCTGGGAGTCAATGACTGTCCACCTGGCCCTTCGAAGAGGCTGGAGGGACCCCTGTGTTTCCTGCAGTGCCGCTTCAGAAGAAGTAGATCCATCTAGGAGGGCACCTAGCTCATGAAGTTGAAAGCAAAGCCCCACCTCACCAAGGGACCGTGGCAATGCTCTTGGCATCCTTTGTTGGGGAGGCTTGCTGAACTCCACTGTCATTCTGTGGGTGCTCCCTACCTGGCAGATGGGACCAGTAACTAGATTTTACTCCATGCACTGCTTTCTGTGGAGAGTGCTTGAGGGTTACAGACTCTCTCGATGCAGTTGGTGTTCTACAGAGCAGCCTGGAATAGTGCTGAATTCTGAAAGTGGGAAGAAATATAAATTTTTTTAAATAATAGCAAAATTTGCATGTGAAGGAGATTTAGTATTTAAACTTCAACAAAGTTTAAGCCTTTTATATATAAAAAACAAAATAATAAAAAATAATTCTAAAAAATAAAGGCTATCTAAACTTGTTTAGTAGAATTTGTCAAAGAATTTTTTAAACTTTTTAATCCAAGCCATCTGATTCAACTAACCTTTAACTCGATGGCTGATTGGTACTCGGCTGCCAAAAAAATGAGCCATTTGTCCAAAGAGTGTGGCTAGCAGGATCCTGTCATTCACATTAACATTTATTTCCATCGATGTTTCCATGCACATGAGGAGGAAAATGTTGGTCCTCTTAGGTTCAATAAGGTCCCAAGAAAGCTGTCACTGAATGCATTTGCATTCAGTGTTCCTTTTTTGTTGTTTTTTCGAGACAGAGTCTCACTCTTTTGCCCAGGCTTTAGTGCGGTGGTGCAATCTTGGCTAACTACAACCTCCACCTCCTGGGTTCAAGAGATTCTTGTGCCTCATCCTCCCTAGTAGCTGGGACTACAGGTGTGCGCCACCACATCCAGCTAATTTTTATATTTTTAGCAGAGACAGGGTTTCACCGTGTTGGCCAAACTGATCTCAAACTCGTGACCTCAAGTGATCCGCCCACCTTAGCCTCCCAAAGTGCTGGGATTACAGGTGCAAGTCACTGTGCCCAGCCTGCCTTCACTATTCCTGATTCTATTTTAAGTCCCTCTATACAAAATGAAGGTCGTCCATTATCTCTTATCAAGGCATCTAAATATTTGTGCAAGACTCACAGCAACAAGCCTATTTGTAATTGAGAAAGTGCCTTCTGAACACTCAAAATAATCCCTTCTCTTGGAACAGGGAGGCTGCTCAGGAAGTAGATAGCAAACTGCAACTTTTCAAGGAGAACAACCGTAGGAGGAAGAAGGAGAGGAAGGAGAAGAGACGGCAGAGGAAGGGGGAAGAGTGCAGCCTGCCTGGCCTCACTTGCTTCACGCATGACAACAACCACTGGCAGACAGCCCCGTTCTGGAACCGTAAGTTGCTTGTTCCAAATGCCACTTCCTGCCGCCATGCAGAGACAGCGACTCATAACTTAGATCAGAAATTCAGCATAAAATGAGGAATCTACAAAGATTCAAGAGAAAGGCATCATATTCTACTCTATACTGGAAACTCAAATGATTTTGCCATGTATTACTGTTTTCTTTAAATTTTTTCTGGCATTTTGTTTGGTAATGCCAAGCTTCTCCCTGGCTTTTTCCTCCTGATGATGTTGTTTCACATAATACCCAGCACCTGGCACAGTTTTTACCCAGTAGAACTGTTCTATAGCTAAATAACGCAAGGGATGAACATCCCGTAAATGGATGAACAATTTTGCCCCAAATAGATTTTGTTTCTGCTTTATTTCAAGTACATAAGTGTAATAAAAGGAAGAAAAAGAATGGTAAAAGCCTCTTAAATGCAGGGCCCATACTCTACTTATTCTCAGTCCACTTCAGTACCAGCACTAGACTTGTAGAATAATAGATACTCTACAAAATTATTTGGTTTTACATTGAACTGCTAAGGATATGGCATAATAACATTTGTGCACTTTTAAAATAGTGCTTATATTTTCTTTAGTGGCCTGTGCACATTATTCACTGAGGCCATATAGAAGTAATACCCCACATTCTTATAGTACATCCTCTGATTGAAGCTTACCAGCCTATAGAGTAGATGAAACACAAAATCTTCTAACTGAGAAGCTCACTGGAGACCACCCGGGCTACTGTTTCTCAAACTGGGATTTGGAGACTCCAAAGAATTGATAGACCATTCTTGGGGGGATCTAGGGCTTGTCCTAGGAGACTTTATGTTTTCCCTTTCCATTTTGATGTCTCTTGATTTCAGGGTCCATGTTTGCATTTCTGTTTAAAATCACATCGAGGCCGAATGAACTCTTAAAGTCACAGCATTTAACTTTTAATCTAGTTTCTGAAACTGTGGTGTGGGAATCCCTGAGGGTTATTCAGATCGCTGGGGACAGTAACTGGGGACGCAACATCTAGCAAGACACTTTATTTTCTGTGCTCATATTTTAATGGGGTACAGGTAGAAAAAAAAGAAAGTAAATGAAACAAAATAATTATGAGTTGTAGTAATGCTATGAAGGAAACAGTGATCAACATTGTTTTTTATTATTATACTTTAAGTTTTAGGGTACATGTGCACAACGTGCAGGTTTGTTACGTATGTATACATGTGCCATGCTGGTGTGCTGCACCCATTAACTCGTCATTTAGTATTAGGTATATCTCCTAATGCTATCCCTCCCCCCTGCCCCCACCCTGCAACAGTCCCCGGTGTGTGATGTTCCTCTTCCTGTGTCAACATTTTTAAATGGGACTCTTTCGGAGAGCGTGGGGAAGACGGGTCTTTGAGGTGAAATTTAGGCTGAAACCTAAAGGATAGAGAGAAGCGATCCCTGTGGGAGGGAGCGTGTTCCAGGCAGAGGGAACAGTGCAAGCAGAGGTCCTGAGGGAGTCTCACCTTTGGTTTATCCAGGAGTGGAAGCTCCTTGAAAGCTGAAGCATTGCAAAACACAGGGTTATAGTTGCTTATGGCAGAAGGAGGCCCTTCATACCTCTATCTGCTTTTTATCATCTGAGTTGAGGCCATCCTGCTCAAGCCACCACCATTTCTTACCTCGGCCACTGCCAGACCTCCTCTGTGGCCTCCCAGGCTCCCCTCTGGTCCTCACCAGTCCATCCTGCTCAGAGGAGCTAGGGTGATCTTTTAAGGACACCTGCTTTTCTTAAGCTAAAGAGCAGAATCCCTTCACCTGACCCCAGAAGGCTGAGGCTTCAGTGAGCTGTGATCGTGCCCTCACACTCCAGCCTGGGCGATAGAGTGAGACGCTGTCTCAAAAATAAAATAAAATATAGCAAAATCCTTAACATATCCAACAAAACCCCATATGCTCCTATCCAATCTTACACTGGGACCATTGCCTCCTGTTCTTGCCTGCTTCAGCCACTCAACTTCTCTTTATTCCACAAGCATCTCAAGCTCCCTCTCGCCATGGGGCCTTTGCACTTGTTTCCCCTCCCTGGAAGGCTCTTGCCCACAGCCCCGTGCCCAGAAAACACTACTCACCCTTCAGACCTCAATTGCGGTGTCACTGCTCGTGGACACCCTCTCTGTGCCTCAGACTAGGGTCCGCCCATTTGATACGCTCTATCAGCAAGCTCTGTTTTTCCCCCATGGGACGTATCACATTTGTAATCATAGTTTTTTTGACTACTGTTTTTGCTTAACTGTTGTCCTTTCCACTAGACTGTGAGTTTCTCAAGATAAAAAACCATGTCTCTATGATACTGTATTCCTGACCCAAAGGAATTGCTTAGTCAATTTTAGGTGAATAAATAAACAAACAAGCAAGCCACCCTGTCCAGATCAAATCAACTCATGTCAATTTAACAAAGCTTTGAGTGCCTGCCACTGGGTGTCACTGTGCTGGTGAGTGAGGAACGTGCCTGCCATCACTCTGCTCTTGTACACAGGAGCGAATTAGGAACTGATCCCATTCAATACCAAATTTGATGCTCCTTCTGATACACAATGTATTCTTGGTGCTCTGGTATTCTAGGACAGTGGCTTCCAGAATTTTTTCCCAAAAAGCCACAGTAAAAAAATGCACCTTATATCAGGATCCTGTACACATATGTGCACATACACAAGTATATATGTGTATCTGTGTGTATATGTAATATATATACTAAAGTAAAAATTTCAAAAAAGTAATACTATGTGTGCTATGCTTAAATATTTTTATCCATTTTCTATTACATATTTTAATAATATTATTGCTGTATTCCTCATATTTGCTATGTCAACTTAAGCCCTTGGCACAGTGAGACTCAATAACATGAAAAAAAGAAGAAGAAAAGAAAAGTCAAATCCACCCAGGCACAAGATCCTCCAATGCAATGGTCTCTAAACATTTTTTTATTATGTACCCATATCAATTTTTAAAATAAACACACCGTCTATATTTCATTACACTAATATACAAACATGCCTGTGTATTATGAAAATATACAAAATAAAAAGGCCAAGAACAGCAATTCATGCCTGTAAACCCAGCACTTTGGGAGGCCAAGGTCAGAGGATCAGCTGAGCCCAGGAGTTCAAGACCAGCCTGAGCAACATGGTGAAACCTTGTCTCTACAAAAAAATACAAAAATTAGCCGGGCTTGGTGGTGCCCGCCTGTAGTCCCAGCTACTCGGGAGGCTGAGGTGGGAGAATCACTTGAGCATGGGAGGTGAAGGCTGCAGTGAGCCATGATTGTACTCCAGCCTGGGTGACAGAGTGAGACCGCATGTCAGAAGAAAAAAAAAAAAGAAAAGAAAGAAAAAGAAAATACACAAAATAGAAATGTAAAGTTTGAGATAAACGTTTAAAAAAGAGTTTTTAAAAATAGTTTTCATATTCTTTGGAGGTCCAAAACATTTTGTTCTCACTTATTAAAGAATGCTTAAGGAAAACAAATCTCAGTGTCCCACTTAACAATGCAGTGAGACATTCAGTTTATGTTTGATGTGTGATCTTAATTGCTTTCATATGAAACATGACTCAGAAAGATTTTCTGGTTCCATAGATGTGCTTCACGGCATGCTGAGTCAATCAGGACATTCTTTTTTTTTTTTTTTTTGAGATGGAGTTTCGCTCTTGTTGCCCAGGCTGGAGTGCAATGGTGCGTTCTCAGCTCACTGCAACCTCCGCCTCTTGGGTTCAAGTGATTCTCTTGCCTCAGCCTCCCAAGTAGCTGGGATTACAGGCGGCCACCACCACGCCTAGCTAATTTTTTTGTATTTTTAGTAGAGACAGGGTTTCCCCATGTTGGCCAGGCTGACCTCACCTGAGATCACCTGACCTCAGGTGATCCACCCGCCTCGGCCTCCCAAAGTGCTGGGATTACAGATATGAGCCACTGCACCCGGCCAGGACATTCATTTATTTATTTATTTTATTATTTTTATTTTTATTATATTTTAAGTTCTGTGGTGCATTTGCAGAACGTGCAGTTTTGTTACATAGGAATACACGTGCCATGGTGGTTTGCTGCACCCATCAACCCGTCATCTACGTTAGGTATTTTTTAATGCCACCATTAACTAGGCAGTCATCTCTATTGAAATTACACTTTTAAATGTCTGTCCTCCCTGAGATTGATCAATTATTCTTGCAAATACAAAGGTATTGTATTTGTATATTTCATGAAACAAGTTTAAAACCCATTTAAACGGTTAATTTGGAAGATTTCTACACAGATTAGAAAATTTGGGTTCCGTGGTTTTTAATGTATGTAGATGTGAGATAAATGTTCACATATAAATAATATGTTATAAATAACATAATTAGAGATCTTTTAATGAAAAGTCGTATAATGATGAAAGCATTTTCAATCATCCATTTTTAAGATATTATCTTTTCTTCACCTGTATTTGATCTAATCTGGTTCATTCAATTCAATTTAGGATTTTTTCCCCACAGCTACCCCTTCATATCGTTTCCTATAAGCTTTAGGTCTTTCTTTGAAATAAGCATATGTAGTTTGTTATCTGATTTGTTAATATCAAATCTCAAGTATTAAGGCTTTTTAATGTTTTGATATAATTTAGAAGTTCTTTAGAATAGATGGTTTTCATTAGGTGACATTCCTAGAATTATTGTCATAAGTTATTATAAATGTGGTAACATATTTTACTTAAAGGGTGCACATCTATTACAAAGACTGTTTGCGTTAAATAAAAGGTCAGAAAGGATATGAAAAGTTTAAGAGCGTAAAAGTTGGCTGGGCACAGTGACTCACACCTGTAATCCCAGCACTTTGGGAAGCCGAGGCAGGTGGATCGCTTGAGCCCAGGAGTTCAAGACCAGCCTGGGCAACATGGTGAAACCCTATCTCTACCAAAAAAATATGAAAATTATCCGGGCTTGCCTGTAGTCCCAGCTACTTGGGAGGCTGAGGTGGGAGAGTCACTTGAGCCCCAGTGGAGGAGGCTGCAGATCACACCACTGGGCGACAGAGTGAGACCCTGTCTCAAAGAAAAAAAAAGAGAGAGAGGCGGAGAGAATAAAAGTTTTAAGTTGGAGAACATAATGTGTAAAAAAAAATTTTTTTCTTTTTGAGATGGAGTTTCACTCTTGACCCCCAGGCTGGAGTGCAATGGTGCGATCTTGGCTCACTGCAACCTCCGCCTCCCGGGTTCAAGTGATTCTCCTGCCTCAGCTGGGATTACAGGCGCCTGCCACCATGCCTGGTTAATTTTTGTATTTTTAGTAGAGAAGGGGTTTCGCCATGTTGGCCAGGATGGTCTCAAACTCCTGAACTCAGGTGATCCGCCCACTGCAGCATCTCAAAGTGCTGGGATTATAGGCGTGAGCCACCGCACCTGACCGTGTAAAAATATTTAAATTAGCTAATCAACTAAAAACAAAATCATTCCTGGAGGGAGAGAGGGTTGAATAGGCAGAACACAGGATTTTTAGAGCAGTGAAACTACTCTATGTGATACAACAATGGCAGATAAATGTCATCATGCATTGTCCAAACCCAGAGGATGTGCAACACCAAGAGTAAACACAAATGTAAACTATGAACTTTGAGTGACAATGATGTCTCAATATAGGCTCATTGATTGTAACAAATGTGCCACCCTGGTGAGGGATGTCTATGGTGAGAGAGGTTATGTATCTGTGGGGACTGGGGTTATAAATAAGAATGCTCTGTACTTTTCCCTCAAAACCGCTCTAAAAAATAGTCTATTAAAATAATTTTTTAAAATCATTTCTCATTCATTGTTTAAAACATCTCTTTTAGCCTAAGGGGACAGATTTAGTGTGTCTGATACTACATAGGATAGCAGAGTCTAGTAATTAAGAGTAAACTCTTGCCCGGGTGTGGTGGCTCACGCCTGTAAGCCCAACACTTTGAGAGACCGAGGCAGGCAGATCGCTTGAGTGTCGGAGTTCGAGACCAGCCTAGGCAACATGCCAAGACCAATCTCTACAAAAAATAAAATATTAGCCGGGTGTGATGGTGCATACCTGTAGTCCCAGCACCACAGGCGGCTGAACTGACAGGATCACTTGAGCCTGGGAGGTCAAAGCTGCAGTGAGCCTTAATCATGCCACTGCACTCGAGCTTGGGCAACAGAGCAAGAAACTGTCTCAAAAAAAAAAAAAAGTAAACTCTGTAGCCAGATCCCAGTGCTACCAGTTGTCAGCCAGGTGACCTTGGACAAATTACTTAACATCTCCTTGCCTCAGGTTTTTCCATCTGTTAACATGAGGATGATAATAATAACCTCTGTCTCAAGAGGTAGCTTTGGGGATTAAATGAGTTAAAGTACATAGTGCACAAGGAATGCTCATTACGTGTACCTATCCTATTAGGTTGGTGCAAAAGCAATTGCAGTTTCAGACCGTGAATTTTAAATCATTATAACTGGGCTCAAACACATCTTTCTCAATCAAAATAGGAACCATTACACCCAACGCATTTTCGCCACGAGAAATAAGTTTGTTTATTCCTGTAGCATAAAAATTCATGTTTCAGACCGGGCGCGGTGGCTCACACCTGTAATCCCAACACTTTGGGAGGCCGAGATGGGCAGATCACGAGGTCAGGAGATCAAGACCATCCTGGCTAACACGGTGAAACCCCGTCTCTACTAAAAATACAAAAAAATTAACTGGGGGTGGTGGCGGGCGCCTGTAGTCCCAGCTACTTGGGAGGCTGAGGAAGGAGAACGGTGTGAACCCAGGAGGCGGAGCTTGCAGTGAGCCGAGATCGCTCCACTGCACTCCAGCCTGGGCGACAGAGCGATACTCCATCTCAAGAAAAAAAAAAAAATTGTGCTTCAGGATTCAATGAACTCTTGGAAAGCATTTTCTACGTTCTGCTGGTTGTGGAAGTGTTTTCCCTACAGAAAGTTGTCGAGATGCTTGAAGAAGTGGTAGTCGATTGGCGAGAGGTCAGGTGAATACAGCAGATGAGGCAAAACTTCGTAGCCCAATTTGTTCAACTTTTGAAGCGTTGGTTGTGTGACATTCAGTCAGGCACTGTCGTGGAGAAGAATTGGGCCCTTTCTGTTGACCGATGCCGGCTGCAGACATTGCAGTTTTTGATGCATCTCATTGATTTGCCGAACATACTTCTCAGATGTACTGGTTTGGCCAGGATTCAGAAAGCTGTAGTGGATCAAACCAGCAGCAGGCCACCAAAGAGTGACCGTGACCTTTTTTGGTGTGAATTTGGCTTTGGGAAGTGCTTTAGAGCTTCTTCTTGTTCCAGCCACTGAGCTGTTCATCGCACGTCACAATCTGATTAAGAAATGGTTCGTTGTTGTTGCATAGAATAAGAGAAGACAACACTTCAAAACGACAATATTTTTTATTTTCCTCTCAGCTCATAAGGCACCCACTTACCGAGCTTTTTCACCTTTCTGATTTGTTTCAAATGCCAAATGACCATAGAAGGGTCGACGTTGAGTTCTTCCACAAATTCTCATGTAGCTGTAAGAGGATCAGCTTCAATGATTGCTCTCAAGGTCATTGTCAACTTCCAATGGTCCACCACTACACTCCTCATCTTCAGGGCTTTCATCTCCTTTGCAAAACTTGTTGAACCACCACTCCACTGTATGTTCGTTAGCAGTTCCTGGGCCAAATGCTTTGTTAATGTTGCGAGTTGTCTCCGCTGCTTTACGATCCATTTTGAACTCAAATAAGAAAATCACTCGAATTTAGTTTTTGTCTAACACCATTTCCATAGTCTAAAATAAACATGAAGAGCAAGTAATACATTATTAGCAAAAAAATAAAGCAAGAAATGCCCATTAAAATGATGATTAATATAACCACATTTATTGAAGAATGTATTCCAATATCAAACAGCAAATTTCAACAATGCAAAAACCGTAATTACGTTTGCACCAACCTAATAGTTGTTTCTAAAAAAATTTTGCTGGGCCAGGCACAGTGGTGCATGCCTGTAGTCCCAGCTACTTGGGAAGCTGAGGATCACTTGAGCCCAGGAGTTCTAGTCCAGCCTGGGTAACATAGAGAGACCCCATCTCTTAAAAAATACTTGTTAGGCAGCACATTTCTGAAATTCAAGAAAGGTCAGCAAATTTGGAACATGTGCCCTTTTGTAAACAGAAGAGTAGATGAGTTGATTATAAATGGGACATCTCTTCTGCATACATTCTACAAGTTAACCAGAGGGCTATGTGGTATAAAAGATGTTTGTGGTCACAGCCTAGCTCAGGCTAGAGTGTTGCAGAGACCATCCCAAATCCTCCAGGCTGGGCTCAAGGCTTCTCTAAACCCTTCTTTGTTGCAAAATCCCATCTTTTCATGCTTCATTGGTGACATGTGGCCATCTGCCACATAGAACAAGTGAGAGTACTAGTTCCATATCTTTATTAAATAACCATTTTTCTTTTGTACAAAGAATAAATAGAAATTCTGATATTTTTCTTCTCATACTTCCGTCACTCACCCCTCTTTGGAAACCACTGCATAACAGAGCTAAGGGGAGGATAAACTAATGTGCCTGAAATTTTACTTTAGTCTTCAGCCTATAAGAGATCACTATCTTTTTTCCCATTTTCACCTAGTTTCACAGCAAATTTACCTACGGGGGGAAAGGTATTATTATTCTTAACATGAAACCACAATATTTATAAGAAAGAAATTGTGAACTTTAAAGTGTAAAGATAAGGGAACACTGGAATGGCAAGCCTGCCTAAGGTTTTTCACTCTTTTTGTTTTGTTGTGTTTTTCTTTTTTACCCAACAGTGGGATCTTTCTGTGCTTGCACGAGTTCTAACAATAACACCTACTGGTGTTTGCGTACAGTTAATGAGACGCATAATTTTCTTTTCTGTGAGTTTGCTACTGGCTTTTTGGAGTATTTTGATATGAATACAGATCCTTATCAGGTAAGACAATATATGTTCATTTTATGAAGGTTGTTGAAAATAGGATAACCAGACATAAGCTTAAATAGATTGTCCTGTCTGCATTCACAGCTCACAAATACAGTGCACACGGTAGAACGAGGCATTTTGAATCAGCTACACGTACAACTAATGGAGCTCAGAAGCTGTCAAGGATATAAGCAGTGCAACCCAAGACCTAAGAATCTTGATGTTGGTAAGGAAAAAAATACTATTTTTTCTATTTTACCTGGAAAATTCTTTGTGTTACTGAGCTTTCTGCCTTGGAAACATTTAATTGCACAGAAACATATAATTCAAGATACTTAGAGGAGACACTTTCCAGGCAATTCTAAATACAATTTGATCTCTAAGTTTAGCTCTGGTGTACTAATGAAAAGCTTAATCCACCAAAAGATTTGGTGAGCATTTCCTTCCAATATCTCCCACAGGTCTATTCTATTAGTAAACCTTGATTCCTGATAGAAGCATCTGTTGGAAGATGACACGAAAGCGTTAGGTATTTGTTTGTTATTGCTGTCAACAGTCTGAAGATATACTCTGAGTAAACCAGGATATTCTCTTTTTTTAAGAGAACTTTGATGGAAAGACACAATGCTCTATTTCTGCTGTCCCAGTTTGGAGTTCCCCCAGTTGGATCCCTGCCTATGACACTGAATTAGATTTCTTTTGCCAGTATTTTTCGTCTGAAACTAGAGATATTGGAGCAGTTCATTAACTTGGGATCTAAAAATATAAGAGGATCTGAATGGAATCAGCCAGATGTTCCTTCCCAGCTATGTGTGTTAAACTGGCTTATTTCTCCTTTGTTTCATGGAGATGCAGTTCTTTTCAGTGTCCGCCCCAGCTCTTTTCTGGTTAATGAAAATACTCATTTCCTCCTCATGATGTCTGCAGAAATGTAAATACCAGCTGTCCATACAAGGAAGGAGGAAGAACTAAAGCTGGCAAGGGCATGGACCTTGGCATGGCATGCCAACTCCAGAAGGGTGAAGAGCTGGACTCACAGGCACTTGGGTGCAGTTTGCAGGAGCTTTTTGTGGTGCCGCTGGGTTTTCTCTGTGAGTCTGGTGCAGAGCCAGTGTCATCAACAGTAAAAGTGGGCAGCTTTCTGGGTCACATGCCTTGAAAGGGGTAGGGATTCCCATCCCAGAATGATCAATATCACCACCTGTCATCTCCTTTCCACTGCAGGGTCACAAAGGCTTTTGAGTTCTGGGAGTCCCCTAAGAAAATATAAATCCTCAGTTCTCAATCAACACCTCTCAATTAACACTTAGTGGAATCAGTTGTCAGTCAAGAGCAGACTGTACTTGCAAAATAGGTCTTTTGGTCACTGACCCCACTCGGCTCAAATCTTTTCAAATATCCTGCTTATCTGTTGACCTTTTCCTCAAATCTTACAAAAAAAAGAGAGAGAGAGAGGGAGGGAGGGAGAGAGAGAGAGAGGAAGGAAGAAAGGAAGGAAGAAGGAAGGAAGGAAGGAAAGAAAGAAAGAAAAAAAGAAAGAAAGAAAGAGAAAAGAAAGAAAGAGAGAGAGAGAGAAAGAGCCTGCAAAGACTTGGAATCTCAACCAACCATTAGAGGCACTAGAAATATTATACCCAGATATTTCTCCCCAAAAGAACATAGGACTTTTATTGGTGGTGACATAACAACTCTACTTAGTGAAATCTGATCGAGTCCCTTAATGGTGAAATGACACACTGGGTGGAGCCAGTTATGCTGTTTCACTTCAAGCCGTCCTCTCCACCTTCCAGACTATTCCTATGGGAGATGATTATTAGCCCGTTTTTTTCCAATGTTTTGTCTAAAAATAACCAAAATTTAACTTTTCCTGAGAATTACATGGACTTCTGGAAGTACTTTTCCCACTGCTTTTAAGTGGGCTCTCCTCCCTTTAACACCCACCCATTTTTTTCATATGAACTCTTATTTTTTTTTTTATCTTAAACCTTTTCATTCATAGCTTTCAATCTGCATTTTGAACCTAATAGGAAATCTCTGTTGGGCTTCAGCACTGTCTGTATTTAACACCATGTGTTTCTTTCTAGGATTTAGATGTTGTGCATGAAAAACTATATAGTGAATGGTTTTATAAGTTCTAAAGCTAACAGAAATTACTCTTGTATTTTCCTATATCAGGAAATAAAGATGGAGGAAGCTATGACCTACACAGGTATTCACACTTTTTTATTCTTCTCAACAGCTTCTTCCCCAATAATTGCATGATCCAGTGGTTTCAACTAATTTCTGTTTCTTACCGTGTTGCACAGAGCAAAGCTGGGGGTGCATGCTTGTTCTAACAGCATTCTCCACTATGTTTTGTCATTGATCACAGAACTGTCATTTTGCTTTTAAATCAGCTCACTGTCCCATCAAGATGTTCCAGAGCATTTACTCACTCCCATGCTTGTTTGCTTGTTGGATGATGCTTTTAAGCATGGAATGATGTGAAGGAAAAAAAACAGAATGGCCTTTGGGAGCCCCGGGAAAGGGTGGGAGATTTATTTTCTTTGTGGTACTTACACATTGATTTGGTGGGGGAGCTTCATGAAAATGGGTTGGAGATTTTTATTAAATATAGCATCAAAGGCACAAAATGACTAATGAGAATTTTAAGAGCACTGTAAGGCCGAAGTTGAAGGAAACAAGGAATTTCTTTGTTGATGTTCATTCATTAACTTTGGTGGTGAAAAGCAGCAGCCGTAAGATTCTGAAAGCTCTGCAGAGAGGTGGTGAATAACGAGAAGGTGCTGGGAGTTGGGGACAGAGTACCGGGAGTCAAGATACTAGTAAAGGGCCACACACAGTGGCTCACACCTGTAATCCTAGCACTATGGGAGCCCAAGCGGGAGGATTGCTTGAGTCCAGGAGTTTGAGACTAGCTTGGGCAACAAAGTGAGATAAAAAAAAATTTTTAACTAGCCAGGTGTGGTGATGCACACCTGTAGTCCCAGCTACTCAGCTACTCAAGAAGCTGAGGCAGGAGGATCGCTTGAGCCCAGGAGGTTGAGGCTGCAGTGAGCTATGATAGTGACACTGACCTCCAGCCTGAGGGACAGAGAGAGACCCTGTCTCTAAAAATAAATAAATAAATAAAAAAATAAAGACACTCAATAGTGTCAACACAGCACCAAGACAACACACAAACATTCCATAAACAACCCTCAGCCCTGTCATTTTATGCCCCTCCAACCCTCATCCATCCCTCACTGTGCTCTGGAGGGGGGACGCACGCTCCTGATGGCCGTGTCACTTGGTCACCTGGCAATATTCGCCATTGCTAATTTTCTACTCTGAGCACAGACCTCAGGCAGGTCTGCCACCCGAAGCAGCTGGGCACTGTCCTTACCGCCTCTGCTGAGACAAAACTGAGGCACAGACGTTACCAGTACCCTAGTTAATGTATCCACTTGGGAGAAAAACATCCGTCAAAGAAATGTGAACTTAATTGGTGCCATCTATATTAATATCTTCTTTATCTATATTAATATCTTCTTTATCTATATTAATATCTTCTTCATCTGTATTAATATCTTTAAAATTAACATCCCAAAGAATGTTGCTGTTCCTGGTACCCTGTTCGGCCCCTCTAACCTCCAGAGCTATGGTCTCAGATGCTTCCTTTTAGAGAGAAGGTCATTAGTCCACCAAGAAGCCAAATGACAACAGGAAAGGTGATGGGAAGATGAAAACAAAGGAAGGTGGACTTTTGGGTATATGTTATAGCCATGTATGTATGTCTTCTTTTTTCTATTTTCTCTTGTTCTTCATCTTAACTGTCCTCAATCTGCCCCACACCAACCCTGTGTCACTCCCAGCACACATAAGACAGAGCAGAAGACCCCATCCTTGAGCTGGTCTCCCCTGGGTATGGGCTGAGGTAACATCCCACACACCAGGACGATCTTCCCTGCCTCCCATCGGTCACATTAAGACATTTTCAAAGTGTAATATTATAAATGGACCTACCTCTAAATATTGACTTTACAGTTATTTTATGAGGCACTCAATTTATAGCTAAGGGTTTTTCAGTCTAGTGTCATGAAAGAGATAAAAGGGTGTTCACAGATTATTTAAGACATAAGGCTGGTCAGGGATGAGTCAGAGAGTCATTCTCCATGAAGTCACCCCTGGCCAACTTTGAAAGGAAGAATGTTTAACTGCACTTTGGGCGTAAATGACAAGCATCTGGGACCCTCCCCTTCCCTGATCCCTGCCACCACCACTCAATCGGCCAGATAATCAATTGTTTCTGAGGTCACTTTCACATAATCTTGGCAACTTTAGTTGTTGAAAGCATGCATGCAGGGGCAACATGGTGTTACCTGTTGCTTTTTTTTTCCCCCTTCTAAGCTCCTTACCAGAGAGCAGATCTAAGGATACTGTGTAACTTGAAATAACCGGCATTTTCAGACTTTGCCATTTCATAGTCCATAGGGCAAGCCATCTTTCAGTGGATATCCACATGGTGGGCAGGAAATCTTGACATTGGTTTCTCAGAAAATATCTGCCTAGTCACACCTGGGAATTCACTAAACACCCAAATGCAGTGTTTGATGTGGCCTTACCTGCTCCTTGTATCTTATTGGATTGAATGAGAACAGATGCAAAACAAGTATGTACAGAAATGCCAGGAAAACTACTGTCTTCCAATGGGGTTCAACAGTTCAAAGCCCTCCATTGATGGAGCCACTTAGGAGGTTTCAGTGTCTTAATTCTTTTAGATTTTGACAGTTTTAGAAAACTAAAAAAAAAAAAAACAAGTTTTTATCGTGAAATTTGATTACAAAAGATTTTGAGAGAAATGATAAGAACCAGATCTGAAGAATTTGAAATTTGAAAATTCAGCAGAGCATTTTTTTAAATGTATCTTGTACAAGATGAACTAAATAAATGTTTTTAAACTGACTTCTTTTTGGTGGATTTCAAAAGTTAACCTTCAGACTTATTTAGAGGGTTTTCATAAAGCAAGTTTTTTTCTGTTGCTGCTCAATTTCTTTCTTTTCTTTTCTATCTTTTCTTTTCTCTTCCTTTTGCTGTTCCCTGTGTGTGAAGCAGGAGGGGCAGCTGAAATGCTTTGCATACTCACCCTGGTCATTTTCCAGTTAGGACAAGCTCAAAGGGAGAGCACAGCTCAGAAGGTGGCACTCATGACTCAGGAAATAATTTGTGGCTCATTTGAAAGCAGCATCTTCTAAGTGTGTTGCAAAATAGAGAAAAATCAACAGGTTGTTGGGGTGTTTATTTTCCCCACTGCGTATGAAAGCTGGTGCTGCTGCCCTTTGATGGCCAAGAGGAGCTCCTGGCAGCCGTGGCCATGTGTCCCGGGGGTGTGTGGGGCAGGCGGTCAGTTCTTGGCAGCCTTCCTCTGGCAGGGCTGCTTCCTGATCCTTTGCTTCAAGCCTTCTGGGCTGTTAGACCACACAGAGCTCCACCCTCAGCAGCCACGCTGTAACCACATTGCTTTCACTGATTTTGACTCATCTCCCCCATAGTGACAGTGTGTGCCAAAGGTGGCTGTGGGTGACACAGCCGTGTGTTCGTGCTGTACGGCACTGTGGTCATGGGGGTGGACGCTGGAGCTCCTGATTAGTTTGAGTTCAAATCCCAGCCTCGCTGGTGGGCATGCTTAGAACAGACCCTAGCAGGCGCCAAGCCCCAGTAAGTGGTGGAGTCATTGGTAAAGGATAATGCTGAATGCAGGACATTTATATGGATGAAAGAGTATGGGAAAGGGAATTTCAGTGATATGAATTCCAAAGCGTGTTAGTATATTTTATAAGAAACAAAAAGGTATTCACCAGCACCACCAAACTCCATCATCAGTCACAGGCAACCAAGAATTGATCACTCTCCCAGAACTTTGGGAGGCCGAGGCAGGCAGATCACGAGGTCAGGAGATCGAGACCATCCTGGCTAACACGGTGAAACCCCGTCTGTACTAAAAATACAAAAAAAAAAGAAAAATTAGCCGGGCATGGTGGCGGGAGGCTGAGGCAGGAGAATGGCGTGAACCCGGGAGGCGGAGCTTGCAGTGAGCCGAGATCACGCCACTGGACTCCTGCCTGAGTGACAGAGGGAGACGCCGTCTCAAAAAAAAAAAAAAAAAAAAGAATTGAGCACTCAAGTCCGTCTTCTAAACTGCCTGAACCTCTTGAGATGAGAAGAACAAAACAAACCTGCGCTGTCCTGATGTAGGTTACCCTAATGGAGCTTCCTGGGTTCTCCTCTCCCTGTCACATCTCAGGGACTCCACCTTATTTTAAAGCTGTCTTACTAGCACTGTTGGACTTTTCTGTTTCAGATGCTCAAACAAGAGATGGAGCAGGGGCAGGGTTTGGGGTTAAATGGGCTGGAGGTGAGATTGGCCCCCCTAAGGTGTTGAGGACACTTGGGGTGAAAGTCGTTAGGGTATATGTAGGTCAGAGCCAGGGCCGCTGCGTGCACAGAGGTGTGTCATGGAGCGGCCAGTAGGCACCAAAATCCAGCCAAAGCTCGGCCATGAGAGCTGGGTAGCGGCAGGGGTGACAACAGTGGCCACCCTGGTAAGGTTAAGGTCAGACTTGGGTTAGTCTAAGCTGTCAGAGGGTGTTCATCATTTTTCTTACCTTTCCAATAGTGACCCTATTCCAAAGGCCTTGTTTCTTGTGCCAGAGAAGAAACTAAAGTATAGCACGTGCAGAACTCCTTAAGATCCTCCCCAGGCTGCGGAATGAAATGTATCTTTAATCAGTTCCAATATATAGGGGGAAAATGTGCCCTCATTCATCCATGCAACATATAAAGACAGAAAGAATCGAAACAACCACCTCTGTGCCAAACGCCGCCTTCACAGGGAGTGCAGTCTGGTGTTAGAATGCACGATGCAAAGTGCCTTGACCAGAAATATATGGCGTCATAAGAGCCAGGAGAGGGCCCCAACCCAACCCTGAGAAATCAAAGGAAGCTTTCCAAGGAGTTGGCATTTATGCCGCATCCTGAAGGCAACAGTGCAGTGATCCAGACACAGGATGGAAAAGGAAGTCAGTCCAACCAGAAGGCAAGACTCGTGTGGGGACTTATCATCAGTTCCGTGACAGTGCAAGGGAAGGAGAAGAGAAGGATGAGCTGAAAAGGCAACCAGGGCCTATTTTATGGAGTGTGTTATATGGAGAATGATGATATGATGTATCTTCCAAACAGGGATGTTTTGACCATGGGGGAGGAGTACTAAAAATAGTTAATTATTTATATTAATTATTATTTATATTAATTCTATATAAATATTGTTATGTATTTGTTTACCAATGAACTAGTCAGTAGATCTATAAAACAGTTGTATTTAAAACTATTTTCTAAGCTAAAATGTCAAAAATTCTGGACAAATGCCAAAATGAACAGGGTACCAGTACAGCAGATACAAACTGGGACCCTCCCAGGCAAACGAAAAATGTGGTCACCCTAGTTACATGCTACATCAAAGGATGTAATCCCTGTCCTAAAAGCAATAGGCAGACATTCAAGAGTATTAAACTGGGAGAAATAATATGAGAGGATTTGGGCTGATCAGATTAGGTGGCATAAATAGTTATGAGAATAGTTTTGTGAGTCACATTGGTTTGTGGGTCAGTTCTGGCTCCATCACTTCCCAATTTGAGGACCAGTTGCTAACAGTATTACAACACTTACTGTGGTCCAGCGCTCTTCTGAATGCTTTCGTATATTAATGTATGTAACCCTCTCGATAACTTCGTGAGGTCAGTACTATTATTATCCTCATTTTTTTTTTTTTTTTTAAGACGGAGTCTCACACTGTCGCCTGGGCTGGAGGGCCGTGGCACCATCTTGGCTCACTGCAACCTCCATCTCCCAGGTTCAAGCAATTCTCCTTGCCTCAGCCTCCCAGGTAGCTGGGATTACAGGTGCCTGCCACCACACCCAGCTTATTATCCCCATTTTACAGATGAGGAAATTAAGCCACAGAGTGACTAAATAACTTTCCCAAGATTACACAGCTGATAAATGGTGAAATTCAAACCCAGCGAGTCTGGTTCTAGCTGTGCTGTTCATCTCTACACTATACTGATTCTCTTGGACAATTTATTTAACTTCTTTTATTATGGCTGAATTTTCTCATCTTTAAAAAGGTGATAATACATACACATAATAATACACAAGGATTTCATGAGATATTACCTGAAAAGTAAGCCCTGAATTCATATTATTGTATGACTGAAGTTTGATAATAAATTTGATTAGTGAGAGACAAATTGTATCAAAGAGCCCTGGAATTTTTTTTTTTTTTTTTTTTTTTTGAGGTGGAGTCTTGCTCTGTCACCCAGGCTGGAGTGCAGTGACACAATCTTGGCTCACTGCAACCTCCACCTCCCAGGTTCAAGCAATTCCCCTGCCTCAGCCTCCCTAGTAGCTGGGACTACAGGCACAGACCACCATGCCTGGCTAATTTTTGTATTTTTAGTAGAGATGGGGTTTCACCATGTTCGTCAGGCTGGTCTCGAACTCCTGCTCAAGTGATCCTCCCACCTCAGCCTCCCAAAGTGCTGAGATTACAGGTATGAGCCACTGCGCCTGGCTGAGCCCTGGAATTTTGAAGGACATTTATCTTCACATTAATGGATGACAAAATTGCAGTTTTTAATGTCAATGCTATATTAATAAAGAGGAAAAGTTATGTGCATTTACCAATAAGTAGATATAATCAGCCATTAACCACACACAAGGTAGTCATCTATAAATGACATATATATTTATTTCTATTTTTAGACTATCTTTAGGGTTGAACATTAATTGGCTTTCATTTGTAAAATAAATAGCTATTCCTACAATTCATCCATAAAATTATGTAGGTTAGAAATTTATGGTCTTCTGGTTGCTCTGCCTGTGGAGTAGCCATTTTTTATTCCTTTGCTTTCTTAATAAACTTCCTTTCACCTTACAAAAAAAATAAAAACGGCTAGGCACAGTGGCTCACACCTGTAATCGCAGCACTTTGGGAGGCCAAGGTGGGCAGATCACCTCGTTCGAGACCAGCCTGACCAACATGGAGAAACCCTGTCTCTACTAAAAATACAAAATTACCCGGACGTGGTGGTGCATGCCTGTAATCCCAGCTACTCGGGAGGCTGAGACAGGAGAATGGCTTGAACCCAGGAGGCGGAGGTTGCAATGAGCCAAGATCGCGCCATTGCACTCCAGCCTGGGCAACAAGAGTGATACTCTGTCTCAAAAAAGAAAGAAATTTATGGTATTTTTACTATGGCCAATTCTGATTTTGGTGTCCTGCTAGTATCAAAAAGCCAATTTACAATTTGCTTTTGGATACTAGCAGGACGCCAAAATCAGAACCTCTGAAATTTCAAAGCCTAAATCAAATTCCATTTCAAGCTAAAACATATTATGTTTCAAGTAGCATGAAAATCACCCAAGATGAATACCAGTTTGGTCCAAATATTGGAAACCCTGTGCCTTCAGAAAAAAAAAAAAAACAAAGAGCTCAGCAAAACATGGAAGGGCTTAGGAGAAAGGAGCAGATGTATTAACGCAGATAGTCTGTTCGGGCTCTTCCCATTGTGAAGTTTAAATTAGTACCATTAGAAATGAGACTTGGAAGAGAATAGCTATATTAATTAAAATATCCTGCCAGATAGCAACAAGCAACAAACTACATATAATGCTTTATGATTTTTCTGATCGACCCATTGCTTGCTTCTTGAAACTGTAGACACCTGGCCCGGTGAAATTCAATTTGCTACTGAGCACAGGTACCCAGAATCAGGTATAGATGATGCCATAATGGAGGGGTTCACACAACCCAGGGGAACGGCCAGAGAGGCTCTGTGGAGGGGATGAGAGCTCCTCTTGAAGGCTGAGAGCTGACTGGGCTAATGAGGCAGGGAAGTACATTCTAGAAATAAATACAAACACTGAGGAAGGAGAGAGCCTGGTACTTTCAGGACATTGCACTTGTTCCTGTGGCTGGTACAGAGGTGATGTGCCAAAGGGGAAGAGAAGAGGCCACAGAAGCTGCAGAAGTCAGCCTGTGTCTGCAGAAACAATCCCTTCTGCTTCTTATGACACCATCAGCACCTGTTAATTATAACACTGCTCCAGGTAGAGTTAAAATTCCATGCATGCATGATCTCTTAAATTACCCGTCTGTGGAATATAGCATGATGTAATTCTGTGGTTAAGTTTTTAAAAGTAAGTAAGTGTCATCCAGAAAGAAATGTGACTTGGCTTGCGACCTGGGTATGTTCTTGAATTTGTCTTAATGGATTCACGGCTTTTCTGTTTCCGGGATTGGGGAATAATTATCTGTAATGTGAAATCATCTACATTTATTCTGAAAATTCACCTGTCAGAACAAGCCTATCTATACCTTTTCTCTCTGAATAAACAGCTTCCAAACGACCAAAGAAAAAGGTTTCCTTTTTTGAGCTGAAGACAGGCAGAAACCAGGAGACACATGGAAAATTTAAGTTCTAATGTCGAATAAATTTAACTTTCTATTTTGATATAACTTTACATTTACAGAAAGGTCGCAAGAATAATTTCAAGAACTGTTACCCCATTTGCTTTATTGTTTTTTCTTGTTCTTTCACTCACTTTCTCCACACACCTTTTTTTTCTGAATCATTTGCAAGTAATTTGCAAACATCATTCCCCTTTATATATAAATGCTTTAGGAGGTATTTCCGTAGAACAAAAACATTCTCTTACATAACTGTTATGCATTTATCAAAATCAAGCAATTTAACATTGTTACAAAGCAATTGTCAAATCTACATTTCATGTTCAAATGTTAACAATTGTCCCAATAATGCCATATTCATCATTTTTTGCTTTTCTGGCCTGGGATCCAATCCAGAATCACACATTGCAGGAAACTCACCTCTTTTTAGAGTATTCTTTTATCTGGAACAGTTCCTCAACTTCTCATTATCAGTCATGATATTTTAAAGAGTGCATGCCAGTTATTTTGTAAAATGTCCCTCTGTTGGGGTTTGTCTGATGTTTCATCAGGATTGAATTGAAGCTGTGGATTTTTGTCAGGAATACCACATATTGTGCTCTCGGGATATCTTATCAGGAGCTGCATAACATCTTGGTGGTATTACCTTTGATTACTTGGCAAAGGTGGAGTTTGCTAGGTGAAGCCACTATAATTTTTTTCTTTTTTAATTAATAAGTAATTCATCTACCAGCTTTTAAGGCATTCACGATTCATTTCTGCCTGAATCATTTGTTGTTACCATGATGGTTGCAAATGATGGTTTCTCCCACTCTGTAATTCCTCCTGCTTGCTTTTTTTTTTTTTTTTTTTTTTTTTTTTTTTTTTTTTGTCTGAGACACGGTCTTGCTCTGTCACCCAGGCTGGAGTACAGTGTTGCAATCTTGGCTTACTGCAGGCTTGACCCCCCAGGCTCAAGGGATCCTGCCACCTCAGCCTCCCAAGTAGCTGGGATTACAGGCGCATGCCACCACACTCAGCTAATTTTTAAAAATTTATTTTGTAGAGACAAGGTCTCACTATATTGCCCAGGCTAGTCTCAAACTCCTAGGCTCAAGCGATTCTCCCATCTCTCAACCTCCCGAATTGCTGGGATTACAGTCATGAACCATCGTGCCTGGCTCCTCCTGCATTTCTTAGGTAGTATTGTACTGTAAAGAAGAGATTTCCCGGCCAGATATGGAGGCTCACACCTGTAATCCCAGCACTTTGGAAGGCTGAGGTGGGAGGAATACGTGCTTGAGCTCAGAAGTTCAAGACCGGCCTGAGCAGCATAGCAAGACCTTATCTCTACTAAAAATACAACATTCAAAACATTAGCTGGGCTTAGTCCCAGCACCTGTTGTCCCAGTTACTCAGAGGCAGAGCTTGCAGTGAGCTGAGATAGCACCACTACATTCCAACCTGGATGACAGAGCCAGACCCTGTTTCAAAAATATGAAAGAAGAGATTTTCCTCCTCTCCTGCGTATTTATTTCTATCAGTATGGACTTAGATTCTCAGTTTATTCCATGGATATTCTCTTGCTATCATTATTTATTTTGATGATTAAAGTGTCTTAGATTGGCCACTGGTGTCCCTGCACCTGGATTCCGTGTACTTTTGAAGCATCCTCATCATTTTTTGACCACCTCGTTGCTTTCTGGCCTAAAAGCATGTTCCAGGTTCATATGGCATTTTTGCCACTCCACATTTGGAAACAGCCATTTCTCCAAAGGGCCCCAGTTCCTTTTAAAGGGGAATGGCATTTGAACACCAAGATCTGGGTCTGAGGTGTATAAAATTGCTGCTGAGGTGTCTTGGCATATAGATCCTTTTGATGGATAGAGCTAAGAGACACACTGGCATCTATCAACATCTATTCTTTTTTTTCTTTTCTTTTTTTTTTTTTTTGAGACAGAGTTTTGCTCTGTCTCCCAAGCTGGAGTGCAGTGGCATGATCTTGGCTCACTGTAACCTCCACTTTCTGGGTTCAAGCCATTCTTCTTCCTCCCCTCCCGAGTAGCTGGGATTGCAGGCACCTGCCACCATGCCCAGCTAATTTTTGTATTTTTAGTAGAGACAGGGTTTCACCATGTTGGCCAGGCTGGTCTTGAACTCCTGACCTCAGGTGATCCGCCCACCTCAGCCTTCCAGAGTGCTAGGATTACAGGCATGAGCCACCGCGCCCAGCCTCGACATCTATTGTTGTACCTACAGATATGTAGAGATATGTCTAATTGAGTGACCTAATGCTTCCAATATAATGTTACCCTGCTCCTGATTTCAATTAAAATGCTTTTAGAGTTTCTCTATTAAATAAGAGGCAAGCTTTAGGACTGAGTTATATATACTTTTATCATGTTAAGGAAATAGCCATCAGTTCTTTTTTTTAGTGCTTTTATCTTTAATGAACGTTGAATTTGTCAAAAAGCTTTTTTTAGCATCTATGAAGATGCTCAGATAATTATTCTCTTTAGATCTATTAAATTATTATTGTGTATTATATTAATAGATTTGGTAAGAATGAATCCTTTCATTCCTGAAATAAATTCCACTGGGTCATTGTGTGTTGCTTTCGTAATATTGAATTCTGTTCACTAATATTTTATTTAAGATTTTTGTATCATATTTTTAAATGATACCAATCTGTGATTTCCTTTTTGTTTTTACCAGCATTATCTCTTAGATATATTAGTTTCTTATTACTGCTGTAATAAATTACCACTGTGCCTTTAAAACAACACAAATTTATTCTCTTGTGTTTCTAGGGGTCAGAAATTCGAAATGAATCTTACTGGGCTGAAATCTTCTGGGGGCTCGAGGCAAGAATGTCCTTGCTTTTCCAGTTTCTAGAGGCTGCCTGCATTCCTCATTCATGGTCTCTTCTGCCATCTTCAAATACAAAAATGTAGCCAATCTTCAAATCAGTCTCTCCCCCAACCCCCACCTTCCTCTGTTTTCTGGGGTCACATCTCGTTCTCTACCCCTCCTTCCTACCACCTCCCTTTCCCTTTATAAGGACTCTTGAGATCCCACTGGCCCCACCTGGATGCTCCAGGATACTCCCCCACCCCAATCTCAGGATCCATGACTTAGTCACATTTGCAGAGTCCCTTTGGCCAGGTAAAGGAACTTGTCCATAGTTTCCAGGAATTTGGATGTGGACATCTTTGCCGGGTGGAGTCCACTATTCTGCCTATCACAGCTATCAATGTTATCCTTGCTTCGTGAAAAGAGTTTGGAAGTTTTCTTGAGTTATCTGCTCTAGAACAGTCTATTAGTATTCTCTTTTCATTGAAGATTTGTTAAACTTCTCCTGTGAAAGTCCACAGACCTGATGCATCTTTGCACAGTGGTTCTTTGGGCTTGCTTTTTCTTCTATGGAAACTGTTCTATTTAAGCTTTCTATCTATATTGGGTTGTTAAATCAAGTTTAGCCTAAATCTGCCTCCTCACATATTTTAAGTTCAGCCTAAAGGTTTCTCTGTATATCGTGAACTATAACCTAAATAGAGTTGTATACAGACTGTAGCCTACTCTTGTGCCCATCACTGAGTTTTGGCCCTTCAAAGGTGGCCAACTGCTCAAACTCTGTTCAAATAAGGCAAACACTGAGCTGTAACCAATCTGGCTGCTTCTGTACTTCACTTTTGTTTTCTGTCCGTCGCTTTTCTTTTTCTGTCCATACATCTTCTTCCACCACGCAGCTGCGTTGGAGTCTCTCAGTCTACTCTGGCTTGGGAGGCTGCCAGATTTGCAAATCGTTCTTTGCTCAATTAAACTCTGTTAAACTTAATTCAGCTGAGGTTTTTCTTTTAACAGCATCAATTTCGGCAAACTATTTTCCTGAGCAACTACGTTTCATCCAGGTTTTCAAATTTGTTCTCACTGAGGTCTGCAAAGTAGTCTCTTGTTTTTATTTTTTTTTTAAGATGGGGTTTCCGTCTGTCACCCAGGCTGGAGTATAGTAGCAATCATGGCTCACTGCAGCCTCAGCCTCCTGGGTTCCAGTGATCCTCCCACCTCAGCCTTCTGAGTAGCTGGGATTACAGGCGTGTGCCACCACACTCAGCTAATTTTTAAATTTTTATTAGAGGTGAGTTCTTGCTATGGTGCCCAGGCTACTGTTAAACTCCTGGGCTCACGCAATCCTCCCATCTCAGCCTCCCAGAGTGCTGGGATTACAGGCATGAGCCACATCTCTTGTGTTTTTAATTTTGTGTATTTCAACGATTTTTAAAATATTTACCAGTTTATTATAAAGGATATTATAAGAAATGCAAATAAATAGCCAGACAAAGAGGTACATAGGCTAAGGTCCAGATGGGTCCCAAACGCAGAAGCTTCTGTCCTTGAGTTCGAAGTGTGCTACCTTCACGGCATGTGGTTGCATTCACCAGCTGGAAATTTCTCTGAACCCTGTTATCGTTTAAGATTTTTAATGAGGTTCCATTACATAAGCATGATTGATTGCATCATTGGCCATTGGTAGTTAACTCAATCTCCAGGCCCCTGTCCACTCCACAGAGGTCTGAGAGTCCCAACTCTCTAATCATGTGGAGGTCTTTCTGATGATCAGCCCAGCTCCCAACCTAGAGCTGTCTAGGGTACCCTAGCCATCTCCTCAGCATATAAAAGACACTCTTATCTCCCTGGAGATTGCAAGGGCGTTAGGATCTCTGTGAACTGGGGGTAGACCAAATACATTTTTCTTATTATGCCCTAGTCCCCTGGCCATGAACCCCGTAGTGAGAAGATTATAAAAGTCAAAAGATATTGGCACATTCCTAGAATTGCATTCAGCCATCAATAATTAGTCCAGTCCATCATTCTGTCATATGAAAATACCTCCTAGGGCAAGGCCACTCAGGTTTGCCAGCTTCTGTTGGATCTTGCCAGGAGTGGCTTAGCAATATATGACCTCACCCTTTTAGGAGTCTGGTATAATGGAGCTAAGAGACAATGTCATCTCCTGTTCTGAGCCTTTTTCAAGCTGTTAATGTAATATTGGATTTCTCTCATGACTCATGACGTAACCCACTTATTCATTCCTTCAGCCTCAGTTACTATTCCTCCATCTCTCCATTTATGACCAAAGTTTTCCACCTTCGGAAGAGACATTAGATTCAGCCACTGTGCTGCTCTAGGCTTCAGGCAGCAATACTAGTCTAGTATTATCACTAGACTACCAATAATAGGCTAGCAAGTACCTCTTGCTCAGTCTGCTCCCATTCAAATAGAGTAAGTTTATATAGGTGCAGAACTAATGAACTGTTTTTAACCACCAGGCAGTATACCTGCATTCACTGTTAACCCCAGTTTTGCCAGATGGGGTGAAGGCACAACCTGCCCTATCAGGCCCTTAGGAATTCTGACATCGTTTTAAAGTATAATTAGGGTTTTTTGCTTAGGAAACATCCCTGCTTCCAACACCAGCAGTTGCATCTCTGCATCACGTATAAAAAAGAAAGTTGAAGTGCTGTGCAGAAGACTTGCATCATCACACCGGCATCCTCTCCTGCCCCCTCTCCTCTTATCCTCCTGCAAAGCAGAGAAATCTGTCCAGTGGGGGACACTCCCTTAGCCCCCTTATGTTGAGTGTGAAGGTATGTAAGCCAGCCTTCAATGCTTTTGTCTCCCCACATTTTAGACAGCAAATGTTTTAACTGCCCATTCCTTCCTGTTCTTATGGAACTGTTACTCTAAGGATAATGTGCACCATTATACGTCCATTTGATGTGAGCTATCTTTGCTCACTTTTGGACATTATGGGCTATAAAATGTGTCCTTTCATCTGAAGAAATGTAACTTGGTGGTCCAAATTAGTACAGTATTTTCCGTTCCTATCCTGTAATAATATTTTAAGCATTTGCATTGCATTTAAGTAGATGCAATGCTTAAAATGGGTCTACAAAACCCAGCCTGGGGTAAGTGTCTATTTCTGTTAAGACCCTGATCTATCCCGTCGGGGCTACTGGCATTGGTTGCTCCCATGTAATCCACTTACCAGCTATGCATGGGGTGCCTACCCCAGGGGAATCTGCCCCATAGCCATCTGCAGTCTCTGACTCTCTTTTTGGCATTATATGTCTGACAGTGCAAGAGGAATAGGTCCAGACTTAGCCCATCTCTGCATGGCTGCAGCACCACCCCCCATACCCACTCATTTTATGAGCCCCAGTGGCTACCACAAGGGAGCACACCAAAAGGTCCACTTGATGGTGCCCGTAATACTCCAATACATATTCTTATTTACTCTTGCTCCCTTGTACTGATAACACCTATTGTGTTTCTATATATTTCTCATTGCATCTTCTATAATTTCTTCTTTATCAAGATAGTTGCTCTTTTGGTAATTGTCTTTGTACTTACACATTTTTATTGCCCTTAATCCCTGTTTTGTGTTTTTTCTTTTTTGGTATTTTTAATAGAGACAGGGTTTCACCATGCTGGTCAGGCTGGTCTTAAACTCCTGACCTCAAGTGATTCACCCGCCTCATCCTCCCCAAACTACTGGGATTAGAGGCATGAGGCACCATGCCCGGTCTAAATCCCTGTTATCTTATTTAACCTTTCATTATCTCATTAGACAGTTTTTAATGGCTTCTCTCACTCCCAGCTATTACCTGAATCATACTGAATGAGATTATTCTCTTTGGTCTGTGCTCCCTCTCACATTTTTAGTTGCATTATTTCTAGCGTGTCCTATAAAATGCATATATTATTTTTTCACACTTCTTCTACCTTTATTTTTATCCTAGATCTGATAAATCTATTAAATGTGCACCCTCTATATTTTTGCTTCCATTTCCCCATTGATTTCTTGGACAAACGAGTCACAGCCTCTGGAAGATTGCTGAAGAAGAGCTGATGCGCACAGTATCCCCTGCATTCTTGTGTGTTTCAAACTGTTCCTTTATAGCCTTGATACTTGAAGGAGATCTGGACTGGATATGAGATGCTAGGTTCATATTTGAATTTCTGATTTCAGATGGCTTTTCCATCCTCATATGCTTGATTGAGAACATTTAATTCACACAGCACTGGTGTGTTGTGGTTTTCTGCACTTTATAGTTTATTTCGCCAGGAGCATTTTCTTAAGATGGTTTTTTAAATTCTTGTTTTCCACTTTATTTTTGTTGTTGTCGTTGTTGTTTATTTTATTTTTTTAAGTTCTGGGATACATGTGCAGGATGCGCAGGTTTGTTACATAGGTAAATGTGTGCTATGGTGGTTTGCTGCACCTATCAACCCATCACCTAGGTATTAAGCCCAGCATGCATTAGCTATTTTCCCTGATGCTCTCTTTCTCCCAACAACCCCACAACAAGCCCCAGTGTTAGATAGTTCCCCTTCCTGTGTCCATGTGTTCTCAATGTTCGGCTCCCACTTGTAAGTGAGAACATGCAGTGTTTGGTTTTCTGTTCTTGTGTTAGTTTGCTGAAGATAATGGCTTCCAGCTTCATCCATGTCCCTGAATAGGAAATGATCTCATTCCTTTTTATGGCTGCATAGTATTCCACGGTATATATGTACCACATTTTCTTTATCCAGTCTATCATTGATGGGCATTTGGTTTGATTCCATGTCTTTGCTATTGTGAATAGTGCTGCAGTGAACATACACGTGCATATGTCTTTATAATAGAATGATTTATATTCCTTTGAGTACATATCCAGTAATGGGATTGCTGGGTCAAATGGTATTTCTGGTTCTAAATCTTTGAGGAATCACCACACTGTCTTCCACAATGGTTGAACTAATTTATACTCCCACCAGCAGTGTGAAAGCGTTCCTACTTCTCTGCAACCTTGCCAGCATCTGTTGTTTCTTGACATTTTAATAATCACCATTCTGACTGGCATGAGATGGTATCTCATTGTTCTACTTTCTTTTATGGTAATTTGATATAGATTTAGGTTCTTTTATTTCATGGATTTATACTATTTACAACCCTCCTGGTTTAAGAGAATTCTTTTCTGTGAGTGTAACTAAGTATACTTCCTCTTTACCTTTTTATTTTATTATTATTTGGGAGTGAAAGTGAGAGAGGTTGTGTGTCTTCCAACTTTTCGTATCTCTTTTTTCTTGCAGGATCTGAAATTTCCCATCTTTTGCTTCCTCTTTGTTTTACCACCCAGTTTCCAATGGCTGTTTCTCCCTTCTCTCTTCCTTTGTGTCCTTTTCTGCCCTAAGCAATGCCTCCCAGACTGCTGCCTTCAATCGTGCACAGGCACAAGGCTGGGACTTAGGGGTCCCATCCTCATTGTCAGTGCTGTGGCTCACCAGGAATCTTTACAGTATTTTATGCAAAAGATTGACGTTCTTTCCACCAACAGCCTCCAATCAATCTTTGACTCCACTGACACTTCCCTCTTCTCTCTTCCATACTGTTTTCCCAGAGCTTGTGGCCACAGTGTGACATTCAGCTCTGCTGGGATTTGGTGTCAACGTTTTTTATCTACACGTGATCTGAAGATTGTAGGATTCTCTATCTTCTAGCTAGACCGAGGTTGTGGGTTTGGTATAGTTTTGCTTATTCTTCTTGCTGGTCTGTATGGCTTTATGGGTGGTCATTGCACTCATCTAGGCCACCTCTTTCCAAATGGTACTTAGGCACAACTAGAGAACAAGTGTTATTTTCTGCAGGGCTACAGTCATCCTGGAGATGTAGAAAGATCTGAGAGAGAGAAAGCTGGTGCCTTCTTTGCATATGAGAAAGTCATTCAGTTATCTAAGGCACACATTTATCTAGGACATAGAACTTTCAGGGCAAAAACAACAATCAAAGAAATAAATCCAGGCATTTGATTTGAAGAGCTTAATTGCATTCAGATTTGCTTTTATACTGAGTGTTAGGGAATATAAAATAAAAATATCATACTAAGCATTGCCTATTACATTCAAATACTTTCAAATTTGTCATTCACCCAGCAACCTTATAAGTAGTAATGATTTTATCATACAACTATTTCTACACTTGACAGATGAGGGAGCAAGACTCAGAGGGACTCACTCACATGCTCTTCTGGTTGCAAAGTTGATTTGAGTGGGGCCAGGAGTGAAACCCAAATCCCCTGGCTGAAAGGACCGTGCCATTTTCAGCACTAACCATGCTTAGTCATAGATGTTTTCACGAATGTGATCTTTTTTTTCCCCAATTTTCTGTTGTTTAATCACCTGTAACCTAAGGCCACTCTGTGATAACAAATGACTAGGGGAAAATGCTTTTGAGTGTCATACTTCTCATTGATTAACTCTGTAAAAACAATGTAAGTTGCTTGTCCAGGTAAGTAGAAAGCCTTTTCTCCACTAATGATTCACCTTCTTCTCTCTTTTCACAGAGGACAGTTATGGGATGGATGGGAAGGTTAATCAGCCCCGTCTCACTGCAGACATCAACTGGCAAGGCCTAGAGGAGCTACACAGTGTGAATGAAAACATCTATGAGTACAGACAAAACTACAGACTTAGTCTGGTGGACTGGACTAATTACTTGAAGGATTTAGATAGAGTATTTGCACTGCTGAAGAGTCACTATGAGCAAAATAAAACAAATAAGACTCAAACTGCTCAAAGTGACGGGTTCTTGGTTGTCTCTGCTGAGCACGCTGTGTCAATGGAGATGGCCTCTGCTGACTCAGATGAAGACCCAAGGCATAAGGTTGGGAAAACACCTCATTTGACCTTGCCAGCTGACCTTCAAACCCTGCATTTGAACCGACCAACATTAAGTCCAGAGAGTAAACTTGAATGGAATAACGACATTCCAGAAGTTAATCATTTGAATTCTGAACACTGGAGAAAAACCGAAAAATGGACGGGGCATGAAGAGACTAATCATCTGGAAACCGATTTCAGTGGCGATGGCATGACAGAGCTAGAGCTCGGGCCCAGCCCCAGGCTGCAGCCCATTCGCAGGCACCCGAAAGAACTTCCCCAGTATGGTGGTCCTGGAAAGGACATTTTTGAAGATCAACTATATCTTCCTGTGCATTCCGATGGAATTTCAGTTCATCAGATGTTCACCATGGCCACCGCAGAACACCGAAGTAATTCCAGCATAGCGGGGAAGATGTTGACCAAGGTGGAGAAGAATCACGAAAAGGAGAAGTCACAGCACCTAGAAGGCAGCGCCTCCTCTTCACTCTCCTCTGATTAGATGAAACTGTTACCTTACCCTAAACACAGTATTTCTTTTTAACTTTTTTATTTGTAAACTAATAAAGGTAATCACAGCCACCAACATTCCAAGCTACCCTGGGTACCTTTGTGCAGTAGAAGCTAGTGAGCATGTGAGCAAGCGGTGTGCACACGGAGACTCATCGTTATAATTTACTATCTGCCAAGAGTAGAAAGAAAGGCTGGGGATATTTGGGTTGGCTTGGTTTTGATTTTTTGCTTGTTTGTTTGTTTTGTACTAAAACAGTATTATCTTTTGAATATCGTAGGGACATAAGTATATACATGTTATCCAATCAAGATGGCTAGAATGGTGCCTTTCTGAGTGTCTAAAACTTGACACCCCTGGTAAATCTTTCAACACACTTCCACTGCCTGCGTAATGAAGTTTTGATTCATTTTTAACCACTGGAATTTTTCAATGCCGTCATTTTCAGTTAGATGATTTTGCACTTTGAGATTAAAATGCCATGTCTATTTGATTAGTCTTATTTTTTTATTTTTACAGGCTTATCAGTCTCACTGTTGGCTGTCATTGTGACAAAGTCAAATAAACCCCCAAGGACGACACACAGTATGGATCACATATTGTTTGACATTAAGCTTTTGCCAGAAAATGTTGCATGTGTTTTACCTCGACTTGCTAAAATCGATTAGCAGAAAGGCATGGCTAATAATGTTGGTGGTGAAAATAAATAAATAAGTAAACAAAATGAAGATTGCCTGCTCTCTCTGTGCCTAGCCTCAAAGCGTTCATCATACATCATACCTTTAAGATTGCTATATTTTGGGTTATTTTCTTGACAGGAGAAAAAGATCTAAAGATCTTTTATTTTCATCTTTTTTGGTTTTCTTGGCATGACTAAGAAGCTTAAATGTTGATAAAATATGACTAGTTTTGAATTTACACCAAGAACTTCTCAATAAAAGAAAATCATGAATGCTCCACAATTTCAACATACCACAAGAGAAGTTAATTTCTTAACATTGTGTTCTATGATTATTTGTAAGACCTTCACCAAGTTCTGATATCTTTTAAAGACATAGTTCAAAATTGCTTTTGAAAATCTGTATTCTTGAAAATATCCTTGTTGTGTATTAGGTTTTTAAATACCAGCTAAAGGATTACCTCACTGAGTCATCAGTACCCTCCTATTCAGCTCCCCAAGATGATGTGTTTTTGCTTACCCTAAGAGAGGTTTTCTTCTTATTTTTAGATAATTCAAGTGCTTAGATAAATTATGTTTTCTTTAAGTGTTTATGGTAAACTCTTTTAAAGAAAATTTAATATGTTATAGCTGAATCTTTTTGGTAACTTTAAATCTTTATCATAGACTCTGTACATATGTTCAAATTAGCTGCTTGCCTGATGTGTGTATCATCGGTGGGATGACAGAACAAACATATTTATGATCATGAATAATGTGCTTTGTAAAAAGATTTCAAGTTATTAGGAAGCATACTCTGTTTTTTAATCATGTATAATATTCCATGATACTTTTATAGAACAATTCTGGCTTCAGGAAAGTCTAGAAGCAATATTTCTTCAAATAAAAGGTGTTTAAACTTTTTTCTGTTTCAGAGAAATGAACTTAACCAAGTTTTTGTGGTACACCCATTTCTTGCAAGTAAAATTGAGTCATGATCTCTATTTACATGATTGAATACTAACCAAACTTATAAAATGGAGCTGAAGTCAATGTGTTATAGAACGTTCTCAGATTAACAACTTCACCACGGATTTACCTCATTGCTGTCTTGAGGGAGGCAGCAGAGGCAGCGCCAAGGTAGCTTTCCCGGCAGGCAACCTAGATGGTCACAAAGGGCCAGCACTTGGTTTAATGCTCTGATGTCACCGCCTTGAAATCCTTAATAATTTTTTAACAAGGGGCCCCACATTTTCATTTTCCACGGGGGCCCTGCAAATCAGGTCTGGGCAGAACCAAAAATGGTTCTGGGCAGTAAAATGGAATTTTTCAAAACCAAGAGAACAGACCCACTGAAGGCAGTGTCGGTTCTTCAGGAACCAGGAACTTGGGTGGAAACCTAAACACCCTTCAAGATCTCAAGTTTTTTGATACACAAATTCCATATGCTTCCTTCTGTCTGTTCCAAATCTCCTGAAGAAATTTAGCCTTCAGGTTGAGGGGCTAAAAATCTGTGAAATGTCCAGAGACCAGAAGGTTAAAAATAAATAAGAAGAAGAAAAAAAGAAAGCAAAGGGTCAGGGGACCTACCAATCCAACCCTTGGATAATTGAGGAAACCAAGTTTTCAAGAGAACATAGTCTAAGATAATAGCATTGTTGTCCAAAGGCGCATCTTGGTGCCTTGCTCCTTGTTCCTTTCTGTAAAATGTGCCTGAGTCAAATATTGCCATCCTGGAGAAAAATGCATCTTAGTTCCATTCAATAGCTGCATATGGAGTACCTACTATGTGGCAAGGACATGAGAGGGATTGCATGTCTCCCAGAGCTGTTTATCGGATCTTGAAAGGCCCTTAGAGATTGGCTGCCCAGCTAGCCTCATTTGATCTGCGAGGAAGCTGAGGCTCAGAAGAGCTGAGCGACTTCCCTAGACGTAAAAGAGGAAGAGATCTCTCAGAGGCCAGGCCTCTCTACTTTCTCCATTTAAATTCATATGCACATACACAAGTGTGTGGGGGGCACGCAAGCACGCACCCCCCCACACACATTCACACTTACCAGAACGGGGAAGAGAGGGCATCGGGGGCCACATCTGCAAGGACTAGTGGAAAGAACTATGAACATGAAACTCAACAAGACCCAAGTTAACTTCAGACACTATTTTTTACTATTTCTGTGAGTTTGGAAAAGTCACACAAACCTCTCTAAAACAGCTTCCTCAACTGTAAAATAAGAGATTTGGGTCAAGGATGGCAAATACATAGCATATGTGACTTCTTTTCCCAAAATATCCCCAGGGAAGACGTTGCTAATCCAATGGGACGCTTGTCCATTAAGCTAGAGCATTTGTGGCCTTACAGGCCTTCTCAACACAGCCAACTACTTCTCCAGCCAGCTCTGCTGTTGAATAAGCATTGGTGTGCGAGACAAAAACCAACTGTCCCTACCCAAATGAGATTATTTCTGAGACCCTCCTGGCCTTTTAAAAATAACCAAACAAACATATGATCGTCAGCATGTGCAGTTTTGGTACAGAGAGAAGGAATGAATATACTCCATCCCTTTGCCAAATATATCTCAAAATGTTGGCTTTTTTTTAAAAAAAGTGTTTTAAATACTTGTTTTTCAGAGCTCGTTTAAAACCCTCCATTCCCCAAATTAGTCCAATTCTGCCTGATATTTCTGAAATGTATTTAACAGAAAACAAAGACCTTCAGTTGATAATTAAATTAGGTATTCATTAAGCAATTAATACCTGACTATGCCCTAACACCCGGGGCTTTTAGGCCCCCAGGATTCATAGAAGGGGCTGTGAAAGCTGCGATAGTCCCCAAGCCCCTTTCCCACCTCCTCCCTTTCCCACCTCCCAGCACATCCCACACTCACTGCCTGGGGAGTCTTCCACCACCTTGGCTCAGATCTCAGTCTCCTGCTCAGAGGCCTTCAGTGCTTCCTGATGCCCTCCGTGTTCTGGACTCTAAGCCACAAGAAGCCCCAGCCTCCCACCCAGCTCCTGCTCCCGCCCTGCCTCACCTGTCTCTCAGCTGCTCCTGGGTTAGCGCCGCCTTCCCAGGCCGGAACTTTCACTTCTCTTTCCCCTCCTGTTTATAATATCTACCCCCAGCCCCACCTCAACCTGGAGAAATCTTGTCCATCCTTTAATTCCCATATCAGTTCAAAATTTACCTTTTCCTTTTGTGTTCACTTTCCTGGACTCATCGACCCCTGAAACTACTATCTCCCCTATTTGACACTCTCCTCCCGGTAAGCAAATGCTGATGTTGTACCAAGTCTGCGGCCAATGGAAGAAAAATCACTGGCCACACGTATCACCTCACCCTTCCCCACTGCTGACCAAGAAACTGACCCTCATGTGACCATCATTGGTTGTGGTCTAGTTAACTCACCTTTCTCTCAGTGGTGTTGTTGACACTGAGCACGTTGCCAGCACAGTACCTTGGGCCTTGTAGTGACCCCTCTGCTGTTTGAAGTAAGTAGAGAGAATGACTTTTAAAAATCAAATTTTCTCTGTTGAGACCACAGAATCCCTGAGCCCTCACGTTGGGGGAAGCACTACAGAAAGATAGGGGACAAAGGAATCCGCACTACCTTACTCTTCAGCTGGCGAAGGTATTGCTTTCTGTCTGAATTTCCTGGTCCTCGTATCAGTGGGCCTCCTTCTGGCACTCAGGTCCAGAATCTGCATCCACCACCGGGCTCCCCATTCCTTCCCTGACGTTTCCCCTTTCCAGCCCCAACAGGGCGTATGACTCAGAGCTAGAGCGGAACCAACCCAACCTCTAGTAAGTTTCAGCAGGAGAGGGGTCATGGACCGACCCTGCCACCCTAATCTGTTTTCGCATCACTAAGAGCATCACCCCATCAAGCCCAAGAACCAGAAAACACGAGATTAGCATGTGTTTTCCAAAATGACCACTAGGTGGTAGTCTAGTTCAACTAAAGACATCTTTGCTTGGCTCCAGGACCCACCCCTGCAAAGCAGCTACTTTGATTTCTAAAGTAGCAGCGCACCTCTCGGTGTTACCATTTTGACAAGAATACAGCTAGAACAGCTTGATCCTTGGCAGACTTGCCCTTTCTTCAGTGCTTAGGATCTTAGCCATTCCAGCAGGCGAAAGAACAGTTTTTGCTTCTGATTTATATTGGTATTTTAAATTGGAACTGCATCAAACTTTGACGTTTCAATTCAAAAGTGAGCACTGAATATCGATCTCCCTGCTTTCCAAAGTCTTTGTGCAATTAAAAATGTTTTTTAGCTCCCATACACTGAACCAACAGAGGTCATCTCTGCCTAGCTGGCAATTTTGCAAAGAAGAGCGGAACTAGATGCTTTTTAACAGCTCTTAAAACACTGAGGTTGTACCAAGTCTGGTGCTAAAGCAAGGACGACAAGTGACCATATTCATAACCTTTCCCCCTCCTCATTTCTTAAAAAGAAACATTTTCTAATGTGCCTATTCAAAAAGCCCAATACCCAAGGACGTCATGTCTAAAACACCAAAAACAATGGCCACAAAAGCCAAAATTGACAAATGGGATCTAATTGAACTAAAGAGCTTCTGCACAGCAAAAGAAACTACCATCAGAGTGAACAGACAACCTACAGAATGGGAGAAAATTTTTGCAATCTACTCATCTGACAAAGGGCTAATATCCAGAATCTATAATGAACTCAAACAAATTTACAAGAAAAAAACAAACAACCCCATCAACAAGTGGGCGAAGGATATGAACAGACACTTCTCAAAAGAAGACATTTATGCAGCCAAAAGACACATGAAAAAATGCTCATCATCACTGGCCATCAGAGAAATGCAAATCAAAACCACAATGACATACCATCTCACACCAGTTAGAATGGCAATCATTAAAAAGTCAGGAAACAACAGGTGCTGGAGAGGATGTGGAGAAATAGGAACACTTTTACACTGTTGGTGGGACTGTAAACTAGTTCAACCATGGTGGAAGACAGTGTGGCGATTCCTCAGGGATCTAGAACTAGAAATACCATTTGACTCAGCCATCTCATTACTGGGTATATACCCAAAGGATTATAAATCATGCTGTTATAAAGACACATGCACACGTATGTTTATTGCGGCACTATTCACAATAGCAAAGACTTGGAACCAACCCAAATGTCCGGCAATGATAGACTGGATTAAGAAAATGTGGCACATATACACCATGGAATACTATGCAGCCATAAAAAATGATGAGTTCATGTCCTTTGTAGGGACATGGATGAAGCTGGAAACCATCATTCTCAGCAAACTATCCCAAGGACAAAAAACCAAACACCGCATGTTCTCACTCATAGGTGGGAATTGAACAATGAGAACACATGGACACAGGAAGGGGAACATCAGACACCGGGGCCTGTTGTGGGGTGGGGGGAGGGGGGAGGGATAGCATTAGGAGATATACCTAATGTTAAATGATGAATTAATGGGTGCAGCACACCAACATGGCACATGTATGCATATGTAACTAACCTGCACATTGTGCACATGTACCCTAAAACTTAAAGTATAATAAAAAATAAATAAATAAATAAATAAAAATAAAATGTTAAGAGAGAGAGAAAAAAATAAATAAATAAAAATAAAAAGCCCAATACCGAACACAGATCTACCTATATGCTGAAAGTGTGGGAAATTTAAGAAATTTAACAGAGATCCTTTTGCCTAACTCATGCACACATAATTGAGCAGAAGATGGTAGATTCAGGCAGGGATTACTACTTGCTCTTTGCATAAACGGCTGCCTTGATGAATGTAGAAAGCGATGGGGGGAAGTCAACACTGACACCTATACTCCCCTCCCCCAATAACTCATGTAGCTTAGGCCACTGCGACCCTTTAGGTGAGCAGTGGGATGAGGGAATGAAAAGTGGAAATCAGTTATGCTGCTTCCCACCTACAGAGTGCTCAAGGCAGGATTCTAAATATACTCACGTTGTGCTTCAGTCCGTGAGTTATGACTCCCTTACCTCCTTCCACCTCTCACTCCAAAGTTTTAGATGCCAGTGTGTTTAGAAAACTCTGCCACTAGTCAGGAGAGACCTCTAGATCCAGGGTTTTTTTTCTCCCTAAGTGGATCTGTGCTCAAGTTCTTCTTCTTTCTAACTTAACTTTTAAGTTCAGGAGTACGTGTGCAAGTTTCTTACTCTTGTCTCAGAGCACTGGCTTCTGGGCCACTTTAACAATGAATGATTAGTTTGCTATTCAGTAGCATACTAGGAGACAGGAGGAAGGGAGATTTTCAGTGCTTTGTTGACCAAGTTTTGATATTCATGCCTTTAGAAATTATTCCAGTTTTTGGAATAATGAGTTGGACTTCTTTGGAAATTATTCTTAACCTATCAAAGTCAACCATGTGGCAAAGAATTATACCCACTGAATTCTTACCATTTACTCCTCTATATTTTCAGGACCTCAGGCTCTTAGGCAGAGCCATGAGACTACTTAGGGCCAATGAAATGGGAGAATAGACACATGGCACTTCCAGGCTGAGAAAGAGAAAAGCTCTTTTGCCATTCTCAGGGCATTTCCTTTCTTTGCCCCAGCAACCAATATTAACGATGAAAGTTCCAGGTGGTGCCACTTCAAGATGGTGGAGCCTCTGTCAGCCTGGATCCCTGAAAGACTATGTGGAACAGAGCCATAATAGATATGTAAGTGAATGAGAAACAGACCTGTGTGTTATGAAGCCATTGAGATTTCAGGGTTAATATGTTATTTAAGTATAACTTAACAAATCACATTCAAGGTACATAGCTCTGTGTTCTGAAAGTCTGTTTTGAATTTCAATAAGTAAGTGATGAATTACTTAAAATTATTCTCTTTGGAGACTCAATAAAAAAAAACATGCTATGGCTCTTTAAACTATACTCCTAAAACTTTACACATAGAACATTCTGCTTCAATGTAGAGTTAACAGTTAGGTAAGGAGTTAATGATGTAGGAGGGGTGGACAATCGCATTGGTCTCATTGCTTCATCCCTTCAAACAACAAAGTTCTAGAAACAATTTCATTTCAGTCCAACACACTTTATTCATTTTTAACTTTTTTCTTAATTTTCAATAATCAAGTATTCAAGATGCTGTAAACCAAGATTAGTACATCGACAACAGATTTCATTAAACACACGGAAATTATACATCTTTTAAATTACCTTAAAAAGTCTCCAAATGAATATCATTTTAAAAATCACAAAATCAAACTTCTTTATGCAACAGTGCAAAACCTTTCATCACAAACATACCTCTACACAAAACACACACACACACACACAAACACACACTCCACTAAGAACCTAATGCCAGTTTAGTTGACACAGTATTACATTTCCTTAAACAAAAGAGTCAGAGCCTGACTTGCCTGTTTCAGGATTCTAAATTAACATTTGGGGTTTGGGGTAGAGGTATGTATTTTAAGAAAAATGCCCATTATTTGGTACTACTCTTACCAATTATCAATTACCAATTGCCAATAATCGGTACTAGTCTTACCAATGATTCTTATTTTTCATTTCTAGATACAAACTTTAAACCTCTTTTGTTCACCCCTTTGGTTTAATGTGTCCCTGCAATTACTTTAGTTTCAATAATATTTTCTCCTTCAATTTTAACATGTAGTGATAGGATACCAGAAAAGATAACACCTTCAAAACCCCAGTGTTAAAAATACCTTACATGGGTGTAATCTTTTTGGAGAAGAAATAAGAAAAGGTTACCTGAAATATTTTTTCTACCTTTCTCTGAAATTATTTTTGGCATCTGATTATTCTTGCTAAAATAAATATCAAAAGCACTGAGTATTCCATAGAAAAGTATCCCCCCTTTCACGCTTCATTTTTGCAGCATAGATGGAGTAACTGTTGAAATGAGAGTAATGGATGCTTGTTTTCTGGAAAATTCTTCAGATTTCCAAACACAAAGTACATGCAGCCACTTAGCAGTGAAATACTGTGAATTCAGTGGCGCTTTTTAGTGGTGAACATGCGTCATTAAATACTTTTTAGCACCAAGGCATTTTTTTTAATGTTGCAAAAGCAAACACCTAGGGAGGGTTTTTTGTTTTCTGTTTTTTGTTGTTGTTGTTGTATTTGACCCTTCCTAGAGCTGAGTAAAACTGAAGTCTTTAAAATAAAACCTCCTCAAACATACACAGATCTGATTCTAATGCAACAAGAAGTTTGGGACAGATACAGCCAGCAGCATCCCAAAAGATGAAGAAGAGAAAAAGACAAAAAGATAAAGTGCATGAGGCAACTACCTTTGCCTGCCAGCCGCAGCACTCTCTTATTATGGAAGAGAAAACACAAATGTGTGGAAAGGCTACCTACTGGTCTGTATAACAGAGAACTAGCAAACCTGCAGTTTAGGCAATTCTGGGATTATACAGTATTTTGGTATCTATCTGCTACTTAGAATACTCAGTATGCACCTACATATCAATAGTTATATTCATGTGCTGTGTCATCTCTGATGTTTTAAGTACATACACGATCACAAAATATAATTGGCTACCACCCGAGGCTTGGGCTTGCCTCCTGCTCCTGGGTGCACTAGGGAATTCCCATCAATGCTTCAGCTCCATCCAAACTCTAAAGTTTCTCTTTGGTACATGCACGGTTTCTACAAAACAGGGCCAAAAAGACACTTTCTGGCTCCAAGTGCACCAAAGAGCGCAAGCTGGAATTGTGGACTGAAGAAGAATTTTCTTGGTGGTTGGTGAACATGGAGGACCACCATGACATCCATGAGGCCTTACTCCATGTAACTCCCCCTTCTCTGAAGGCTGACATTTCCAAGTGCATGCCACTAAAGGTAACAATGTCACAGCGACTAAAGGGAACAATCGGGATCAGTGGTTTGATATGTATTTTATGTGTGTTCACTTAAAACCCTTATTAGGAATCTTAAAACTCATATTCATCAAAAAACTAATAGAGATGTTAATATTCTGAAAGAGGAAAATAAAAAAAAATACACTTGAAATCCCTAAAGCTCAGATTCAACAAATCTGAACTACCTTTCTTCATAATGTTTCATTTCAGAAACTCTGCCGAGACCCGATGTTAACACGAAGACTAGATTTGTTCTGTATTAAATATGAACTATAAATAAATATTTGAGGTATGTTATGACAAATAACTTTAATATAACACTTAGCTAAATAAATGTAAATTTACCTTGAAAATCTAGTTAAACATTAAATCTTGATATTTCCTACAGATGTTTCCTACAGTTTTTTTTATTTACACAAAAAAACCTCTCTACTCTTCATAAACGGTAATATATCAAAAAATTGAAATGCTTTAATCTCACGATTTTATAGTCACCTTGCCTTTGTTAACCAAAAGCTATTGTATACATTGCGTAGTGTAAAAAATGAATAATGGAGTGAGAGAAATCTATGTCTGAATCCTGACTTTACCATTCTGTATGATCCTAAATGAGTTATTTTACTTCTCTGAGTCTTGGTTTCATATGTTTTTTAAAAAAATAATAAAATCAGCCGGGCATGGTGGCTCATGCCTGTAATCCCAGCACTTTGAGAGGCCAAGGCAGGTGGATCACTTGAGGTCAGGAGTTCAAGACCAGCCTGGCCAACATGGTGAAACCCTCTCTCTACTAAAAATAGAAAAAAAATAGCTGGGTGTGGTGGCACACACCTTAATCCCAGTTCCTCAGGAGACTGAAACAGGAGAATCACTTGAACCCAGGAAGCGGAGGTTGCAGTGAGCTGAGATTAAGCCACTGCACTCCAGCCTGGGTGACAGAGCAAGACTCTGTCTCAAAAAAAAAAAAAGAATCAAATCTTTGCAAGGTAATTAAGAGGATCAAAATGAATGATGATGTATATTAAGTGCTTGTCAAAATGCTCTACAAATCGTCAACACTCAACAAATGCTAATTTTTTTCCTCTCTGTTCCTCCTTTCTCTCCATCCCCAACACCTTGACTCTGAATTACTTTTGAATATTTTCAAGAATTAAATCCACCTATAAAGAATAAGGACTTAATGCTAATGAAAATAACCAAAGAATGCGCTCCAACCACCCATCTTACCTCCTGGGAGTTTCTAAATTAATAGGATGAACTCAAGGATATTGTATTTGCATATTAAAGCTAAATAATATATGAATTTACAGTTTATAAAGGACAAGATGACCTTTTCCAAAACAAGTAATTTGAAGCCTAAGCTCATGGAGAGTCTTCATTAAAACTTCTAATAGGAGCTGTGACTATAAAGTAATGGGATCAATTTATTAAGAAACATATAAGACCCTATATATACAATTAAATGGTATCATCTACAAAACAGTCACTTCAGTTGGCTATGTAATATTCCAGTGATGCTACCATAGCCCCAAGTATTTTGTGAACCACTCTTAATTGGTACATATTCCAAAGCTTTATTTTCTCATGATTTTTACTACTTAGTCTACATTCACCAACAACACATTAATGAAATACCTGCTATTTATAAGGAGCAGATACTTGAGGAAGTACAATATTAACACTGTGGTGCACATTTCAGGCCCATTTCTTTGAGTTCTGGCCCAATCATCCCAAAGGATTTTATGGAGTGGCAGATGGTAATCAGGTAATATGACACCTGAAGATACCTGGCACCTGATCAGTGATCGCCAAACTGGATGACTGTTCATGGCAGCAAAGGGAGTAAGGGGGCTCTCTAACTACTCCGTGCTGAGTCCAGCAATCTTAGCTACCAGAAAAAGTGCCAATCCCACCAAAATTCTCTCAATGCAGTATCTTAATGATCAGAAGAAAATTAAGAAAACACCACACCTCTCCAATCTACATATCTTTAACTCCCACACCAAAGGAAAATTTCTCCTTTAAAGGATCAGAGCTCTCCCATAGAGGGTAAAGGGGAACCCTGAGGCCCCAAAGGAGACACTAGTTCAATCAGCAAGGTTTTCTTAATCAGCAAGATTTTTTGAATACTTCCAATATATGCCACATTGGCCAGAGTCTGACAATTACCAGTGCAATTACAGTCTTAACCAAGCAAGAATCCTCACCTCCCCGAGAGCCAAGCCCAGGAACCAGAGGGAAGTCCTTAGCCCCTGAGACCACTAGCTCCACCCCTTGTAGACATTGTTCAGTCTAACAGTGTTAACACAAACTGTATGCAACCAAGAGAACTGTTTGACCAATGTCATTCCTAGGAAGAGAGGGAAACAGCCTTATACCCAGGAGTATTTGCACAATTCCACCTGTGCAGTCAAGCAAGGTTGGAGAGCAGAAGCCTGAATCATGGAACAGTCTGTCAATCACATCTCTTCTGGGGATAAGGGTAAACCAGAAGAGAAAAACATTTCCCTAATTAGCCCTCCATGACCATAGGCTCCTTGGCAGAAAAAGTTCACAATTATATCAGCATTTGGCCCTTACACTCCCTGGCAGCCAGAACCCCTGAGCTAACTTGCTGTCAATCCGTTAGCGCCGTCAGGAAGCATCTATCTTAAGAGCCATGTAGAAAGCATTCTCTATGATGCTTACTTCAAAGTGATGTGCTGGGAGGTACTGAAAAGAATGATGGGTAATGAACCCAAAGTGCATTTAGGAACAGAAAAATCCTCTCTCAGAATCACTGCCAGAAACTTACAGTAAGGGGGAATCAAAGGGTAGTGTAAAACGATTCTATCTCTGATAAAGTAGGGTTCTTTCGGATGGACTGGTTTATTTTACATAATTTTCAACAATTACTTAAGATCATATTCTGTTCCAGAACACAGATCTCCCTCCTCCTGTATTCTAAGTGATTTTCATATCCCAGGCACAGATTTCCTGATATAAGTATGCATTTTCAGGAGCAACCACAGCAATTTTCTGTCCAGAAAAAAAGAAAACCACACAGATTTGCCAGTGCTTTCAAGATGTAACTAAAATACTCAGGTGGGACTTTTCCCAGTGACTTTGTGGGCCCGTAGAGCTAAAGAAAATTTCTGCAACAATTTTCTTGGATGAGAAAGCTGTCATTTTCTTTCCCTATTATGCATTTCAAATTACAGTTTCTAGCCATATTGTTTAGCACACTAGTTTTAATGCTCCTTACAAAAGAATACTGGAGTTTATATTTAAGCTATCAGATTTATGATTCAGCAGCCTCTTTATCTTAGGATGGGGCAGGCAGACTGAAAGAGAATGTGTCCTACGACCTGAAGTAGCTGTTCCTTCTATCACACTATGCCTATGGTTCCTCTGAAGCATTTGAAAAACTCTACCTGATTTATAACTGCTATGGCTTAAAATGCTATCAACAGTACTGGATGGAAAGTTCAGCTTCCTCTTTTCAGAAACATATCTGCTTTATTCCGTGAAAGTAAATGTAACATGCTGCACATACATTTTTCCAATCAAATTGCATAGTTGAGACAAATTCATTTGTGCTTTGTAGCAGAACTCACAGTAGGTGTTCATATCTAAAAACTTTGATTTGGAAATGCCAAGTCCTGGGCAAGCTCACCTTTGTTTGGAGTGTTAGTTAATGATATGCACCGCCATTCCCCTTCCCATGGTTTTGCTAACCGTGTACCTCAGCCTGTACCGTAGGGGAGCATGAGCTTTGAATTAACACAACGGAAATGGGAACAAATCTAGCTGAACGTCTCCTTCTTGGAGAGAAGCGGGGAAAGGCTCTCAGTCTTGTTGAGGTATCCAGCCCTCAATGAATAGCGGCTGTGTATACTGAGTTTTGTTGGTTTGAGGATTGTGTCTGTAGAGGTTAAAAAAAAGAAAGAAAGAAAAGAAGGCACAGTTGTTTCTCAAGTCGCCATTTTCAATTCAACCAACAAAACTAAATTCTTCCATTTTCAAGCTTCAGGAGGGCGGCTCCAAGGCAGCGGGGCTCTCTTCCAGCCCCGGGTCCGCAGAGGAACTTATTGCTTCTGGGAAGGGCCCCGGGTAGGTCTGTGCTGCGCACTGGATCCCTTTTTGCAGGCCAGTCTCTTCGTGGAATTCTCCCTGGGTGCTGAAAGCTGGGCAAGATCTAGTCCGGGCATTGTCGGGGTGTCCCACTCTCTCACTCACGGTGCTCAGGGGAAATTCTCTCTGCCTCCGCCTCTGCAGTCCATCCTCCTTGTATTTTATGGAGTACCAGGCCAGAAAAATAAAAATAAACCCAACGAATTTGAGGCCGGCAGCCAAACCAAAATACACAAAACGAAACGACGTCACGTTGTACTCCCAGCAAGAACCCTGCACACCACATTCCTGTTGCCAGAGCATGCAGGTGGTGTCAATGACTGCTCCAAAGTAGATTGGAGTAGGAATGTATGCTAGAGGGGTGGAGAAGAAGAAAATACGAAGACTTAGCACATCTTCCAAGGGAAAACAGGTTTGTAAATTAGCAAGGTACTTGTGTGCTCTAAAACCAGTTGAGGGGAGGGATTTTCTTGTGTTACCAGATTTTTTTTAAGACGCATCATATTTTATCACAATATATTTATCATAAAAGCATTCACTATATGATAAACACTTAAAGTCGAGTTAGCCACCCAGAATGCGCTGTTGATTTTTAGGATCAAATCAACATGTTGTACCCTTTAAATATATACAATTGTATTTGTCAAGTATACCTCAATAAAGCTGAAAAAAGGGGTATTGCTAAAAATACAATTAGAGAATCCTTTTAATCTTAAAAATTGGATTTTGTCATTAAGTATTCAACAGGCTATACTAGAACCCTTTATTACCCACCAAAATTCGATACGCTTAGTTCTTGTGGGTTGGGCTTTAGTCCTTGGATGCAGGAAAAGTACGAGAAAAGCAGCATCTCCTATGAGTCAGAAACCACATAACATGGCAACTTTGTAAAAGCACTTATAAATCTAAGAAATTATATATATGAAGGAACTTTATTATGGCATAAATTTCATCTTTGAAGTTTGTGAAACATCTGAGATGAATAGTAGCTTCGTTGTCTGGGCTATGACATAGACATTTCCTTAATCCAATGAGAAAAAAAGTCTACCTAGTACATAGACTCCTGTGTCACATGCTACTCCCTTTACCAAAATGTTCCCCCAACTCATTCACTTTGCAAATATCTATGCCCCCTTTAAATTCCTGACTTACTCAGATGCCATCATATTCTCACTGCATTTTGGATCTACCTCCATTTTATTAACTATCACATAGCATTTTAAATGTTTACAAATTTGTCACTCCATAAGCTTCTTCAAGGCAGGGGCCACGCCTTTTATTCTTTGCATCCCAAAGACCTCAATAAAAATTTATGGAAGATAGCAATGGGAGGGAGGAGGGAGGAAGGAATAAAAGAGAGAAAGGAGGAAGGGAGCCAGGAAGACAGAAAGGAAGGCAGAGAGGATAGGCAGGCTGATAACCCAGGAAGCTGTGAGTGATACGTTTTAAATAAGTTGTTTTTATTTAAAATAAAGTCTATTGGTTTAATTTTAATATTATTAAAGTTTTTAAAACTCTTTTTCTGCTTCAGAATTTGGGGGGAAATGAAAATTGGCTTGTTGGCCCAACTAGACTTTTTCACAATCCATAGAAGTTAAAATAAAGTTGAATTAAATAATAAATGTCTGAAATGTTCTCCCTCCACTTATTCTTGATGCTGTAGCATACATCTGTTGACTCACCTTTACCTCCAAATCATATCAAATGACCCCAACTCCACGGCATCAGAGAGGGGCAAAGCAAAAAGAAGAAATTATCTTTTTCTGGCCAGGCATTGTGGCTCACATCTGTAATCCCAGAACTTTGGGAGGCCAAAGCGGGTGGATCACCTGAGGTCAAGAGCTCAAGACCAGCCTGGCCAACATGGTGAAACCCCATCTCTACTAAAAAAAAAAACAAAAAAAAAAAATGCAAAAATTAGCCAGGCATGGTGGCAAGTGCCTGTAATCCCACTTACTTGGGAGGCTGAGGCAGGAGAAACACTTGAACCCTAGAGGCAGAGGTTGCAGAGAACTGAGATTGTGCCACTGCCCTCCAGCCTGGGCAACAGAGCAAGACTCTGTCTCCAAAAAAAAAATACATATATATATACATATATATTTCTTTTCTTATTCAATTACCCCTTTGGTTAACAAATCTCCTTATTTCTAAATGTTATTTCTAAATAATACTGTTTAACTTTTAACAAGATCTATAAGACTGACTTTTTTTTTTTTTTCAGACAGAGTTCTGCTCTTGTTGCCCAGGCTGGAGTACAGTGGCTCCATCTCGGCTCACTGCAACCTCCGCCTCCCAGGTTCAAGCAATTCCCCTGCCTTAGCCTCCTGAGTAGTTGGGATTACAGGTAGGCACCACCACACCCAGCTAATTTCTTTGTATTTTTAGTAGAGATGGGGTTTCGTCACGTTGGCCAGGCTGGTCTCGAACTCCTGACCTCAGGTGATCCACTCACCTCGGCCTCCCAAAGTGCAGGGATTAAAGCATTAGCCACTGCACCCGGCCTAAGGCAGACTTCTTCACTATATCTAAGTGTGTCAGGATTTCCTTTAAACAGCATGTTTTTTAAAAAATGATAGCCTCAGAGTCTTATTAGTACTGAAAAAAACAAGCCACTCATTAAATGGAACTAGAAGCATTTTCCTCCTGGGGCTTATTGAAAATGCTCATTCTTGGACTGGGCCATCAACCACAACATATGACAAATGGAGAATGCCAGGGGATTCATGCTTCAGGGGGTCAGAAGATGCCCTTTTTAAACATTACCTCTTCAAAACTGAAATAAGAAATTTGAATCAAAAAGCAATTTTTTTGTCTTGTAGACAATGACACTGATTACTGAGGAGAAAATAACAGCTGAAGGAAATGACAGACTGCCACTTGAGAAAAAGACATTATAAAAGGAAAAATAAGCTTGATGACAAAGACGTCAATTTAAAATACATTGAAACTGATCAAAGGAATGTTGTATGTTACATGCTTATTTCCCATTGTCTCAAGAACTCACAGAGGGATGTGGTGTTTGTAAAAATAAGACCTATGTTCCACCCGTACAAATGTACTCTGTGGTTTATCACATGGACACAGCACTACTGAGCTTCTCTTGTTGATAAGTAAATACTTACAAGGCAGTCCCTATATGTCACTTTGGAGACCTTTCTTTTCCTTTTTAAAGTTTTTTCTTTTTCTCAGAAAACTTGATAGGTATACTCTTTGTTTAGTCCAATAAAATTACTGTAAAGAAGTGAGGCATTGAAAACTTCACAAATAAAGACCAATTTCTACTGCTTTCATAGTAAAAAGGCATAAAGGGGTCAAAATGCTAGGATTACAAATTCTTCACAAATTGCTTGATTTCCTATTTCTTACTGTGCAAAATTCTGGGGAATTTTGTCCAAGTTTATGTTCATAATGAAAAAGAAACTAACCTAACGTTGGTTTTGTTTTGTTTCATCAAACAACAGAACCTGTCAGCTTCTAGTTCAAATCAGAAAACAAGGAAGTTGTACCCTCACCACTAGCCTGTAAAATCTTATTCATGGTAATAAATGACATGACTTGCCATTTTTAAAGGACAGTGAAAATTTGCCATCTGCAAAGAGGAACTAAGAGGTACACTTGGAAATTCAGGGACGTACCAAGTGTTCGCAACAAAACAAACTGCATTCCCAGTGCAAAAGGTCTCTCCTCATCTTCTACGGACCTACAGTGAAGGGAAAGAAGGAAATGCATTTTAAATAGTAGCCCCAAGAAAATGAATGTCAAATCAAGTCGGCTTTGTGCAGAGCCAGGGACTAAAGATGCCATGCCAAAATATTTAATTCACTATTATTTACTAACAATAGCCACACAAGATTGCTGGTGGCTAAATCCCTGAATAAAGGTTTTCCCAATGTAGACATCAAAGAAACTCTGACTATCTCTAATTGTTTCTACAAAAATACTGGTAGAGGGTTAAAGGCTTTTGGCTGAAGAAGCTGGAATGCCTCTAACTGAGCTTCCAAAATCAGATCCATTTTTTTTTAATTATAGAATTTCATCTTAAATACTGCACGGTTTTTTTGTTTTTGTTTTTGTTTTTGTTTTTTTGCCTGTGTGCCTGCATCTTCCAGAGTGGTAGATGCATACATTGAAAATTACTCCAATAATTCTTCCAAAACAGGAAGAAAGAAGAGTAAAGAATAAAAGTATATTCAAAAAATGTATAGGAAACAAGTCAAAGATCAGAGGAAGCATAAGCCCTCCAACCACATCTTTTTTTCTTTTTTAAAAACTTATACTCCAAGTTATTCCCA